>NC_000018.10:20911206-21536206 GCF_000001405.40 Homo sapiens
GAATTCCTTGGAAAGGGGATTACATATACAAAGTAGACAGTAGCATTCTCAGAAGCTTCTCTGTGATGTTTGCTTTTAAGTCACAGAGTTGAGAATTCCCTTTCATAGAGCAGGTTTGAAACACTCTTTCTGTAGTATCTGGAAGTGGACATTTCGAGGGCTTTCAGGCCTATGGTGAAAAAGGAAATATCTTCCCATAAAAACTAGACAGAAGCATTCTCAGAAACTTATTTGTGAAATGTGTCCTCAAGTAACAGAGTTGAACCTTTCTTTTGGTACAGCAGTTTGGAAACACCCTTTTTGTAGAATCTGCAAGTGGATATTTGGATAACTTTGAAGATTTCGTTGGAAACAGGAATATCTTCATGTGAAATCGAGACAGAAGCATTCTCAGAAACTGCTTTGTGATCTCTGCATTCACGTCACAGAGTTCAACATTCGCTTTCATAGAGCATGTTTGAAACACTCTTTCTGCAGTATCTGGATGTGGACACTTGGAGCGCTTTGACGCTTACGGTGCAAAAGGAAATATCTTCCCATAAAAATTAGACAGAAGCATTCTCACAAACTGGTTTGTGATGTATGTCCTCAACTAACAGAGTTGAACCTTTCTATTTACAGAGCTGTTTTGAAAGACTCTATTGGAGAATCTGCAAGTGGATATTTGGAAAGCTTTAAGGATTTCATTGTAAACCGGAATATCTTCAGGTAAAATCTCGAAAACGGCATTCTCAGAAACTTCTTTGTGATGTGTGTCCTCAAGTAACAGAGTACAACCAGTCTTTTGATACAGCAGTTTGGAAACACTCTTTCTGTAGAATCTGCAAGTGGGTATTTGGATAGCTCAAGCTATTTCGTTGGAAGCGGGAATAGCTTCATATAAACTCTAGACAGAAGCACTCTCAGAAACTACTTTGTGATATCTGTATTCAAGTCACAGAGTTGAATATTCCCTTTCTTAGAGCAGGTTTGAAAGCGTCTTTTCGTGGAATCTGCAGGAGGATATTTGGATAGCTTTGGGGATTTCGTCGGAAACGGGATTACATATACAAAGTAGACAGCAGCATTCTCAGAAGCTGCTTTGTGATGTTTGCTTTTAAGTCACAGAGTTGAACATTCCCTTTCAGAGAGCAGGATTCAAACACTCTTTCTGTAGTATCTGGAAGAGGACATTTCGAGCGCTTTCAGGCCTATGGTGAACAAGGAAATATCTTCCCATACAAACTTGAGAGAAGCATTCTCACAAACTGGTTTGGGATGTATGTCCTCAGCTAACAGAGTACAACCTGTCTTTTGATACAGCAGTATTGAAACACACTTTCTGTAGAATCTGCAAGTGGATATTTGGATAGCTCTAACGATTTCGTTGGAAACGAGAATACTTTAGTATAAAATCTAGACACAGGCACTCTCAGAAACTGCTCTGTGATATGTGCATTCAAGTCACAGAGTTGAACATTCCCTTTATTAGAGCAGGTTTGAAACACTCTTTTTGTAGTATCTGGAAGTGGACATTTGGAGCGCTTTGACGCCTTTGCTGAAAAAGGACATATCTTCTCTTCAAAACTAGACAGAAACATTCCCAGAAACTTCTTTGTGATGTGTGTCCTCAACTAACAGAGTTCAACCTCTCTTATGATACAGAAGTTTGGAAACACTCTTTTTGTAGTATATGCAAGGGGATATTTGGATAGCTCGAAGTATTTCGTTGGAAACGGGAATATCTTCATATAAAATCTAGACAGAAGCACTCTCAGAAACTACTTTGTGATATCTGCATTCAAGTCACAGAGTTGAATATTCCCTTTCTTAGAGCAGGGTTGAAACCGTCTTTTCTTGGAATCTGCAGGTTGATATTTGGATAGATTTCAGGATTTCGTTGGAAACGGGATTACATATACAAAGTAGACAGTAGCATTCTCAGAAGCTTCTCTGTGATGTTTGCTTTTAAGTCACAGAGTTGAGCATTCCCTTTCATAGAGCAGGTTTGAAACACTCTTTCTGTAGTATCTGGAAGTGGACATTTCGAGGGCTTTCAGGCCTATGGTGAAAAAGGAAATATCTTCCCCTAAAAACTAGACAGAAGCCTTCTCAGAAACTCATTTGTGATGTATGTCCTCAACTAACAGAGTTGAACCTTTCTTTTGATACAGCAGTTTGGAAACACTCTTTTTGTAGAATCTGCAAGTGGATATTTGGATAAATTTGAAGATTTCGTTGGAAACGGGAATATCTTCATGTAAAATCGAGACAGAAGCATTCTCAGAAACAGCTTTGTGATGTCTGCATTCACGTCACAGAGTTGAACATTCGCTTTCATAGAGCAGGTTTGAAACACTCTTTCTGCAGTATCTGGATGTGGACACTTGGAGCGCTTTGACGCTTACGGTGCAAAAGGAAATATCTTCCCATAAAAATTAGACAGAAGCATTCTCACAAACTGGTTTGTGATGTATGTCCTCAGCTAACAGAGTTGAACCTTTCTATTTACAGAGCTGTTTTGAAAGACTCTATTGGAGAATCTGCAAGTGGATATTTGGAAAGCTTTAAGGATTTCATTGTAAACCGGAATATCTTCAGGTAAAATCTCGACAAGGGCATTCTCAGAAACTTCTTTGTGATGTGTGTCCTCAAGTAACAGAGTACAACCAGTCTTTTGCTACAGCAGTTTGGAAACACTCTTTCTGTAGAATCTACAAGTGGATATTTGGATAGCTGAAGCTATTTCGTTGGAAACGGGAACAGCTTCATATAAACTCTAGACAGAAGCACTCGCAGAAACTACTTTGTGATATCTGTATTCAAGTCACAGAGTTGAATATTCCCTTTCTTAGAGCAGGTTTGAAAGCGTCTTTTCGTGGAATCTGCAGGAGGATATTTGGATAGCTTTGGGGATTTCGTCGGAAAAGGGATTACATATACAAAGTAGACAGCAGCATTCTCAGAAGCTGCTTCGTGATGTTTGCTTTTAAGTCACAGAGGTGAACATTCCCTTTCAGAGAGCAGGATTCAAACACTCATTCTGTAGTATCTGGAAGAGGACATTTCGAACGCTTTCAGGCCTATGGTGAACAAGGAAATATCTGCCCATACAAACTTGACAGAAGCATTCTCACAAACTGGTTTGGAATGTATGTCCTCAGCTAACAGAGTACAACCTGTCTTTTGATACAGCAGTATTGAAACACACTTTCTGTAGAATCTGCAAGTGGATATTTGGATAGCTCTAACGATTTCGTTGGAAACGAGGATACTTTAGTATAAAATCTAGACACAGGCACTCTCAGAAACTGCTCTGTGATATGTGCATTCAAGTCACAGAGTTGAACATTCCCTTTATTAGAGCAGGTTTGAAACACTCTTTTTGTAGTATCTGGAAGTGGACATTTGGAGCGCTTTGACGCCTTTGCTGAAAAAGGAAATATCTTCTCTTCAAACCTAGACAGAAGCATTCCCTGAAACTTCTTTGTGATGTGGGTCCTCAACTAACAGAGTTCAACCTCTCTTATGATACAGAAGTTTGGAAACACTCTTTTTGTAGTATGTGCAAGGGGATATTTGGATAGCTCGAAATATTTCTTTGGAAACGGGAATATCTTCATATAAAATCTAGACAGAAGCACTCTCAGAAAGTACTTTGTGATATCTGCATTCAAGTCACAGAGTTGAATATTCCCTTTCTTAGAGCAGGGTTGAAACCGTCTTTTCTTGGAATCTGCAGGTGGATATTTGGATAGCTTTCACGACATCTTTGGAAACGGGATTACATATACAAAGTAGACAGTAGCATTCTCAGAAGCTTCTCTGTGATGTTTGGTTTTAAGTCACAGAGTTCAGCATTCCCTTTCATAGAGCAGGTTTGAAACACTCTTTCTGTAGTATCTGGAAGTGGACATTTCGAGGGCTTTCAGGCCTATGGTGAAAAAGGAAATATCTTCCCATAAAAACTAGACAGAAGCATTCTCAGAAACTTATTTGTGATGTATGACCTCAACTAACAGAGTTGAACCTTTCTTTTGATACAGCAGTTTGGAAACACTCTTTTTGTAGAATCTGCAAGTGGATATTTGGATAACTTTGAAGATTTCGTTGGAAACGGGAATATCTTCATGTAAAATCGAGACAGAAGCATTCTCAGAAACAGCTTTGTGATGTCTGCATTCACGTCACAGAGTTGAACATTCGCTTTCATAGAGCAGGCTTGAAAAACTCTTTCTGCAGTATCTGGATGTGGACACTTGGAGCGCTTTGACGCTTACGGTGCAAAAGGAAATATCTTTCCATAAAAACTAGACAGAAGCATTCTCACAAACTGGTTTGTGATGTATGTCCTCAGCTAACAGAGTTGAACCTTTCTATTTACAGAGCTGTTTTGAAAGACTCTATTGGAGAATCTGCAAGTGGATATTTGGAAAGCTTTAAGGATTTCATTGGAAACCGGAATATCTTCAGGTAAAATCTCGACAAGGGCATTCTCAGAAACTTCTTTGTGATGTGTGTCCTCAAGTAACAGAGTACAACCTGTCTTTTGATACAGCAGTTTGGAAACACTCTTTCTGTAGAATCTACAAGTGGATATTTGGATAGCTCAAGCTATTTCGTTGGAAACGGGAATAGCTTCATATAAACTCTAGACAGAAGCACTCTCAGAAACTACTTTGTGATATCTGTATTCAAGTCACAGAGTTGAATATTCCCTTTCTTAGAGCAGGTTTGAAACCGTCTTTTCGTGGAATCTGCAGGAGGATATTTGGATAGCTTTGGGGATTTCGTCGGAAACGGGATTACATATACAAAGCAGACAGCAGCATTCTCAGAAGCTGCTTTCTGATGTTTGCTTTTAAGTCACAGAGTTTAACATTCCCTTTCAGAGAGCAGGATTCAAACACTCTTTCTGTAGTATCTGGAAGAGGACATTTCGAGCGCTTTCAGGCCTATGGTGAACTAGGAAATATCTTCCCATACAAACTTGACAGAATCATTCTCACAAACTCGTTTGGGATGTATGTCCTCAGCTAACAGAGTTCAACCTGTCTTTTGATACAGCAGTATTGAAACACACTTTCTGTAGAATCTGCAAGTGGATATTTGGATAGCTCTAACGATTTCGTTGGAAACGGGAATACTTTAGTATAAAATCTAGACACAGGCACTCTCAGAAACTGCTCTGTGATATGTGCATTCAAGTCACAGAGTTGAACATTCCCTTTATTAGAGCAGGTTTGAAACACTCTTTTTGTAGTATCTGGAAGTGGACATTTGGAGCGCTTTGACGCCTTTGCTGAAAAAGGAAATATCTTCTCTTCAAAACTAGACAGAAGCATTCCCAGAAACTTCTTTGTGATGTGTGTCCTCAACTAACAGAGTTCAACCTCTCTTATGATACAGTAGTTTGGAAACACTCTTTTTATAGTATATGCAAGGGGATATTTGGATAGCTCGAAGTATTTCGTTGGAAACGGGAATATCTTCATATAAAATCTAGACAGAAGCACTCTCAGAAACTACTTTGTGATATCTGCATTCAAGTCACAGAGTTGAATATTCCCTTTCTTAGAGCAGGTTTGAAACCGTCTTTTCTTGGAATCTGCAGGTTGATATTTGGATAGCTTTCAGGATTTCGTTGGAAACGGGATTACATATACAAAGTAGACAGTAGCATTCTCAGAAGCTTCTCTGTGATGTTTGCTTTTAAGTCACAGAGTTGAGCATTCCCTTTCATAGAGCAGGTTTGAAACACTCTTTCTGTAGTATCTGGAAGTGGACATTTCGAGGGCTTTCAGGCCTATGGTGAAAAAGGAAATATCTTCCCATAAAAACTAGACAGAAGCATTCTCAGAAACTTATTTGTGATGTATGTCCTCAACTAACAGAGTTGAACCTTTCTTTTGATACAGCAGCTTGGAAACACTCTTTTTGTAGAATCTGCAAGTGGATATTTGGATAACTTTGAAGATTTCGTTGGAAACGGGAATATCTTCATGTAAAATCGGGACAGAAGCATTCTCAGAAACAGCTTTGTGATGTCTGCATTCACGTCACAGAGTTGAACATTCGCTTTCATAGAGCAGGTTTGAAACATTCTTTCTGCAGTATCTGGATGTGGACAGTTGGAGCGCTTTGACGCTTACGGTGCAAAAGGAAATATCTTCCCATAAAAATTAGACAGAAGCATTCTCACAAACTGGTTTGTGATGTATGTCCTCAGCTAACAGAGTTGAACATTTCTATTTACAGAGCAGTTTTGAAAGACTCTATTGGAGAATCTGCAAGTGGATATTTGGAAAGCTTTAAGGATTTCATTGGAAACCGGAATATCTTCAGGTAAAATCTCGACAAGGGCATTCTCAGAAACTTCTTTGTGATGTGTGTCCTCAAGTAACAGAGTACAACCTGTCTTTTGGTACAGCAGTTTGGAAACACTCTTTCTGTAGAATCTACAAGTGGATATTTGGATAGCTGAAGCTATTTCGTTGGAAACGGGAATAGCTTCCTATAAACTCTAGACAGAAGCACTCTCAGAAACTACTTTGTGATATCTGTATTCAAGTCACAGAGTTGAATATTCCCTTTCTTAGAGCAGGTTTGAAACCGTCTTTTCGTGGAATCTGCAGGAGGATATTTGGATAGCTTTGGGGATTTCGTCGGAAACGGGATTACATATACAAAGTAGACAGCAGCATTCTCAGGAGCTGCTTTGTGATGTTTGCTTTTAAGTCACAGAGTTGAACATTCCCTTTCAGAGAGCAGGTTTCAAACACTCTTTCTGTAGTATCTGGAAGAGGACGTTTCGAGCGCTTTCAGGCCTATGGTGAACAAGGAAATATCTTCCCATACAAACTTGACAGAAGCATTCTCACAAACTGGTTTGGGATGTATGTCCTCAGCTAACAGAGTACAACCTGTCTTTTGATACAGCAGTATTGAAACACACTTTCTGTAGAATCTGCAAGTGGATATTGGGACAGCTCTAACGATTTCGTTGGAAACGAGAATACTTTAGTATAAAATCTAGACACAGGCACTCTCAGAAACTGCTCTGTGATATGTGCATTCAAGTCACAGAGTTGAACATTCCCTTTATTAGAGCAGGTTTGAAACACTGTTTTTGTAGTATCTGGAAGTGGACATTTGGAGCGCTTTGACGCCTTTGCTGAAAAAGGAAATATCTTCTCTTCAAAACTAGACAGAAGCATTCCCAGAAACTTCTTTGTGATGTGTGTCCTCAACTAACAGAGTTCAACCTCTCTTATGATACAGAAGTTTAGAAACACTCTTTTTGTAGTATATGCAAGGGGATATTTGGATAGCTCGAAGTATTTCTTTGGAAACGGGAATATCTTCATATAAAATCTAGACAGAAGCACTCTCAGAAACTACTTTGTGCTATCTGCATTCAAGTCACAGAGTTGAATATTCCCTTTCTTAGAGCAGGGTTGAAACCGTCTTTTCATGGAATCTGCAGGTGGATATTTGGATAGCTTTCAGGATTTCTTTGGAAACGGGATTACATATACAGAGTAGACAGTAGCATTCTCAGAAGCTTCACTGTGATGTTTCCTTTTAAGTCACAGAGTTGAGCATTCCCTTTCATAGAGCAGGTTTGAAACACTCTTTCTGTAGTATCTGGAAGTGGACATTTCGAGGGCTTTCAGGCCTATGGTGAAAAAGGAAATATCTTCCCATAAAAACTAGACAGAATCATTCTCAGAAACTTATTTGTGATGTATGTCCTCAACTAACGGAGTTGAACCTTTCTTTTGATACAGCAGTTTGGAAACACTCTTTTTGTAGAATCTGCAAGTGGATATTTGGATAACTTTGAAGATTTCGTTGGAAACGGGAATATCTTCATGTAAAATCGAGACAGAAGCATTCTCAGAAACAGCTTTGTGATGTCTGCATTCACGTCACAGAGTTGAACATTCGCTTTCATAGAGCAGGTTTGAAACACTCTTTCTGCAGTATCTGGATGTGGACACTTGGAGCGCTTTGACGCTTACGGTGCAAAAGGAAATATCTTCCCATAAAAACTAGACAGAAGCATTCTCACAAACTGGTTTGTGATGTGTGTCCTCAGCTAACAGAGTTGAACCTTTCTATTTACAGAGCTGTTTTGAAAGACTCTATTGGAGAATCTGCAAGTGGATATTTGGAAAGCTTTAAGGATTTCATTGGAAACCGGAATATCTTCAGGTAAAATCTCGACAAGGGCATTCTCAGAAACTTCTTTGTGATGTGTGTCCTCAAGTAACAGAGTACAACCTGTCTTTTGATACAGCAGTTTGGAAACACTCTTTCTGTAGAATCTACAAGTGGATATTTGGATAGCTCAAGCTATTTCGTTGGAAACGGGAATAGCTTCATATAAACTCTAGACAGAAGCACTCTCAGAAACTACTTTGTGATATCTGTATTCAAGTCACAGAGTTGAATATTCCCTTTCTTAGAGCAGGTTTGAAACCGTCTTTTCGTGGAATCTGCAGGAGGATATTTGGATAGCTTTGGGGATTTCGTCGGAAACGGGATTACATATACAAAGTAGACAGCAGCATTCTCAGAAGCTGCTTTGTGATGTTTGCTTTTAAGTCACAGAGTTGAACATTCCCTTTCAGAGAGCAGGTTTCAAACACTCTTTCTGTAGTATCTGGAAGAGGACATTTCGAGCGCTTTCAGGCCTATGGTGAACAAGGAAATATCTTCCCATACAAACTTGACAGAAGCATTCTCACAAACTGGTTTGGGATGTATGTCCTCAGCTAACAGAGTACAACCTCTCGTATAATACAGCAGTTTGAAAAAACACTTTTTGTAGAATATGCAAGTGGATATTTGAACAGCTCTAACTATTTCGTTCGAAATGGGAATATCTTCATATAAAATCTAGACAGAAGCACTCTCAGAAACTACATTGTGATATCTGTATTCAAGTCACAGAGTTGAATATTCCCTTTCTTAGAGCAGGTTTGAAACCGTCTTTTCGTGGAAGCTGCAGGAGGATATTTGGATAGCTTTGAGGATTTCGTTGGAAACGGGATTACATATACAAAGTAGACAGCAACATTCTCAGAAGCTTCTTTGTGATGTTTGCTTCTAAGTCACAGAGTTGAACATTCCCTTTCATACAGCAGGTTTGAAACACTCTTTCTGTAGTATCTGGAAGTGGACATTTCGAGCGCTTTCAGGCCCATGGTGAAAAAGGAAATATCTCCCCATAAAAACTAGACAGAAGCATTCGCAGAAACTTGTTTGTGATGTGTGTCCTCAACCAACAGAGTTGAACATTTCCTGTGACAGAGCAGTTTGGAAACACGCTTTTTGTAGAATCTGCAATTGGATATTTGGATAGCTTTGTGGATGTCGTTGGAAACGGGAGTATCTTCATATAAAACCTAGACGGAAACATTCTCCGAAACTCCTTTGTAATGTCTGCATTCACGTCACAGAGTTGAACATTCCCTTTCATAGAGCAGGTTTGAAACACTCTTTCTGAAGTATCTGGATGTCGACACTTGGAGCGCTTTGACGCTTACACTGAAAAAGGAAATAACTTCCCATGAAAACTAGACAGAAGCATTCTCACAAACTGGTTTGTGATGTATGTCCTCAACTAACAGAGTTGAACCTTTCTATTTACAGAGCAATTTTCAAAGACTCTTTTTGGAGAATCTGCAAGTGGATATCTGGAGATCTTTTAGGATTTCATTGGAAACCGGAATATCTTCAGGTAAAATCTAGACAGAGGCATTCTCAGAAACTTCTTCATGATGTGCGTCCTCAACTAACAGAGTACAACCTGTCTTTTGATACATCAGTTTGGAAACACTCTTTTTGTAGAATCTGGAAGTGGATATTTCGATAGCTCTAACGATTTCGTTGGAAACGGGAATAGCTTCATATAAAATCTAGGCAGAGGCACTCTCAGAAACTACTTTGTGAGATCTGCATTCAAGTCACAGAGTTCAACATTCCCTTTCGTAGATCTGGTTTGATAGACTCTTTTTGTTGTATCTGGAAGTGGACATTTGGAGCGCTTTGACGACTTTGGTGAAAAAGGAAATATCTTCCCATAAAAACTAGACAGAAGCATTCTCAGAAACTTGTTTGTGCTGTGTGTACTCAACTGACAGAGCTGAACTTTTCTTTCTACACAGCAGTTTTGAAAAACTCTTTTTGTAGTATCTGCAAGTGGATAATTGGATGGCTTTAAGGATTTCGTTGGAAATGGGTCTACATTCATGTAAAATCTACACAGAAGCATTCTCAGAAACTTCTTTGGGATATATGTACTCAACTAACAGAGTTGAACCTTTCTATTTCTGGGTCAGTTTTGAGAAGCTCTTTTTCTGTAATCTGCAAGTGGATATTCGGATAGCTCTGAGGATTTCCTTGGAAATGGGATTTCATATAAAATGTAGACAGCAGCATTCTCAGAAGCTTCTTTGTGATGTTTGCTTTTAAGTCACAGAGTTGAATATTCCCTTCCATAGAGCAGGATTGAAACACTCTTTCTGTAGTATCCGGAAGTGGACATTTCGGGTGATTTCAGTCCTATGTTGAAAAAGGAAATATCATCCCATAAAAACTAGACAGAAGCATTCTCAGAAATTTCTTTGTGATGTGTGTCCTCAACTAACAGAGTTCAAACTGTCTTATGATACAGCAGTTTGGAAACACTCCTTTTGTAGAATATGCAAGTGGATACTTGGATAGCTCTAACTATTTCGTTGGAAACGGGAATATCATCATATAAAATCTAGACACAAGCACTCTCAGAAACTACATTCTAATATCTGCATTCAAGTCACAGAGTTGAATATTCCCTTTCTTAGAGCAGGTTTGAAACCGTCTTTTCGTGGAATGTGCAGGAGGATATTTGGATAGCTTTGAGGATTTCGTTGGAAAAGGGATTACATATACAAAGTAGAAAGCAGCATTCTCAGAAGCTTCTTTGTGATGTTTGCTTTTAAGTCACAGAGTTGAACATTCCCTTTCATAGAGCAGTTTTGAAACACTCTTTCTGTAGTATCTGGAAGTGGACATTTCGAGTGCTTTCCGAACTATCGTGAAAAAGGAAATATCTTCCGATAAAAACTAGACAGAAGCATTCGCAGAAACTTGTTTGTGATGTGTGTCCTCAACTCACAGAGTTGAACATTTCGTTTGACAGAGCAGTTTGGAAACACGCTTTTTGTAGAATCTGCAAGTGGATATTTGGATAGCTTTGTGGATTTCCTTGGAAACGGGAGTATCTTCATATAAAACCTAGAAAGAAACATTCTCAGAAACTGCTTTGTGATGTCTGTATTCACGTCACAGAGTTGAATATTTCCTTTCATAGAGCAGGTTTGAAACACTCTTTCTGTAGTATCTGGATGTGGACACTTGGAGCGCTTTGAGGCTTACGGTGCAAAAGGAAATATCTTCCAATGAAAACTAGACAGAAGCATTCTCAAAAACTAGTTTGTGATGTATTTCCTCAACTAACAGAGTTGAACCTTTCTATTTACAGAGTAGTTTTGAAAGACTCTTTTTGGAGAATCTGCAAGTGGATATTTGGAGAGCTTTAAGGATTTCATTGTAAACCGGAATATCTTCAGGTAAAATCTAGACAGAGGCATTCTCAGAAACTTCTTTGTGATGTGTGTCCTCAACTAACAGAGTTCAGCCTTTGTTATGATACAGCAGTTTGGAAACACTCTTTTTGTACTATCAGGAAGTGGACTTCTGGAGCGCTTTGACACCTTTGGTGATAAAGAGATGTCTTCCCATAAAAACTAGACGGAAGCATTCTAAGAGAATTCTTTGGGATATACGTACTCAACTAACAGAGTTGAACCTTTCTATTTATAGATCAGTCTTGAAAAGCTCTTTTCGTGGAATCTGCAAGTGAATCTTAGGATAGCTCTGAGGATTGCGTTGGAAACGGGATTACATATAAAAAGTAGACAGCAGCATTCTCAGAAACTTCTTTGTGATGTTTGCTTTTAAGTCACAGAGTTCAATATTCCCTTCCATAGAGCCGGTTTGAAACACTTTTTTTGTAGTATCTGGAAGTGGACATTTCGAGCGATTTCAGGCCTATGTTGAAAAAGGAAACATCTTCCCATAAAAACAAGACAGAAGCATTCTCAGAAACTTCTTTGTGATGTGTGTCCTCAACTAACAGAGTTCAACCTCTCTTATAATACAGCAGTTTGAAAAAACACTTTTTGTAGAATATGCAAGTGGATATTTGAACAGCTCTAACTATTTCGTTCGAAATGGGAATATCTTCATATAAAATCTAGACAGAAGCACTCTCAGAAACTACATTGTGATATCAGTATTCAAATCACAGAGTTGAATATTCCCTTTCTTAGAGCAGGTTTGAAACCGTCTTTTCGTGGAAGCTGCAGGAGGATATTTGGATAGCTTTGAGGATTTCGTTGGAAACGGGATTACATATACAAAGTAGACAGCAACATTCTCAGAAGCTTCTTTGTGATGTTTGCTTCTAAGTCACAGAGTTGAACATTCCCTTTCATACAGCAGGTTTGAAACACTCTTTCTGTAGTATCTGGAAGTGGACATTTCGAGCGCTTTCAGGCCCATGGTGAAAAAGGAAATATCTCCCCATAAAAACTAGACAGAAGCATTCGCAGAAACTTGTTTGTGATGTGTGTCCTCAACCAACAGAGTTGAACATTTCCTGTGACAGAGCAGTTTGGAAACACGCTTTTTGTAGAATCTGCAAGTGGATATTTGGATAGCTTTGTGGATTTCCTTGGGAACGGGAGTATCTTCATATAAAACCTAGACGGAAACATTCTCCGAAACTCCTTTGTAATGTCTGCATTCACGTCACAGAGTTGAACATTCCCTTTCATAGAGCAGGTTTGAAACACTCTTTCTGAAGTATCTGGATGTGGACACTTGGAGCGCTTTGACGCTTACGGTGAAAAAAGGAATAACTTCCCATGAAAACTAGACAGAAGCATTCTCACAAACTGGTTTGTGATGTATGTCCTCAACTAACAGAGTTGAACCTTTCTATTTACAGAGCAGTTTTCAAAGACTCTTTTTGGAGAATCTGCAAGTGGATATCTGGAGATCTTTAAGGATTTCACTGGAAACCGGAATATCTTCAGGTAAAATCTAGACAGAGGCATTCTCGGAAACTTCTTCGTGATGTGCGTCCTCAACTAACAGAGTACAACCTGTCTTTTGATACATCAGTTTGGAAACACTCTTTTTGTAGAATCTGCAAGAGGATATTTGGATAGCTCTAGCGATTTCGATGGATACGGGAATACCTTCATATGAAATCTAGACAGAGGCACTCTCAGAAACTGCTTTGTGATATCTGCATTCAAGTCACAGAGTTGAACATTCCCTTTCTTAGAGCAGGTTTGAAACTCTCTTTTTGTAGTATCTGGAAGTGGACACTTGGAGCGCTTTGACGCCTTTGGTGAAAAAGGAAATGTCTTCCCATAAAAACTAGACAGAAGCATTCTAAGAAACTTCTTTGGGATATATGTACTCAACTAACAGAGTTGAACCTTTCTATTTAGAGATCAGTTTTAAAAAGCTCTTTTTGTGGAATCCGCAAGTGGATATTAGAATAGCTCTGAGGATTTCGTTGGAGACGGGATTACGTATAAAAAGTAGACAGCAGCATTCTCAAAAGCTTCTTTGTGATCTTTGCTTTTAAATCGCAGAGTTCAATATTCCCTTCCGTAGAGAAGGTTTGAAACACTCTTTCTGTAGTATCTGGAAGTGGACATTTCGAGCGATTTCAGGCCTATGTTGAAAAAGGAAATATCTTCCAATAAAAACTAGACGGAAGCATTCTCAAAAATTTCTTTGTGATGTGCGTCCTCAACTAACAGAGTTCATCCTTTCTTATGATACAGCAGTTTATAAACACTCTTTTTGTAGAATCTGCAAGTGGATATTTGCATAGCTCTAACCATTTCATAGGAAACGGGAATACCTTCATATAAAATCTAGACAGAGGCACCCTCAGAAACTGCTTTGTGATATCTGCATTCAAGTCACAGAGTTGAACATTCCCTTTCTTAGAGCAGGTTTGAGACAATCTATTTGTAGTATCTGGTAGTGGACATTTGGAGCGCTTTGACGCCTTTGGTGAAAAAGGAAATATCTTCCATAAAAACTAGACAGAAGCATTCCAAGAATCTTCCTTGCGATATATGTACTCAACTACCAGAGTTGAACCTTTCTATTGATAGATCAGTTTTGAAAAGCTCTTTTTGTGGAATCTGCAATTGGATATAAGGATAGTTCTGAGGATTTCGTTGGAGACGGGATTGCATATAAAAAGTAGACAGCAGCATTCTCAGAAGCTTCTTTGTGATGTTTGCTTTTAAGTCACAGAGTTGAATATTCCCTTCCATAGAGCAGGTTTGAAACCCTCTTTGTCTACTATCTGGAAGTGGACATTTCGAGCGCTTTCAGGCCTATGGTGAACAAGGAAATATCGTCCCATAAAAACTAGACAGAAGCATTCGCAGAAACTTGTTTGTGATGTGTGTCCTCATCTCACAGAGGTGACCATTTCGTTTGACAGAGCAGTTTGGAAACACGCTTTTTGCAGAATACGCAAGTGGATATTTGGATAGCTGTAACGATTTCGTTGGATACGGGAATAACTTCATATAAATTCTAGACAGAGGCACTCTCAGAAACTGCTTTTTGATATCTGCATTCAAGTCACGGAGTTGAACATTCTCTTTCTTAGAGCAGGTTTGAAACACTCTTTTTGTAGTATCTGGAAGTGGACATTTGGAGGGCTTTGACGCCTTTGGTGAAAAAGGAAATGTCTTCCCATAAAAACTAGACAGAAGCATTCTAAGAAACTTCTTTGGGATATATGTACTCAACTAACAGAGTTGAACCTTTCTCTTTATAGATCAGTTTTGAAAAGCTCTTTTTGTGGAATCTGCAAGTGGATATTAAAATAGCTCTGAGGATTTCGTTGGAGACGGGATGACATATAAAAAGTAGACAGCAGCATTCTCAGAAGCGTCTTTGTGATGTTTGCTTTTAAGTCACAGAGTTGAATTTTCCCTTCCATAGAGCAGGTTTGAAACAATCTTTCTGTAGTATCTGGAAGTGGACATTTCGAGCGCTTTCAGGCCTATGTTGAAAAATTAAATATCTTCTCATAAAAACTATACAGAAGCATTCTCAGAAACGTCTTTGTGATGTGTGGCCTCAACTAACAGAGTTCAACCTTTCTTATGATACAGCAGTTTGGAAACACTCTTTTTGTAGAATATGCAATTGGATATTTGGATAGCTCTAAGTATTTCGTTGGAAACGGGAATATCTTCATATAAAATCTAGACAGAAGCACTCTCAGAAACTACTTTGTGATATCTGCATTCAAGTCACAGAGTTGAAAATTCCCTTTCTTAGACCAGGTTTTAAACCGTCTTCTCGTGGAATCTGCAGGAGGATATTTCGATAGCCTTGAGGGTTTAGTTGGAAACGGGATTACATATACAAAGTAGACAGCAGCATTCTCAGAAGCTTCTTTGTGATGTTTGCTTGTAAGTCACAGAGTTGAACATTCTCTTTCATAGAGCAGGTTTGAAACACTCTTCCTGTAGTATCTGGAAGTGGACATTTCGAGCGCTTTCAGGCCTATGGTGAACAAGGAAATATCTTCCCATAAAAACTAGATAGAAGCATTCGCAGAAACTTCTTTGTGATGTGTGTCCTCAACTCACAGAGTCGAACATTTCGTTTGACAGAGCAGTTTGGAAACACGCTTTTTGTAGAATCTGCAAGTGGATATTTGGATAGCTTTGCGGATTTTGCTTGAAACGGGAGTATCTTCCTATTAAACCTAGACAGAAACATTCTCAGAAACTGCTTTGTGATGTCTGCATTCACGTCACGGAGTTGAACATTCCCTTTCATAGAGCAGGTTTGAAACTCCCTTTCTGTAGTATCTGGATGTGGACACTTGGAGGGCTTTGACGCTTACGGTGAAAAAGGAAATATGTTCCCATGAAAACTAGACAGAAGCATTCTCACAAACTGGTTTGTGATGTATGTCCTCAACTAACAGACTTGAACCTTTCTATTTACAGAGCAGTTTTGAAAGACACTTTTTGGAGACTCTGCAAGTGGATATTTGGAGAGCTTTAAGGATTTCACTGGAAACCGGAATATCTTGAGGAAAAATCTAGACAGAGGCATTCTCAGAAACTTCTTTGTGATGTGTGTCCTCAACTAACAGAGTACAACTTGTCTTCTGATACAGCAGTTTCGAAACACTCTTTTTGTAGAAACTCCAAGAGGATATTTCGATAGCTCTAACGGTTTCGTTGGAAACCGGAATACCTTCATATAAAATTTAACAGAGGCACTCTCAGAAACTGCTTTGTGATATCTGCATTCAAGTCACAGAGTTGAACATTCCCTTTCTTAGAGCAGGTTTGAAACACCCTTTTTGTAGTATCTGGAAGTGGACATTTGGAGCGCTTTGACGCCTCTGGTGAAAAAGGAAAGGTCTTCCCATAAAAACTAGACAGAAGCATTCTAAGGAACTTCTTTGGGATATATGTACTCAACTAACACAGTTGAACCTTTCTATTTATAGATCAGTTTTGAAAAGCTCTTTTTGTGGAATCCGCATGTGGATATTAGGATAGCACTGAGGATTTCGTTGGAGACGGGATTACGTATAAAAAGTAGACAGCAGCATTCTCAGAAGCTTCTTTGTGATGTTTGCTTTTAAATCGCAGAGTTCAATATTCCCTTCCATAGAGCAGGTTTGAGACACTCTTTCTGTAGTATCTGGAAGTGGACATTTCGAGCGATTTCAGGCCTAGGTTGAAAAAGGAAATATCTTCCAATAAAAATTAGACGGAAGCATTCTCAAAAATTTCTTTGTGATGTGTGTCCTCAACTAACAGGGTTCAACCTTTCTTTTGATACAGCAGTTTGTAAACACTCTTTTTGTAGAATCTGCATGTGGATATTTGGATAGCTCTAACCATTTCATAGGAAACGAGAATAACTTCATATAAAATCTAGACAGAGGCACTCTCAGAAACTACTTTGTGATATCTGCGTTCAAGTCACAGAGTTGAACATTCCCTTTCTTAGAGCAGGTTTGAGACACTCTTTTTGTAGTATCTGGAAGTGGACATTTGGAGCGCTTTGACGCCTTTGGTGAAAAAGGAAATATCTTCCATAAAAACTAGACAGAAGCATTCTAAGAAACTTCTTGGCGATATATGTACTCACCTAACAGAGTTGAACCTTTCTATTGATAGATCAGTTTCGAAAAGCTCTTTTTGTGGAATCTGCAATTGGATATAAGGATAGTTCTGAGGATTTCGTTGGAGACGGGATTGCATATAAAAAGTAGACAGCAGCATTCTCAGAAGCTTCTTTGTGATGTTTGCTTTTAAGTCACAGAGTTGAATATTCCCTTCCATAGAGCAGGTTTGAAACCCTCTTTCTCTACTATCTGGAAGTGGACATTTCGAGCGCTTTCAGGCCTATGGTGAACAAGGAAATATCGTCCCATAAAAACTAGACAGAAGCATTAGCAGAAAATTGTTTGTGATGTGTGCCCTCAACTCACAGAGTGGAACACTTCGTTTCACAGAGCAGTTTGGAAACACGCTTTTTGTAGAATTTGCATGTGGATATTTGGATAGCTTTGTGGATTTCGTTGGAAACGGAAGTATCCTCATATAAAAATTAGACAGAAACATTCTCAGAAACCGCTTTGTGATGTCTGCATTCACGTCACAGAGTTGAACATTCCCTTTCATAGAGCAGGTTTGAAACACTCTTTCTGTAGTATCTGGATGTGGACACTTGGAGCACATTGACGCTTACGGTAAAAAAGGAAATATCTTCCCATAAAAACTAGACAGAAGCATTCTCACAAACTGGTTTGTGATGTATGTCCTCAACTAACAGCGTTGAACCTTTCTATTTACAGAGCAGTTTTGAAAGACTCTTTTTGGAGAATCTGTAAGCGGATATTTGGAGAGCTTCAAGGATTTCATTTTAAACCGTAATATCTTCAGGTAAAATCTAGCCAGAGGCATTCTCAGAAACTTATTTATGATGTGTGTCCTCAACTAACAGAGTACAACCTATCTTTTGATACAGCAGTTTGGAAACACTCTTTTTGTAGAATCTGCAAGTGGATATTTCGATAGCTGTAACGATTTCGTTGGAAATGGGAATACCTTCATATAAAATCTAGAGAGGCACTCTCCGAAAGTGCTTTGAGCTATCTGCTTTCAAGTCACAGAGTTGAACATTCCCTTTCTTAGAGAAGGTTTGAAACACTCTTTTTGTAGTATGTGTAAGTGGACACTTAGACCGCTTCGACCCCTTTGGTGAAAAAGGAAATGTCTTCCCATAAAAACTAGACAGAAGCATTCTAAGAAACTTCTTTGGGATATATGTACTCAACTAACAGAGTTGAACCTTTCTATTTCTGGGTCAGTTTTGAGAAGCTCTTTTTCTGTAATCTGCAAGTGGATATTCGGATAGCTCTGAGGATTTCCTTGGAAACGGGATTTCATATAAAATATAGACAGCAGCATTCTCAGAAGCTTCTTTGTGATGGTTGCTTTTAAGTCACAGAGTTGAATATTCCCTTCCATAGAGCAGGATTGAAACACTCTTTCTGTAGTATCCGGAAGTGGACATTTCGGGCGATTTCAGTCCTATGTTGAAAAAGGAAATATCATCCCATAAAAACTAGACAGAAGCATTCTCAGAAATTTCTTTGTGATGTGTGTCCTCAACTAACAGAGTTCAAACTGTCTTATGATACAGCAGTTTGGAAACACTCCTTTTGTAGAATATGCAAGTGGATATTTGGATAGCTCTAACTATTTCGTTGGAAACGGGAATATCTTCATATAAAATCTAGACACAAGCACTCTCAGAAACTACTTTCTGATATCTGCATTCAAGTCACAGAGTTGAATATTCCCTTTCTTAGAGCAGGTTTGAAACCGTCTTTTCGTGGAATCTGCAGGAGGATATTTGGATAGCTTTGAGGATTTCGTTGGAAAAGGGATTAAATATAAAAATAGAAAGCAGCATTCTCAGAAGCTTCTTTGTGATGTTTGCTTTTAAGTCACAGTGTTCAACATTCCCTTTCATAGAGCAGTTTTGAAACACTCTTTCTGTAGTATCTGGAAGTGGACATTTCGAGTGCTTTCAGGCCTATGGTGAAAAAGGAAATATCTTCCGATAAAAACTAGACAGAAGCATTCGCAGAAACTTGTTTGTGATATGTATCCTCAACTATCAGAGTTGAACATTTCATTTGACAGAGCAGTTTGGAAACACGCTTTTTGTAGAATCTGCAAGTGGATATTTGGATAGCTTTGTGGATTTCCTTGGAAACGGGAGTATCTTCATATAAAACCTAGACAGAAACATTCTCAGAAACTGCTATATGATGTCTGCATTCACGTCACAGAGTTGATCATTCCCTTTCATAGAGCAGGTTTGAAACACTCTTTCTGTACTATCTGGATGTGGACACTTGGAGCGCTTTGACGCTTAAGGTGCAAAAGAAATATCTTCCCATAAAAACTAGACAGAAGCATTCTCACAAACTGGATTGTGATGTTTGTCCTCAACTAACAGAGTTGAAACATTTTATTTGCAGAGCAGTTTTGAAAGACTGTTTTTGGAGAATCTTCAAGTGGATATTTGGAGAGCTTTAAGGAATTCATTGGAAACGGGAATATCTTCATATAAAATCTAGACAGAGGCATTCTCAGAAACTTCTTTGTGATGTGTGTCCTCAACTAACGGCGGTACATCCTGTCTTTTGATACAGCAGTTTGGAAACACTCTTTTTGTAGAATCTGCCAGTGGATATTTGCATAGCTCTAATGATTTCTTTGGAAACGGGAATACCTTCATATAAAATCTAGACAGAGGCACTCTCAGAAACTGCTTTGTGATATCTGCATTCAAGTCACACAGTTCAACATTCCCTTTCTTAGAGCAGGTTTGAAACACTCTTTTTGCAGGATCTGGAAGTGGACATTTGGAGCGCTTTGACGCCTTTGGTGATAAAGGAAATGTCTTCACATAAAAACTAGAAAGAAGCATTCTAAGAAACATCTTTGTGATATATGTACTCAACTAACCGAGTTGAACCTTGCTCTTTATAGATCAGCTTTTTAATGCTCTTTTTGTGGAATCTGCAAGTGGATATTTGGATAGCTTTCAGGATTTCGTTGGAAACGGGATTACAAACAAAATGTAGACAGCAGCATTCTCAGAAACTTCTTTGTGATGTTTGCTTTTAAGTCACAGAGTTGAACATTCCCTTCCATAGAGCAGTTTAGAAACACTCTTTCTATAGTATCTGGAAGTGGACATTTCGAGCGATTTCAGGCCTATGTTGAAAAACGAAATATCTTCCCATAAAAACTAGACAGTAGCATACTCAGAAGCTTCTTTGTGATGCTTGCTTTTAAGTCACAGAGTTGAACATTCCCTTTCGTAGAGCAGGTTTCAGACACTCTTTCTGTAGTATCTGGAAGTGGACATTTCGAGTGTTTTCAGGCCTATGGTGAACAAGGAAATATCTTCCCATAAAAACCAGACACAAGCATTTGCAGAAACTTGTTTGTGATGCGTGTCCTCAACTCACAGAATAGAACATTTCGTTTGACAGAGCAGCTTGGAAACACGCTTTTTGTAGAATCTGCAATTGGATATTTGGATAGCTTTGTGGATTTCTTTGGAAACGGGAGTATCTTCATATAAAACCTAGACGGAAACATTCTCAGAAACTCCTTTGTAATGTCTGCATTCACGTCACAGATTTGAACATTCCCTTTCATAGAGCAGGTTTGAAACACTCTTTCCGAAGTATCTGGATGTGGACACTTGGAGCGCTTTGACGCTTACGGTGAAAAGGAAATAACTTCCCATGAAAACTAGACAGAAGCATTCTCACAAACTGGTGTGTGATGTATGTCCTCAGCTAACAGAGTTAAACCTTTCTATTTACAGAGCAGTTTTCAAAGACTCTTTTTGGAGAATCTGCAAGTGGATATCTGGAGATCTTTAAGGATTTCATTGGAAACCGGAATATCTTCAGGTAAAATCTAGACAGAGGCATTCTCAGAAACTTCTTCGTGATGTGCGTCCTCAACTAACAGAGTACAACCTGTCTTTTGATACATCAGTTTGGAAACACTCTTTTTGTAGAATCTGGAAGTGGATATTTCGATAGCTCTAACGATTTTGTTGAAAACGGGAATAGCTTCATATAAAATCTAGGCAGAGGCACTCTCAGAAACTAATTTTGTGAGATCTGCATTCAAGTCACAGAGTTGAACATTCCCTCTCGTAGATCTGGTTTGAAACACTCTTTTTTTGTATCTGGAAGTGGATCTTTGGAGCTCTTTGACGACTTTGGTGAAAAAGGAAATATGTCCCCATAAAAACTACACCAAAGCATTCTCAGAAACTTGTTTGTGTTGTGTGTACTCATCTGACAGAGTTGAACGTTTCTTTTTACACAGCAGTTTTGAAACACTCTTTTTGTAGAATCTGCAAGTGGATAATTGGATGACTTTAAGGATTTCGTTGGAAACGGGACTATATTCATGTAAAATCTACACAGAAGCATTCTCAGAATCTTCTTTGTGATGTGTGTCCTCAACTAACAGAGTTCAACCTTTCTTTTGATACAGCAGTTTGGAAACACTCTTTTTGTAGAATCTTCAAGTGGATATTTGGATAGCTCTAACGATTTCGTTGGAAACGGGAATGTCTTCATATAAAATCTGTACAGAAGCACTCTCAGGAGCTACTTTGTGATATCTGCATTCAGGTCACAGAGTTGAACATTCCCTTTCTTAGAGCACGTTTGAAACACACTTTTTGTAGTATCTGGAAGTGGACATTTGGAGCGCTTTCACGCCTTTGGTGAAAAAGGAAATGTCTTCCCATAAAAACTAGACAGAAGCATTCTAAGAAACTTCTTTGTGATATATGCACTCAACTAACCGAGTTGAACCTTTCTCTTTATAGATCAGTTTGAAATGCTCTTTTTGTGGAATCTGCAAGTGGATATTTGGATAGCTCTGAGGATTTCGTTGGAATCGGGATTACATATAAAATATAGACAGCAGCATTCTCAGAAGCTCCTTGTGATGTTTGCTTTTAAGTCACAGAGTTGAACATTCCCTTCCATAGAGCAGTTTTGAAACACTCTTTCTGTAGTATCTCTAAGTGGACATTTCGAGCGATGTCAGGCCTATGTTGAAAAAGGAAATAACTTCCCATAAAAAGTAGACAGAAGCATTCTCAGAAACTTATTTGTGATGGGTGTCCTCAACTAACAGAGTTGAACGTTTCTTTTGATACAACAGTTTAGAAACACTCTTTTTGTAGTATCTGCAAGCGGATATTTCGATAACTTTGAAGATTTCGTTGGAAACGGGAATATCTTCATATACAATCTAGACAGAGGCACTCTCAGAAACTGCTTTGTGATGTCTGCATTCAAGTCACAGAATTGAACATTCTCTTTCATCGAGCACGTTTGTAACACCGTTTCTGTAGTATCTGGATGTGGACATTTGAGCGCTTTGACGCGTACGGTGACATAGGAAATATCTTCCCTTAAAAACTAGACAGAAGCCTTCTCACAAACTGCTTTGTGATGTATGTCCTCCACTAACAGAGTTGAACCTTTCTATTTACAGGGCAGTTTTGAAAGACTCTTTTTGTAGAATCTGCAAGCGGATATTTGGATACCTTTAAGTAGATTTCATTGGAAACGGAAAAGTCATTCTCAGAAACTTCTTTGTGATATGTGTCCCCACCTAACAGAGTACAACCTGTCTTTGGATACAGCAGTTTGGAAACACTCTTTTTGCAGAATCTGCAAGTGGATATTTGGATAGCTCTGACGATTTCCTTGGAAACGGGAATATCTTCATATAAAATCTAGACAGAAGCACTCTCAGGAGGTACTTTGTGATATCTGCATTCAAGTCACAGAGTTGAACATTCCCTTTCATAGAGCTGGTTTGAAACACTCTTTTTGTTGTATCTGGAAATGGATCTTTGGAGCGCTTTGCCGACTTTGGAGAAAAAGGAAATATCTTCCCATAAAAACTAGACAGAAGCATTCTCAGAAACTTGTTTGTGATGTGTGTACTCAACTGACAGAGTTGAACGTTTCTTTTTACACAGCAGTTTTGAAACACTCTTTTTGTAAAATCTGCAAGTGGATAATTGGATGGCTTTAAGGATTTCCTTGGAAACGGGACTATATTCATGTAAAATCTACACAGAAGCATTCTCAGAAACTTCTTTGTGATGTGTGTCCTTAACTAACAGAGTTCAACCTTTCTTTTGATACAGCAGTTTCGAAACACTCCTTTTGTAGAATATGCAAGTGGATATTTGGATAGCTCTAACGATTTCATAGGAAATGGGAATACCTTCATATAAAATCTAGACAGAGGCACTCTCAGAAACTGCTTTGTGATATCTGCACTCAAGTCACAGAGTTGAACATTCCCTTTCTTAGAGCAGGTTTGAGACACTTTGTAGTATCTGGAAGTGGACATTTTTAGCGCTTTGACGCCTTTGGTGAAAAAGGAAATGTTTTCCCATAAAAACTAGACAGAAGCATTCTAAGAAACTTCTTTGGGATATATGTACTCAACTAACAGAGTTGAACCTTTCTATTTATAGGTCAGTTTTGAGAAGCTCTTGTTGTGGAATCTGCAAGTGGATATTAGGATAGCTCTGAGGATTTCCTTGGAAACGGGATTACATATAAAAAGTAGACAGCAGCATTCTCAGAACCTTCTTTGTGATGTTTGCTTTTAAGTCACAGAGTTGAATATTCCCTTACATAGAGCAGGTTTGAAACACTATTTCTGTAGTATCTGGACATGGACATTTCGAGCGATTTCAGGCCTATGTTGAAAACGGAAATATCTTCCCATAAATACTAGACAGAAGCATTCTCAGAAATTTCTTTGTGATGTGTGTCCTCAACTAACAGAGTTCATCCTTTCTTATGATACAGCAGTTTTGAAACACTCTTTTTGTAGAATATGTAAGTGGATAGTTGGATAGCTCTCATTATTTCATTGGAAACGGGAGTATCAACATAGAAAACCTAGACAGAAAAATTCTCAGAAACTGCTTTATGATGTCTGCATTCACGTCACAGAGTTGATCATTCCCTTTCATAGAGCAGGTTTGAAACACTATTTCTGTAGTATGTGGACATGGACATTTCGAGCGATTTCAGGCCTATGTTGAAAACGGAAATATCTTCCCATAAAAACTAGACAGAAGCATTCTCAGAAATTTCTTTGTGATGTGTGTCCTCAACTAACAGAGTTCATCCTTTCTTATGATACAGCAGTTTGGAAACACTCTTTTTGTAGAATATGTAAGTGGATAGTTGGATAGCTCTCACTATTTCGTTGGAAACGGGAGTATCAACATAGAAAACCTAGACAGAAACATTCTCAGAAACTGCTTTATGATGTCTGCATTCACGTCACAGAGTTGATCATTCCCTTTCATAGAGCAGGTTTGAAACCCTCTTTCCGTAGTATCTGGATGTGGACACTTGGAGCGCTTTGACGCTTACGGTGCAAAAGGAAATATCTTCCCATAAAAACTAGACAGAAGCATTCTCACAAACTGGATTGTGATGTTTGTCCTCAACTAACAGAGTTGAAACTTTCTATTTACAGAGCACTTTTGAAAGACTCTTTTTGGAGAATCTGCAAGTGGATATTTGGAGAGCTTTAAGGATTTCATTGGAAACGGGAATATCTTCATATAAAATCTAGACAGAGGCATTCTCAGAAACTTCTTTGTGATGTGTGTCCTCAACCAACGGAGTACATCCTGTCTTTTGATACAGCAGTTTGGAAACACTCTTTTTGTAGAATCTGCAAGTGGATATTTGGATAGCTCTAACGATTTCGTTGGAAACGGGAATATCTTCATAAAAAATCTAGACAGAAGCACTCTCAGAAACTACTTTGTGATATCGGCATTCAAGTCACAGAGTTGAACATTCCCTTTCATGGAGCAGGTTTGAAACACTCTTTTTGTAGTATCTGGAAGTGGACCTTTGGAGCCCTTTAATGATTTTGGTGAAAAAGGAAATATCTTCCCATAAAAACGAGACAGAAGCATTCTCAGAAACTTGTTTGTGATTTGTGTACTCAACTAACAGAGTTGAACCTTTCTTTTTACAGAGCCGTTTTGAAACACTCTTTTTGTAGAATCTGCAAGTGCATATTTGAATGGCTTTAAGGATTTCGTTGGAAATGGCAATATCTTCATGTAAAACCTACACAGAAGCATTCTCAGAAACTTCTTTGTGATGTGTGTCCTCAACTAACAGAGTTGAACCTTTCTTTTGACAGAGCAGTTTTGAAACACTCTTTTTGTAGGATCTGCAAGTGGATATTTGGATAGCTTAGAGGATTTCCTGGGAAATGGGAATATATTCATATGAAATCTAGACAGAAGCATTCTCAGAAACTTCTTTGTGATCTTTTCATTCAACTCGTAGAGTTGAACATTCCCTTTCATAGAGCCAGTTTGAAACACTCTTCTTGTAGTATCGGGAAGTGGACATTTGGAGCGCTCTGACGCCTATGGTGAAAATGGAAATATCTTCCCATAAAAACTAGACAGAAGGATTCTCAGAAACATGTTTGTGATGTATGTACTCAGCTAAGAGAGTGGAACCTTTCTTTTTACAGAGCAGCTTTGATACACTATTTTTGTAGAATCTGCAATTTGATATTTTGATTGCTTTAAAGATATCGTTGGAAACAGGAATATCTTCATATAAAATCTAGACAGAAGCACTCTCGGAAACGACTTTGTGATATCTGCATTCAAGTCTCAGAGTTGAACGTTCCCTTTCTTAGAGCAGGTTTGAAACACTCTTTTTGTAGTATCTGGAAGTGGACATTTGGAGCGCTTTGACGCCTTTGGTGAAAAAGGAAATGTCTTCCCATAAAAACTAGACAGAAGCATTCTAAGAAACTTCTTTGGGATATATGTACTCAACTAACAGAGTTGAACCTTTCTATTTATAGATCAGTTTTGAAACGCTCTTTTTGTGGAATCTGCAAGTGGATATTTGGATGGCTTTGAGGATTTCGTTGGAAACGGGATTATATATAAAAAGTAGACAGCAACATTCTCAGAAGCTTCTTTGTGATGTTTGCTTTTAAGTCACAGGTTTGAACATTCCCTTTCATAAAGCAGGTTTGAAACACTCTTTCTGTAGTATCTGGAAGTGGACATTTTGAGCGCTTTCTGGCCTATGTTGAAAAAGGAAATATCTTTCCATAAAAAGTAGACAGAAGCATTCTCAGAAACTTATTTGTGATGTGTGTCCTCAACTAACAGAGCTGTACCTTTCTTTTGATACAGCAGTTTGGAAACACTCTTTTTGTAGAATTTGCAAGTGGATATTTGGATAACTTCGAAGATTTCGTTGGAAACGGGAATATCTTCATATAAAATCTAGACAGAAGCATTCTCAGAAACTGCTTTTTGATGTCTGCATTCAAGTCACAGAGTTGAACATTCCCTTTCATCTAGCCGGTTTGAAACACTCTTTTTGTAGTATCTGGATGTGGACATTTTGAGCGCTTTGACGCCTACAGTGAAAAAGGAAATATCTTCCCATAAAAAGTAGACAGAAGCATTCTCAGAAACTTGTTTGTGATGTATGTCCTCAACTAACAGAGTTGAACAATTCTTTTTACAGAGCAGTTTTGAAACACTCTTTTTGTAGAATCTGCAGGTGGATATTGGGATAGCTTTAAGGATTTCATTGGAAACGGGAATATCCAAATATCAACTTGCAGATTCTACAAAAATAGTGTATCAAAGCTGCTCTGTAAAAAGAAAGGTTCCACTCTGTTAGCTGAGTACACACATCACAAACATGTTTCTGAGAATCCTTCTGTGTAGTTTTTATAGGAAGATATTTCCTTTTTCAGCATAGGCATCAGAGCGCTCCAAATGTCCACTTCCCGGTAGTACAAGAAGAGTGTTTCAAACCGGCTCTATGAAAGGGAATGTTCAACTCTACGAGTTGAATGAAAAGATCACAAAGAAGTTTCTGAGAATGCTTCTGTCTAGATTTTATATGTATATATTCCCGTTTCCAACGAAATCCTCTAAGCTATCCAAATATCCACTTGCAGATTCCGCAAAAAGAGTGTTTCAAAACTGCTCTGTCAAAAGAAAGGTTCAATTCTGTTAGTTGAGTACAAACATCACAAAGAAGTTTCTGAGAATGCTTCTGTCTAGTTTTTATGGGAAGATATTTCCTTTTTCACCATGGGCCTCAAAGTGCTTCAAACGTCCACTTCCAGATACTACAAAAAGAGTGTTTCAAACCTGCTCTATGAAAGAGAATGTTCAATTCTGTGACTTGAAGGCAGACATCACAAAGCAGTTTCTGAGAATGCTTCTGTCGAGATTATATACGAAGATACTCCCGTTTCCAACGAAATCCTAAAATCTATCCAAATATCCACTTGCAGATTCTACAAAAAGAGTGTTTCAAAACTGCTCTGTGAAAAGAAAGCTTCAACTCTGTTAGCTGAGTACACACATCACAGACAAGTTTCTGAGAATGCTTCTGTCTATTTTTTATGGGAAGATATTTCCTTTTTCACCATAGGCGTCAAAGCGCTCGAAATGTCCACTTCCACATACTACAAAAAGAGTGTTTCAAACCTTCTCTATGAAAGGGAATGTTCAACTCTATGAGTTGAATGCAAACATCAGAACGAAATTTCTGAGAATGCTGCTGTCCACTTTTTATATGAATGCGCGCTTTCAACGAAATCCTCAAAGCAATCCAAATATCCACTTGCAGATTCCACAAAAAGAGTGTTTCAAAACTCCTCTATCAATAGAAAGTTTCAACTCTGTTAGTTGAGGACACACATCACAAATAAGTTTCTAAGAATGCTTCTGTGTAGATTTTACATGAAGATATTCCCGTTTCCAATGCCATCCTTAAAGCCATGCAAATATCCACTTGCAGATTCTACAAAAAGAGTGTTTCAAAACTGCTCTGTAAAAAGAAAGGTTCAACTCTGTTAGTTGAGTACACACATCACAAACAAGTTTCTGAGAATGCTTCTGTCTCGTTTTTATGGGAAGATATTTCCTTTTTCACCAAAGTCGTCAAAGCGCTCCAAATGTCCACTTCCAGATACTACAAAAAGAATGTTTCAAACCTGCTCCATGAAAGGGAATGTTCAACTCTGTGACTTGAATGCCGATATCACAAAGTAGTTTCTGAGAGTGCTTCTGTCTAGATTTTATATGAAGATATTCTCATTTCCAATGAAATCGTTAGAGCTATCCAAATATCCACTTGCAGATTCTACAAAAAGAGTGTTTCCAAACTGCTGTATCAAAAGAAAGGTTGAACTTTGTTAGTTGAGGACACACATTACAAAGAAGTTTCTGAGAATGCTTCTGTCTAGATTTTATATGAAGATTTTCCCGTTTCCAATGAAATCCTTAAAGCTATCCCAATATCCACCTGTAGATTCTACAAAAAGAGTGTTTCAAAACTGCTCTGTAAAAAGAATGGTTCAACTCTGTTAGTTGAGGACACACATCACAAACAAGTTTCTGAGAATGCTTCTGTCTAGTTTTTGTGGGAAGATATTTCCTTTTTCACTGTAGGCATCAAAGCGCTCCAAATGTCCACATTCAGATACTACAAAAAGAGTGTTTCAAACCTGCTCGATGAAAGGGAATGTTCAACTCTGTGACTTGAATGCAGACATCACAAAGCAGTTTCTGAGAATGTTTCTGTCTAGATTTTATATGAAGATACTCCCGTTTCCAATGAAATCCACAAAGCTATCCAAATATCCACTTGCAGATTCTACAGAAAGCGTGTTTCCAAACTGCTCTGTCAAACGAAATGTTCAACTCCGTTAGTTGAGGACACACATCAGAAACAAGTTTCTGCGAATGCTTCTGTGTAGTTTTTATGGGAAGATATTTCCTTTTCCACCATAGGCCTGAAAGCGCTCGAAATGTCCACTTCCAGATACTACAGAAAGAGTGTTTCAAACCTGCTCTATGAAAGGGAATGTTTTATATTTGTATGTATCATATGCCAATTGTTACCTTTTTTGGCAGCACTGAAAATTCAGGTGATCTTAAACATCAGACAGATAACACAAATAAGTGGTCCAGGTAAGGACTGTGTGAAATAGAAAACATATCCTCTCTCAGAAAACAGTGAGAGGATATTGCTGATGTGCAGGCCTCTGGCCCTTTGTTGAGAAACAGTTATTGGAAATCAGATTTGTATTTGAAGTATTCCAGTTTTTAAATTAGCAACTATTTTCTTGCAACCCCAGCACTTTTGGAGGCCAAGATGGGCAGATTGCTTGAGCTCAGTAGTTCAAGACCAGCCTGGGCAACATGGCAAGACCCCATCTCTACCAAAAATACAAAAAATTAGCTGGGCATGGTGGCATGTGCTTGTGGTCCCAGCTACTAGGGAGACTGAGGTGGGAGGATCACTTGAGCCCAGGAGGCAGAGCTTGCAATGAACCGAGATTGCACCACTGCACTCCAGCCTGGGCAAGAGAGTGAGACCCCATCTGATGTGATTTGGCTGTGTCCCCACCCAAATCTCGTATTGAATTCCCACATGTGTGGGAGGGACCTGGTGGGAGGTAGTTGAATCATGGGGGCAGGTCTTTCCTGTGCTGTTCTCATGGTGGTGAATGACTCTCATGGGATCTGATGATTATAGAAGGGGGAGTTTCCCTGCACAAGCTCTTTTATCTTGTCTGCCACCATGTGAGACATGCCTTTCACCCTCCACCACGATTGGGAAGCCTCCTCAGCCACGTGGAACTGTAAGTCCATTAAATGTCTTTCTTTTGTAAATTGCCCAGTCTCAGGTATGTCTTTATCAGCAGTGTGAAAATGGACTAATACAGTAAATTGGTACCAGAAGTGGGGTGTTGCTGAGAAGATACCGGAAAATGTGGAAGCAACTTTGGAACTGGGTAACAGGCAGAGGTTGAAACCGTTTGGAGGGCTCAGCAGAAGACAGGAAAATGTGGGAAAGTTTGGAACTTCCTAGAGATTTGTTGAATGGCTTTGTCCAAAATGCTGATAGCGATATGGACAATAAGGTCCAGGCTGAGGTGGACTCAGATGGAGATGAGGAACTTGTTGGGAACAGGAGCAAAGGTGACTCTTGTTATGTTTTAGCAAAGAGACTGGCAACATTTCGCCCCTGCCTTAGAGATTTATGTAAGTTTGAACTTCAGAGAGATGATTTAGGGTATCTGGTGGAAGAAATGTCTAAGCAGCAAAGCATTCAAGGGGTGACATGGGTGCTGTTAAAGGCATTCAGTTTTATAAGGGAAGTAGAGCATAAAAGTTCAGAAAATTTGCAACCTGACAATGTGATAGAAAAGAAAAACTCATTTTCTGAGGAGAAATTGAAGCTGGCTGCAGAAATTTGCATAAGTAAGATGTTAATCCCCAAGACAATGGGAAAAATGTCTCCAGGGTATGTCAGAGGCCTTCACGGCAGCCCCTCCCATCACAGACCCAGAGGCCTAGGATAAAATGGTTTTGTGGGCCAGGCAGGGTCCACATGCTGTGTGCAATCTAAAGACTTGGTGCTCTGCATCCCAGCCACTCCAGCCGTCACTAAAAGGGGCTAAGAGACAGCTTGGGCTGTTGCTTCAGAGAGTGGAAAACCCAAGCCTTGGCAGGTTCCATGTGGTGTTGAGCCTGTAGGTGCAGAGAAGTCAAGAACTGAGGTTTAGGAACCTTGGCCTAGATTTCAGATGTATGGAAATGCCTGGATGCCCAGGCAGAAGTTTGCTGCAGGGGTGGGGCCCTCATGGAGAACCTTTGCCAGGGCAGTGCAGAAGGGATGTGAGGTTGGAGTCTCCACACAGAGTCCTTACTGGGGTACCGCCTAGGGCCACCATCCTCCAGACCCCAGAATGGTAGATCCACTGACAGCTTGCACTGTGTGCCTGGAAAAGCCACAGACACTCAACACCAGCCCATGAAAGCAGCCAGGAAGGGGGCTGAACCCTGCAGTCACAGGGGCAGGGCTGCCCAAGACCATGGGAACCCACTTCTCCCAACAGTGTGACCTGGATATGAGACATGGAGTCAAAAGATGTCACTTTGGAGCTTTAAGATTTGACTGCCCCACTGTATTTTGGACTTGCATGGATCCTGTAGCCCCTTTGTTTTGGCCAATGCCTCCCATTTGGAATGGCTGTATTTATCCAATGCCTGTGCCCCCATTGTATCCAGGAAGTAACTAACTTGCTTTTGATTTTACAGGCTCATAGGCGGAAGGGACTTGCCTGGTCTCGGATGGGACTTTGGACTGTGGACTTTTGAGTTAATGCTGAAATGAGTTAAGACTTTGGAAGACTGTTGGGAAGGCATGATTGGTTTGTTTTGTTTTTCCTTTTCTTTTTTTAAGATGGAGTCTTGCTCTGAGTCCCAGGCTGGAATGCAGAGGCATGATCTCAACTCACTGCAACCTCTGCTTCCCAGGTTTAAGGGATTCTCCTGCCTCAGCCTCCTGAGTAGCTGGGATTATGGGTGCCTGCCACCATGCCTGGCTAACCTTTATATATTTAGTAGAAACAGGGTTTCACCATGTCAGGCTAGTCTTGAACTCTTGACCTCAGGTGATTCACCCACCTCAGCCTCCCAAAGTGCTGGGATCACAGGCATGAGCCACTGCACCCGGCTGCATGATTGGTTTTGACATACGAAGACATAAGATTTGGGAGGGGCCAGGGATGGAATGATGTAGTTTGGCTGTGTCCCTACCCAAATCTCATCTTGAATTCCCAGGCATTGTGGGAGGCTTTGGGGGAGGTAGTTTAATCATGGGGGCACGTCTTTCCTGTGCTGTTCTTGTGGGGGTAAGTGACCCTCACGGGATCTGATGATTATATAAGTGGAAGCTTTCCTGCACAAGCTTTCTTATCTTGTCTGCCTCCATGTGAGACAAGCCTTTCAGCCTCCACCATGATTGTGAAGCTTCCCCAGCCACATGGAACTGTAAGTCCATTAAATGTCTTTCTTTTGTAAATTGCTCAGTCTCAAGTATGTCTTTATTAACAGGGTGAAAATGGACTAATACACATCTCAAAAAAAAGATAAATTAGCAACTAAACGATATTTTTAAAATATGATATGAGTCTAACAAAACAAATAAGGCTAAATATGACTAAGGTCTCTTGCTAGTTCTAATCATTTTTCAGTTAGTTGTTTGGAACAGTTTTGGTAAGCAATCATGATCGGCAAGTAATGGCAGGTTTGCTGCTTCTTTCCAATATGTGTAATACGTATTTGTGTTTTGCTGCATTTATCTCAGAAAAATGTTGAATAATAGTAGGAATCCTGGTTGTTTCTGACTCTGGTTTCCTTGTTAATTACAATGTTTGTTCTAGGTTGGCCTGCCTCTTTTATAGTTAGAGGAGTTATTGATCACATAATTTGTAATAATAATATGATTAACATGAGAATAGTTGAGAGTTTCTACTTTTTGAGTATTTGTGGTGCAAGTGTGAATTAATGTAATACATTCATTAAACAAGTGAGCTAATGAGAAATACAATTTCAGGCACGATTATGAAGATGTTCCCTTTTTTCTATGACAGTAAATGCACTTTCTTGAAAGCCTGGTTGGAATAGATATGACATTATAATGTAATGTAAATACTCTTTGGATTGTAAATGGTATAAATAATGTTGATGAAATAAACAAGGTATAGAGGCAGGGCTTCGTGGCTTACATATGTAATCCCAGCACTTTGGGAGGCCAAGGTGGGAGGATTGCTTGGGCCTAGGAGTTCAAGAGCAGCCTGGACAACAGTGGAACCCCATCTCTACAAAAAGTAAGAAAATCAGCCGGGCATGGTGGTGCATGCCTGTAGTCCTAGCTACTTGGGAGGCTTAGGTGGGGGGAGGATCGCTTGAGCCCAGGAGGTCGAGGCTGCAGTGAGCTGTGATCACACCATTGCACTCCAGCCTGGGCGACAGAGCAAGACCTTATCTTAAACAAAAACAAAAAAACAAAAACAATCAAACAAAAACAAAAAAAGCCAAGTTATAGAGTATTACATGTGAAAAGTGTAATGCCATTTATATAAATGTAGAAGCCATATAAAACAGCTTTATATAGATACAAGGGTTTTAGCAAAGGGACAGAATGCGAATGAGGAGAATACACATCAAATTAACAGCAGTTATTTATGGCTTTTGAGGGGGAAGGAAAGAGAATAGAACTGGGAACGGAGGTACACAGAAGTCTTTGGTTAAATCTGTAATTTTTATTTCTTTAAAAAAAGCAATTTAAAGGAAATATAAAGACAATATTTGCTCATTCTGGGTAGTAGGTATAAAAATGCATTTTATATTTTTTGCAGAATTAAAAAATATCAGTATTATCTTGAACTTAGTAAAATAAATGAGCCTATTCACAGATAGCAGTGTTTAATGCAGTATAATTATATGGATAATTAGAATAACAATATGGTACACAGGACAGACCTAGGAATTCTTGTTGAATAGTCAGAACCACAGAAGTGAGCTGTAGTTGACACAGGATGTAATGTATATATGGTGTAAAAAGGAAAAATAAGAAAAATTTCTATAATAGCTAATATTAGTTTCTGAATATTATGAAATGACAACATACAACATATATCCAACTGAACAATGCCTAGAGATGAATTTTAGTAATAAAGTTCCTGTTAAATGACATTACCATAAAGGAAAAATAATCTATAGTGTTCATAAAGCTCATAATTCATTTAATGTTTCCTTTATGAAGTGTAGCCTGCTAGAGGCTTTCAGTCCAGTAAAAAATGACACCTATTATTATATTTGTTATTTTGCATTTGATAAAATGTTCATTTACAGCTATATTTCTGCCTACTATAAATGAGTGATGAGTTCATACTATAAAGTTTAAAAAACCAAGACTTATTTCCATACCATGACAGTGAAATCAAAGTTTTCCCCTCTAAATAACAGATTATGATATATGAAATATACTAAAGCCCAGTAAGTCAGGATTCAAATTCATGACTGTTTTTTTTTCAGCTGTAAGTTAGTTTACCTTCACATTCCATCTAGCAAATTGAGGTTTATAGCTGTGTGCCCTAGAACAGAATATTATGTATTTTATTATTTATTGAGACAGAGTCTGTCACCCGGGCTGGAGTGCAGTGGCACAATCACGGCTCACTGCAGCCTCAACTTCCTGGGCTCCAGCAATCCTCCCACCTCAGCCTCCCAAGTAGCTGAGACCACAGATGCATGCCACCACACCTTGCTACTTTTTTGTATTTTGGTAGAAACAGGGTTTTGCTATGTTGCCCACGGCTGGTCTTGAGCTACCTAAGTGACCACTGGCCTTGGCCTCCCAAAGTGCTGAGATAACAGGCATGAGCCACTGTGCCTGGCCTAAACATATAAAATTGTCCTATCATAAAGTAGGGATGTTAATACCTATAGTTGGTAATACCTTGTAAAGTTGAGAATAGGATACTTTTTGTAAAGGTGAAAGTTACGTTTTAACCTTGAAACATCTTAATTTCAAGATCTTGAGGTAATAACGTAGTGGAAACATTTTTTTTTCTTTTCTAGTTTTGACCTCCTTTATGCCTACTCTTAGATGGCCCCTCTTGTGATTAATTGACATATTTTGAATGAGAATTAGGCCTGAGCAGAGTTAGCAAATGTGTTGCACACAGCACAGAACTTACATCAACCAGAACTAATGAAACCTTGGCCAAGAGTGAGTAAATCTAAGAAACATCCATTCAGGCTGGGCATGGTGGCTCACGCCTATAATCTCAGCACTTTGGGAGGCTGAGGTGGGTGGATCACAAGGTCAGGAGTTCGAGACCAGCCTGGCCAACATGGCGAAACCCCGTCTCTACTAAAAATACAAAAATTAGCTGGGCATAGTGGCAGGCGCCTGTAATCCCAGCTACTCGGGAGGCTGAGGCAGGAGAACTGCTTGAACCCGGGAGGTGGAGGTTGTAATGAGCCAAGATCGCACCACTGCACTCCAGCCTGGCAACAAGAGCAAGACTCCATTTCAAAACAAAACAAAACAAACCAGAAACATCCATTCGGCCTAAGTAGAAGGAAGATCCAAAATATTTCCTTTTACCCAGCTGGGCCCATATTATATTTCTGCCACATTATTTGGTTGTAGACTTTATTTATTTATTTATTTATTTAGATGGAGTTTCTCTCTGTCGCCCAGGATGGAGTGCAGTGGTGTGATCTCGGCTCACTGCAAGCTCCGCCTTGTGAGTTCACGCCATTCTCCTGCCTCAGCCTCCCGAGTAGTTGGGACTACAGGCGCCCACCACCACGCCTGGCTAATTTTGTTTTTGTATTTTTAGTAAAAATGGGGTTTCACCATGTTAGCCAGGCTGGTCTCAATCTCCTGACCTGGTGATGTGCCCACCTTGGCCTCCCAAAGTGCTGGGATTACAGGCGTGAGCCACTGTGCCCGGCCGGTTGTAGACTTTCTTAAATAACTAGTCTAAGTGAAAGTTAGATTCTACACTCACAGTTATCCAGGCAAATGAACCACTTAATTCAATTTAATAGCCAAACCATCCTACATGGTACAAGAAACCAATTTATAGGATTAACATACAAGTGTCACTTTATTCACAATCTTTGCATTATACACTTTATTTCTAAGCATTTATATTTTTTCCCTTGAATCTCCAACATCTCAAATACTTTATGGGAAACAGTATAGCTTGGGAGAAAGTATCATATCTTAATTCTCATAAGACAATTCATTAACATTTGGCAAAAGAAAGGAGATATTTAATCTCTTTGTATGTTAGACTTTCAATATGTGAAGTGGAATTAATGTTATTCTTTTCCTACCTCACAAAAATCTGAGTTACATATACTTTGGAGATAATCCATTAGAAAACACAGCTAACTGTTAATAACAGTTATGAAGGAATTGGTGGGGTGGGGTGGGGTTTAGGAAGTGCAGACTGACTTTCTACTAGAATATTCTTTGCATTTAATTTATTGCAATAAGCATAGATCTTGTCCAGAAAAAAAACACTAAAAGCATAAAAGATTTGGCAGTAAATATATCTAGGCCATTGAGCATGGCTTTATATATACATACTATCCAACCAGAAATTGATTTGAACAGTAAACATTATAAAAACAAAGAATAATTGTGATTAAGATTTCCAAGTGTCAGGCCAGGCACGGTGGCCTACACCTGTAATGAGAGAGTAAAACTGCTTGAGGCTAGGAGTTAGAGACCACCCTGGGCAACATAATCTCATCGGATTGTCATTATATGACTATTTATTAACCTAATGATCAACTTTAAAAATCATTTGTTTATTTAAAAAAACCATTTCCGTTTATTCATGTCTTTTTAAACTTCTCCAAATGTCTTACAATTTTCTTGGTGGAGGTCGTATACATCTTTCAGTAGATTGTTTTTAAATTTATATGGGAATGCAACCAGGCGCGGTGGCTCATGCCTGTAATCCCAGCACTTTGGGAGGCCAAGGTGGGTGTGGATCACCTGAGGTCAGGAGTTCAAGACCAGGCTGGCCAACATGGTGAAACCCTGTCTCTACTAAAAATACAAAAATTAGCTGGGCATGGTGGTGGGCACCTGTAATCCCAGCTACTCGGGAGTCTGAGGCAGGAGGATCACTTGAACCTGGGAGGCGGAGGTTGCAGTGAGCCGAGATCGCGCCACTGCACTCCAGCCTGGGCAACAAGAGCGAAACTTCGTTTCAAAACAAAAATAAAAAATTATATGGAAATGCAAAAGGCCAAGAATAGCCAAGCCAATTGGGAGGGATTACAAAGTTGGACTTCTACTACAGATATAAAATCTTATTATAAAGTTACAGTAATTAAAAGTGTGATATTGGCAAGGACACAGAAATAACACCAATGGATTGTTCACCTGAATTACGATGCAGGAAAGAAGTATTTTCAATGAATACTGCAGTATCAACTGAATATCCATATGGGAGAAATACTGCTTGATCTCTACCTCACTCTGAATTCCAGATTGATTATAGAACTGTGAAAGTTAACTATGAATTACAAACTCAAGTAACTATGAGTTTGTCATTTAAGTTCTTTTACTTATTTTTTTTACTTTAAATGAAGGGTGAATGGGTTAATTTAAGCTGAAACCCCAAATGACAGGTCATGAGTGAACCTGTGAATAATGACAGTGGCTATGTTTTCTTTGTTGCCCAAAGCTGGAGTTCCTGATCTCAGAGAAGCTTACAGGTGTGGGTGCATGGGCTAACTCAATGCTGAACCTTCATTCCACACTCCTAGTGTGTCCTCCTGTAACAAATTAGAGAGAAAGCTAGAGGCTATATTTCTCAGACTTTCTTGCAGCTAGGGGTCTGGATGTGATTTAATTTTGGCCACGTAGATGCACCTAGAGAAGGCAGACGTGAGATGCAGGCTGTGCTAAATGCCAGCAAGCAGGGTCATGGAAGTGCCTTTTCTGAGGCAGTGTGCAGACATGAGGTTCTTAAGTGGCAAGAGGAATGGTACAAAACATCTAACTGGAGGTAGATTGTAGCAAGCCTGACAAGTGTTGCAGAGAACCAGCAGTGGTAGTGTGGATTCCTGATTATGGCACTATCTGGACCCTCTCAATATTGGTATACTTGGGAGTGAGTGGTTTCCTGAACTTAGAAGAGGAAGCAGCTCTCCTGGTTGACCCAGTTCTGTAATGTGGCATTGGGAGTGATTCCTCAAAGCTCTCTCAGTTCTCAACAATTCTAAGTTCAGATTAGTATGTCATTTGGAAAGTCTTCTCTTGCTTAAACTAATTAGAATTAACTCTGTTCTCTGCAACTGGACCTTAAAATATTAGGTAATGGTGATGAGTCTGAGAAGGTAGTAAGGACACCGTCAGGAACTGTGCTGAGATTTTATCCTGTTTGCATGCTGCCAGTCACAGTTTCATGGATCCTGACAAAAGAGATGAGACCCCTGGGTCAGAGTCAGATGACTTCATTCACAGCACAGCAAAAGCAGCATAAGTTTCACGTTCCATCAGTTCCCTTTGCCCTCCAAGCCCCATGTGGGCAATGCAGAGTGGCCCAGGTGGGTGCTGAGCACACAGTGGGTTTGCATCATAGGTGGGAGACGTTATCTTTATTATACTGGACAGTAAAAGAACCCGACATCCTCACAAGGGAGAACTCTATCTTCCAAGGCTGTTTACTACATAAATATCCTTGGAAAAGATAGTCAAAAGAAAGGTTGTCAGAGCCTCTGCTTCCCTGATGTGTAGAAATGCAAGAGACCCATGGAGAATTGTTTTCCAACACACTTTAGCCAGCTTTTCATGTGAACTATTCCCACTCTTGTTTTAGAGCCCAAGACCACGTTTTATCTTTTAAAAATACACTTTAATCTAACCATGGAATTTCACAAACATTTATATACAATCAGAGACTAATTTGAAGTATGTTTTCCATTCATTTCAGCCATGAGAAAACACATTGCAGTAAAAATTAAAGATACCCATCCATAAATTACTTTTATTTCTCATTAAATGAGCACAGAGTCATTAGTATATTAATAACAGATATGTTTATTATTACATATCCATCAGTGCGGCTTTCAATACCACTTGAAACATGCATATCATCCTAGAGACGATCGGTTTTCCAGTGCTTCTTATCTGATACACATTACTGCAAAGCCATTATAAATTACTGAGGAGGTATTTGGTTAAAAAAATAAACAATAAATCATACTGTCCATATGAATCAACTCTTGTTACTGGACAAGAGTTTAACAGTATTTATCTGGTAATTCCTATGTTAACTGGAAAACATCATGGATGTATTGCCATATTTCCTTTTTATGTTGGTGCAACCTTCTACATTTTTTGCAGTTTTATAAAGTCATTATTGTAGCAGGTAGTTTGATGCAAAGATTGTACTCAATTTATGAAAGTCCAACAAACCTCTAAATATTTTAAATTAAACCAATTATCAATGAAAAACTCACTGACACACATAATTTTTTGAAAATACATTTTTTGAAATTTCTATACTTACTCATGGCAGTAAAATAATTATCTCAAATTAAGGCACTAAAAGGACAATGCAACCCCCATTGAAAGTGTTCTAAGAATAATTTACATTTCAAACAGTGCATACATTTCTTATATGTTTGTTAACTTAATGTCTTTATCATTTAAAACCACAAAGAAATACATTATACAATTATAGAAATGATGTACCCCACAAAATGCTTTTAAACTTGGTTCTTTTGTACAGTTAGTTTCCTAATGTCTCTAGTAGTAAAATAACTCAATATGGCTTGGCAAAAATGCATAGATTAAATGTAACTTTTTTTTGTCCTCTCCCATTCCCCAAACTTGCTGAAACATATACAGTATTTTGTAAAGCATAATGAAAGATATTTAATTTCTCCATCAAGTCCAACATGGGCAATCAACAGTAAGGCTTTTAAATTCTACAGTGAGGGCACTGAAGTTCAAGTGATATCACTGCTTTCTTAAAATAGTTTTGTATAGTCTTGCAAGAGCACAAAAACTTAAGTCATTAAAAAAAAAACAAAACTTCAGTTTGTCTCATTTTGAGATATTTTCTTTACTCCTTCCATGAGCTGATCTTGATAGTGATGGCTGTTCCACTTGAAAGTGAAAGTCCCTTCCTCTTACTCATATGAGGAAAACTCTGTTCTATCACGACTGACAGGCATTTTCTTATAAATCCAAAAAGGCAGCACCTTTTAAAAAAAATATATCTACCTAAGCTTTCCCCCAACTGTACTTGCATTACATAGTAATAATTAATCTAATCTACCTGTAGGCAAACCCGCAATAAAAAAAACCCTCAGTGTGTTGTGCCAAAGCAAGGACAGAAAAACAGCAATCTTAACCCTGAAGCCTGTGATATTTGTGTCAAAGAAACAGCCTGTCTGCTCTGCATGGTTAAAGAAGCCTGGTTTATCAGGTAGCATCCCACACGATTCCACAGGGCACTCAGTCACATGGTTAACTGTTGAGGGAGGGGGAAAAAACTAATTTAAGAAATGCACTCAGTTTAAAAATACAAGAAACAAACATTAGGAGGAAAGGTAAATATACATTATCTTTACATAAAATAATTAACAATTACACAAAATTTGGAAAACAAGGAATAGGAAAAATATACTTAGTATTCTCTCCTCTTTGTTTCTACACATTTTCTTACTCAGCTATAATCTCATTTCAAATCATTTTAGATCCAGTTTACAACCTATGCTCAGGAGAAGGCTGACATAGCATTCTACAGAATTAAGTTAGCAGTAAGGTGATAATACCTGGCATAGTATGGTGGCTGAGAAAGGAAAGGATATAAGTCATTTCAAAGAATTAGGCCTGGTTACTGACAATAGGGCATGAACAAAAGGGATGAATTCAAGATGGCTTTAAGCCTGCTTGGAAGATGTAGGTGACATTGGCAGCGAGGCAAATCAGTGTTAGGTCTCAGCTTCTAATTCGAGTGGCCCTATTAATCTAGGGAGTACACTCTAGGGAAGGTGGTATGTGGTAGAATAGAGGCTTTGGAATTGGACAACATAGGCTTTAGAATTGGACAGAAATGGTTTCCAATCCATTGGCTGTGTGATTGAGCAAACTGCTTAATTTCTCTGAGCCTTATTTACTAATGTGTAAAATGAGAACTTAATGAGATGAGATTTCATTATTTCTCTCCAAGAAAGAGTTAACTGCCTGGTGCGGTGGCTCATGCCTGTAATCGCAGCACTTTGGGAGGCCCAGGAAGGTGCATCACCTGAGGTCAGGAGTTCAAGACCAGCCTGGCCAACATGTTAAACTCCATCTCTACTAAAAATACAAAAATTAGCAGGCCGTGGTGGCATGTGCCTGTAATTCCAGCTACTCAGGAGGCTGAGGTGGGAGAATAGCTTGAACCTGGGAGGCAGAGGTTGCAGTGAGCTGAGATTGCGCCACTGCACTCTGGCCTGGGTGACAGAGCGAGACTCTGTCTCAAAATGAATGAATGAATGAATGAATGAATGAATGAATGAATGGTTATGCCTTATAATTGTTTATCATGGCATAAAACATATTTTTGGAAAAAAGTCCATCAAAAATAGTTAAACAGCCAGGCATGGTGGCTCACGCCTGTAATCCCAGCACTTTGGGAGGCTGGGGCATGCAGATCATTTGAGGTCAGGAGTTTGAGATCAGCCTGGCCAACATGATGAAACCCTCTCTCTACTAAAAATACAAAAATTAGCCAGGCGTGGCATGCGTCTGTAATCCCCGCTACTTGGGAGGCTGAGGCTGGAGAATTGCTTGAACTTGGGAGGTGGAGGTTGCAGTGAGCTGAGATAGCGCCACCACTGCACTCCAGCCTGGGTGACAGAGTGAGACTCTGTCTCAAAAAACAAAAAAAAAAAGGGGGTCATGAGTTCACATCCTTTGAAGGGACATGGATGAAGCTGGAAACCATCATTCTCAGCAAACTAACACAGGAATAGAAAACCAAACACCACAGGTTCTCACTCGTAAGTGGGAGTTGAACAATGAGAAAACATGGACACAGGGAGGGGAACGTCACGCACCAGGGCCTGTCGAGGGATGGGGGGCTAGGGCAGGGATAGCATTAGGAGAAATACCTAATGTAGATGATGGGTTGATGGGTGCAGCAAACCACCATGGCACGTGTATACCCATGTAACAAACCTGCATGTTCTGCACATATATCCCAGAACTTAAAGTATAATAATTAAAAAAACATAGTCACTGATAATACCAAATAATTTTGTATGTTGGGATAGTATGGGAAGTTAACAAAAAAGGGAAAAACAATTTTGGTTTTTGTAGAAAAACTATGCCAACACAGTTAAAAAACAGAAAAGATGATGAAAAGTTTTATATGAATTTCTGCATTAAAAAAATTAAGTTGGTTAAAGCATTAAGGGCTAAAACTATGCCATGTACAGCAACTTATGACAATAAAATTAGACACAGAACTAAATAAATATAATATTGCATGTATTATTATTATTAAACTCTAACAAGAATAAGTTAAACTAATTTATAAAGTCACTGCAATTCACATACAAATACCTAAAAATGATGCCCTCTGTGGTGAAAAGCACAATTAGATTTCTGATTTTAATAGCTGTTATCCAATCATTTTCACATTGTTAAAAACGTTAGCATTTCAAATCCTTACCTAGTTTTTCCAGATGTATTTTTGACCACTTTCCGGAAAGACTGATTTGCAGTGGATCTTGTAGAAAGCGTTCGAGGGGAAGCACGAACAAAACCAGATGGTGGATTCTTAGGGATTTTCTTTACTAAATGAGTTACCCATTTTTTTTGTTCATCCTGAGAACATGCTAACAGCAGCATATCTCTTGCTGATGTTACATCATAACTTACTATGTTAAGGAGGAAAAAAAAAGCATAATTAAAGCCATATAGTTTTTTAAAATCCAACCTATCAAATGCATAGTTTTTCAAGTTCTTAAGGTTTTAAAAGTTTTAATATGCTTAATTAAGCATGAACAATATCTCATTCTCCTTAAGTTAAATAAGGCTGAAATTAAAAAAAAAAATTAGTCAAACTAATAAAGTAAAATCAGAAATATAACAAAATGTAAAACAAATAAATGTATTTAAAGAACATAAGCTTCTTATCTGAAAATAGCTATGGTCTGTATTCTTTCCCTCAAGCTACCTCTGTAAAACTAGAAGATATTCTGTGATACAGCATGCATGCTGATCCAGGCAGTGAATGCCAGACAAAAAGAAGAGGAAAAACTCAAGGGAGGAATAGAGTGGAACTCACCTGTTGCTCTTCTCTCCAACTTGGAATAATTTCTTAGCAGCATGTTTGTTTGTTTTTGTTTGTTTACAAGGGGGTGATTCTCTTTAAAAACACTGTTGGCCGGGCGTGCAATGGCTCACACCTGTAATCCCAGCACTTTGGGAGGCCGAGGTGGGTGGATCACCTGATGTCAGGAGTTCGAAACCAGCCTGGACAACATGGTGAAACTCCATCTCTACTAAAAATACAAAATTAGCCGGGTGTGGTGGCACACGCCTATAGTCCCAGCTACTCAGGAGGCTGAGATAGGAGAATCACTTGAACCTGGGAGGCAGAGGCTGCAGTGAGCTGAGATCACGCCACTGCACTCCAGCCTGGGCGAGACAGAGTGAGAATCCATCTCAATCAATCAGTCAATCAATAAAAATAAATAAAAACATTTTTAAAAGCTAAATCTGTAAATAGCTGCATATTGCCCCACCAGTGTCAAAATAATACTTTCTATAATCTCTTTTCAACTTGGTATAGAAATCACTACACATAAGTTAGTTCATTGAGACTTAAAATTAAATTTGTTATAAGTTGTAACAATAATTACCATGCCTTACCTTTACATGGACAAATTAAGTCCTCTTTCTTATCTAAGTGATCTCTGTGGCACTTAACATGGCATCTTCGACACTCTAGGGCAGGGGGTGGCTTAAAAACATGCCAGAGAGGTTTGGCACAGGCATCACAATTGGCAGGAAAGTGGTAGAGTGTAGGAATAAACTCATGGCCTTTGTGATTTTGGAAATTAGTTTTTTCAGCTTGTTGTACTGGTTCCATCTCTACATCTTTTCTACATTCACCTTCATTTGCATATAGTATCTACATTCAGGAATGGTGAAAGGAAAAGATTTTAAAAATCTTAAGCATTGGTATATTTTACATTTACTTCACAAAAACGCTTAGGACTTAGATTCTTTAAAATTATAACTTCAGATTTTTACCTGGAATATTTTAGGAATTTCTTCAGTTTCAGCTCTATACACATCTCCTTGGGTTACAGGTCTAACGTGAAACAGTTTACTAAAATGAAAATAAATACAGGCCATTTACAAAAACTCATTTATTGTAAAAGACATTTCACTAAAGAGGACATATGGGTGATAAATAAGCACACAAAAAGATATTCAACATCATCAGTCATTAGAGAAATGCAAATTAAAACCACAATAAGTGTCACTACACATCTATCAGAGTTAAAAAAAATAAAAACAGTAGTAACATCAAATGCTTGTGAGAATGCAGAGAAAGTAAATCACTCATATACTGCTGATGGAAACATAAAATTACACAGCCACTCTGGAAAAAGAATATGGCAATTTCTTAGAAAACTAAACATATGCTTACCATATAACCCAGCAAATTGCACTGTTGGGCCTTTAATTTCAAGAAACAAAAATTCATATAACATTTTATATCTATTTAAAAAAACCTGCACATAGATGTTCATAGGAGCTTTATTCATAATAACCAAAACCTAGAAACAACCCAAATAAATGGGTAAGCAAACTGTGATACATCTATACTATGGAATACTACTCAACAAGAAAAAAACAAATTATACTTGGATTGATCTTAAGGGAATTATACTGAATGGGAAAAAAAGCTGATCAGAAAAGATTACACATTATTTGATTCCATTCATATAACACTCTTGAAGAGACAAAATTATGGAGATGGAGAACAGATTAATGTTGCTATGGATTAGGGAGAGGTGGAGGAAGGAAGCTGCCTTTTGACTACAAAAGGAGTAGCACAGGGACACTTGTGATGGAATTGTTCTGTATTTTGAGTGTGGTGGTGGTCATACAAATCTATACACGTGAGAAAGGCATACAGATTGGAAAGAAAGGAGTAAAACTCTTTATTTGGCGATGACATGATTGTATGCAGTTGTCTCGTGGTATCTGTGGCAGATTGGTCCCAGGACCCAGGAGGATTTTGAAGAGAGAGAGTGAAAGAGAAAGAGAGAGAAAGAGAGGGAAGGAGGGAAGAGACAGGAAAAAAAGAAAAGATAAGAAATGGTGTAGTATTTGTATATAACCTAAGTACACCTTCCTGTATATTTAAAATTGTCTCTAGATAATATCTAATATAATGTAAATGCTATGGAAATTGTTATTATATTATATTGTTTAGAGAAAAACAAAACTGTACATATTAAGTACAGACACAACCACAATAGGCCTAACTACATTTTCAATCCATGTTTGGATGAATATACAGATGCAGAACCCATGGATACAGAGGGCTGACTGTGTGTAGAAAAGCTCTGTGGAATTGATCCCAAAACCCCACAACCCTATAAAACTGTTAAGTGCAAAGCAAGATTAAATGATTCAAGGTCAACATATAAAAACAAATACTGTTGGAACAACCAGATACCTATGTGGGGGGAAAAAAGCCAACCTGACCTAAACATCCACCTCTTACCAAACACAGACCACAAAAGGCAGAAAACATTTTAAAAATTGGTACACTGATCCTCATTAAAAGACACCATTAACAAAATCAACAGGTAAGCAACAGATTGGGAAATATTTGCATTACATATTTCTAACATAGGATTCTTATTCAGAATATATCTAGAACTCTTAAAAACCAATCTTAAAAACATAAGCAACCCAATTTAAAAACGGGCAAAAGACTTGAAAAAAGAAAAGATATACAATGGCTAATAACGACATGAAAGATTCTTGGTATTATTAGTTATGAGGAGAATGCAAATTAAAATAACAATGAAATAACATTTAACATCCACTAGAAAAGCTAAAATCAAAGGTTGATATCACCAAATGTTGGTGAGGATGTGGAGCAACTGAAACTCATACTGTTGGTGAATATAAAATAGTGTGACATAATAATTTTTGAGAATTGTTTGGTAGATTTTTAAAAAGTTAAACACAGATCTACTTTATAACCCAGGATTCCAATCCTGGGTATTTACCCATGAGAAATGAAAACATAAGTTAAAAAAAGGAATGCTCATAAGTCTTATTTACGATAGCCCCAAATTGGAAGCAACCCAAATGTCAATCAACACAAAAATGGATAAACAAATTCATGCAATGTTATACTATTCAGCAATACAAAGAACAATCAATACAGACACCACCACAGGTGCAGGCTGAGTGAAAGATGCTAGGCACAAAAGTGTACATTACTGTTTAATTCCATTTATATAAAGTTCTAGAACAGGCAAAACTAATCTTGGCAATAGAAATCAGATCATGGGAAGAGGCACAAGTGAGCTTTCCTTTTTCTTTTTTTTTTTTTGAGATGGAGTCTCGCTCTGTCACCCGGGCTGCAGTGCAGTGGCGCAATCTTGGCTCACCGCAACCTCAGCCTCCTGGGTTCAAGCGATTCTCCTGCCTCAGCCTCCCGAGTAGCTGGGATTACAGGCACCTGCCACCACGCCCAGCTAATTTTTTGTATTTTTAGTAGAGACAGGGTTTCACCATGTTGGCCAGACTGGTCTCGAATGAACTCCTGACCTCGTGATCCTCCCACCTCAGCCTTCCAAAGTGCTGGGATTACAGGTGTGAGCCACCACAACTGGCCCAAGTGAGCTTTCTTCATAAATTAAAAAAAAAAAAAAAAATTCTTTTTTCAGAGACAGGGTCTCGCTATGTTGCCCAGGCTGGTCTCAAATTGAACTCAGGCCAACCGCCCACCTTGGTCTCCCAAAGTGCTGGGATTAGAGGCATAACCACTGTGCCCAGCCACAAGTGAGTTTTCTAAAGAAATACGATTTTTTTAAATCTTGTATTGAGTGATTATATGAATGTTTACAACTGTAAAAAGTTACTGAAGAGAACACTTAAGATCTATGAACTTTATTGTGGGAAATTATACCTTAATAAAGAGAGGAAAGAAATCTCTCATCAATCTAAAAAGTATTTAACTTAGTTGAAAGATAGTATCTTTCATACTAGTGTTTATGTATTATTTCGCTTAAGCTGATAATTTAAATTTTGACAACTAAAGCTGTTTATTAAAAAAACAGAAAATAAAGAAAGAGTATTCTCTAGAACTTGCTTAATTCTTTTCACATTCTAACTATAACCAGCTCCACAAATACTTAATTCCAAAGGGATGATAATACTTTATTTTATATATATATTTCTTTTAAAAAGCAGTTACCAGACTTGACTTTGAATATATATTTTGTTGAATATGTTTTGCCTTTTCTCCTGCTAGTCGGTAAGGTCCTTAATGATGGAATTTACTCATCTTTATACATACTACATAATCTATGATAATATAAGCAGCAATAATTAAGAAAAGATTTTAGAATGAATATAAGAAAAAATACTATATTATAGGCCTCTTTGACCTATCATTACAAAAGAACAGATATATTTATATTTCCCCTTAATAATGACCAAAGAATCCTACACAGTTGTTCTTTTATATCCACAGGGAACTGATTCCAGGAACTCCAAAAATATCAAAGTCCAAGTATGCTCAAGGCTCTTATATAAAATGGTGTGGTATTTGCATATAACCTAGGCACATCCTCCTGTATGCTTTAAAATCATCTCTGTATTACTCATAAGACATAATACAGTATAAATGCGATGTAAACAGTTGTTATACTGTATTTTTTAAAGAAATTTCTATTATTAATAGTTATAAAATATATATATTATATATATAAATATATATATTTATTTATATATATATATTTTATATATTTTATATATATATTATATAAAAAATAATATATATATTTTATATAATATATATAATATATATATTTTATAAAAAATAATATATATATTTTATATAATATATATAATATATATATTTTATATAATATATAATATATATATTATATTTTATATTATATAATATATATATTTTATATAATATATATATTATATATATATTATATAATATATATATTATATATATTATATAAAATATATATATTATATATTATATAATATATATAATATTATATATAATATATATAATACATATAATATATATATTTTTTTTTTGAGACAGAGTTTCGCTCTTGTGGCCCAGGCTGGAGTGCAGTGGCGCAATCTAGGCTCACTGCAACCTCTGCCTCCCAGGTTCAAGTGATTCTCCTGCCTCAGCCTTCTGAGTAGCTGGGACTACAGGCGCCTGCCACCACGCCCAGCTAATTTTTGGATTTTTAGTAGAGATGGGGTTTCACCATGTTGGTCAGGCTGGTCTTGAATTCCTGACCTCAGGTGATCCACCTGCCTCGACCTCCCAAAGTGCTGGGGTTACAGGTGTGAGTCACCGCACCCGGCCCTCTTTCAAATATTTTCTATCCACAGTTGTGGATATGGAACCCACTGATACACAGCTGACTATACTTTTTGAAATGCTCTCTGAACTCAAACTACTAAACACTTGAACTAAAAAAGTTGTCTTCCAAATACATGAAATAAGTATATACATTTTTCCTTCTCACATTTTGCTGAAGATTTAATATAATGTCAACATTTATGCTTAAGAAAAACAGAAAAGTAGGTAACAGTGCTGAAGTAACACAAAATATAAAATAAATTTTAAGTCTAAAAATAATTATCAAAAGTTAGCTCTCAACCCCTTTAAAATTCAATCAAAGGCAACTTACTCTATGTCCAATACCATAGATGGATTGGATTGCTCCTTATCTTGTTCGTCATTATAGAACAAAATTTTTTTGCTGCTTACCACAACATACTGAAATAAGAAAAAGGGGGGAAGAGTTACAAGAGCAACATTAACTTGGTTTAAAGTGATAAGCATAATATTTGCCACTAATATCTAGATTATACTGTATTAATGTAAAATAAATGCTAGTAAAAAAAAGTAGCTAATATAAGTTCTATGCTCCAAAGTAAAATATAGAACAAAATACCAGTTAGAAAATAATTAGGTATATGGTACCTGTTTCTTCCAGCCATATCGTTTGATATTTCCTCTATTTGGTACTGAAAGCCAACCTTCAATTCTTGACTCTAGGAGAAAAAGAATATATGTATTAGTCAGTCTTAAATTGTAACAAAAGAAAAACTATTAAAAGTTGTCTGACAGCATGCAGCAACAAGCAATTGAACACAACTAAATGAATAAGTGCTATAATTTGCTCTTCCATGCTTCAATCACACAAATCAACTTTAATGGCCATACAAATATTGCAGAAAAAAATTCCAAGCCACTTTTCCCATACAATTTAACATTTAGTAATCAATTACAAAAGTATGAAGTAACAATACCCTTAAGAGCCAGGCAAGACTGGAATGGATTGCAGCTTAAATGGGATATGATGTAGAAGACTTTATCATTTAACATTCATATAAAAATAATCAGCAAAAAAAAAGAAAGAAAAAAATAATGCAGCAAGTGGAACAAATCAGAGCCATGATTTACACAAGAAAGAGCAAGCAAAAGTATAGAAGTGTCCTATTACTCACAGAAGACAAGAATAGAAGATAAATAAATAAGGAATGCAGGCAGAATCAACTAGATATAAAGAATAAGAGACAAGTATTTTATTTGTTTTCTCAGTACAATATTCTGATTAAGCTTTTTGGTAAAACAACTTCAATTTGAATTTGTAACTATTTCAATAAAATTGCCCAAATTTGGTTGAGGGGAGCACTTAACTCTAGTGCTAAGTTCAATTGCAATTCTACTCAAACTAAAGAGTTTTAAAGCCTCTTAAGTTTCTGATATCACAATTTGATCAACAGTAAAAACAACACAGAATCCATTTGGTCTACTGCCATTATTTCAACTAGTACGTGCATACCAGGAATTCCTTGACTATTTGATCAAGGCATTTTATAATAATTATTACTATTGTTTAAATATAACTAATGTCTACTAGAAATATCTGGGGGATAAAGACAACTCCATTAGAAATAGTTATTTTAGATCAGGTTGGAAATAAGAAAATCCATTCAATTTAACTATTTTCCGTATCTACCTTATATTTGAAACACAAAAGAATAGAAAAATAACCAATTTCAAAGTATGACACTAAAATATGAGATTATACTATCATTCAAATGGTAATCCTAAGGCAATATATTGTCCGCCTTCATATAATTTAAAAGCTATAAACTCAGTCTTACAGTAACAGTTAACAATAGGTAACATTTACTGATTTATTTATTCATAAATTTACTATTTGCCACATGCTTTATAATATCTCATATTTAACCTATGTATAAGTCCATGAATACAGGATATTATATTCCGAGGAATTCGGAAAAGGTTCTACTGTCATCTTTCACTTACAAAAGAAGAGACTAAGGCTTAGCAGGGTAAACGGACTTGGGCAAGGCAACTCTATCAGTATCTATCAAAGCTCTATGGTTTCAAACCCCGGCAGTCTAATTTCTGAGCTTATGTTTCTAGAGCACAACACTATTCTGTTCGCAAACAAGCTCTGCAGTTGACTGAATTGTGGGAAATATTTTTTTCCCCTACTCCCACCAGGTACGTAATGTCTCCACACCTTTGCTTGTGTTATTCCTCTTCATATAAATTGTTAAAATGGAGGAAATGGTGAGGTAACTTTAGTTCAAAATGATCCCTCTCTTCTCCCAACATTTTTCTTTTTCCTTTTTTTTTTTTTTTTTTTTTGACATGAAGTCTTGTTACGTTGTCCAGGCTGGCCTCAAACTCCTGAGCCTCAGCTTCCTAAGCAGTGGCATGTACCACAGCACCTGGCTTTAATTGCTGCAATTTAGTTCATGAAGTAATTATTTTGTTGCTTAGGTAGTTCCTTGGTAAGTTTTGTGAGAGCAAGGACCATATCTTAACACTTGATTTTATATATCCCATGGCAAATGACACAACGAGGTGGTACTTGACAGATATTTGTTGATTATTTTGTAATTCTGCATTTTTCTGAATTAGCCAATTAAAGTCATCCTTTGTAAATAGTGGTTCCAGTTTAAAAACCAAACAGGCAGTTTTATACTAAATAGCATGCAGAAGACTGTTGATCACATATTGATCATTCACCAATATTTTATCTTATAAAAGCAAAAAAGTTATTGCCAGAAATTTTCCCATTAGTGTGGTAGAAATTGCAGCTCTGGTTTTAAAGTGTAGTTTGGAAAACATTAAGATGAACATTAGTGAGAATGAAAAGGAGTCTTAATATCTGATAATACAAAGTTGTTTAGTATTAGTAATTCCTCACCAAAAACAAAGATATAAAAGCCTTTGAATTCTTGACATTTACACAAAATTTGTATGCCAAAATACCCTATACTTTCACATTATTTCTTTGTGACAATCAATGTCAAAAATATTTATGCTTTCTGGCTCTAGATGTGGGTTAACCTGCCAGTTTTAATATATCTTCAATAAGTTGTTATATGGTATGGCTTTATCTGTCATTTCAGTGTTCCTTAGAAATTTTATATATCAAGGGAATCTTATGAGTCAAATAAGCCAGAATTCTACATTTGCTCATATTTAAATTAAATGAAGAGGGTCAGGGAGAAAATAAATTAAATGAAGAAATCTGGAATGCAAATAAAGGTGTCAAGAATATGTGAAGGTTTTTGCCAATTTACAACAATGTCATGGGAGAAAATTTTAGTTTTTCCATCTGGTGAATTCCCTCAGAGAAGCAACTGAACTAAGCTCAATAATAACAGATAAAAAAATACATACTAGCTTCTCCTGCGTTTCCTTTCCTTACGCCTACCATAGTTGCAAGATAATATACTTACCAGTTTTTAAAATATATAAAGACCTCCTCTAAAATCGGGACCACCTGTAACTTAAGTGGTGATCTGGAGGTATAACGCTGTAAATTCCATCTTTTATATCACAAGCACAGAAAACAGCTTCTCCAGATAACTAAATGAAACTCCCACTGAGAGAACCTCTAAGTCTGGATTATCCTTAATAATATTCTACATATGTACAAAAACAACTTGGCTCTAAATTTTATACAATATATTTGTAGAACAATTTTAACTTATAAGAAGTTAGATGTATATTACTGCAATATCAGCGATTTCTTTACCCAAATAAGAGACAATCTAACTACATGTACATCAATACTCGATATAGCCAATTCAAACATCAGAGCTAACCTCTGAAGACTACCTAATTTATTTAGCTATACCACAAACATACTGCTTAAGAAACAGGGCTAAAGAACCATTTCAAAACACTTTAATTAAATTCAAAAGTGATATAAAAAAGAAAATTAATTAATACTCAACAAGTCAGATACACCAACTTCAAATCACTAGATTTGGGCAAGGTCAGAAACATTCATATATTCAAATATTGGGAAACACACCAAGAGATCCACCATTTTCAGGTTTAAGTTACATAACCTAAGGTCAAGCTGGATGGAAAAGGGTATGATACAAATAATCCATAAGAGATAATGAATATTACTGGAGTATCAATACCAAGTTTTCCTAATCCATCATCTATTTCTACATTCTCTTCAGATGTCTAGGTTAACAGTTCCAAAAGAAGGAAAGAGAAAGAATGAGGAAAAGAAACAGTTATCACATTAAAGTTTTTTGTCATCTAGGCAACAGGCACCCATAACCGTAAGGGTAATCTTTATGTTTGTATTGTGTGCTAGGTCACAACCTGCTACAGAACCAAAGAGAAGATAAAGACATAAAAGAATTAAGAGAATGAAGGTGACTTCAAGAACTTCAAAGAGTTATAAGTCAGAGAAGGAGTAACATTTTTTAAATAAAGTTTTTAGAATTGGGAATTTTAGAAGGGAGATTTAATATTTAAGCTAGTTAATAACAAAATGGCCACTAAGGATTCATAGAGGCTGCGTTCTAGATGTGCAAGATAATTAAATTATAATCTTTATACTGAATGATGAAATATAAGAGAAATAATAAAAGTTGCAGTGTCAGTTTATCCATCCAACTACTTAAAAAAAAACTGAAAAATGTGACCCATATTTCAAAAAGCCATCATTTTAACTTGGAGTAAACTTAATCTATTCAAAGCCCTCTCCTTTTTAGTACGTATATTCATTTACTTATTTTCTAAACTGAAGTAAAAATTAATCATTAGCCATTACCTTCAAGAAATTTTTTAGACACTTGAATGATATGTAACTATCTAATATTAAGAATGAATATCAACATTCTTTAACAATTCTTCCTAGATATGAATGCAAAACCTTAACTTTATTTGCCAGGGACCATTTTTGAGCATCTAGTAAATGGTGGATTTAATACAGATTTTCAATTTACTAGCAAAATATCTGACCCACAGAGAGGTAAATAATATTGACAAAGACTATCCATTAATTTCTACTTCCAATATGAAAGTCAAGGTTCAGCACTGTTGAGATTTTATAAAGTCTCAAAATTAAGAACACAGTAATAGGAAAAGAGGTATTAACTGGCCTCTTCTAGCAAGGGAGAATGGCTACCAGTACTCCCCGCCCCACTTGGTTTGGACTTTGATAACCTTAAAAACAAAATTCCTGAAAGTACACTAATATTCTAAGAAATATACTGAAAATGGAGCTAGTAGAAACATTTAAAAATCTCTTTGCTCAATAAGTCAATTTATTAGGTCAGGATTCTGAAACCTAAATGGATTCCCAGCCTAAGTCTGCCAATGAAGCCAGCTGATGGCACTATGAGCTTAGCCTTTCTGAATCAGCCACGATGGTGGGTAAAATTAATCACTTTCCTCATTAGCAGTCCCACCAGCTCACCTTTCAACTCAAATCTTCTAACTAGCATTCACCAATAATGTGTCCATTTCTGACATATTTAACCCAATACTAAGAACACTAAGGTGCATATAAGGCATTATAAATAGTTAAAGGGAAATGGGTGGAATAAAAATAAAATTGGTCAGGATTTCGAACTGACACTAAATAGAGCAAGGTCGGCCAGGCGGGTGGCTCATGCCTGTAATCTCAGCACTTTGGAAGGCCAAGGCAGGCAGATAGCTTGAGCTCAGGAGTTCAAAACCAGCCTGGGCAATATGGTGAAATCCCGTCTCTACAAAAAATTAAAAAAATTAGCCGGGTGTGGTGATGTGCACCTGTAGTCCCAGCTACTCAGGAGGTTGGGGCAGGAGGATCGCTTGAGCCCAGGAGGCAGGATCATGAACCAAGATCACGCCACTGCACTCTAGCCTGGGCAACAGAGTGAGACTGTTTCATACATACATACATACATATATACATACATACATACATACATACATACATACATACATATATACATAGAGTAAGAATGTATACATACATACATACATAGAGTAAGAATCCCTATACTAAATAACTCCAGAAGTATCTCAGGGTTAATGAAGTGGGAATCTAACCTACCAATTCAGTTCAACAATTGAAAGAATGTAGCCAAACACTTCTAAAAGTCATATTCTTAGTGATGATTAAGTCTAACTTTAGAAAGATGTTCAAACAATAACTAAAGCTACAGGTTCTTATTAAATTCAAAGTGATCCTACAATAATGAATCGTGTGTACCTGCAAGTTTCTCAAGAGGTAGGCAGTTTCAGAGAGCCAAAAATAGGTAAACAGAGGAGTTCCTTGACCACTAAAATAAGAAATATTTCTTCGCTGCCTTTCCATTCCCAGATACCTGATTTTGACCTAGCAAAGCCACACAAGAATGAGGCCAGGGATCACATAGCATACAGAGAGGAGCTGAATTCATTTCCCACTTTGAGTCCCACTTTCTTGACCAAGAAAGATACTATAAAATTTTCTGAGTGACTCCTCTAGTTCCTTATATCAAATTCACAATAACAAGTAATATCTGTTAAAACAGAATCCCAATATCAAACATGCTGCTTCATAAATATCTTCCTATTTATGTATTATTCAGAAAATACACTAATTAAAATCTATTTTCAAGTGTATTATCATGTATACAAAACTTCCAAGACTCTGAACTAAGACTCTGTGTATATGTAAATGCATGTTTTAATAATGATAACCTACTCATTTTATTTCTAAATTGAACTTATAGTATGTGTATTTCTCATCTCTGTAAAGTACATAAAGGTATTATAGTTTACATGACGATTAAACCAAGAATGAGGTTGTGTTTATTTTTAAATTGATTCTCCACTGGGAAAAAGAAGACACAGAAAAAAGTCTCAAATCTTAGCCACTCATTCCTGCCTTTATTTGACACCCCCGGCCTCTTACTGCACTGCCCAACCCATTTTATCTATTTCCCCAAACTTAAAACTTAGCAAAGTCTGACTGAAGTTGATCACTACTCCACTAGATAGGGTTCTATATGTAGCTGCTGTGGTTCTGATGATAAAGTACAGTTCTTAGTTTTAGCACAAGAATACATAAAATGTTAAAGAGCTATTACTCACAAAAATGTACAACTTTTAAAAAATAGTGAGATGTGTAGTAGCAGCTTTGACTCTCACTGTGGACTTAGGCTGCTCAAAATAGGTTCATAAACCTCTTATGGTTTTTATTCAGGTAAAGCTTCTTAGGTCTATTTAAATAGCCTAAGATTGCTTACAACTGCTCTACTCCACAAAATACACCAAGTGTATAATCATCATCAGGCCTTGGCTATCAGAAATAAGAATTCCTTCTTAGGAATCCATGGACAAAATGACAAGGAGGTAGAAAACCAAATGAAAGAAATATACACTAATTTCCATGACATTTATACATGTTTGAATGATACAGAATTATTCTTACCTGGGAGGTTACCATCAGTTTCATCAGCACTAGGAAAACTAGCAACACTTGTAGAATCCGAGAGGTCCAAAAGTTTAGCACGCAATTGCTCAATATCACTCTCTTTGCTGGCCAACTGCATCTGAAGCTCATTCCTATGTGCACATTCTTCTACCAATTGCTAATTTTGAAAAGTATCAAGATAATATAATCAAGCTAAAACAATTTCCAACATTACTAATTGAAATATGATAATTTAAATTGCTAATACTAAAAATGTACAGTAAACTTCATGAATGTTTGCTACCACAGATTTTGATACACTACAGAAATGTCAAGTTCTTTCTCAGTAATACAATGCTCGGACAAATTCCTTTTCTCCTTGCCTTAAAAAGAGTTTTTGTTTTTGTTTTCAAACATAAGCCATCAAAACAAAAAAGTTACAACAAAAGAAAATGCTTTTCTGGCTCCAAATGAAGTAGCTTTAAAGGTATAGAAAACTTCAGAAAACCATAACTGATGGAGCTAAAAAGCTTAGATCTAAGTGCCCGAGACCAGGTTCTCAATTTTGTTCTATTAACAAGCCAAGGGGTATCAAAAAATTAAGCTTGTTATTTTGATTTCAAAAAAGTGAGTCTTGACTAGAGAAAATAAATAAGCTACAATACTTCAAAACCTCTACCCCAATTATAGTTAATATTATAACAGCCATATCCCAATTTCAGTCTGAAACCAAACAGGCAGAACCCTTGATTGTTCCCAATCTAAACAAGATAAATAGATAACAAGTATATACAGAAATAATTTAAGAAAATAATCCTTCACACTCATATCCATACACACACAGAAACCTTACCGCTTGCATGTCATTCAGTTCCTTCTGATGTTTCACTACCATCTGGTTGAATTTCTCTCTTTCTTGGTTGAGTTCCAGTTGCAGCTTTCGATTTTCCTTTTCTTTCTTTCTCAAATCTTGTGTATTAGCTTTCTTTCTATCAATTTTAAAATCTTTTCGATTCATTATTTCTGCCAATTTGTTAACAGCCTATTAAAATATTATTAATAAAGATCAATAGTGTAGTCATCCAATTTAATACTAAAATGTATTTTTTTCTTCAAAATCAGGAAGCAGGACTTTCTGTGTGTATGAAAATTAGGACAACTTCATGATGGTTGAGACATGATAACTGGTAGCACAAGTAACTAACACTGACTTATCACACTACTTAAATGTAAGAACCAGGAGCCTTTCTTTGGTTAACTTTACAACCCAGTACTGAATCAAGAGTATGCTAATCCTACTCTGATGTTGGGTACTAGCAAATAAAGCTTCTATGCCTTGGCCACATACTCTTATCTTCTACAACTATACAATATTACTAGGCAAGTTAGCTTTCTTAACTGAAATCCTATTTCTTTTTTTTTTTTTGAGACTGGGTCTTGCTCTGTCGCCCAGGCTGGCATGCAGTGGCATGATCTTTGCTCACTGCAACCTCTGCCTCCTGGGTTCAAGCAATTCTCGTGCCTCAGCCACCTGACTAGCTGGTATTACTGGAGCGCACCACCACGCCCGGCTAATTTTTGTATTTTTAGTAGAGACTGGGGTTTCGATGTCAGCCAGGCTGCTCTCGAACTCCTGGCCTTAAGTGTTCTGCTGGCCTCAGCCTCCTAAAGTGTTGGGATTACAGGCATGAGCCACCGCGCCTGGCCTTGAAATTCTATTTCACAAATAAGTTTTTTATAGTTAGCGGGGAGAGAATTTATTTGTTCTGATGAAAAGCTTGAACCTTATAAGCCTTGGTTTTAGGAAAAAGTGCATAAAGAGCAATGATTAACTCAAAAATGAACATGTGGAAAAGATCGAAAGCATGTATACCTGTGTTTTAAGGGTTCGTTCAGTGTTGATATTCTTTTCAAAGGCAGCCTTAAGATTACTGATCTCCTCCTCCTTCTCCAGTTTATATTCTGTCAACAAATTATATTAAATGTTATTGTATGGTATTAATTTAATTTCTGCATTTCAAACTAACAATGTCTTTAATTATTCAAATAAGTATACATTACATAGTAACTTTCAGTAACTTCATTAAGATAATTCTTAAGGCTACAGAAGTTACTTAATATATGAAAACAGGTATCTTAGAAACCTAACACAACATAGGTAAAGATAAATCACTGAATTTGATTTAACATGATGATTTTTTAAAAATTCTACATACCTTCCTCTGCCTTCTTCATTTTCTCTGTTAGCTCTTCATTCTCTCTTCTTAATATTTCAATATCTTTGGTTAGCATGCTGTTTGCTTCTTCAAGCTAAACAAAGCACACAAAAGTTTAAGCTCCAGCCTCTTTGCTATTCTCGTATTTCAGGCAGTAACCTTTAAATATACTGCTAGATAAAGACAGGTCAGACACTGCTGAACTACAGCAAATGTCTGGTTTCCAGCTTAAAATATGTAATTACATCAAAAATATTTAAAAGTAGTTAACAGCATCCAAAAATTATTTCATTGTATGCATATAGATATATGTATGAACAAAAGGGGGGCATATGTAATGGCAAGATAACTAGATTGCAAACTAAGAAATTTGTATTTAGTTCTAGCTCTGCGATTAACCTAGTATGTGACCCCGAGCAAGTCATACTTTTTCTGGACTTCAATATCTTTATCTGAATATTGATGATGAAAACGATAATAAAAACATTTATTTATAGATTACTTTTAGTAATATATAATCATTACTTGTTATATGTTATATTAATCATTCTATGTCTACTGTCTTATTTAATCCTCATAACAATCATGTGGAAGAGATATTACTATTTCTATTTTATAGATGAGAAATCTGAGGCTTAGAGAAGTTAAAGCCAACTTTGCCAAGACCATATAACTTCTTAGGGGCAAAACTGGAACCCAGAGTGACTGATAGTGGCTTTACAAGAAAAATCTAACTCCTCTTTTTAGTCGCATGATTCTATATAGATTACAGTATAAACCTCAGGAATAGGTAATTGTTTGGAGTATTGGTTTTCTTATAATGGATTTATATATTATCCCAAGAATTCCTCATTCCCAAATGGTTTCTCTATATTTCACAGAATTCTGGCCCATAAAATCAGTTGCAATGTATTAAGAGAACAACAAATGAATTTAAGCTAAGCCATTACTTCATATGAAATATAACTAATAAGATCTACAGCCAGAAAAACAGCCCAATATTGCATTGGTTCTGTGCCTATACAAACAAAAGCCCAATATCTTGAACAAGAATTTCAATAATTAACAAATGTTTGGTATTATACAAACTATTTTATACATGAGTACAGAATGACCACTATGTATTAACATAGAAGTAAATACACTTGCACACACACTTACCCTAATATTTTAAGATGTGACCTATTGTGATTTAAATAAATTTTATATAACTTACCTGACTATCACACTTACCCGACTAACAGTGTGATCTTTATCTGTAATCTCTTGTCTATTTCTTGAAGCAGCTTTCTTGCTTTCTTGCGTCAATTCAAAATACTGTTCTTCCAGAAGGCCTCGCGCCAACTGCTCAGACTCAGCTTTTGTTTCTGCTAGATCCAACTGAGTAGCAAGAGTTTCTCTGCAACAATTTTTTAAGAGAAACTGATGTAAACAAATTCAGTTCATCCTTCCAACTTAATCATATTCTTAAAAACACAATTAACTTTAAATGATAAAAAGAATTATTTTATTGCTTAAAATAAATTTAAATCCATTGCAAACTTTCTATAAAAGTAATGAATTTAACCTCTCACATGTTGAAAAATTATAAAAGAACTATTTAGTTTTCTATCCCATATTGTGCTTAACTAAAAAAGGTCATAAAGCAATAGCAAATAGTCTGCTTTTGAAAAGAAATTTCTTGCAGATTTGGAATGGAAGGCAGCGTGGCATAGTGGAAAAGTCATTGACTTGTTAATCAGCAGGCTAGACCCAGAACTTTATCTCTGTTTTATCATTAACTAATTGAGTAGAGACACTGGGCAAGTCCCTTACACTTCCTGCAGTTCAGTTTCATCAAATCTGTAAAATGAGATGGTTAAACTAGTCCCTTCCAGCTCTGAAATTAAATGAGATTATGAAAACTTATAAGAGATTTGCAAATCACTACAAACTAATCTGAGAATGCTCCCTGGAAATGATACTAAAACATTTCAGAACTGACATTCAGACCAAGACAACTCCAGTTTGCCTACTCTTCTCAAAGAGCCTCTCTTGGATAAGCTCTCTTAGTCACTACTGTATTCCCTGAACAGAGTAGGTGCTCAATAAATATGTTCTGAATGAGTAACTTCCACCTCCTATTTTCTAGTGAGTATTACAATTCAAATTTTCTGCCTGAAGCCTCAAGAGGGAGACATATAGTAAACATACACACACACACACACACACACACACACACACACACACATACACACAGAAAATTCATTAATTCACCCAACAGCTATTTACTTGAAGGTTTACTAAGTACTACACTATGTTTACTATGCATCACGCTGTTCTAGGAATTAAGAGATACAGCAGGCCGGAAGCAGTGGCTCACCCCCATAATCCCAGCCCTTTGGGAGGCTGAGGCGGGCAGATCATGAGGTCAGGAGTTGGAGACCAGTCTGCCAACGTAGTGGAACCCCATCTCTACTAAAAATACAAAAAATTAGCCAGGTGTGGTGGTGTGTGCCTGTAATCCCGGCTACTTGGGAGGCTGAGGTGACAGTGCAAGACTCCGTCTCAAAAATAAATAAATAAATAAATAAATAAATAAATAAATAAATAAATAAATAAATAAAGAGACACAGCAGTAACAAAGTTCCTGCCCTCAGGGAGCATGCATTAGTGGGGCCGTACAGGCAATTTAAAAAATGAACAAGTGCTATATAGTATGCCACAGAGAATAATACAAGATAAAATATGGAAAGTTATGAATATGATCACTTTTATTACAGGTTGATCAAGGAGGCCTCTCTGCTAAGACAACAGTAGAAGAAAAGTAGGGGGAAGAGAACAACAGATACTGTAAGGCTTTCCAAGGCAATACAAGGACTTTGACTTTTATTCTGGTACTCTGGTGTTTTAGAAAGATCATTCTGGCTGCTGTATTAAGATCAGACAGTAGGGGGACAATGGCAGAAGCTGGGATACCAGTTAGGAGACTACTGAAATAATCAAGATTGGAGATGATGGCAGTTTGGACCAGGTCAGTAAATGGTACAAGTGGTGAGAAGTGATTAGAGTCTATACATAATTTTTAGTTAACACTGGGAAAATTTGTTGGTGGACTGCATTTAGAGTGTAAGAAAAAAAGAAGAGTCTAGGATGACTCTAAATTTTTCACTTAAACAACTAGGAATAACAGAATTGTTCAGGACTGAAATGAGGAAGACAGGAAGGAGCAGTTCGCAAGGTCAGGGAATCAGGAAGTTTTTCTGGACACGTTAAATGTGGGGTGCTTAACACTCAAGCAGAGATGTCAATTAGACAGCTGGATACGTAAGTCTGGAATTCAAGGGAGGATGTACTTGGACTCTGACACCATTTAAAGCCACAAGGCTGGATGAGAACAAGTAGGGAGTAATCCCTTGAGCACTCCAAACTTTTAACGGTCTCAGCAATTAGAATGGAAAAAGGAACAAAGGAGGCTGAGAAAGAGTAGCCAGTTCAATAAGGAAAATACAGCATGTGGTGTCACAGAAGCCAAATGAAGACATTTTCTCAAGAGAGTAATCAACTAAGTCAAATCCTGCTATGAAATAAGGTGAGAACTGAGAAGTCACTATTAGGAAGACCCCACTGACCTTGAGAAGAGTTGTTCTGTTAGCATGATGAATGCAAAAGTATGACTGGAGTGAGCTCAAGAGAGAATGAAAGAAGACGGTGGAAGATACCTGGTATGTCACTTTTCAAGTAAGTTGGCTATAAAAAAAAGAAAAGTGGGATGGTGGCTACCATGTAGATAATGTAGTTAAAAGACGCAGTTTCGCTCTTGTTGCCCAGGCTGGAGCGCAATGGTGTGATCTTGGCTCACTGCAAACTCCGCCTCCTGGGTTGAAGCAATTCCCCTGCCTCAGCCTCCCGAGTAGTTGGGATTACAGGCATGTGCCACCACGCCCAGCTAATTTTGTATTTTTAGTACAGATGGGGTTTCTCCATGTTGGTCAGGCTGGTCTTGAACTCCCGACCTCAGGGAATCCACCCGCCTTGGCCTCCCAAAGTGCTGGGATTACAGGCGTGAGCCACCACGCCCGGTGTAAGAGGGTTGTTTTTAGAGGAGATATCTAAATATGTTTACATAACAATGATAATGACTACAAAAAGGTAAAAATTGATGTAGAAAAGATAAGAGAATTGTTGGAATCATAATTTTTTTTGGAGACTCAGTCTCTGTCGCCCAGGCTGGAGTGCAATGGCGCAATCTCGGCACACTGCAATCTTCGCCTCCCAGGTTCAAGCGATTCTCCTGCCTCAGCCTTCCAAGCAGCTGGGACTACAGGCATGTGCCACCATGCCCGGCTAATTTTTGCATTTTTAGTAGAGACGGGGTTTCACCGTGTTAGCCAGGCTGGTAGCGAACTCTTGACCCAAGTGATCCACCCACCTGGGCCTCCCAAATTGCTGGGATTACGGGCATGAGTCACCACACCCGACCAAGTCATATTCTTAAGTAGGCAGGAAGAGATAGGATCGAGGGACTAGCATTAGATAAGAGCGTTAGCTCATGATGTCCATTTACATCATCAGAAGGAAGGCAGGGTTTATAGGTACTATTCTCTACTTAGAAGCTATTCTCACCAAGATAATGAGTAGCCTTCAAAATAAATACAATGGACAATTTATGACTTTTTTGTGACCTTTCTCAATATTTGGCACTTTTTTTTTTTTTTTGAGATGGAGTCTTGCTCTGTCACCCAGGCTGGAGTGCAGTGGTGTGATCTCGGCTCCTCCCGGGTTCACGCCATTCTCCTGCCTCAGCCTCCCGAGTAGCTGGGACTACAGGCGCCCGCCCGTAATTTTTTGTATTTTTAGTAGAGACGGGGTTTCTCCATGTTAGCCAGAATGGTCTCGATCTCCTGACCTCGTGATCCCCCCGCCTCAGCCTCCCAAAGTGCTGGGATTACAGGCGTGAGCCACCGTGCCCAGCAATATTTGGCACTTTTAATCACTTTCTCTTTCTTGAAATATCCTCCTCCCCCAGTTTTTGTGATACTCTACTCTGATGCAGACAAGTTAGTAGCTATGGTGGTGAAAGAGAATAGATGTTCTCTTCTGATTTTTAGGAAGCAAGGCCATTAGCTAAGTACAAGAATAAGGAAAAGCTGGAGATCTGAGTAGAGACGAGATGTGAAATAATTTTCTTAGGAGAGTAGTAGAGTTAGTACTTTAGGAAAAGAAAGGATATGCTGCCAATGCCAAATCTAAGAATATTGGGAGTGGTTCTGCTAGCTACTATAATACAGGGCTTCAGGTTCACGACATGTTCTTATCTGGAGTTTCTGCTTTGTGTTAAGATAAAAGTATCTGGGTTATACTTTAAGACACCAGAAAACCTATTTAATCCAGAATATATTTCTATCCCTGGTTATGCTACTGTGCAAGAGAAAAAGCAAGAAAGAATTAGATGGTTCAGGGTAAAATTACCTGCATCTATACATTCATCCAGACTTCCTTTACAACTCTCCATAATGAAAGACTGTCTTTACTAATATTTAAGGTCAATCTCTCACCCTTATTCTCCTACCTCTTAAAAGAATTCAATAATCAATAATTCCATATTCTTCTGGATTATAAGATTATAAAGAATGGCTTTGTTCTTGTTTACAGGTATATTTCAAATGCCTAGAAAATTCTCTGGCCCATAGAATGCGCTCAGAAATTTTATTTATTTGAATGAATAGATGTGGGGCTGTTCCTACTCTGATCTCCTTCCCATGCTCCATTTAAATATGCTCAAGTTTACACTACTGTTAAAAAGAAAGTGCTCTCCTTCACACTCTCCTCTAGCTACTGCTACATCCCCTTGCCATAACAGCCAAGTCTCCTGAATTGTTTAATTTAACAAACACTTGCTGAGCATCACAATGCTGCAGTTACAATTGTAGGTGCTAGACATACAGCAATGAATTGAACCTAAGAATGAAATATCTGAAAATTCCTCCTACCATAGAGCTTTGTTTCTAGCGGAAAAACAAAAACAATAAATACAACAGGTAAGAAAATTATATATTAGGAGGGAATAAGTGCTGCAGAGAAAAATAAAATAGGGAAGGATGAACTGGGCACCACGGTAGTGGGGTGGGGATGTTTGCAATTTAAAAAGCATATTCAGGGAAGGCCTTGTCAAATGATGTGGACCTGGAGAAGGGCCAAGGAGCAAGCCATGTAGATACTTGGAGGAAACTGTTCCAGGCAGAGAGAAGAGCAATGTACATACCTGGAAGTAGGAGAGTGACTAATTGGTTTGTTGAATAGAAATAAGGCTAATCAGGCTGTTAGATATACTCTGTCTCTTGTTTTACCCTTTCCATTCAGTCTCAATCTACTTTAATACCTATTCTCATCTCTATTTAGAAGCTGTTCTCACCAAGATAATGAATAACCTTCAATATAAATAAATGGACAATTTATGACTGTTTTTCTTGACCTTTGTGGGTATGTGGCACTTTTTAAAATTTAATTTAATTTTTATTTATTTATTCTTTTTTTGAGACAGTCTCACTCTGTTGCCCAGGATGGAGTGCCGTGGCACCATCTAGGCTCACTGCAAGCTCCGCCTCCCAGGTTCACGCCATTCTCCTGCCTCAGCCTCCCGAGTAGCTGGGACTACAGGCACCTGCCACCACGCCCGGCTAATTTTTTTGTATTTTCAGTAGAGACGGGGTTTCACCCTGTTAGCCAGGATGGTCTCAATCTCCTGATATTGTGATCCGCCTGCCTCGGCCTCCCAAAGTGCTGGGATTACAGGCGTGAGCCACCATGCCCGGCCAATATGTGGCACTTTTAATCACTTTCTCTTTCTGGAAATATTCTCTTACCCCAGCTTTTGTGATATCCTGCTCTGATCTTCTCTTACACTGTTGGTAGCTTATTGGTTTCCCTTCCTCTGCCCATTCCTTAAAAGTCTAGGAGCTAGTAGTCTTTCCTCAGCCTTTGTGTCTTCTGATCCTACACTATGGATTACAATTTGCTACCTGAGAGGACCAAATGAGCCTACAACAGTGCCCCCTGCATCTATATATTCATCCAGACTTCCTTTACAACTCTCCATAATGAAAGACTGTCTTTAATAATATTTAAGGTCAATCTCTCACCCTTATTCTCCTACCTCTTAAAAGAATTCAATAATCAATAATTCCATATTCTTCTGGATTATAAGATTATAAAGAGTGGCTTTGTTCTTGTTCACACAGGTATATTTCAAATGCCTAGAAAATTGTCTGGAGGGATCCAGACACACATACACAAACATACACCTAAAAGAGTTTTGGGTCAACCTTTTACATAAAAATTCAGATTCTTGGTTTCTCTTGAAAAATCAGAAGATCCTGACATACTGGGCCAGTGTTATCATGTGGTAACAAATGGCTGGAACTGAGAAGGCGAGATCTTCAGTTTGTTACAATCCTTACAACTTACATTAACGAATATATCTGCACTTAGACCCCACTAATTACAGCCTAGTTACACCTATGGCATCATAGGCTCATGAGTTTATAAACTCTGAGATACACAATCACCTTAACAGATCTCTATATTAGTGGTTTCTGTATGCAAAGACTATCAAATCAGCTTCAAGTTCTTATCTTTTATCTGCATTCTAAAGCAATAAGCCCAAATACAGTGGTATCCATTTCTGTTTGGACATCCCATAGGCACCTCAAACTCAATAGGCCTGAAATTAAAATAATCTTCTCTCCTCTCATCTCACAATTTTGGCATTCCTTAGCTCAGGGACCAGCACTACCATCAACTCAACAGCTCTGGTCAGAAACTTGGGAGTCAGCCTGAAAATTATCCTAACCTTTACCCCTATGCCTCCAAATCTACAAATCCTACTTCTTTTACTTCCTACTTCGTTTTATGCACTTGCCTCCTACTGCCAACTTCCACTATAATTTTACATCTAAGTTTTGCCAGCGGTTATATAATTGGGCTCCCTGCATCCACCCAGCTTTCCCTTACTTCAATTCATTCTCCACTCCTTAGAGTGAGTTTTCTAAAATACTTATCAGTCACTAGCTTAGGATTTTCATTTATTCATTCAATATTTATTGAATACTTATTCTCTGAAAGTCCCTGATTGGAGTGCTGGGAATAGACAATAGACAACAATAGAAGAAACAAAAGTCCCCACTTTTCAATATTTTAAACTCTTCAGCATGATACACAAGGTCCTTTGTAATCTGACTCAGTTTTCTCTCTCCAGCCTTATCTGTCACGAACTAACCATTTGCTGTTCCTCAGATCACAGATTGGCTTCTGCCTATATTGTCCCTTGTTCCCCACATCCCATTCCCTGGCTAATTCTACTTTCCATCGGTTGTGATCTCTGTTAGGAAATGTTCTCTGAATCCCACATGGTAAGATGAGGTATCCTTTGGCATAGCCACTATACCTTGATTATATCTCTCCTAACTTGATTCTGAAGCACCTGAAGAATCATAACTTACTAATAATTGGATAGCTGCACAAAGCACAGTACTTATAGCACAATACTGGTGATCCATATATTTGTCTTGAATAGATGAAAAAGGGAAAATATATCAACTCTGAAACAATATAGTATGGATTGAATATTTGGCACTTTTAATCACTTTCTCTTTCTGTTCCTCAGATCACTGATTGGCTTCTGCCTAAACTGTCCCCTTCACAGTGAATGCATACACCTGGGATTGCATATTGCACTGTGAATACCACACAAATGGTAGGTAACAGACTAGATTCTACAATATGACTATATCAGAGAATAACCAGGAAATGCAGCTTTGTGTCTACCTTAGCTTCCAGTTAATTAGGTTATCTAACTATGATACTTGGCCACCGAATTAGTATGTTTATACCCGCTGTGATGCTAAAATTTAAGATAATATACAGCTCTGCAACAAACTATTGTCAATTTTGGACCTTAAATATTTTAATCAATATAATCAACTCGATTAAGGCAACTTAATTGCAAAAAGATGCAATTATACTTAATTGTAATCAAGTCAACAAAGTTAAACAACAAAAAGTCTAAGTTTATTTATAAAACTAGTGAAAATAAAAGTTATGTATTCCAACAAAAAAAAAAAAAAATGAAGAATGATAAAAGTGAGTATCTCCAGTTTGCAACACCTAATGTATTAAGGATCTAACATTGAATGCCATAGTGGTTAACAACAGAAATAGGCAACCAGAAAGTACAAGGCTATATATGAATTAGTCTTCTTCCTCCTAAAAATCAGATTTGAATCTGATTAAGCTTCTAAATCAGAAATGTCCAATAAAACTTTCCAGGATGTCAGAAATGTTCTATATCTGTACCATCTATTATAATATGGTAGACACTAACTGCATGTGACTACTGAGCACCTGAAATACGACTAGTACATCTGAGGAACTAAGTTTTAATTTTACGTAATTGAATTTAAATTTAAGTAACTACATGTGGCTACTGGCCACCATATTGGGCAGAGGAGCTCTAGATACAACTACTGACTTCCAGGAAACATAAGGGAAATGGGGAATGTTCAACCAACTACAGAAATGCAATCAATAAAATCGCAACTGAGGGAACATCTACAGGACAAAAAAATCCAGTTTCTTCAACAAATTAGTTTTAGGATGGTGATTACTCTTGAGGTGGGGAGGAAAGAAGGCATAATTAGGAGGTGGGATATAGTGGGCTTCTGAAGTGGATAGCAAGGTTCTCTTTCATGGATGATGATGGTTATAATGACATTTGTCATAGTTCATAAGAACTGTATTAGTTTTGCTGTTTTCTGTAATTGTTTGTTTCAACAACAGTCTTTCAAAGGTGATTAAATGTAAAGAGAATATAACAATGTTGGAAAACTAGTTCTAGTGTCTGTTCTGACATTACCTAGCTATGAGATACTCCGCAGGAGTTACTATCTTGTTGCGCCTGTCAGCTGAATTCTAAAATGAAGCTGTTACACTTGAAATAGCTTTATAAGGTTTTCTCCTTGGAGATGGGGTCTCATTATGTTGCCCAGGCTGGTCTTGAACTCTTGGGCTCAAGTGATCCTCTCACCTTAGCCTCCCAAAATGCTGGTATTACAGGCATGAGCCACCATGCCCGGCCATAACCTGCATAGTAATCCTAAGAAGACCTTAAATACCTTTATCTAACTTAAAATAATGATTTGCAAAGACAGCATGATTTATATATAAATAGATCTTTTAAAATTGATACTAGCCCAGGCGTGGTGGCTAATGCCTATAATCCCAGCACTTTGGGAGGCCAAGGTGGACGGAATATGAGGTCAGGAGTTTGAGACCAACCTGACCAACATGGTGAAACCCTGTCTCTACTAAAAATACAAAAATTAGCGGAGCGTGGTGGCGCACGCCTGTAATCCCAGCTACTCAGGAGGCTGAGGCAGGAGAATCGCTTGAACCCGGGAGGTGGAAGTTGCAGTGAGCCGAGATCATGCCACTGCACTCCAGCCTGAGTGACAGAGCAAGACTCCATCTCAAAAAAAAAAAATTAAAAAAATAAAAATTGCAATACCCCTGAAAACAATTGTCAAACCAACTTTTTGTCAGTTTAATGAATCTCTGCAATTGGTACAGTGTTGATTTATAGCACTGTTTTTTTCACCATAAAGGCAAATTTCAGCCTAATCTGATTTGTTCTGAATTAGCCCAATAAACTGTGTTCTATACCATTCCCACCAGAATAATGGCACATCTATTCACTAACTTAAAACTTAAGAATGCCTGTTGCAGTACTGATTCTTGTTCTAAAGTAAAATGGACATACTTTTCATTTTGTAGTTCCTGTATTTTCTTTAAATTTTCTCTGTTTTTTTCTTCAATTTCTTCTTTAAGTTCCTTTACCTGGGTTTTATAAAGTGTCTGCAAAACAAGTGACAAGGAGAAATAAGTGTTTATGGTGGGTTAAAAACAATTTGGCAGTTTCTTATAAATTTAAAAAATTAACATATGATCCAACAATTCCACTCTCAAGTATTTACCCATGACAAATGCAAATATATGTCAACACCTAGTCTTACACATGAATTTCCCTTATGGTTTTATTTATAACAGCTCCAAACTGGAAATGACCCAGACATCCATCAATACATGGGTTAAAAAAAAAACAAAAAACAAAACTGTGGTTAATTCATATTACTCAGCAATAAAAAGGAATGAACTACTGATACATACAACATGTAAATCTAAGAAATCTAAAAAATATGCTGAGTGAAAGAAACCACGTGTTAAAGAGTGTATACTGTGACTCCATGTAGATGAAATTCTAGGACAGGTGAAAATAATCAATAATCATGGAAAAACAGTCATTGTCTGTGTATAGAGGTGGGTGGGGAAAATGTAGAGTGAAGGGCCATAAGGGAACTTTTTGCAGTGAAAAAAAAATGTTCCACATGTTGACTGTGGTGGTGGTCACACAGATGTACATATTTGTCAAAATTTACTAACCAGTACACTTAAAATGGGTATATTATATAGAAATTATAGCTTAATGGCCAGGTGCGGTGGCTCACGCCTGTAATCCCAGCACTTTGGGAGGCCAAGGCGGGCAGATCACAAGGTCAGGAGATTGAGAGCATCCTGGCTAACACAGTGAAACCTCGTTTCTACTAAAAATACAAAAAATTAGCTGGGCGTGGTGGCATGCTACTGTAATCCCAGCTACTCAGGAGGCTGAGGCAGGAGAATCGCTTGAACCCAGGAGTGGGAGGTTGCAGTGAGCCAAGATCATGCCACTACTCTCCAGCCTGGGCGACAGAGTGAGATTCCATCTCAAAAAAAAAAAAAAAAAAGACATTATAGCTTAATAAAGTGTATTATAGATTTGGGAAGACGTTATAAAGAAATTTAACACATATTACTAATTTAAAGGTTAGATCAATTCTTGACTAATGTTAGAAAAATCACTTCTGTTTTGAGGGGTGGGATGTACTGGGTAGTTGAGAGACAGGTAAAGAAATATCCACAAAAGGGCCGGGCGCAGTGGCTCACGCCTGTAATTCCAGCACTTTGGGAGGCCGAGGCGGGCAGATCATGGGGTCAGGAGATCGAAACCATCCTGGTTAACATGGTGAAACCCCGTCTCTACTAAAAGTACAAAAAATTAGCTAGGCATGGTGGCGGGCGCCTGTAGTTCCAGCTACTCGGGATGCTGAGGCAGGAGAATGGCGTGAACCCGGGAGGCAGAGCTTGCAGTGAGCCAAGATCGTGCCACTTGCTCTCCAGCCTGGGCAAGAGGGTGAAACTCCGTCTCAAAAAAAAAAGAAATATCCACAAATAAGATTTATCAAGTATTCTGCTAACATATCTATAATATATGCTTATTTCAGAACAATGGCTCTTACAAAATTCACTAAGCTTTTGCCAACGCCAGTGAAAAATATTTAACACATCAGACTCATATTGTGTTAGTTGCTGAAGTTACAGAGTGAACTTCCAGTTCTGATGTCTATTTCTTTTTAACTACCCTCTTCATTTTAAAAGAAAAAGAGAAGGGAAAGAAATAGCAAGGGCCAGGAAACAGCTGTGGAGAACTACTTTTAACACTTATTTATTACACTAAGAAACAGCACTTTCCTAGGCAAAAAAATACATAAATGTCCATGGGAATGCAAATGAAAAAAGAATAAGGGCTTACTCTAGGTTAAGTATTTATAATTTCTAAAATTAATCTATTTGGCCTTTAGGACTCAGATTCTTATCTCTCTGACTTCAAATACTGAAATTCAAATAAGTAAATCAATGAAGGGATAAAAAGAAAAATAATCTGATTTGAAAACCCAGAAAAAAGACAAATCTTAAAATTTGGTTCATAACAGCTTATTGAATTGAATGCTATTTAATCCAATGCCCACAAGCAATGGAATAAATCAGAACTGAGATAGGGTCAGGTTTTGTACTATTTTCTAGAAGCAAAATCAAAAATCCACAAGAATCACCACAAGTCATTTGACACCCATCCAAACATTTGGAGGCACTGGATGACTGCTCTGTGGAAGCATATGGCAAGAAAGCATATGGGATGCTACCGATCACTTTGCAGAAGTTAGCAGTAGATACTTTGAATAATTACGTTTAGCAAACACTCAGGGAAAGAGTTTTCAACAATATTTAAAAGTCTTTCATTTTGTTTATGAGACAGAGTCTTGCTGTCACCCAGGCTGCAGCACAGATGACCTTGGCTTATTATAATGTCCAACTACTGGACTCAAGCAATTCTCCTGCCTCAGCCTCCTGAGTAGCTGCGACTACAGGTGCCTGCCACCACAATCGGCTAATTTTTGTATTTGTAGTAGAGACGGGGTTTCACCATGTTGGCCAGGCTGGTCTTGAACTCCTGACCTCAAGTGATCCACTCGCCTCGGCCTCCCAAAGTGCTGGGATGACAGGTGTGAGCCACCGCACCTGGCCTGAAAAGTTTTTACAATTTAAAAACATATACCAATGATAGCCTAATATGCCAAGAAACAAATGGACAAACAAAAAGCAGAAAAGTCACAATGTTTATTAGAAGATGAAGAGTCATTTGAAAAAGAATTACAGTTCACATAAAAGAATCTAAATACCTTGTTTTAAGTCAGGTTTTGAAACAGTGTGTATGTTAAAAATGATTCTCACTTACCGAGAAATATTGCTCAGCTTCAAGCTGATCTTGTAGCTCCCGCATCTGTCCTTCATTTCCTCTATACTGTCTTCAGATGAAAAGAAAAACAAGTGAACAAACGCTCCTACTTATACTAGACTTCATTTTTTCTTAGTTTGTTAAAGTTGCTAATATAAAAAAGTTTACTAAAACAATCTTTATTTTTTAAAAACATACTTCATTATTCATTATTTTACTAATTAACTTGGTCAGGCCACACCGGTTCTATCTTGCTCCTTATAAAATGACGCTATGCAAAAGTAGTGAGAACCCTTTTCTACTGATGATCACTTTTTGGAGAATATTAATTGTGGATCTATCCAAAATGAAAAAATAAAATTGATACCATATTTTTGGTAAATTTTTACAGAGAAAAGCAGTCATAGGGAAGAAAATGTCTTGTACAGTAAATAAAAAAAGAGGGGGGCATGAAAAATTTAATAATAATTCAGTGCTACATATCATAGTACTATATTTAATAAGTAATAATTCAGTACTGCATACTAGATATTATGGCCAATTAAGCACAAGAAAGGGGCTGGTGGAAATGAACCATCAGGTAAGAAGGGAAAGCAAGAACAACAAACTGACAAACAAGGAGGAACGCAGATAGACAACTGCATGTATATAATACATACATAAACACAACTCACATAGGAGCAGAGTCCAAAAGATGGAAACCCAATGTAACCCAAAGACACAGATTTTCAATAATTATTTACTGTATAATATGAAAGCCTAGCAGCTAGGCTTGAAAATCTAGCGGCTAGACTTTCATATTAGACAGTAATAGCTTTGTATTCTCAGTATCTCAAAAGGCATGTGGCTGACAGAAAGTCTACACCAATCTCCACTGAATGCTGAGCGAGAGTATTTTTGGAGAAAAAAAATATAAAACACACTTTTGCGAAAACGGTGGCCCTAAAAGAGGAAAAGAATTTCACCAATATAAATCCAATTTTATGAAAACTGACAATTTAATCCAAGAATCACTTTTGTAAATGAAGCTAGCAAGTGATGATATGATAAAATAAACGTGGAGGAAATAAAAACACAAGACTTGGCATAAGATATATCCACTTTTGATATTAAACTTGTGAAGCATATTCTTCGACAAATTGTGAAAGCGTTCCTGATCTTGCTTGTTCTCCATTTCAAATAAGGAGGCATATCACATCCCAAGAGTAACAGAAAAAGAAAAAAGACATTTTTGCATTTTGAGATGAACCAAAGACACAAAACAAAACGAACAAAGTGTCATGTCTAATTCTAGCCTCTGAAATAAACCTTGAACATCTCCTACAAGGCACCGTGATTTTTGTAATTCTAACCTGAAGAAATGTGATGACTTTTGTGGACATGAAAATCAGATGAGAAAACTGTGGTCTTTCCAAAGCCTGAACTCCCCTGAAAACCTTTGCAAGTAAATTCTTTTACTTCTAAATACTTTTTTTCTGTCTTTCACAAACTCTAAGTACATAATCTGTACATATGTAAAATGTCAAACACACAAGTCAATGATGAACACAAAAAAGAAAGAAATCACAATGTTATTTTAAAGACTTACTTCGTAAGCTGAGCTAACTCAAATTCTAATAATCTCTTTGCTTCCAATAAAGTATTTATTTCCTGTTTCATCTGCTTTTCTAAACCTTTTAAATTGTCTGCCTCAAATGCTTGAGTCTTCAATTCATTTTGTAACAACAGCCGCTTATTTGATTCCTGCTCCAGTTGCAGGGTTAGATTCTTAACCTATGAATGAGAAAAATAATTGGGATCTTAAATCTCTTAAATAATTTATTAGACATTATTTGAAAGACTACTAACCAAATCAAGTACATTATAATTCATGGTACTAGTAGAAAATATTAGTATTTTAAAGAGTCTTCATTGTTCCACGTGTTTATTACAGTAGATTTACTATTAAGTCAAATTAATTCCCAAATTTCAGACATGAGATCTTGTGGAGGGAAAAAAATTCTGGTTCCTTTCTACCCCAATCAGCATGAAAATTCTGTAGTACAAGGTGATTATAAAACTCACTTCTGGGCCAGGCACAGTGGTTTATGTCTGTAATCCCAGCACTTTGGGAGGCTGAGGCAGGTGGATTGCTTGAACCCAGAGTTTGAGACCAGCCTGGTCAACATGGTGAAACCCTGTCTCTACAAAAAAATACAAAAATTGGCCAGGCATGGTGGTACACTCCTGTAGTCCCAGCTACATGGGAGGATCACTTGAGCCTACGAGTCAGAGGTTGCAGTGAGCCGAGATCACGCCACTGCACTCCAGCCTGAGTGACAGTGAGACTCTGTCTCCAAAAAAAAAAAAGCCATTCCTGGGGGAACATTTGAATGGAGTACTTAAATTTACCTGTCTACGTGCTCTACTCTACAACCCTTCAAAGCTTAACCAAACAAACTGAACGTATGTTTTATTCAACTCAACAAATATTTCTGAAGTGTTTATTAGGTGTTGGGACCAATGAACTCAAAATTCATACAGTGGTTTACAATGGCCTTCATGATCTGTTCTAATTCTATTCCTATCATTGGCCATTCTCTACAATCCAATCATATTCTTCAGATCCTCAAATGCAACAAATTCTCCCTCACCTCACATTTCTTGTACGCACTACTCCTGTTTTATCCTCCTTCATTTATTCATTCTTCAGCTCTCAAATGTCATACTCTTAGCAAGGCCTTCTGTAACTCCCAAATGTGATTAGTAATACACCCCTATAGCATTCCGTACTTTCTTTCTAATTATTTGCAATGCTTGTAGTTACTATTTTAATATCTGTTTTTCCCTCCTGGCTGTAAGTTCCAACACAGTCAGGACCATACCTATATCTTATTCACTTCGGTAACCCCCAATTCCTAGCACAGAGCCAAATAGGTAGTCAAAAATTATGTTTTTTAAATGACTGAATATTATCTTTCAAATTTTGAACATACATTCCTCCTGCATGCTAGCTTTAATAGGTATCTCTAATTTCTCTTCTTTCTAGTCCATTCTATATACCACTACCAGATTGATTTTTCTAAAAGTGCTTTCACCTATAGCTCCCATGCAAGTTTTATTTTTTATTTTTTAGAGATAGGGTCTCACTCTGATGTCCAGGCTGAGTGCCATGGAGCAATCTTGGCTCACTGCAGCCTCGACCTCCTGAGGTGCAAGGAATCCTCCCACCTCAGCCTCCTGAGTAGCTGGAACTATAGGCATGCGACACCACACCTAGCTGATTTTTGTATTTGAGATGGGGTTTCACCATGTTGCCTAGGCTGGTTTCAAACTCCTGAGCTTAAGCAATGTGCCCATCTGCCCACCTCAGCCTCCCGAAGTGCTGGGATTACAGGTGTCAGCCAACGTGCCTGGCCACCCATGGAAGTTTTAAAGAGTATCGATACTTTGGCCTACAAATTTCTCCCATGACTACTCAACATGTCTTCGTTTTTCCTTCAAAAAGTTAAAGTTCTATCAAGTTCCTTTTTATGCCTTCCTTATGCATCTTCTTATCCAGCCGGTACTCACTTTATTATCCATCTCTTTACTGATAATATTCCCTCTAGCAAGTAAAGCCCTGACTCCAAAACTATTACCTTTTGAAGTCTTACTCAACCTTTAAAATCTAGGTAACATGTTACATCTTCTTGAAAAGGCTTTCCTACTTTCAGTCTTAGAAATAATTTCTAAAGTACATATAGTAACCACCAGGACATACTGTCATTTTATCTGTTTATTAACTGCTTTATAAAATGTATACCCTGTGCTATCAATCTAAGCCAGGAAAGACTGCAGTTAAACACTTTTATTGAAATCTAAGAGCAATGCTCTTTTCTTTGGGGATATAAGATGCATTATAATAAAGACTTTTTTTTTCTTTAAAGCAGATGGTCAGTTTTTTCAGGGAAGGAACTATGACATTTCAATATAGTTGTACTGTCATAGTGAAAAATGGCATAGATCACACAGAGTGAATGTTCAATAACTATTTGAAGAGGAAAATTCTAGGTGCTGGGGTGACCATACAGCAGTGAACACAGACCCATGTCAATTATTTCATTCAAATCTCCTTCATGGTGTTTAAATTATAGATAACTCCAGTCATAACTTATATAACCGTTTCTCTTTTAATAGATGAACAAAGTCAGTACTATTTTTCTTACTTCATCCTCCATCCTTTCTTTATTTCCAGTCAAATGTTCTAGTTTCTGCTGAGATTGCTTCAGATCAACGTCTAGCATGGAACACTGTTTCTCAATCTGAACAACCCGATTTTCAGCCTTCTCTCGAGCTTCTCTTTCTTCTTTCAGCTTTTTTTCCATCTCTGGGAAAGCAAAAAGTTACAAACATACATTTAAAGAAAGAGTACTTTAACACATTTCACTTTATATGGGCTGTAAACTGGTTTCAAATGTCTCTATTGTTTTTATTCTGGGACTTGAATAGAGCTAGTAATTATAGAAATTCTCACATTATGTAAACTATTTATATAGCAGAAATCTCTAAAGAAAAGGAGTTATAAAATATAATACAGTAATAAAATCTTCTAAACCCAGCTCTTGCCCAGTGATGAGAGATTAATCGGTACCACTTTCAGACAAGAAGGTGAAGAGTATAGCTAGAAAGGAAGTGAATTAACAAAGAACAATGAACATACATCAAGCAAAAGCAGAAAAATAAGGCTGTGGTTATTAATTTATACCCTGCATTGTTCCAGAAAAGGTTGAAGAGGCTTAAGGCTATGGTAGGAACTCCAATTTATACAATTCAGATGAATAAGATTCCACAGTAGTATACCTCTTTTAATTATTACTGGAATATATTAGTCTACACTGAGGCTCCTTTTTTGAAATATAACTAAGCTTCTGAGAGGTTAACTTTTCCATGTTCATGTAACTAGTAAGTTGCCCCATAAGGATTCAAGTTTATTTAAAGTGTGCTTTCCCACTCTTGGAGACCACCCTCTAGGTGACAAAATATAAACTATTAAATAAATATAAATAAACTATTCCTTATCTTTCCCCCCAAACTTACAAACTTAGCTGCACCAATAAAACTGTCACCTCTTAAGACCCTTCTGTTTAATCAAACACAAATCCATCCACTATGTTCTTCTGACTCTTGGTATCTCTCTCCTGAGCTCCAGACTTAGATACCAATTGACTATTTAACATCTCCACCTAGATATCTAATAATCTTATTAAAGTTAACATATCCACAATAGATGCCTTTACTTCTGGCCTATCCCCAAACCACTCCAACCCCAGTTAGACTCAGTCTTTTTTTTTTCTTTTTTTGAGATGGTGTCTCGCTCTGTTGCCCAGGATGGAATACAGTGGTGCAATCTCGATTCACTGCAACTTCCGCCTCCTGGATTCTAAGAATACTCCTGCCTCAGTCTCCTGAGTAGCTGAGATTACAGGTACGCACCACTACACGCAGCTAATTTTTGTATTTTTCAGTAGAGATGGGGGTTTCACCATGTTGCCCAGGCTGGTCTCAAACTCCTGACCTCAAATAATCTGCCTGCCTTGCCCTCCCAAAGTGCTAGCATTACAGGTGTGGGTCCCCGCACCCGGCCTCTTTCTATCCAATTCATCACTCTTCTCCTCTATACCTCGACTTCTTTCCCTCTCTACTACTACCAGTGTTTACAGCGTATAGCTTTCTAACTGATCTCCCTTTTTATCACTGTTCTCACTCTTGAAAGCATTCCCCACAGAGCAGCGGGAATGATCTTTTAAAAATATAAATTACACATCCCAGAAGCTTAAAATGTGCTAGTGGCTTAATACAAATCTTAGAATAAGAATACTGAACTTACTATCACTTCTGCCTGTAATGCACTTTCTCCAGCTCATTTAACAGGTGGTTCATTTTGACTTTCAGTTCTTACCTCAAATATTACTAGCTCAGAAAGCCTTCCTCAGAACCCCCATCCAGGGCAGTGCCAAGTCAAAACAATCATATTAATATGTATTTCCTTCCCATTAATAATTACAAGCTGTATGTATTTTCATTTATGTATTATTATTTTTTTTTGTCTATATTCACTATCTGAATGTAATCTCCGGGCTTCCTGTCAGTTTTATTCTCTGCGATATTCCCAGCTGTGCCTTGTCTGTAGGCAGTCAATAATTAACTTAAGTGAAGGAAATAAAAGAAGCTCAATATGGCTGAAGCACAGGGTACACACAACAAAGTGTAGGGTAGTAAGATTGTAAAGACAGGCAGGTGTCAACTTAAAGATTCTATATATACAAGGAGTTTGAAAGGTACCCTGCAAACAATGAAAAGCCACTAAAGGATTTTAAGGACAACCAAAATACGATTTGACTAAAAAGGAAAATTGTTCTAACCTAAGTGAGAATGACTGATGAGTAGAACAACTCTTGGCAAGATGATGATGTGATGTTCAGTAGCCAAGATAATAGCTACTGAAAACTTTCTATGCACAGGCACTTTACATGCATTTTTCATCTAACTTAGAATAGTTACAGAGCAACATTGATCTGTCTGATTCCAAAGCCTTAGCTCATAAAGACCATATGGCCATTAACTAGGTTAGTGAGAATAAAGAATAAGAGCAGGTTTGATGGATGAGATTATGAGCTTTCTTTTGAGCAAAAATAATTTAAGATGCCAACACATCCAGACTGTAGTAGGTTAAGAATAAGCAGAAGGTGAGGAAAAGACTTTTAGAAGTTTGGATATTTTTTAATTTTTTTCTATAAAGAATCTGACACCATTGAAGTTTGACTATTTTATTAATTTATTTGAAATAAAACAGTAGTAATTAGTAAGGATGACAGATTGCTGCATGGATTTGTCTCTGTTTTAAGATGGGAGACTTGTTCATGTTTACAGTAAGAAGATAATGGAGGTAAAAAGGTTGATATAGAAAAGAAAAAGAGAAAAGAAGTTAAGATGAGATGAGAGGAGCTTACCCTCCTTTAAGATAACAGTGAAGATAATGAAGACAGGTAAAGAATAGGATAGATTGACAAGAAAACTAGATTTTGAGGAGTTCACACCTATGCTTTCATTATTTACTTGTGAAATAAGAATAAAATTCACCTAAAACTGGAGTGATAAAGAAACGGCACAGGAAACTTAAGATAAATAAAAATCTGGGAGAAGAAACTTATGACCGATATGTTCAAAAAAAATTGACAGCCAAGCATGGTGGCTCATGCCTGTAATCCCAGCACTTTGGGAGGCCGAGGTGGAAGGATCCCTTGAGCCCAGGAGCTCAAGACCAGCCTGGACAACATAGTGAGACTCTTTCTCTACCAAAAATAAATAATTTTTAAAAATTGAAAAAAAATTGACAACTCAGGTTGCAGATAATGCATTGGACTAACACTCAACTGCCTGAAGAAAGTGGCTGGCTGGTCTGAACTAGGGTTGTGTTTGGAGGCATAACACAGTGGAAGTACAAAGAAATGAGAAAACTGAGGGTACAAAGCAAGATAGCAGATGAATTAGCAGATGATGAGGTCCAGAGTGGATCATAAAGAAAATCAAGGAAAGGGCTACTAAAAAACAGAGAAAAGACAGATTCCACTAACTTTTATAGGAAACAGAGTAGTAAACTGAGGGAACTAGAAGGTGAAATTGTGATCTTAAAAAATGGAAAGCATTGCCAGGCATGGTGTTTCATGCCTGTAATCCCAGCACTTTGGGAGGCCGAAGTCAGGAGTTCGAGACCAGCCTGTCCAACATAGTGAAACGCTGTCTCTACTAAAAATACAAAAATTAGCCGGGCATGGTGTCGGGTGCCTGTAATCCCAGCTACTCGGGAGGCTGAGGCAGGAGAATTGCTTGAACCTGGAGGCAGAGACTGCATTGAGCCAAGATCACACCATTGCACTCCAGCATGGGAGACAAGAGCAAAACTTCGTCTCAAAAAAAAAAAAAAAAAAAAAAAAAAAGGAAAGTATCAAAAGGAAGGCATCCTCTTCTTGATTATAATTTATAATTTCTTTCTCTGAGACACAGTCTCACTCTGTTGCCCAGGCTGGAGAACAGTGACACCATCTCGGCTCACTGCAACCTCTGCCTCCTGGGTTCAAGCGATTCTCCTGCCTCAGCCTCCCCAGTAGCTGGGATTACAGGCGTGCGACACACACCTGGCTAATTTTTTTATTTTTAGTAGAGACGGGGTTTCACCACATTGGCCAGGCTGGTCTCAAACTCCCGGCCTCAAGTGACCCATTGGCTTCAGCCTCCCAAAGTGATGGGATTACAGGCATGAGCCACTGTGCCAGGCCTATAATTTATATTATACTTTCTACGAGTTAAAGAGTACAAAATTTTGACCAAAACCAAATTTTTTCTAGTCACTATTTAAAGTCAATTTTGTAAAAATATTAAAACTGACACTTACCACACATTGCCACAGACTTTGCCTCTTCAATAGATTGATGTTTGTCAGTTAAACGAGCTTTGGTTACTTTGTGTTCATTTACCTCTTGTTCTAACCGTTGTTGTAATGATTTAAGTTTGTAGTTTAAATCTATCTCTAAATTATTCTTTTCCTGTAAAATGGGAGTAGGAGTCATGTAATAAACTGTGCAGAAGGCATGCATGTTAGTAAATCTTACATTTAATATTCTGGAAGAGATATGATGCCTTATTTTAAAAATCACAATAAACACATATAATTAAAAGCAAAAGATAATCTTTTCTTTACCCCCTCCCTTCCCATTTGAATCATTAATCATGGCGGAGGGCAGAACAAGGCTGTGCTGGTGGTTATGTTCAGGACAGTTCATTGCTAAGATCGGAAATGAATAAGACAAATTTTCAGTTTATTTAAAAATTTCTGATACCATCTTTTTTTTTCTTTTCTTTTTTTTTTAAAGAGATGAGGTCTCACTCTGTCACCCAGGCTGGAGTGCAGTGGCACCTTCTCAGCTCACTGCAGCCTTGAACTCCTGGGCTCAAGCTATCCTCCAGCCTTAGCCTCTGGAGTGGCTAGTATTACAGGCATATGCCACCACACCTGGCTAATTTTTAAGCATTTTTTTGTAGAGATGGGGTCTCGCTCCACTGCCCAGGCTATTCTCAAATTCCTGGGCTCAAGCAATCCTCCTGTGTCAGCCTCCCAAAGTGTTGGGTCTACAGGCATGAGCCACCTTGCCTGGCCTGCTACCACTTTAAAAAAATATATTAAATCATCTTTATCTACATTTGCATCTATATCCACATTTACTTTGCTTTCACAAAAAAACAAAAACAAAAAACAAACAAAAAAACCCCACAAAGTATCCTGTGGCAAGTCATTGATATAGAAAGGAAAAATGAGTCAAAATATATTCCATTTCTGTTTGGGTACCCTTTTCTACTCTTCAAGCTTCTTTTATCCTATGTCCACATTTACACCAGCTTGGCCATCAAAAACTATTCTAATTGTGACAAAACATGTCCAAAGGACAAGATAAGTAGTGGCTTTTCTGATAATTTACCTGAGGTTCTATTGAACCTCCAACATTTCAGAGGCTTTGAAAAAGTGACAGCTGTATCTCTATATCATCTATTTAACTCTTAGCTAGGTATATAACAGAGAATAACCAATGAAATTTTTATTGTTAAGAAAATTCTAAATGCAAAGGCCAATCACTTTATGCTCTTTTCTATTTTGCTAACTGTAAAACAACAGAACAGGTACTCATCATCTACCACGTACTGATCTGTTGTTTTCCTTCTTCATAAGCCCTCACAGCACATTCATCTTACTCATGTACAAAGAAAATAGGAAAACATACTTTATAAAAAGGTATTTCCAAACCAAAGGAATCTGTGATGATCTGTTAACATGAAACATCTAATGCTCTCTAGGGTAAAAACAAAAATAACAAATAACAAAACCCTAAATAAGACATACATACAGCCCCACATACAACCAATCAAACATAAAAACTTTTAGAAATGTAACTATATAAACATTAAGAATAAATGCTATTTTATAAAACCACCTAGTAGTCTATGATAATCAGTAATTACTATTTTATAATAATTGGTATATGTTAAATCATTTACCTTTTCTGAGTGATTAAGCATGTCTTGAGCCTCTTTTCTTTCTCCTTCCACTTTTTCGAGATTATGTTTGAGATGCTTCACCTCCTCTTGTAAAGATGTAATTCGAGCTATCAAGTGAGAAAAAAGTTCAAGTCTGTAGTCATTGAAAGAAGTCTTTTTGTTCAGTATTGACAATTTAGTTTTTAAAAAATGTTTTTTTAATGTATTAAGTTTCCTGATCCGATAAGATTTTATTAAGTGTTTTCACAATAAACACAAGATATGGAATAAAAATATTAATGCTAATTGGATATAATCTAGTGCATATTCCTTATTTACAAGTAGCCAAAGAGATGAAGCCTCAGCTTGAGCTAGAAATCAGATCCAAGTCCTTACTGAGTGCTTTTTTTTTGAGACGGAGTCTCGCTCTGTTGCCCAGGCTGGAGTGCAGTGGCACAAGCTCAGCTCACTGCAAGCTCTGCCTCCAGGTTCACGCCATTCTCCTGCCTCAGCCTCCCGAGTAGCTGGGACTACAGGCGCCTGCCACCAGGCCCGGCTAATTTTTGTATATTTAGTAGAGACGGGGTTTCACCTTGTTAGCCAGGATGGTCTCAATCCCCTGACCTCGTGATCCGCCTGCTTCAGCCTCCAAAAGTGCTGGGATTACAGGTGTGAGCCACCGCGCCCGGCACTGAGTGCTCTTTCTAACCACATTAAAGGTGAGAGCCTTTAGTTAATTAAGGCAAGTATTAAGTGGTCCATATGTGCCAGACACTGCAAAGTGTTTAATAAAATTACTTTTAAACTTAATGGAGCCAAACTCTATTTTCACAGAAAACTAAGTTTTTAAGGAATTCAAGTACTCTAACAAAGCTTAGTTTTAACTTACCTGATGTTCGTGCCTTGCAATGGTAGTAACTCATATATTTAGTAATTGTCTACTCATTAAAACATGCTTTAACCTTACAGGTATTTAAGGCATAAATATTTAATAAACACACAAATTTAACACATGTAGTATCTGACTTAATATATTGTCTAGCTTAAAATAAAAATTATATTTTCATATTTTGTAATTCAAAGTGGCCTAGGATTTGACAAGGAAAATAGATGAAGTACCAGATGGGCCAGTAAAACTTCTGTACTACTCAAAGTACAGTTTGACTTACTGTACTTGTCCCACTCTCAAATGTACTCTAGTCACCTCCCATATTTCAGGGTTTCTAAAGTAGTTATTTAATAAACAAATAAATATTAAATCTTTGGCACCTGATAATGCATATCTGCTAGATTAGTTCTAGATCTAGAAAACAATGAAATAAATAATTTTATTTACACACTCAAGATATTTTCATGTTGCAGTAAGTTCATGTAGGAGAAAGAAACAGCTGCCGCTTTCTTTCAAATAATTGACCAAAAATACAGAGTATATGTGTGTTTGTGTGGACAGAGATAAAGCAAATGTGCTAAGATGTTTAAATGTTGAAGTGCTATTTAGAAATTATAATTTAAAAAATAAATGATATAATTATCTTTAAAATAGGCCAGGTGTAGTGGTTCATGCCTGTAATCTCAGCACTTTGGGAGGCTGAGGCAGGCAGATTGCCTGAGCTCAGGAGTTTGAGATCAGCTTAGCCAACATGGTGAAACCCTGTCTCAAATACAAAAATCAGCTGGGTGTGGTGACACAAGTCTATAGTCCCAGCTACTTGGGAGACTGAGGTGGGAGGATCGCCTGAGCCCAGGAGTTCTAGGAGAAAATCTGTTTTAAAAATCATTTTAAAAAATCTGTACAAAGATAGTAATTCAGATTAATCTTTGAATTTTTCATGTAGAAGCAGCTTACTGCAAACCAACTCCTAAGGAGACAAGATAATAAACTATATGGGTTGAATCCACGCAAGATTCCTAGCAACCACATGAAAGAGACAAATTAAGTATAGTTTATTTTCCTCATTTACTCTGTCTGAAAAGAAATGTCGGAAATAAACTAGAACTTACCTGTGCAATACACGAAAGCAAAGAAGCTTTATATACAGAAAATATAAAAACATAATGGGAGGAATAAGGGCCCAAACACTAGGTATCATAATCTAAGTTGATTAAAACAAAATTTCTAAAAGCTAATAGAAGATATTATCTTCATAATCTAGTCAAAGACTTTTTCGATAGGCCACACTAAAAACCACACTAACAATAAAGAAAAAACTAGATACACTGGACTACATCAAATACAAGAAATTAAGACCTTTTGCTTATCCAAAAGCAGCACTGAAGAGTGAAAATGTTCCCACCATGCAGTAGACTGACTATAGTTAACAATAACATACTGCATATTTCAAAATAGCTAGAAGAGATGATTTTGAATGTTCTCACCATAGAGAAATGACAAATGTTTGAGGAGATGTACATACTAATTACCCTAATTTGATCATTACACATTGCATATACGTACCAAAACATCCCATAAGTATGTACAATTATTATGTGTCAATTAAAAATAAAACAGGGGGAGGCAGAGAAGGGCCAAATAGAAGCCTCCACCGATTGTCCTCTCTGCAGGAACACCAATTTGAACAACCATTCGCACAGAAAAGCACCTTCATAAGAACCAACAATCAGCTTAGTGATATATATCAGCTTGGCCATGGTGGGGTACAGCACCAAGCAGGCTCTTGGGGGTCCCCAATTCCAGGTCCTGGTTCTTGGATGGCATTTCTGGACCTGCTCTGGGCCAGAGAGGAGCCCACTGCCCTGAAGGGAGAGTCCCAAGCCTGGCAGCATTGAGACCCAGTGCTGTGCTGGCTTCAGGTCTGACCCAGCACAGTTCCAGTGGTGGTGGCTACAAGGGTGATTGTGTAACCCCTCCCCACCCTCTCCCTGGCAGCTCAGCGCAGAGAGACTCCATTTGTTTGGGAGAAAGGGAAGAGAACAGAGCCTCTGCATTATAATACAGATAATTCTTCCACATCTTACCCAAAACCACCAACATGGTTCCTCTAAGAGTCTGCAAGAGCCACAGTATTACTGGGCTTCGGATGCCTCCTAATACAGATATGGCTACAGTGACCAAAAACTTAAATCACAACACCTAAGTCCCTTCGAATACCTGGAAAGCCTTTCCAAAAATGACAGGTACAAACAAGCCCAGACTGCAATGACTACAATAAATACCTAACTCTTCAATGCCCAGACACCAACAAACAACCACAAACATCACGACCATTCAGGAAAACATAATCTCACCAAAGAAACTAAATAAGGCCCCAGGGACCAATCCTGGAGAGACAGAGATATAAGACCTTTCAGACAGAGAATTTAAAATAGCTGTTTTGAGGAAAATCAAAGAAATTCAAGATAAAACAAAGAAGGAATTCAGAATCCCATCAGATAAATTTAACAAAAAGACTGAAATAAGTACAAAGAATCAAGCTGAAATTCCGGAGTTGAAAAATGCAACCGACATACTGAAGAATGCATCAGGGTCTCTTACCAGCAGAAATGTTCAAGCAAAAGAAAGTATTAGTGAGCTTGAAGACAGACTATTTGAAAATACAGTCATAGGAGACAAAAAAGAATTAAAAAGAATGGAACATGCATATAAGATCTAGAAAATAGCCTCAAAAGAGAGTATCTAAGAGTTATTAGCCTTAAAGAGCAGGCAGAAAGAGAGATAGGGGTAGAAAGTTTACTCAAAGGGTAATAATACAGAACTTCCCAAATCTAGAAAAAGATACCAATATTCAAGCACAAGAAGGTTCTAAGGGTTCAGAGGTCTGACTCAGCACAGTTCCAGGGTGGTGGCCATAGGGTAATGGTAAGTACACTGAAAAACACTACTGTAACACTGCAATTGCAGTGTATAAATTATTCATATCTTGGGTAGAGAGACTAAAAGAACTGATCAAAAATAACAACTATAATACTTTCCAAGAGGCAGTAAGATTATAAATAGAAGCAACGAAAAGTTAAGATGCAGGGGACTAAGTTAAAGTGTAGAGTTTGTATTAGTTTTCTCTTTGCTTGTTTGTTAGTTTGTTAATGCCATCACTGTTAAGTCATCATCAGTTTAAAATAACGGGTTAGAGGATATTATTTGCAAGCCTCATGGTAACCTCAAATCAAAAGACATACAACAGATAGATACCCAAAAAATAAGCAGCAAGAAATTAAAACCTATCACCAGAGAAAATCATGTTCATTAAGCAGAAACAGGAAGGAAAGAAGGAAGAGAAGACCACAAAACAATCACAAAAAAATAACAAAATGGCAGGAGTATGTCCCTACTTATTAACAATAACAGTGAATGCAGATGAACTAAACTGCCCAATCGAAAGACATGGAGTGGCTGAATGGACCAAAAAACAAACAAATAAAAAAACAAAAAAACAGAACCCAATGATCTGTTGACTACAAGAAACACACTTCATGTATAAAGGTACACATAGACATACACAGAAAAAACAAGGGGATGGAAACAGATATTCCATGCCAATTAAAACAAAAACAAAAACAAAAAAAGAGCAGTAGCAGTTATACTTGTATCAGACAAAATAGATTTCAAGACAAAAACTATAAAAAGGCACAGAAAAGGTCATAATGTAATGATAAAGGGGTCAATTCAGCAAGAGAATATAACAATTGTAAATACAGATGCACCCAACACTGGAGCAACCAGATATATAAAGCAGATATTGTTAGAGCTAAAGACAGGGATAGACCCCAATCCTGGAGACTTCAACTCCTCACTTTCAGCACTGGACAGATCACCTAGACAGAAAATCAACAAAGAAAAATCAGATTTAATCTGCACTATAGACCAAATGGGACCTCATAAATATTTACAGAACATTTCATCCAACAGCCACAGAATATACATTCTCCTTAGCATGAGGATCATTCTCAAGGACAGACCATATGTTACTCCACAAAGCAAGTCTTGAAAAATTCAAAAAAAGTAAAATTATATCATGTATCTATCTTCTCTGACCACAATGAAACAAAACTAGAAATCAACAACAAGTGGATTTTTTTTTTTTTTTTGAGACGAAGTTTCGCTCTTGTACCCCAGGCTGGAGTACAAATGGCGTGATCTTGGCTCACTGCAACTTCCGACTCCCGGGTTCAAGCGATTCTCCTGCCTCAGCCTCCTAACTAGCTGGGACTACAGGTGCCTGCAACCACTCCTGGCTAATTTTTGTATTTTTAGTAGAGACAGGGTTTCACCATGTTGGCCAGGCTGGTCTCGAACTTCTGACCTCAAGTGATCCACCCGCCTCGGCCTCCCAAAGTGCTGGGATGACAGGCATGAGCCATCATGCCTGGCCAAAAAGCGGAATTTTTGAAACGATACAAATACCTGGAAATTAAAGAATATGCTCCTGAATGACCAGCGGATTGATGAAGAAATTAAGAAGAAAATTAAAATATTTCCTGAAACAAATGATAATGAAAACAAAACATACAAAAGCCAATGGGATACAGTGAAAGCAGTACAAGAAAGCTTATAGCTCTGAGCATCTACATCAAAAAGGTAGAAAAAGTTTCAATAAACAACTTAATGATACATCTTAAAGAACTAGAAAAGCCAGAGCAAATCAAACCCAAAATTAGTAGAAGAAAATAAATAATAAAGATCAGACACATGCAACCTACCAAGATTAAACCATGAAGAAATCCAAAACCTAAACAGACAAATAACAAGTAATGAGATCTAAGCTGTAATAAAAAGTCTTCCAGCAAATAAAAGCCCAGGACTGAATGACTTTACTGCTAAATTTTACCAAACTTTTTTTTTTTTTTTTTTTTTTTTTGAGACAGGATCTTGCTCTGTCACCCAGGCTGGAGTGCAGTGATGCAATCTCGGCTCACTGCCACCTCCGCCTCCCGGGTTCAAGTGATTCTCCTGCCTCAGCCTCCCGAGTAGCTGGGATTATAGACATGCACCACCATGCCCAGCTAATTTTGTATTTTTAGTACAGATGGGGTTTCTCCATGTTGGCTAGGCCAGGCTGGTCTGGAACTCCAGACCTCAAGTGATCCGCCCACCTTGGCCTCTCAAAGTGCTGGGATTACAATCGTGAGCCACCGCATCCGGCCCTTACCAAACATTTAAAGATGAACAAATAACAATCCTACTCAAACTATTTCAAAGAATAGAGGAGGAGAGAATGTTTCCAAACTCATTCTACAAGGCCAGTATTACCTTGATACCAAAACCAGATGAAGACACATTTTAAAAGACAAATAAACAAAAAAGCTATAAGCCAATATTCACGAGGAGCACACATGCAAAAACCCTCAACAAGATGCTAGCAAACCAAATTCCACAATACATTAAAAAGTTCATTCATCATGACAAATACCATTTGCTGAAATATCATTGTTTTAGCAAAAAACTAATTTAAATATGTTAAAATGCCAAAATAAAATATAAAATTTACAAAAAGGCATAATCTACAAAAAGGCATTGAGTCCCACCAAGAACATACAAAAATTAAAAATAAATTAATGGGCAAGATATAAGAAGAAAATGCACATTAAGAAAAAGCCTCAGAGTCAGATACATTTAATATCATTTATAATACAAATTTTAATCCACCCAGAAGATACAGGAGTCAAAATCTTACACACCAAAAAACACTGCATTAAAAATATGTAAAGCAAGGTATTCATGAAATACCCACAGCTAACATCATACTCAATGAACAATCCAAAAAGAAAATTGAGAAAATTCCCTTTAAGAGCATCAAAAAGAATAAAATACCCAGGAAGAAATTTGTATATAGAAAACTAAAAACAAACACACAAATGAACAAAAACACTGCTGAAACACATTTTAAAAGATCTAAATAAATGAAAATATATCCTTGTTCATGGATTGGAAGACTTAATATTAGTTTTGGTTTTTTTTGAGACAAGGTCTGCCTCTGTCAGCCAGGCTGGAGCACTGGGACAACAGGCGTGCACCACCACACCTGGCTGATTTTTTATTTTTTGTAGAGACAGGCTTCGCCATGTTGCTCGGGGGGGTCTCAAACTCCTGTGCTCAAGTGATCTGCCTACCTTGGCTTCCCAAAATGCTGAGATTACAGGCTTGAGCCACTGGCGCCTGGCTGGAAGATTTAATATTGTTAAGATGGCAATACTACACAAAGTAATCTACAGATTCAAAGAAATTGCTATCAAAATTCTAAAGGTCTTGTTTGCAGAAATAGAAAAGCCAATCCTCAAATTCACATAGAATTGCAAAGAACCCTGAATACGTAAAACATACTGAAGAACAACAAACTTGGAGGGTTCAAACTTCCTGATTTCAAAACTTGCTACAAAGCTACAGTGAACAAAACAAAACAGTGTGGTACATGCTGGCATAAGGACAAACACACAGACCAATGGAATAGGGTTGAGAATCCAGAATATCATAGATGCATGATATCTATAGTCAATTGATTTTCTTTTTTTTTTTTGGAGACAGGGTCTCACTGTGTTCGCCCATGCTGGAGTGCAATGGTGCAATCTTGGCTCACTGCAACCGCTGCCTCCCAGGCTCAAGTGATCCTCCGGCCTCAGTCCCCCAAGTAGCTGGGACTACAGGCACGTGCCATCATGCCTGGCTAATTTGTGTATTTTTAGTAGAGACATGGTTTTGCCACGTTGCCCAGGCTGGACTCAAACTCCTGAGCTTAAGCGATCTGCCCAGCGCAGCCTCCCAAAGTGCTGGGATTACAGGTGTGAGCTACTGCACCTGGCTGCCAATCGATTTTCAACAAAGATGCCAAGACCATTTACACAGGAAAGAATAGTCTCTTCAAACAAATGTTGCTGGGACAACTGGATATTAGATGCTCAATATCATTAGTCATTAGGGACAATGAAAATCAAAACAAACAGCAATGGGACAACCACCACATACCCACTAGAGTAACTAACTGAAAAAAAGGAAAATACCAAGTGTTGGCAGGGATATGGAGAAACTGGAATCCTGTACATTGCTGACAGGAATGTAAAATGGTGCAGCCATTGCAGAAAACAGTTTGGAAATTCCTCCAAAGTTACACATAGAATTACAAGATGACTCAGAAATTCCACTCCTAAATATACACCCCTAAAGAATTAAAAACAGGTACTCCAACAAATACTTGTACACAAATGTTGAAGGAGTGCTATTTACAATAGCCAAAAGGTGGAATCAATCCACAGTAATATTCTGTTATATGTATATCATCAACAGATGAATGGCTAAGCAAAATGTGGTAAATACATATAACAGAATATTACTCAGCCACAAATGAATGAACTACTGACACATGCTACAATATAGATGAACCTGTAAAACATTATGCTAAGTGAAAAAAGCCTGACACAAAAGGTCACACATTCTATGATGCCATTTATACGAAATATCCAGAACGGGTAAATTCAGAGACAGAAAGGAAATTGGTGGTTGCCAGGAGATAGTGGAGCGGAGAATAGGGAGGGGCAGCTTAATGGATCCTATTTTGTAGTTTCAAAATGAAATGTTTTGGAACCACATAGAGGAGGTATTTGTGAACATTTTGAATGTAGTAAATGCTGTTGAATTGTATATTTTTAAATGGTTAGCTTTTTGTTACAAGAATTTCACCTTAATTAAAAAATATAGACAGCAAAAGCTGTTAGAAATACAAGGGAGGCTGCCAGGCATGGTGGCTCACGCCTGTAATCCCAGCACTTTGGGAGGCTGAGGCAGGCAGATCACGAGGTCAAGAGATCAAGACATCCTGGCCAACATGGTGAAACCCTGTCTCTACTAAAAATACAAAAATTAGCTGGGCATGGTGGCGCATGCCTGTAGTCCCAGCTACTTGGGAGGCTGAGGCAGGAGAACCACTTGAACCTGGGAGGCAGAGGTTGCAATGAGCCGAGATCATGCCACTGCACTGTAGCCTGGGTGACAGAGTGAGGCTCCGTCTCAAAAAAAAAAAAAGAAAAGAAATACATGGGAGGCTATGAGAAAAAACCCACAATGATAGTGAAAACTTTTAAAACACATTTTAAAATTTGACAGAACAAAGGGACAAAGAATAAATGCAATCTTAGAAAACTGATGGATTACATTAGAAAACGGATCAACTTTTCACCCAAAAAGATGTTTCATACAAAAATCGACAATTTTCAAATGCCCATGTAACAGTGAAATGCAAAAATCATTTATAAACTAAGCCAGAAAAAAAATCATTAAAAGTAGAAATCCCAAAGTAGAAATCTTTTAATAGTTCCTGATCACAATAAGAAATTATTAATTACAAAAAAAATTGTTTCCTACCTCTGTCCATTAAAATCACCTACAAACATTGACCAACCCAACAGTAGTGAGCACCCATAGAATTCAGGTTATAGACCCCGAATGTCATATGCTACAAAAGGAACCGGAGTTCCTAGGCAAATGGGTGATTTCAGGTCTGGGACAAAAAATAATTCTGGAAAATCTATGCATATCAAAAAGCAAGGATGTGATCTAAAACTACTAGGGTAGTGTCTAAACTTAAAGAATTCCTACTAAACTTCATGTGAGCATCATTAAGAATAATGCAAAGGGCTAACATATATTAAATATATTAAAATTCATGAGTTCACAAATATATTTTAAAAATTCACTAATCATCTTTGGAGGATGCCTGGGAAATAACTCACTGTTCCAAAAACTGACAAAGAATTAAGTATTTAACCTGACTTTCTTTTATAAGCTGTACCTCAAAGTAACTACTATATAATTGATGAGGAAATGTTCATCTCTAGAGTAGTATTCCAATTAACAAATGAAGGAAGATGGATAAAAATAGATGATCACCACTGCAAATTCCTAAAGAAACAAAGGACCTAGGCAATGATCATCAATGGCTACTAACACCACAAAAAGATACAGCCAGACTTTATGTTTTTTCATTCGTTTGTTTGTTGTTGTTTTTGAGACAGGGTCTTGTTCTGTTGCCCAGGCTGAAGTACAGTGGCACGATTTCAGCTCACTGCAACCTCCATCTCCTGGGCTCAAGCAATCCTCCACCTGAGCCTCCTAAGTAGCTAGGACTACAGGTGCATGCCACCATACCTCGCTAATTTTTTATTTTTTGTAGAGATGAGGTTTCGTCATGTTGTTCAGGCTGGCCTCAAACTCCTGGGCTCAAGAGATCCACCCACCTCAGCCTCCCAAAGTGTTGGTTTTACAGGTGTGAGCCACTGCACCCAGCCCAGATTTTATGTTTATGTGTCTCCTGGTACCTAAATACTACTTACAAGTATTCTTGACAAAGTCCTACCGAAGTAGATCACATCTCTAGATCTAACGTCTAGTTTAAAGTACTACGGCGGACAGAGCAACATGCTAAATGATACCAGCAGATGAAATCAGTAAAATTCTGAACAGGAGCCACTCACAGGACGAAAAAAACATGGTTTCTTTAACCGAAAACAACAGCAAAAAGAGATTACAAAGAACACAAAAGGGAGGAGGAAAATACAGATTAAAATAAACTTAAGGGACGTATTAATGAAATGCAATGTCCAAACTTTGGATCCAAATTCAAGCAAAATAAATGCAATAAGAACAAATTATGAGACTACTAGAGGAACTTAAGCACTAATTAGATATTTTATAATATTATATAACTGTCACCTATTTTCTACCTTTGATAATGGCATTGTAGTTATGTTTGTCTTTTTAAAAAAGAGTCCCTATCTTTAAGATAATGAAATATTTACAAATTAGGATGTATTTACAAAAGGACAATGTGGTGCCTGATATGAGCTTCAAAATAATTCAGTGTCAGAGGATTGGGAAGGGGAGGTGGAGGTACAAAATGAAACACGACTGGCTACCAAATGAAGGTTTTTGAAGCTTAATGAGTACACAAGAGGTCACTATAGTACAGGTTAGGCATCCTTAATTGGAAAATCCAAAAATCCAAAATGCTCCAAATTCTGAAACTTTTTGAGCACTGACATGACATTCAAGGATTTCAGATTTGGGATACTCAACTGGTAAGTATACATAATGCAAATATTCTCACAAACCACCCAAAATCCAAAATCTGAAGCACTTCTGGTTCCAAGCAAACAATTAAAAAAAACAGAAAAAGACTTTTAAAAATGGTTAATTTAAAAAAATTGATTTTTGCCTTTCAATCTGAAGAATCAGAGATAAACTTACTAGATGAAAGCTTATCAATTCAGTTAAAATTTCAATCCTCCATAACATTTTGATCACTTTCATTAAGCCTCTATAGCCTGAACTTTTGGAAACTTTCCCTATAATCAATTGCAGCCTTACTGTTGCACTAGTCCAGGTACTGGCAAACATCAGGGCTGCAGCCTGTTTCTGTACAGATGTCAAGCTAAGAATGGTTTTTATACTTTAAAAGGTTATAAAAAGTAAAAAATAAAAAAGACTATGCAACAGAGATCATATATGGAGGACATTCAATTAATGAATAACAATCAAGACTCTGCCAGAAGCCCACCATCCCAAACTAAATTTATACTTGAGAGACCTGAAAGTTCTTAAAGACCAGAAAAGACTAATATAAGCATTGTGATTTTTTTAAAAACCCACAATGCACTTTTATATGTATGTTGAAACTCACATAAGTTGTGTGCATTATTTTAGTGTATGTGAGCTTTTATTCACGTTTAAGTTCCAAATTAAACTCTGAAAAAGAATAAACTAACAATAAATCATGCTATAAATTTTCCTTAACTTTTACTGATATCTAAAAAATAGATTCAGTTAAAAACCACTGTTGATAGTACATGGATGATCTCTGCCTCTGAAGCAAGGAGCTTAAAGCTCAGTCAAACACAGATCACAAACTTATAAGAATTTTAGAATTGGAAGGATTTATAGAGGTAACCTATTCTTATCTCCTTGGTTTACAGATAAAGAAGGGAGATGAAGAGACTTTCAAACAGCTAATAAGCTGTATAAAAAGGCCTAGGAAAACAATTTAAGGAAGTCTGTGACTTTCCTATTACATATAAAGTGGTTACTTTCTTAGTTATAATCAGATCTATTTTAAGCCTGGTCCCTGAGAAATATGATTGCACAACACTCCTCAGCTAAGAACCAACAGGAGATTGTATTTTCTGTTTCCTTAGTCACAAAAACTGACCCTGACCTCTCTCCACTGAATTATAGCTAATCATCAAGCCCCAAGGGACCTGAAACTATGTTCCCATCTCTAACTAAGGTTAAAAAGAACTCCTCCCTCCAATTTTTTCCTGAGACATCTGGCAACTTCTATGCATATTTGTTTTGATTAGGTAGTATGGATGCTGCTGCTAACAGGAATAGAAAATAGAAAAATATGTGAGTAGGTAAAGCCAGGAATCTTTTTGAAAACAAACTGAATTTTATTACTATTTAAAAACTGTTCATTTATTCACTTAGTTATACTCAATCTTCTGCCTCTTAGATTCACAAAGACTGTCAATATCTCCAGTTCAAACATTCCCAAGTATCTAACTTTTAATGTGTAATGGGATTTTATTTCTGCAACTGACTTTCTATTACTACCAACGATGCATGAGGAATTCCTAGGTTTTAATAGTGATAATCCTCTTTGCCTGGATTAGTCTCACTTTGAGTAAAACCTTTATGAATTAGGCAAGTTTTTAAATGAAGTTTTTGGTTAATTTGTCTGTAAAACTGAAAAATATCCACATTACATACCCTGCAGGAGTACCTGTGAGGGTGAAGAAATTACAATGTGATACAAATGTGGGCATTATTCTAAAAGAGAAAGAATGCTGGCCTGGTGTGGTGTCTCACACCCATAATGCCAGCACTTTGGGAGGTCGAGGTGGGCGGATCGCTTGAGCTCAGGAGTTTGAGACCAGCCTGGGCAAAATGGTGAAACCCCGTCTCTACAAAAAATGCAAAAATTAGCTGGGCATGGTGGCATGCACCTGTAGTCCCAGCTACTCAGGAGGTTGAGGTGGGAGAATTGCTTGACCTCAGGAGTTCAAGGCTGCAGTGAGCTGTGATCATGCCGCTGCACTCCAGCCTGTGCAACAGAGCAAGTTCCTATCTCAAAAAAACGTAAACAATAAAAAAGAATGCAACCATTTCTGGTTTCACCAAAGTCATTTTCTTTATGAGGGTAATATGATCATAAATATATTAACTTAGACTTAAAAATGGTCAAGATGGTAAATTTTATGTTATATATTTTTAACAATTAAAAATAAAAATTATAAAATATTCCTTCCATTGATAGATGAGTGGATGAACAAAATGTGGTATACACATACCATGGAATATTACTGAGCCCTAAAAAGGAAGGAAAATCTGACACACACAACATGGATAAACCTTGAAGACATTGTGCTAAGTGAAAAAAGCCAGACGCAAAAGGACAAACACTGTATGATTCCACTTATATGATGATGGTTGCATACATTGTGAACTGCATTTAATCCCACTGAACTGTATATATAAAAATGGTTAAAATGTTATAATAAATTTCATGTTACGTATATTTTACCACAATAAGAAAAAATATTACCTTGAAGGTCTCCAATCATCTCAGAATCATGACCTCTGTCTCTTCGTTCAGCTTCTAATATAGCTTGCAGCTGGTAATAATCTTTGTCTGTTTGTGACTTAGAATTCTCTAAAATTCGATTTCTCTCTTGCAACTCTCTGTTCAGGGACTCTAACTGACTAATTGACTTGCTCATCTCTGTGTGACTCTTCCTCAATCTTACAGCTGTGTCCGATTCTGTCCTAAGTAAGTCATTGGCTTCTTCTAGCTATTTAAAAAGAAAGCAAAAAAATAGGTTTCTGACCAAAGTACGATATAATTTAATTATCTACAATTTTTTTAAAAAGGAACCTCATTTGAAACACTTACCTGCTTTTGTAACTGGGACAGCTTCTCATTAGCAAGCTGTGAATTCTGACTGACTTTCTTTAAGTCTTCCAACTGATCCTTTAATGTAGAAACTAGAAAATGAAAGAATAATATATAGAAATTACAACATTTTCATAGGGGAAACATATAAATCCTTTTTTAAAAAAAGACATTTAGTCTTAGGCCATAATAGTCAGCTACATTAGGTCCACTCCCAAAGCCAAATTCCAATTTGGAAGTACCTGCATTTTAAATTCATTAAAAAGTAGAACATTATCTTCTAATACAGAGTGCAAAAAGATTTCTTCTTACTGTTGTAAATCTCAAACTCCTTTATTCCCTTTATAAGATCACTGATAGTATACTTATAAAGCTAGTTTTAATATTATTTATTTTTCAAGAGTTCAATTGCTTGATAATTCAATATCTTAATAAAAATACAAAATTTAAAAGGTACCAAATGGTAGATAGTATAGAATAAGTCCTCCTTTCTCCATTTAGTCATTTTTGCCCCTTCTGAGTCTCCCTTAACTGGCTCTCCTCCCTAATATATATTTAATTTAAGCATATATAGACAAGTACTCTTGTTTTAAACACAAGCAATCCGTTTCTGTCACTTAAAGATCTGTCTTAGAGACTGTTTTATAACCGTATTTAAGGAGATGATTTATTATTTTTTATAAGCCACATAGTATTCTACCATATAGATGTACTAAAATTTATTACAGCATTCATTACCTTTATGTTTCATATATGTATTACATTATGTTTCATATACAGCATTGACTGCATTTTTTTTGTCATTTTAAACAATGCTACAATGAATAGCCTTGTGTATATATCAGTTTGCAGTAGGAGTATGTACGTGAAATAACTTATGGAAGTGAAATTACTGCATCAATGGGAGTAGAAAGGTATTTTAAATATATTTGTAACACAAGCATTAAAACACAAGAAATTCTGGTTTAGAAGTTCTTAGACGCAGCTGCTTGTTAGAAGTACCTAGGGGGCTTGTAAAGAATAATGATACTCAGGCCACATATCTAGACCAATTAAATTAGAATCGCTGGGATTTAGGCATCAGTACTCTTTAAAGCTTCCCAGGAGATTCCAGTATGCACACCATGATGACAATCACTACTCTAGTTAAATGCTACTTACTATTTACTTTAATATGTAATTTAATATTTAATTTAATTACTATTTAATATGTTATAAATTTAACCTGAGACCTGGGTTATTTAGCTTATAAAGTGTCTTAGGATTGTAGCTTCATGTATGTATCATGGACACTAAATTAAAGACAACCTCATGACAGTGTTAGAAATTCTATCATTTTTCAAAAGTAGTGACAATTTACCTTCATTTTCTACATTTCTTCTCTTCTCATTTTCCTGTTCAGCTTTTCTTTGGTACTCATTAATTCTATGCTGTAGCAACATTTTCTCCTTCTCAATCTGAGACACTGTAGATTCTAGATTTCTTCTTTGATTTCCCTGGAATTATAATGATAAAAGTTACCACTGTGATTAATACTCTGGTCATTCATTCAAGTGAGTATTTTGTTCTTAAAAACAAAAAACAAGAAAAAAAAAAAGACAAACACTTAAGATGAATGTTCTGTTTCAAACGCAAATAGTATCTCCTAATACAACTTTCTAAGTAGCTTGCCTTTTAAGAAGACAGTGGGAATCTGTCTTCTGTAGCTGGGACTACAGGGACGCACCACTGCGTCCAGCTAATTTTTCTATTTTTGGTAGAGACGGCTTTTGCCATGTTGGCCAGGCTGGTTTTGAACTCTTGACCTCAGGTGATCCGCCTGCCTCAGCCTCCCAAAGTACTGGGATAACAGGCATGAGCTACTGTGCCCAGCCTAAAATACCCAAATTTTCACAACTTAAAAATGTACCTTTCTGAGTTACCACTATCAGTAAATCTTGTTTTTGATGCTTCACTTTTTAAGACTCCACATTAGGAAACCTGTTTTACAGTGTTTCTGGGCTTTCTCATCTTTAAGCAGAAATTGGACATAAATCATTCAAGGTCTTTCTGATTCTAAGAGTTTATCATTCTAACTTTTAGTTAATTTTTAGATAATTATACATTCAAAGAAAGTTGCAAAGATAGTACAGAGAGGTCCCAAGTGCCCTTCCACTCAGCTTCCCCCAGTAGAGACATTATATATAACAATAGTACAATAACAAAATCAGAAAATTCTCACTGGTATAAGGAGTGTATGATTCTCTCATTTTATCACATATGTAGGTTCATGTAAGCACCACCACAACGAAGATACAGAACTGGTCATCACAACAATTTCTTTCCAGTCACTAGTTATAGCCACACCCATCCCCGTCCTCCCACCACCCATACTCCTGGCAACTAATGGTTCTCCATTTCTATAATTTTGTCTTTTTGAGAATGTTATATAAATGGAACCATGCAATATATGACTTTTTGAGACAGGCTTTTTTTTTTTTTTTTTTTTGTATTTTTAATAGAGATGGGGTTTCACCATGTTGGCCAGGATGGTCTCGATTTCCTGACCTCGTGATCCGCCCGCCTCAGCCTCCCAAAGTGCTGGGATTACAGGCGTGAGTCACCGCGCCTGGCCAAGACAGGTTTTTTTTTTTTTTAACTCAACATAAAGACCTTAAAATCCATCTCTGTATTGTATGTATCTACAGTTTATTCCTTCTTGTGGCTGAGTATTCCATGGTACAAATGTACCGAAGTTTGTTCAACCATTCACCTACTGTAGGACATTTTGATTGTTTTCAGTTTTTGGCTATTACAAATAGAGCTGTTATAAACATTAGTATACAGGTTTTTGTGAGAATATACATTTTCATTTTTCTGGAATACATGCCCAAGAATACAATTGCTAGGTCACATAGTAGGCACATGTTTAGTTTTTCAGGAACACAGCCAATTGGTTTTCCAGAATGTCTGTACCATTTTATATCCCCATCTGCAATGTCCAAGTGATCTAGTTTCTCCATATCCTTGCCAGTTTGCTATTGACATAATTTTAAAACTTACTTTTTTTCATGGTTATGGAGTAATATTTCATGATAGTTTTAATTTGCACTTCCCAAATGACTAATTATGTGAACCTCTTTTCATAGGTTTATTTTCATCCATATATCTAAAAAGTTTAAAAAGTATGGATTCGCTTTCCTTAACACTTATATAGGGCTACTGAAATTACCTATTTCACACTGTATGAGTTGTGATAGTTTGATTTTTGAGAAGTTAGTCCCTTTCATCTACATGTCTTAATTGTGTTTAGAACTGTTCATAGGATTTCCTTATGATTCTTTTGATACCTATATGGTCTATAGTATATGCCCTATTTCATTCCTCATACTGGTAATTTGTGTCCTCTCTTTTTCCTTTATCAGTCTTGCTAGAGGTTTGTTAATTTTGTTGATCTTTTCACACAGCTTTTTGTTTCACTGATTTTCTCTATTGTTTTTCTGCTTTTAACTGCCTTGTTCTCTGCTCTTATCGTTACTTGTCCTTCCTTTTGCTTGTTTTGGGTTTATTTCACTCTTCTTATTCTAGTTTCCAGAAGTAGGAGTTTAAATTATTGATTTTAGACTTTTCCTCTTTTCTAAGGTAAGCATTTAGTGCTATAAATTAACCTTCATCACCATGTTAACAGCATCTCACAAATTTTGATGATGTATTTTCACTTCATTGTTCAAATATTTTGTAAAGATAAAGAGCCATAACAGTTTTATGAGACATAATTAACATTCCAATGTATTTTTTTCACTGAGACTTCTTCTTTGACCTCTGGGTTATTTAGAAGTTTATTGTTTGCTTTCCATGTGTTTGCAGATTTTTCTGTTATTCTCATCTGTACATTTTGGTCAGGAAACTGTATGATTTCAGTGCTTTCAAATGTGTTTGTTTTATAGCTTGGGATGTGGTCTACCTTGGTGTGTGTTCCTTAAGCACTTGAAAAGAAGGCATATTGTGCTGTTAAGCAGAGGGTTCTGTAAATGTTGAACAAATTCTGACAGCTGACAGTGTAGTTGAGTTCTCCTATGTTTGGTGATTCTTACGGGTGCTGAAGTCTCCAACAATAATTATGGATTGGTCTATTTAACCTTCCAGTCTTATCAACTTTTGCTTCACATACTTTGTAGCTCTGTTGTTTGGTGTACAGTTAGGATTTTTATTTATTTTTGGTGGATTGACTCTTATCATTATGTAATATTCCTCTATGTTCATGGTAATTTTCTTTGCTCTGAAGTCTACTTTAATTGGTATTAACATTGCCAATATGCTGCTTTCTTTTTAATATTTGTTATGTTATCTCTTCACATCTTCCGATGTTCAACTTGCCTATATTGTTATATTTGAAGAGTTTCTGACAGATATATAAATGGGGGATTTAAAAAAATCTACCCCTACCACCTCTTTTGATTGGTATTCCATTTAATTTCCATTTAATGTCATTATTGGTAGTATGTTAGGGTTAAGTCTGCCGTTTTTGTTTTTTTGTTTGATCTCTGTTATTTCTACATTTTCTTTCCTGTCTTTCTGTGGGTTACCTGAACATTATTTTAGCATTCCTTTTGATTTAACTATGGTGTTTTTGAATGTATCTCCTTGTAAGGCCTTTTCAGTGGCTGCCCTAGATATTACATTGTATATGCATAGCTTAATATATAGTACACTCCACTGGTATTGGCATCTTACCAGTTTGAGTAAAGTATAAACATCTTCCCTTTCTTCTTTTAATTTTTATCTTATTTATTTTTGAGAAAGGGTCTCACTCTGTCACCCAGGCTGGAGTACAGTGGTATGCTTATGGCTCACTGCAGCCTCAACTTCCTGGACTCAAGCGATCCTCCCACCTCTGCCTCCCTAGTAGCTGGGACTACAGGCGTGCACTACCACACCTGGCTAATTTTTGTATTTTTTGTAGAGACAGGGTTTCACCCTGTTGCTCAGGCTGGTCTTGAACTCCTGGGCTCAAGCAATCCGCTGGCCTTGGCCTCCCAAAGTGCTGGGATTACAGACATGAGCCACCACACTTGACCTAAAAACTTTACCTTTCTTTATGACCCATTACTCTCTGTTTATAATGTCTAAAATATTTTTTCTCATACACAGAGAATCATATTAGACAATATAATTTCTGCTTCAACTGCCTACTATAAAAAATAAAGAGGAGAAAAAAATGTATTTACCCATCTTTTACTGTTTCTTTATTCCTGGTAATTCAAAATTCCTCCTTTTTCTTTTGGAGACAGAGTCTTGCTGTGTCACCCAGGCTGGAGTGCAGTGGTGCGCTTGGCTCACTCCAACCTCCACCTCCCAGGTTCAAGCAGTTCTCTAGCCTCAGCCTCAGCCTCCTGAGTAGCTAGGATTACAAGTACACGCTACCACACTTGGCTAATTTTTTTTGTATTTTTAGTAAAGATGGGGTTTTGCCATGTTGGCCAGGCTGGTCTTAAACTTCTGGCATCAAGTGATCTGCTCGCCTCAGCCTCCCAAAGTGTTGGGATTACAGGTGTGAACCACCCTACCTGGCCAAGATTCCTTCTTTTATCATTTCCTTTCTGTTTAGAGAATTTTCTTTTGCAATTCCTTTAGGGAAGGTGTGCTGGTGACACATTATCTTAGTTTTTCCTCATCTGAGAATGTTGTCATTTTCTTTTTCATTTGAGAAGGATGTTTTAATTGAACACAGAATTCTAGGTTGATAGGTTTGTTTTTTTGTTTTTTTAGCACCTGAAAAAGTCATGCCACTTCCTCCTGGCCTCCATGGTTTCTGATAAGAAATCAGCTGTCACTTACACTGTTGTTTCCTTTCTAGGTAAGGTGTGTCCTGTATTTAAGATTTCTTTTTTGTCATTAATTTTCAGAAATCTGACTATTGTGTCTTGGTGTGGATATCTTTGGGTTTACACTTTTTGTGGTTTGCTAAGCTTCTTGGTAGTTCATGTCTTTTGTCAGTTCAGGTCTTTTGTCAAATTTGTTGAATTTTCTGTCGTCATTTCTTCCCACGCCCTTTCTCCTCTCCTTTAGTAATTCGAGTGACACAAATGTTAGAATTTTATTGTTATAGTTCTACAGGTCCCAGAGGCTCTGTCACTTTTTTTCTGATCATTTTCTCTCTGTTGTTCAGACTGCATAATTTCTATTTTTCTTTGTTGAAGGTCTCTGATTCGCTCCTCTGCATTGTTCACTCTGCTGCTGACACCATCTATTGAGACTTTTATTTCAGTTATTGTAATTTTTGGTTGGCTCTATTTTATATTGTCTATGTCTTTCTGAGACTATTTTTTTGCTTGTTTGTATGTTTACAGTTGCTCACTGAAACATATTTATGGTGATTCCTTTAAATACTTGTCAGATAACTCTAACATCTGTGTCATCTCAGCATTGGTATTAGTTTATTATTGTTTCTAATTCCAGTTAAAATTTTCCTAGTTCTGATTATGATGAGCAGTTTGCTATTCAAACCTGGACATCATCTTACAACATTCTGGATCTTATTTAAAATCTCTTTTAGAAGGTCTCCTCTGACACTGTTCTGGTGAAACTAAGGGGGTGCTGCCTCTTTTCTGCCAGGTGGAGTTTGCAGAAGTCCAGGTTTTCCACTCAGCCTCTACTGACACCTCAGGTAGGGAGGGGAGCAGATCCTCATCACTGCTGGGTGGAAGCAGGAGTTCTGGCACTCTACCAGGCCTCCATTGAGTGCACCATGGCTGCTCCTTATGTGGCCCCCACAGATGACACTGCATTGTGGAGGGGAGCTTGTTATTTTCAGTGGAAAGTTCTGACTCCCTACCATGTCTCTTTGATACCAACCCAGAAGGCAGTGGGAGGGGCACCCCCTTACTGCCAGCTGGAAGTGTAAGTGTAGATTCCCCACATGGTCACTGCTACGCTGTCTGGGGAGAGAAAGAAGGTTTGTTACTGCCCACAGGAGATGAAAATTCCTTTACTGGACCTTCTCTGACACTATTCTAATTGGAAGTTGGGGTGTGCTACAGCATAGTGGAGATGGAAGTCTAGACTTCCCACTCAGCCTTTGCTGTTAAGAATGGGGCTACAGTTGGCTGGGCGCGGTGGCTCAGGCCTGTAATCCCAGCACTTTGGGAGGCCAAGGCGGGTGGATCAAGGTCAGGAGATTGAGACAATCCTGGCTAATACAGTGAAACCCCATCTCTACTAAAAAAAATATATAAAAAATTAGCCAGGCATGGTGGCGGGCGCCTGTGGTCCCAGCTACTCGGGAGGCTGAGGCAGGAGAATAGCGTGAACCCGGGAGGCGGAGCTTGCAGTGAGCAGAGATCGCGCCACTGCACTCCAGCCTGGGAAAAAGAGCAAGACTCTGTCTCAAAAAAAAAAAAAAAAAAAAAGAATGAGGCTACCGTTTTTCTGTGGTGTTTGGCTGAAAAGAGCAGTGATAGTGTAAGTTTTCTGACTTGCTAGCCTGCTCCTTTTTTGGTCTTTAGGCTAAGGAAATTAGCTTTTTTTGGAGCTTTGTCTGCAACTGTTGATATTTCGAGGTTGCTGGCTTCTCCGGCACCCCGTCTAGGATACATGCAGCAAAAAGAAAACCCTGAAGACTCATTCATGTGTTGTTTCTCAGGACGCAAGTAACCCAGGTTGGTCTGCCTTCTTTCCACCTTTCAAAATCTTTTCATGTTTGTTTTATGTTTAATGTTTAGGGTTTTTAGCTGTACTTACTGGGAGGAATACAGAAAAGGTACTCTTACTCCATCTTTCTAGAAGTGAGACTATTTTAATTTCATACCTCAAATTTCCCTCTCTACTTCTAATTTGGAAAAATGAATAACTTAAATCTAGCACATCTGAATTTTATCTGTGTTTTAAAAGTTAAATATAAGTGGAAGATATGCAAAAAAGGACTCCTTAAACACTCAGAGTCAAATATATACTGCTAAGGTTAAGTACAAAGGCAAGTTAGTAAATGCTCTCTAAATCTTCATAGATATCCAAAGCTACCCATGAAAGCAAGCAAGCCATTGACAGATACCATTCTATAAGGGAAGAAAAAATTAACACAGCATAAAAACTATCAGAGATTAAACCTAAAAAAGGACAAAGTAAGTAATGTATTAGGAGAAGACTACAGAGAGTGTATTTCTTTTCATGGGACTCATAGACACAGTAGAAATATACTTAGAAGTTGACTAAGAGGAATGGAAATGTATTACATATTTGCAAACAAACATCTGAATTATGAATGCTTGTTATTGTTTCTCTGATAATAAAAAATTTTGACAGGTAACCATGGAAAAGATGAACATTCTAAAATCAATATATTTTCCATTTGATTACATGAGATTATGTCAGTGTTAATCTTTTAAAAATATTTTAAACTGTATTTCTCTCTTTTCCTTATTTGTCTGTCTCTTTCTGACATAGTTTGAGATTCAATTTCTGATCGCTTGCTTCTCTGGCTCCTTTCTCACATTTCAACCATCGAGAACCACTGAACTGAAATTTACGTACTAAAATTAATACGGCTGTAGAAAACAATTGTACAAAGGAAACTAAATTATAATCTAATCTGTACCACTTGAAACTGCAGTTCCAAGGTGAGGCTTTCATCACAATTCTCTGCTCTGTTTTGTGTTTCAAACTACAGAATTCAAATACAATTTTCTCAGGAAACGAAACAATTTGAAAGAGGGAAAAATCTCAAAAAGGAAACTTGATTAGAAAACAAAAAGTACCTCTTCATCCAATTCTTTCATTATCTTGTCTAGTTTTATGTTTGAGGTTCTGTAAAAACAAAAGCAATACAGATTAGAAATATACGTATTTCTTATTGCCCAGTGTTAAACACTAACATTCCTTACTTTTCCACTTAACTAGAGTTTTGTATCCTTTCTTGGTGCCATGGATCTCTTTGGCAGTCAAGTGAAGCCTATGGCCTTTTTTCAAAATATTTTTTGAAGCACAAAAATTATATATGATTAAAAGAGACAATTAGGCTGGGTACAGTGGCTCACACCTGTAATCCCAGCACTTTGGGAGGCTGAGGCGGGTGGATCATCTGAGGTCAGGAGTTCGAGACCAGCTTGGCCAACATGGTGAAACCCCGTCTCTACTAAAAATTAAAAAAAAAAAAAATTAGCAAGGCATGGTGGCGGGCGCCTGTAATCCCAGCTATTTGGGAGGCCAAGGCAGGAGAATCACTTGAACCTGGGAGGTGGAGGTTGCAGTGAGCCGAGATCATGCTACTGTACTCCAGCCTGGGTGATACAGTGAGACTCCATCTCAAAAAAAAAAAAGAAGCCAATTATATTGAAACACAGTAATAAACTTTAAAAAAATATGTGTAATTCAGTAGTATATATGCTTCCTTATTAATATATTAAATCACAACATCTAGTGGCAGTGATTTCAAAGTATTGATGAGCATAAATGATATTTAGAGATAGCTGTAACAACTGTAATAAGAAAACATCTATAATTTCTATTGGTAATAAAAATTAACAACTACTGCTAATAACTGAATTGCTGCCTATGCTCAGAATTGAAACAAGTGCTAAAATTAAGTTATAAGTTAGAGAAAACGTTCACCTTTTGTCATCCACGTTTAAGGACTTCAAATTTCATCCATGGACTCTTTGGGGGAGGTCTATGGATTTCAGGTTAAGGATCCCTAAACTCCGTCATGCAATACTTGCCACTACTCAAAAATTAGCCATTTATCCTTTAATACAGGATAAAGTAAACAAAGAGAAAGGTAGTATATATCAAATCAGTAAAGGCACCATTTGGCAACACTCAAAGTGTATTATCTTCATTACCATTTGCTTTCTTTGGTTCAAAATGTAATTCTGAGCTTCAAAACCTATATATGCAACATTTTCACGTGGATGTCTCATTAAATACCTCATTCAGCATCTCCAAAATAGAACTTACTGCCTCTGTTCCACACTCCCACCCCAATACCAATTTGCTTCTCTTCTAGAGTCCCTAAGTAAATGACAACACCTAGGAATCATCCTTGACTCATCCTCCCTCACTCCCATTTAGCTGAATAAAGTGCCAAGTGCTGCTAATTAAGCAGGAACTTCTTTTGAAAACAGCAAATTTAATATATATTTTTTACTTATTAGTTTAATGACTTTTGATGTTTTTCCATTACACTTAAATTCCAAATTTCTTAGCCCCCCCGCAAAAAAAAAGAGAAAAAAAAATTCTCCCCAATCTAGACCTTGCCATCCTCCCCATTCTCATCTCAGGCTTTTCCTTCCCTCACATCTTACTGGCCAGTCAAGGTCTCTTACCTCACGGCCTTCACAGATACTCACCTCCTGGACCCTAACACTTCCTTCCACTCTTCTCCTAATAATTTCCATTGACTCTTCTGGTTTAGCTTTCTCTGATCTCTGACAAAACAGTACAGGCATCTCCTGATGTATTCCTGATATTCCTGTATAATTTTATTCTCTCCCCAATTAACACATACCACACTTCTTTTTTTTTTTTTTTTTTTTTTTGAGATGAAATCTCGCTCTGTTGCCCATGCTGGAGTGCAGCAGCGCAATCTCAGCTCACTGCAAGCTCCGTCTCCCGGGTTCATGCCATTCTCCTGCCTCAGCCTCCCGAGTAGCTGGGACTACAGGCGCCCGCCACCGCGCCCAGCTAATTTTTTGTATTTTTAGTAGAGATGTGGTTTCACCTTGTGAGCCAGGATGTCTTGATCTCCTGACCTTGTGATCCGCCTGCCTCGGCCTCCCAAAGTGCTGGGATTACAGGCATGAGCCACCGCACCTGGCCTACCACACTTCTTGATAATTACTTACTTGTTTTTCTTGCTAAATTACAAGCTCCTTGTGGAGAGGGGCCATGTCGTGATTTATTCAGTACTATATTGTTGACAAGCACATTATATGACACTTTAACTGAAATTTTTATTGAATAAATGAATGTAACTAAAATGATTTGAATGCAGAGAATTTGATTTAAAGAAATGCAAGTGGCCGGGCGTGGTGGCTCACACCTGTAATCCCAGCACTTTGGGAGGCCGAGGTGGGCGGATCAAAAGGCCAGGAGATCGAGACCATCCTGGTTAACACAGTGAAACCCCGTCTCTACTAAAGAATTCAAAAAATTAGCCAGGCATGGTGGCGGGCGCCTGTAGTCCCAGCTACTCGGGAGGCTGAGGCAGGAGAATGCCATGAACCCGGGAGGTGGAGCTTGCAGTGAGCTGAGATCACGGCACTGCACTCCAGCCTGGGTGACAGAGTGAGACTCTGCCTCAAAAAAAATAAAAACAAAAAAAAAATAAATAAAATAAAGAAATGCAAGTAAATATCACTCCACAATCCCTAGCACTAGGTTTTTATTTTAAAAACTATTTACCAATTCAATATATAATTTTTTAAAGTTTCATCTCAATTTTATTTCCTTGAGGTGATACTTTCATATGATTATTAGCCAATTCAGCCATTCTTATTACTTCCTCAAACTGATCCCTACTCACCATTACTACCAGTTTGTCACTTGTCTTTTAATTTTGTTTAAAAATTTTTTTGGGCCAGGCACGGTGGCTCACGCCTGCAATCCCAACACTTCGGGAGGCTGAGGTGGGTGGATCACCTGAGGTCAGGAGCTCGAGACCAGCCTGGTCAACATGGTGAAATCCCGTCTCTACTAAAAATACCAAAACTAGCCAGGCGTGGTGGCAGGAGCCTGTAATCCCAGCTACTCGGGGGACTGAGGCAAGAGAATCACTTGAACCCGGGAGGCAGAGGTTGCAGTGAGCCGCGATCGCGCCATCATACTCCAGCCTGGGGGACAAGAGTGAGATTTCGTCTCAAAAAAAAAAAAAAAAAATTTGGATGTAGAGACTTCCCAACATTTATATAACAGTATCTACCCAGTTCTTCCCCTTATTTACATATTTTATACTTAGAAATTCTTTCCAAATCCTGGGGTCAGTTAATTATTTGCTTATATTCAAATGCCTTTTTAAAAGAAATTTGTATTATACACTTAACCACATAATCTATCAGGAATGGTTAAAAGTGAGAATTTTATCTGTTTTGTACCAAACCCCCCACCTGCTCTGTCACAAAATTACCAGTGTTCCCAATTTTATTTGTTGAATACTTTTCGTGTTACCTTTGCATTTCATTTATTCAATACTATTCACTAAAAACATAAATAATTATAAAAAATTATTGCTTATAATTGATAAGTAATTCAGTATTATGCTAGGTAATTTAAAATAAACGTGAGCATAACTCAAAGATATTTTTTCTGTGAGTCTAATGACAATAACATGCTGAAATTAGACCCACAGAAAAAGATACTCTGAGTTACTGCTCTGGTGAACCACAGTGGAAATTAGAATGGCCACATCAAAAATTTAGTATATTTTAATCTTCAACATTTTACATTTCAAAAAGCACCTGATTTAATGTAAACTAATTTCCCCTTTATTTATTTTTCTTTTTGAGACAGAGTCTTGCTCTGTCGCCCAGGCTGGAGTGCAACGGTGTGATCTCGACTTCCTGCAACCTCTCCCTCCCGGGTTCAAGCAATTCTCATGCCTCAGCCTCCCAAGCAGCAGGGACTACAGGGGCACACCTTCGTGCCCAGCTAATTTTTTGTATTTTCAGTAGAGATGCGGTTTCGCCATGTTGGCCTGGCTGGTCTTGAACTCCTGCCCTCACGTGATCCACCATGTGCAGCCTAATTTGCCCTTTTAGTTAGCTAATTATGTAAAGAGAAAAAAGCAGTAAGTCAGGCAACTAAATGAATTAGCATTACAGTTTTTTAAGAATACAGACTGTTGGCCGGGTGCGGTGGCTCACACCTGTAATCCCAGCACTTTTGGAGGCCGAGGCGGGCAGATCACGAGGTCAGGAGATCGAGACCATCCTGGCTAACACTGTGAAACCCCGTCTCTACTAAAAATACAAAAAAAAAAATTAGCCAGGTGTGGTGGCGGGCGCCTGTAGGCCCAGCTACTCGGGAGGCTGAGGCAGGAGAATGGCGTGAACCCGGGAGGCGGAGCTTGCAGTGAGCCAAGATCGTGCCACTGCACTCCAGCCTGGACGACAGAGCGAGACTCCATCTTAAAAAAAAAAAAAAAGAATACTGCTTTACTTTCTGATGACTGTAATGAAAACACAGTTGGAACATATTACAAAGTACACAATATATTATTTTCATGAATTAAAAAAAAAAAAAAGAATACAGACTGCCAGGAACAAATGTACTTTAAATATTCTGAGGAAAATACATCTATAACTAAGCCAACATAAATACAACTTCTCAATTCTAGCCGAGACACATCATGAATGTATTATCAGTAGTAATCTTTACATCCTCATTTTCTATTTACTTTCAGATGTTTACAGGGTATAAGCTTTCAAGTAAGTATTTGGTATATAAAACTTTTAATATGAAAAACTTAAAGTATATTCTCACCTGCACTTCTGCTCCATTTCATCTTTTAACTGCATTTCATTATGCAGCTGTTCTTCCAGCTTATAGATTGTTTTTTGCAAACTTTCCTGCTTTAATTTAAAACAAAAACAAAAACTCATTCTACTAAGAATATTTAGACATTTAAAAATATCAAGTCTATGTTAATATTTTAAACCTTTTTAGAAAATAATTTAATTTAATCTTACCTCTTTCTATCTCAATTTTTTTATTATTAATTTAACAAGCACTTTCTTAACATTTACTAAACGTTAGGCCATTAGAAATACAAAAATTAAAAAGATTTGGTTCCTGTTCTCATGAAGCAAATAGTTACATAGTGAGGCAAAGTTAAATTGGAAGAGAAAAAAGAAGCTACAATGTCCCAAAGACATATACACAAAATATTACAATAGACTGTGGTAAATAATAAAAAAATTATCTACGGAGTGTTCCAAAGGAGAGAAAAGGTCACTTCTAACTCTGCCAAGAATATATAATCCTTGAGTTGAGGCCTAAAAGATAAGAAGAACTGATAATCTGATAAAGCAAAGAAGGTGGCACAAGAAAGGCATTTTAGCTAGAATGAACAATGAGCCCAAAAGTAGAAAGGCAGAAGAAAATATGATATATTTGGGAAATGGAAAGAAATCAAGTACTATAGCAGAGCACAGAATGTAATAGGAAAAACAACTCACATTAAGCCTAAGAAGGTAATGATCCTTGTATGCACAAACTGGAGTTGGGGACTTTACCCCATAAGCATTTTAAATGAGAAATGACATAATACTGGCACCTCAGAAACATCACTACAATAATAAGGTTAATGAACAGCTTAGAGGGCAGTGAAGTTCTAAGAAGAGCAACCAGTTAAAAAGCTATCAAAGCAGTTCAGACAAGAGAATATGGATCTGATAAAAGGCAGAGGCTACAGGAATGAAGAGGAAGTAATGGATAAAGGTATCAATTGGAAAGCACAATGTATGACCAAACCGACTGGAAGTTAGAATAGATATAATACCATTATGAAAGACAGCCAACACACTGCTAGGGAGGGAATGGGGACAGGAAAACAGTGAGTTTAGCTCTGGCCTAGTTTGATATGCCTGAGAAGTATACAGAAGAGAGAGAAAGATTCAGGACTGGAGCTCAGACAAGCAAGCTGGACATGAATGAGATTACCTACAGAGAAAGAGCAGAGAGCCAAGATCAGAACTTTGGGAAATGTTAATAATTGAAAGTGAGCAGAGGAGGAAGATCCTGAAAAGAGGATTGAAAAATAAATAAAATTCAAAAATATGGGAGGTAAAAAAGAGGGAAACAATAGGAACATAGAAGATTTAGAAATGTTTGAAGTTCCAAAGAAGTAGGAAGCAGTCAGTGTCAAATACAGCAAAGAAGAAAAATAAGATATGGGCTGAAAATCATCCACTGTATTTGGCAATTGCAAAGTTGTTCAATAGCATCTCTGCTAGGTTTTCAAGGAAAATTAAATTAGTTGATTTTGTACTTAGTTCTAGGTTGAAATAATTAGTATATCCCCCCTGATATTATTAGAGCAAAAGATAAAGGTAGCAACCACTGATAAACTTATGGTAATCACCACTGAACAAAATCAGCCCAAAGAAAACATGAATCCTTTGAATATTTTTGAAGGCCGAAGGCACTTCTAACTCTACAGTCAAGTAACACAGTGAGAGCTGACTTACAGCAACTCCTTATTATTACGTAGGTCAAAGATTTTTGAGCCCTTGTTAGCAATACATAACTTGCCAAACAGCTCTACTGGGATTAAAATTTAAGAGAAAGATGAACTTAACACCAAATGAGTACTCATATAGTTCCTTCACCTTTTTCTCATTTTCCCTTTTCACCGCATGTTCTCTTATATTTAAGAGTCAATATATCAAGGAGAAAGAAAAGAATCATTATCAGCTTTTTAAAAATGGCTGCTACCTCTTCCTCTCCTCTGTTAAAAATATGTAGGCTTGCAATGTCTCTGTGCCCCCCCACAAAAAAATGTAGGCTATAGTAGACAAAAAGTTCAAAGAATGCTCTAGGAATGGACAGATAATTACTCTGGATATTTTTCAGAAAATTCCTGTTAACCCAAAAGGACCTTCTGAAATGTAAGCAAGTAAGATTTTGTTTTACCTCTGTGTCAGAACATGAGCTATATAAACAACAGAAAGAACTCAACTAAAATGTATTTTCTGGAGTAATATACTTCTCAGTGGACAAATTAAGATGATGCTAACTATACTGGTTATTCTCCATTTCCCCCATTCCCTTCTAACCTTGAAAATTCATCCTCTGCTCTTCTTTGCCTTAAAATCTACAGATTGCATTGCCTGTATTACTCTGTAGCCCTATGATTTTAAGGTTGGTTTCAACCCACAGGAGACACCAGCAGAAATCTGAAGGTAAAAGAAAGAAATATTCATTTCCCTACACCCTTTGTGCTTTACTGTGGTTTTCACAATGCTCTACGTTTTATATTCCTCTTCTATGATGTCAGGCTTTCTCTGAGCTACGATAAGATTTTCTCTCTTTGCTCCTTCAGTATAGGGCAATGGCTTCCCACTCTTGTTCATACATGGGTGCTTTAGTACCCTTTATTGTTTCCCTCTACTGATGTTCACAGCATGTTAATCATCCCTTCATTAAACTCTTGATTTAATAAATGCAAAAATATGGTGTGTGTGTATATATGTGTGTGTGTGTGTATATATATGTATGCAATGGAATATTACTCAGCCTTAAACACGAAGGAAATTTTAATATATACTACAACATGGATGAACCTTGAAGACATTATGCTACATGAAATAAGCCAGTCACATATGGATAAATATTGTATGATTCCACCTCATATGAGGTACCTGGAATAGGCAAATTCATTGAGACAGAAAGTAGAACAGTGGTTACCAGGAGCTGGGGGGAGGGTGAAATGAGGAGTTACTGTTTAATTGGTATAGATTTTTAGTTTGGGATGATGAAAAGGTTCTAGAGATGGATGGCAGTGATGGCTGCACAACTATGTGAAGGTGCTTAATGCCACCGAACTGCACACTTAAAAATGATTAAAACGGTAAATTTCATGTTACGTATATTTGCCATACACACAAAACTCTCTGTTTAAATATTTTGAACATGTAATCTGTTTGCCTGTCAAGACCCTTAATGATACATTGATATATCATAGTTCCTGATTCCGAAGATTAAAAAAGATGACCACTGTCAATCTGTGTAACAATTTAGTTTACTAACTGCCTCCAAATATATTATTCCATTTGATATTTGAGCAAAAAATCAGACTGAAAAGGAGATGGGAGATGAAAGTGCCATAAAAATCTAAGTTCAGCTAACCACAGCTTCACAAACAATATATAAATTTACTATCATACCCACAAATATATTATCCACAAAACAATTTTAAAAACAATTTTCTTAATACTAAGAAAATACCTACCAAGCTTTTATCTGCATTGGAGCTAGTTCTGTTATCATTAGGATTTGCTGAAGATAAGTATCTGAGGGAAAGAAAAGTTTAAAAAGAAAAGAAAACAAAAAACTCTGTAATATCCCATGACAACCAATAATAAATACTACACGCCTATTTTATGTTCAGTTATAGTAACTTTGTTTTTAAAAATTAAGTATAGGTTCATAATTTTTATAAACATAATTCAGAAATGATACATATATTAAATAAAACACCCAGTTAGGTCTAAAAATAGTAGCAGCCTGTAAACATATGACTTAATATTCCTGCAGCAAAACATAAGAATATTCATACCAAGTAGGATAAATAAAAACCATAGTCTCAAGTTAGTTCAGATTAGGCTTTCTGGTCATGAGAGCAGGTTATGACAGGTTTTTCCACCAAACAAATAACTTAAAAACATTCAGTTTTCAGAGCTTTTTGTATATAAGAATTGGGGGTAAGAAACTGCTGACTTCTGCAGACATATGCATAACCACCTCTCCTGCACCCAACTATCCTTCAGCAAAGCATAATATTGCCTCTTCGGGTCAAAAAAGTTTTTGCCTATGTGGGTGAAATAACAGAACCAAAGTTTAGGTGATGCTGCTAATCTTTTGGGACTCCCAGCCTTGCAGAGTTCTTTAAATTCAGTGTAAAGTTAGAATTGTATATAAATAAAGCTATTAGTGAACTAATTTAGAGGTCTTTTTTAGATGTCTCACAAGATTCTCAAACAATCTAAATAGATCATATATGTAAACAATTTTTTAAGCTACCAAATATTATATAAAGGTAAGGTACTAGTACTGCCAGTGTTGCTCCTACTGCCACCATGCTACGACTACCATAATCACTACTTCTACCATCACCACCACTACAGTCAGCACCCTGATTAACCAGTAGAGCTATTGCAAAAGGAGATCAAATAGTTACAGTATACTTCATAGCTATTGGAGGCATGTGTTAACACACCAGATATTAATAATGTTCCAAAAGAACAGTTTAAGTAAATTTTAAAAATTAGTGAATAACAGAAGATAATCAAGTATCCATTAAGTATCAATAAACATACACAGTACAATGGTACTATAAAAGAAACAGCTAGAAATATGCCACTTCCTAGGTTTTCCTTGAAAAATTATTCAGATCAAATGGAGATTCAAATAACTTTAAGACAATAATAGGGGCTGTGTAGCAGCTTTATAGAGGAAAAGTCCCATATAACAAATGACAAATTCTAGGTGTGGTGCAATTTAATTCCATTGACTACTAAGCATCTCAGAAATTCAATGTGAGATTCTGCTTATGTAATATAAATAAGGCATATAGCAATGCCAGTGGCATCTAAATTAGATGAGACTGTTTCATCTCTAAGATATTTTCTAAACTTAACATGCTATGTGACTGAGACTGACATTTTAGTCTTCTGCAAAATTAGTAATATAAGCTTGAATGCAGCAAAGGAAATGTAAGGACATCACTTGTATACATCCATTAATTCTTCCACCTTCTGTCTTTTCTCTATCAAGGTACATTTGCATATTATATTGGTGCTTTTACATAGAATCTGGTCATTTAGGTAACTTTTTACAAAACGGGAGTTACTATATTAGGAATATAGCTTAAGGCTATTTTAAAAATCATGTTTAATTCAGCTATAATTAAGCAACAATGATTTCTGCCCTTGGTATTAAAAGTATATCTGGATTTCAGGGATAAGAATTTCAGAGGTTTTCTATTTCATATCTGTATATTCAAAATTATGCTTACATATTACAATAAAGCTAATCAATATTTTGCCAGGGCCAGGTGCAGTGGCTCACACCTGTAATCCGCTGGGATTACTTTGGGAGGCCAAGGTGGGTGGATCACTTGAGGCCAGGGGTTTGAGACCAGCCTGGCCAACAGCCTGGCCAACATGGCAAAACCCCATCTCTAATAAAAATACAAAGATTAGCCAGGCATGGTGGTACGCACCTGTAATCCCAGCTACTCAGAGGCTGAGGCACAAGAATCACTTGAACCCAGGAGGCAGAGATTGCAGTGAGCCAAGATCACACCACCGCACTCCAGCCTCAGCGACAGAGTGAGACTCTTGTTTCAAAAATATATATATATTTTGTTGGTTCTTTCTTTATGAACAGCAACCGTACCTTTGCCTGTTCAGGTAGTAAGTGATTACTTAAAAAATACTATATTTATTTGTCAATAGGCTGTGACAGTTAAGAACACAGTATAATTTCTACTTTTAAGAAACTTAAAAATTAGTTTGGGCCATAAAACATGAATACGAAGAAAAGCTAGAGAACATAATCAAGTGCATGATAATGTAGGACAAATAGTATAATAAATGTTTATTTAACTGAAGGTTACCATTATACAGAGAAACCTAAATAAAGTTATTAACTGCTGGACTCTACTACAGAAAATACAAAAACATTGGCGGTTGTTTATATCAACAACTTGAGTGTTTCAGAAACCAAGTCAAAGAATAATTGATAAAAATACAAAAAGTTAACACTTCAGCAGGCTGGGCACAGTGGGTGACACCTGTAATCCCAGCACTTTGGGAGGCCAAGGTGGGCGGATCACCTGAGGTCGGGAGTTCGAGACCAGCCTGACCAACATGGAGAAACCCTGTCTCTACTAAAAATACAAAATTAGCCGGGCATGGTGGCACATGCCTGTAATCCCAGCTACTCGGGAGGCTGAGGCAGGAGAATCGCTTGAACCCAGGAAGCGGAGGTTGCAGTGAGCCGAGATCGTGCCATTGCACTCCAGCCTGGGCAACAAGAGCAAAACTCTGTCTCGAAAAAAAAAAAAAAAAAAAAAAAAAGAATGCTTCAGCAAAAACCACCCTGAAGCTCTTCTGTATATGTATGTTAATTGAATACAGTTATAATATTATACTCACAGAGTGTTAGGGAGGAAAAAAAGATAAGTGCCAGCTATCTCATTGATGTTGCAACAAAAAGTATTAAGTACTATCTTACAGTGGATTACTGAAGAAGTTTCAAAAAGCCGGACTAAATTGTCTTTTTGTTTTCTAAGATTAACTTGAATGGCTCTTACACTAAAATGACAAGACCCTTCACTTTAAAATAAGATTAGTTATAATGACCTCAAATGTAATAATTTACTCCAAGCCAATCAGTTATCTGATACCATTCCAAAGGAGTATAATTTGATTAGAAGTACATATTTTTGAGGTAATTAAAAGTAGATTTAACCCACCCAGTAAGTGTTATCATATAGTTCAATGCATTATACTGGTATAGCACTTTGTTTAGATTTCTTTTTCTTTCTTTTTTTTTTTTTTTTTGAGACAGAGTCTCGCTCCATTGCCCAGGCTGGAGTGCAGTGGCGTGATCTAGGCTCACTGTAACCTCCGCCCCCCAGGTTGAAGCGATTCTCCTGCCTCAGTCTCCCAAGTAGCTGGGATTACAGGCATACGCCACGACACCTGGCTAATTTTTGTATTTTTAGTAGAGACGGGGTTTCACCACATTGGCCAGGCTAGTCACGAACTCTTGACCTCAAGTGACCTGCCCACCTTGGCTTCCCAAACTGCTGCGATTACAGGCGTGAGCCACCGTGCCTGGCCGAGATTTCTACTATGTAGTTCTTACTAACCTACATTGCACAATTTATGCATTTCTCACCAAGATGTGAGCATCTCAAGAGAAGGCACTGTATCTTATTCATCCTTCTCCATGCAATTTGGTGCTCAGTATATACCTGACAAATAATAAGTTATCAAAGATATCTGTGGAATGAATGAATGCTCAGCACACTAAAATAATGTTAAATGTTTAACTTAAATCTCAAGTACATTAGAGTAAAGCTAACATGAACTCATACTAATGGTAATAATAGTTAACACTGAGTGCTTACACCATGCAAAGCCCTCTTCTAAGTGCTGTACTGTGTTTTAATTTACTTAAACCTTATAACAATCCTATGAGGTAAGTAGGCAAGCAGTATTATTGTTATTATCATCATCCCTATTTTTGAGGAAATGGAGGCATAAAAGGCCAAAGTTATTTGTCCAAGGTCACAGTGGAGGTAATACTACATTTTATAACACATGGTAAAATTTGGGGAGGAATCACTTAATTTTTTTTTTTTTTTTTTTTTTTTTTTTTGAGACGGAGTCTCGCTCTGTCGCCCAGGCTGGAGTGCAGTGGCGCGATCTCGGCTCACTGCAAGCTCCGCCTCCCGGGTTCACGCCATTCTCCTGCCTCAGCCTCCCGAGTAGCTGGGACTACAGGCGCCCGCTACCACGCCCGGCTAATTTTTTGTATTTTTAGTAGAGATGGGGTTTCACCGTGTTAGCCAGGATGGTCTCGATCTCCTGACCTCGTGATCCGCCCGCCTCGGCCTCCCAAAGTGCTGGGATTACAGGCGTGAGCCACCGCGCCCGGCCCACTTAATTTTTGAAGAGCTAAAAATTGATACAGCATCAATATGGTGATGATAATGCTAGAAAAGTCTACATGCTGGCCAGGCACGGTGGGTCACGCCTGTAATCCCAGCACTTTGGGAGGCCGAGGCAGGCAGATCATGAGGTCAGGAGTTCAAGACCAGCCTGGCCAACATGGTGAAACCACATCTCTACTAAAAATACAAAAATTAGCTGGGTGTGGTGGCAGGTACCTGTAATCCCAGCTACTCGGGAGGCTGAGGCAGGAGAACTGCTTGAACCCAGGAGGTGGAGGTTGCAGTGAGCAAAGATTGTGCCACTGCACTCCAGCCTGGGTGACAGAGCAAGACTCCATCGTGGAAAAAAACAAAACAAAACAAAACAAAAAAAGTCTACATGTTGTTTCAAAATGTATTATAAACCATAAGTCTACAGATCAAAATATCAGTATTTATGGCATTTTTTGACCTATTAATTGTTGTAACTTGAGGATATATAGTATATCATTTAGCAAAAAAATTTTGAAAAACAATGTCCTAAACATGGATGAGTCCAAGAGAAATTAAATATGAAATACTGGAAATATCATGCATCAATGAAAAATTGCATAATAAGGTGTATCTTTATATAGCATTAAATCTACTTTAAAAATGATTTTTAGATATTTCTAAGAACAAAATCAGCACTTACTCCTATAATCACTGTTTAGCATACTTACCTACGATTGCTATAATATGTAAATCCTACAAAAGGTAGTTGATTGCCAACGAAAGCTTTAGGAATAGGGAATGTTTCTTCCTCTCCTTTATCTTCTTCCAAGTCATCAAAATTACTAGTATCAATGTCACTACTTAAATCGGGTACAACTGGTGCTACAGCTAAAGACAAAACAAAATTAGTTGTTCACTTCAAACTTAAAATACAAGTAAAGTGAAGCACATTCCATACCAACTACTGATGGTTTCTCTCTTATAAAACCTTGCAAACCACAAATTCCACCTGGCTTGAATCCTATTACATCAAGCTTTACCAGGACTAAAAATCAACTGATAATTGATCATTATGTAATTCTATGAAACAATTATCTTCAAAGTCACCTATAATTATCTATACCTTGGGTTTAACTTGACTATTACAAATCAAGTATTACTAAGGTTTGTTTTAGAATGTACCAAGGTATAAAATACACAAAAGCATTCGGGACTACAGAAAAGACTTTTTAGAAACTAAAGCATAACAAACTGTACTCGAAAAAATTGTTTAGCTTTAAATATAGTATTTTTTGGTTAATCTGCTGTATAGTAAACCAGAAATTAAGGTTACTTCTTAGCTTCCTGGACATCATAATTTGGTACTGAAATATTTTTACTCACTCAGAATCCAGATGATCAATACTCCTTTCTCCCACCCCAATATCTCCATAAGATTAAGCCACAGGAGCAATGGATTTGGAATTGTATTTTCAGACTAGCTACCTCTAGAATCAAGTGATTAAGACTAATGCAGTGAGGTATTTATGATATCATTGTTAATAAAAAAGGGCAGTAATATAAAAAATGGATATGACATCTTCAAGAATTATAAATTTGATGTGGACCAAGTCTTCCAGATACTTAATAATATAAAACCGTATGTGACAACGTTTAAATATTCATAATATAGGAGAAAATTCCATATAAAACTAATACTACTAACATCTATTTTTGGGGCTTGAATGTTACAAGGGGTACATCTAAAAATAAATTCTAAGAAAATAAAATTTTAAGAAAATTTATTTTTTAGCTTAAAGATACTGTAGTATAATAAAACATCCCTGAATTATGATCATCAAAATACTAAAAAATTATTTTAGGTACAATAACCTCATGTTCTTTTAGGGAAAAGGAATCAATTTTCTTTTCAATCACCTGGGTATTTCAGGCAAGAAATACCTATTCTTGTGCCATCTGAGACACAGTAAATTAATATTTAGGGAACGAAACAACACATTTAGCCAAATGAAGCTGTAGTACTAACAGTAACACAAGAGGGATATTAGGGCTTTTCCACCATTCCACTTTCCTTAATGGCCAACAGAACTGTCTGATTAGACATGGCCAGCTTTCTAATATTTGTAAAATGAGGTGAAAACACTAAACAGTTGCCGCCCTTGGGAAATACAGAAGTTAATTATGGTCTTGGCATACATTTTATGTTAAAAGAGTGATCTCAATCAGAGACACTTTTGCCTGCTGGAAGGTGTTCAGCAATGTCTGGGTACATATTCTGGTTGTCATTAATGGGAAAAAAGGTGTTACTAGCACCTAATGAGTACAGTCATAGGATGCCACTAAACATCCTTAAGTTTAGGATAATCCCCACAAAAAGAATGATCTGTCAACTGCTAAAGCTCAGAAAACCTGCTTTAAAATTATATCAGAAAGAGAGAACAGAGTAAGTGTGCTGCATTTTCTCTTGCTGTTTCTGATGGACCTACTCTTTTTATAAATGACACTATTTCACAGTAGTTCTAAAATGACAAATTCTCACCTGTTTAAATTCTGAGATACAAGTGGGGAAAATATTGGAAGAGTTATAAAAATAATTATTTCTGCTTCTAAATTAAGATGCTTAGGCTTTATATAATGCCATTTAATCACTTCAGAACTAATAAGAATAAAGATAACTATGGAATAAACATCAGTATATATTTGTTTAAAAATTTGTTTTCATTAAATAACTGTTAATTTAGAAATCATGTTCCATAAAAAAGAGTCCAGCAGATGTTGTCAAAAATGGCAGAGTAGGGAACTCAAAGAAATCATACCTCCACTGAAGCAACCATTGAGTTGGCAAAAACGACCAGAGCAACTTTCTGAGAACTCTGGAATCTAATAAAAAACTAATAACAAGCAAGGAGTGTTTAATGAAGAAAGAGGCTATAAAAATTTGGCATTTAAGGAAATCTCTGTCACTGGCTGAGATAATGAAATGGAGATTTCAGTGAATACACATGACAAGGAATACAGATTTTGCAAAATTAGTTTGGAAAAGTCACTAAATGAATGAATGACTGCAGCCCACAACAAGCAACAACCGCAAGCCCTGGGGGAAAGAGGAAGAATCTGATTTCCAGAGTTACAACACTGTAATATCCAAAATGTCCCTCTTAGAAGGATACAGCTGCTTTAAAACAATGTCCAGTTTACAACAAAAAATTACAAAGCATGTAAAGAAGCAAGAAAATATGGGCCATTCACAGGGAATATAGAAAAATGTTAGAAACCACCAGGCGTGGTGGCTCACGCCTGTAATCCCAGCACTTTGGGAGGCTGAGGCAGGTGGATCACAAGGTCAGGAGATCGAGACCATCCTGGCTAACATGGTGAAACCCCGTCTCTACTAAAAAATACAAAAAATAAGCCAGGTGTGGTGGCGGGCACCTGTAGTCCCAGCTACTTGGGAGGCTGAGGCAGGAGAATGGCGTGAACCCAGGAGGCGGAGCTTGCAGTGAGCTAAGATCGTGCCACTGCACTCCAGCCTGGGCAACAGAGCGAGACTCCATCTCAAAAAAAAAAAAAAAAAAAAAGAAAATAATATAGAAACCACCTCTGAGGAAACCAAGATATTAGATTTACTCAACAAAATCTTAAACTCTCTTAAATGTGTTCAAAAAGCAAATGAACACTATGGATGAAGTACCAGGAAGATGATGACTTAACAAAGAAAAAATATCATGAAAGAGATCGAAAATAGAACCAAATAGAAATTCTAGCACTGAAAAGTACAATAGCTGAAGTTAAAATTTCACTAGAAGGCTTCAACAGCAGATCTGAACAGGCAGAGGAAAAAAAACCAGTGAACTTGAAGATAGGACAAATGAAATTATCAAGTGTGAGGAACAGAAAGAAAAAGGATGAAAAAGTGAACAGAGACTAAGGAAACTGTGGCATCAACCAGACCAACATACACATTATGGGAGTTCCAGAAGGAGAGAAAGGGGCAGAAAGACTATTTGAAGAAATAATGGCCAAACCTTTCCAAATCTGGTAAAAGATATAAATCTACACATCCAAGAAGCTGAATGCCAACTATGAAAAACTCCAAAAGCTCCACATGAAGACACATCATAATCACATGCCATAATCAAACTGTCTTAACTCAAAGCCATATGAAGAAGAAAAAGGAGTATCAGTAAAGGTAACTATTTAGATAAATGTAAACAGAAGCAGGTTTTTAAGCTACTCAAAGTAAACTGGTATCAATTCAACCTAGATTGTTTTCAATTTAGAATGTTAAGTGTAATTCCACGTTAACTAATAAGAAAATGACTAAAAAATATACAGAAAAGGAAAAGAAGAAGGAATCAAAATAGCATACTAGGGGAAAAAACTAAACACAAAAGAAAGCAATAATGTATTAGCTGAGGAATAAAAAGGAAATATATGACATAGAAAACAAATAGGAAAGTTTTTTTTTTTTTTTTTTGAGACAGAGTCTCAAAAACACCCAGGAGTGCATTGCACTACACTCCAGTGTAGTGGTGCAATCTCAGCTCACTATAACCTGTGCCTCCCGGGTTCAAGTGATTCTCTGCCTCAGCCTCTGATGTAGCTGGGACTATAGGAGTGCACCACCATGCCTGGCTATTTTTTTTTTTTTTTTTGTAGAGATGAGGTTTTGCCATGTTGACCAGGCTGATCTCGAACTCCTGGCCTCAAGTGATCCACCTGCCTTGGCCTCCCAAAGTGTTGGGATTACAGGGGTGAGCCACCACACCCGGCCTACAGTGACAAATTAGATAACTTAGATGAAATAGAGACATTCCTAGAAAACACAGGCTGACAAAATCTATTTTAAAAGAAATAAAGAATCAAAATAGGGCCATAGTGGCTCACACCTGTAACCCTAGCACTTTGGAAGGCCAAGGGAGGGTGGCTTAAGACCAGGAGTTTGAAACCAGTCTGGGCAACATAGCAAGACCCCAGCTCTACAGAAAATTAAAAGAAAATTAGCCAGGTGTGGTGACACATGACCGTGGTCCTAGCTACTCAGGAGGCTGAGGCAGGAGGATCCCTTGGGTCTGAGAGTTCAAAAATACAGTGAGCTAAGATCATGGCACTGCATTCCAGCCTGGGCAACAGAGCAAGACCTTATCTCTATTAAAAAAATAAAATAAAATGAAGAAAAAAAACCCATATGATCATTTCAGTTGTCATACAAAAAGCATTTGACAAACACAACACCCCTTCATGATTGAAAACACCTGGCCAACAAGGACTAGAGAGGAACTTCCTCAATATGATAAAGGACATTAATGAAAATCCCACAGCTAACATTATATTCAGCGGTGAAAGACTAAAAGCTTCCCCCTATGACCAGGAACAGACAAGGTGCCCACTTCTACCACTGCTATTCAACACTTTACTGGAAGCTCTAGTCTGAGTAATTAGGCAAGAATGATAAATAAAAGGCATATAAATTGGAAAAGAAGAAGTAAAACTATCTCTATTTGCAGGTGACATGATCCTATCATAGAAAACCCTAAAGGAGCTACAAAAGAATATATTAGAGGTAATAGACAAATTCAACAAAATTGCAGGTTACAAGATCAGAAATAAAAGTTCTACTTCTATATACTAGCAATAAACAATATGAAAAGAAAATTAAGGGAACAATTCCATTTAAAATAATGTCAAAGGCCAGGCGCGGTGGCTCACGCCTGTAATCCCAGCACTTTGGGAGGCGGAGGTGGGCAGATCACGAGGTCAGGAAATCGAGACCATCCTGGCTAACTCAGTGAAACCCCGTTTCTACTAAAAAAAAAAAAAAAAAAAAAAAAAAAAAATTAGCCGGGTGTGCTGGCGGGTGCCTGTAGTCCCAGCTACTCGGGAGGCTGAGGCAGGAGAATGGCATGAACCCTGGAGGCGGAGCTTGCCGTGAGCCGAGATCGAGCCACTGTACTCCAGCCTGGGCGACAGAGCGAGACTCCATCTCAAAAAAAAAAAAAAAAATGAAAAAAAAAGTCAAAAAGAAATACCTAGGAACAAATTTAACCAAGGAGGTGTAAGGCTTATGCACCAAAAACTTAAAAACGTTGCTGAAATTAAAGAAGGCTTAAATAAATGGGGACACATCCTGTGTTCATGGACTGGAAAAGATAACATTGTTAAGATGATAATACTACCCAAAGTAATTTAAAGATTCAATGCAATCTCCATCAAAATCCCTATGTCCTTTTTGGCAAAGACGTAAAAACCCATTATAAAATTCATATGAAATCTCATGAGATCCCAAATAGTCAAAACAATTTTGAAAAAGAACGAAGTTGAAAGACTCACATTTCCTGATTTCAAAACTTACTACAGAGCTACCATAATCATACAGTGTGGTACCAACATAAAAACAAACTTATACAGATCAATGGAATACAACAAAAACCCCACAAATAAACCCTCATGTATATGGTTTAATGATTGATACAAGGTGCCAACAACTTTCAATGCAGGGAAAGGACAGTCCTTTCAACACATAGTGTTAGGAAAACTGGATATCCACATACAAAAATGTTAAATTGGACCCTTACTATACACTATATAAAAATTAATTCACAATGGGTCAAAGACCTAAACATACTAGCTGAAACTATAAAATTCAAAGAAAACATAGGTAAGACATTTCATGACATTGGATTTGGCAATGATTTCTTAAATACGAAGCCAAAGATACAAGCAACAAAAGAAGAAATAAACCAGATCTCATCAAAATTAAAAATTTTGTGCTTGAAAGCACTAATAACAGAGTGCAGAGAATAGAAAATATCTGCAAACCATGTATCTGATAAGAGATTAATATCCAAAATTTTTAAAGAACTCCTATAACTCAACAACAACAAAAAAACCAAACCACCAAATTTTAAAATGGGCAAAGAACTTGAATAGAAATCTCTCAAGAGAAGATATACGAATGGCCAATAAGCAACATGACAAGATGTTTACCATTCCTGGTCATTAGAGAAATGCTAATCAAAGCCACAATGAGATACCACTTCACATCCATTAGGATGACTACTATTTAAACACAAAAAACAAACAAACAAAACAGAAAAGAACAAATGCTGGAGATGTGGAGAAACCAGACCCATGTGCACTGCCGTTGGGAATGTGAAACGGTGCAAACATTGTGGATACTATTATGGCGTTTCCTCAAAAAAATTAAACATATGGCTGAGCGTGGTGGCTCACGTCTGCAATCCCAGCACTTTGGTGCACTGCTGCTGGGAATGTGAAATGGTGCAAATGTTGTGAATGTTATGGCATTTCCTCAAAACATTAAACATATGGCTGAGCATGGTGGCTCATGCCTACAATCCCTGCACTTTGGGAGGCTGAGGCAGGAGGATCTCTTGAGCCCTGGAGTTTGAGACTAGCCTGGTCAACACAGCAAGACTCTGTCTCTACAAAACTAACTAATTATCATATGACTTAGCCATTCCACTTCTAGGTATATACTCAAATTAATAGAAAACAGGGATATTACAGAATATCCATATATATAACATTAATATGGATATAAAATATCCGTAATATAATATGGAAAGCAGATATTTGTATTCTACTGTTTGTTATTCACAATAGCTAAAAGAGATAGCAATCTTAAGTGTCTATTAACGGATAAATGGATAAACAAAATATAGTATATCCATACAATGGAATATTATGATACATGCTATGACATGAATGAACCTTGAAGACATTGTGCTAGGTGAAATAAACCAGCCACAAAAAGACAAATATTATAGTAATCTACTTAAACGAAACACCCTGAGTAGTAGTCTAATTCATAGAGACAGAAAGAATAGTGATTACTGGACAGGGAAATGGAGAGTTACTATTTAAGAGTTTAGTTTAGGATGACGAAAAAGTTCTGGACACAGTAGAGGTAATAGTTTTAAGACAATGTGAATGTACTTAATGCCACTGAATTGTACAGTTAAAAATGCCCAACATGGGGAATTTTATCTTATGCATACTTTATCACAATACAAAGAGATAACTTATTTTTTAAAAATCCATTATAATGTTCAGAACGTCTAAACTCCTAAGTAAAAGAGCCCTGAAACTTGCTAGGCCTTCAGTTCTTTATTCACAAAGCCCACATTGATAATCTCTCCCGTGAGAATGTAAAATTCAAACAGAAAGGTTACTAGTCTTGATTAACTCACAGAACCTAGAATAATATATATGTGTGTACACAATGAGTTTTGAGCCGGCAGAAGTATTACCACTGTTAGCATCTTGTGTGTTGCCCACAAACTATAGGTTGATTAAGTAACACCAATATCTTATTTCAAATGAGATAATAATATATGGCAAAGTGTTTTGCAAGTTACCACATATTTAATGTAGTATTATTAATTTTTCTAAAGAAACAGTTATTGTTCTGTTGCCCAGGCTGGAATGCAGTAGCATTATCATAGCTAACCGCACCCTTGAACTCCTGGGCTCAGGTGATTCTCTTACCTCAGCCTCCCAAGTAGTTGAAACATAGGTGCATGCCATCACACCTGGCTAATTTTTTATTTTTATTTTTATAGAGATAGGGTCTCGCAACATTACCCAGGTTGGTTTCCTGGCCTCAAGAGGTCCTCCCACCTTGGCCTCCCAAAGTGCTGAGATGACAAGCATGAGCCACTGTATAATACTGTAGAACACTGTACAATAGAGCCACCTGGCCCTATTCATTATTAATATTAATATGTTAAATATGTGGTAACTAGCAAAATCCTTTGCCATTTATTTCATTTGAAATTATTAATACTATGTTAAATACTAAATATAACAGTATTATTAATAATGTATGCTAAATATGTAATAAATGTTATTTTTTTTCCCCCAAATTTAACTGCCAACAATTGTCAATTCCTTCCATTTTTGATCTATATAACACTGAACAGGTAACGATCTTTAAATCGTACATGGTACTTCAAAGATCAAAGGCTTTGGAGTTAAGAGACTTAGATCTGAATTTTGACATTGTTGTTTGCTTGCAGTTATGACCTGTAGTAAGTTATTTAGGTCTTTTCATTTCTTTTGTCCTTCTCCTATCTTTGATCTTACTCATGTTACTCCTTCAATTTTATCTCAAATGAGTGGAAAAATAGTGTTAAAATCTTCATACTTTGTGAACAAGATCAGGAAGCTCATGGAAATTCTGCCAAAAATCAAGCTATTTTGTATCCTGCTCCCACATTACCAAGGAACACAAGGTGAAGATTAATTGCCATTGCAATGTGGAGACATGTTAAGTGGTAAAAATACCAAAAAAAACTATTATTTGTATTAGAAAGCAATTTTGCCACGGAAAATGGAAACCCAAAAAAATTAAAAGGAATTATAACTGTTACATAAGTTTTAAAAATTTAGCAGGTCAAAGAGGTCAGTTCAGAATAAAAGAATTCTTGGTATTTTAGGGGTGGGAAGTAAAGAAGGGGTAGGAAGAGGGGAAGGGAAGCAAAGAACAATAAGTTCTACAGATTTCAATTTTTCTTTGTTTTTTCCAATAACCACAAAACAGGACCTCTTAGAATTAGGAAAAACTACCAAAATTCTTTTAAGTATGCTAAATCTAACCACGCTAGAATAAAACCATAGATAATGCAGATCTTAAGTAGTTTTATGAAGGAGGTACAGCAATATAATAAAATGCCACTGATCTGGACTCCCTAATTCCATAAGACTATGAGCTCCAGAAGGGAGAAAGAAAACTTTTGGTGGTTTGATCACTGCTGTTTTCCCAGTGTCTGAAATTGAACAGTGATCAATATACAACAGGTGTTCAGTAAATAGTTGTTGACTAAATTACCTCCTCTTTCAAGTGATCGGTTTTTCAATACATAAAAGGAAAAATATCCTTGTTACTTTTGCGGTTGATTTATTGTGTGGTTATTCTATAATTATTTATGCATTGCTTAACTTTGAAAAAGAATTTAAAGCAATACAAAATATTATTTTGTATTTTCTTCAGTCCCCTTCAAAGTTTTATTCAGATTTATAATAATATTTGTACGTCTTCAGCCTTCTTAAACTTTACTAAGAGAATAACCTGAATAAAAACACAAAAAGTGTTTTGATGTAACCATTTCTCACTCCCTGATCATCTCTTTGTCATGCAACAATTTCACTTGCAGCATGAAGATAATAATTATGTCACATTTAATTCTGAAGAGGAGGAAGTTCCTTATTTCCTAGTATATAATTGCTAATAAAATTCTCCCAAAGTCAAGCTGCTCTTACAGCTTCTCAGACAGCTGGTCATTCAATGATGTTCTTTGTTGTATAATTTCTTAATTTCCAGAGGATTTATTTTCCCTTTCTCCTCCTTAGACAATTTTATAGCTCAGCACAATGTAAGTACTGTGCTATAGTACTTGAAGGCAATACAATTGTTCTTTTAAAATATTTGATAACTAGAATGCTTCACTAATATTAGCAAACCTACATGATTTATTTCATCAGAATTAACAAGATTTCCATCTCTCTGCAAAGTACTATCCTTCACTGTCTCAACTAGATAGGCAGTCCTTAAGACAAATAACTACTGTGTAACTTTCTAAAATAAGGTAGCTGAGTTCATTTCCATTGTTACTATTCACTGCTATTGCTAAGGCAGCAAGTTAGGGACTGAGATACATTATCCTTTCTCTGATAGATGAACAGGGAAAAAAATCCTAAGATGTCAGCAGGGGAAAGATGAATTCTTTACCTCCCAAATCCACGAAGATGATGAGAACCTTTGGTGTCATGATAATTTTGATTCAGCTATGTTGTAGAGTTTTCTGTGAATCATCTTGTAATTTTAACTTTTTTTAAAAAGTAAGAAAGTGTTCTAAACTGACTGAAAATTAGTTTCTTATACAATACATTTTTGTTTCTGAATTGCCAGCTGCAAAAGCCTGATGGAATCAAGTATATCACAATATCCTATAAACTCATAAATAAAATTAAATTGAATTCTGGAATTAATAATAGAACCTTCTTATATTTTGGGTTTTAATAAAAACAAGAGAATAACTTGTCTTCTCACAAAAACATATATTTTAATCTCATTACTTACTACTTATTGACCACCTCCATAATAAGATAACTAACGCCTAAAATGAACAATTCAACAAAGATCAAATGTAAAATTATGACTGGTGAGCCTAAATCCATTACATTTATATTTCATCTGGGTATCCTGCGTGGGACATAAGAGGAGTAACAATATAATCTGCCCAATATTATCAAATTAATAGGTTAGGACAATTCCCATATAGTATTTGTGGCTTCTGATTTTCATCAGATACACACAAATATTTAGCAATGTAGTTTCAACAAACTACCACAACTACTTTCAAATATTCACTAAAATATGAAAGAAAAAAAAAAACTTACTGTCTCGGAGCGTTTCCCAAGCCCACTGGTCATTTTTGAAGAAGAGATGTCGTTTGATTTCTTCTACACCATTTCGCCCTAACCTCACTTCCCTGAATAATGACAGAAGGAGAAAAGTAATCAATCATTTAAGATCTTATTATAACCTGTCCAGGTTTATTTGTGGGCAGGATATTAAATCAGTGTAGGACGACAAATATAGTTCTAAGGTGAAATTATATTGTCAGCATAGTATCAGCCCAAATAGAAAATATGTTAAAGATTGAGAACATTAAAGAATTTTTTTAAAAGAAAACTAAAGAAAGGCTGGACATGGTGGCTCATGCCTATAATCCCAGCACTTTGGGAGGCTCAGGTGGGGTGGATCACCTGAGGTCAGGAGTTCGAGACCAGCCCAGCCAACACTGTGAAACCCCATCTCTACTAAAAATATAAAACTAGCGGGTGTACTGGAACACGCCTGTAGTCCCAGCTACTTGGGAGGCTGAGACAGGAGAATCGCTTGAACCCGGGAGGCAGAGGCTACAGTGAGCTGAGATTGCGCCACCGCACTCCAGCCTGGATGAAACACAGCGAGACTCCGTCTCAAAAAAAAGAAAACTAAAGAATAACTACAAAAAACACCCATGACTTTTCTACTGACAACAAAAATCCAGATTAATCACCACCTTACTTCATTAGCAAAATGAATAAAGCACCATGCATTTTCTTGACAGTTTTTTGTGTGTGTGTGTTATTTTTTTCTTACAATGGTAAAGTTAGGCTTTTTTTTCCCCAACCAAAACTTTACTTAGGCAGCAATACCAGATGCTACCAAAAACCTCCAGAAACACATTTAAAATTTTGAACTTCCAATTTATAATCTATTAATTATTTCTGACCATTCAAAAGCCAATGACTACTAATTCTTGATACTGCCACAGAATTCAGAGCTTTCACTGGACAAGTTACTGATACCAGCCTCTTTTTTGGTGAGCAAAAAGTTTTTAAAAATGTGATTTTAGCTGAATTGGAAAAAGAAAGTTAGCACCTTTTTTCCCTAGTACAGTGCTTATAAATAAAGAAAATACTCTAAATTCTAAGTTTTTGCATAAGCTAAAAGATAAGTTGGCTTAGACATGTGACAATTTTTCCAAGAAGCTTTCACTAACTCTCAAACTGGATTAGAAAACCTCTCCATGGTTCTCCGGCACATGGTACTTATCTCATGGTAATTAGCTGTGTGTACTATAAATGTCTGATTTGCTTATCTAATTCCCCCAAAGGACTATGAGGTATTTGAGAAAAGTGGCTCTGTATCTTCCTCACTACTATATCCCTAGCACCTAATAAACAGCATAATACAATGCTTTATATTAAAATGTAAAAATTGGCCAGGTGCGGTGGCTCACACCTGTAATCCCAGCACTTTGGGAGGCCAACGCAGGCAGATCATGAGGTCAGGAGTTCAAGACCAGCCTGGCCAACATAGTGAAACCCTCTCTATCAAAAATACAAAAATTAGCCAGGCATGGTGACAGGAACCTGTAGTCACAGCTACTTGGGAGGCTGAGGCAGGAGAATCACTTGAATCCGGGAGGTGGAGGTTGCAGTGAGCCGAGATCATGCCACTGCACTCCAGCCTGGGCAACAGAGTGAGACTCTGTCTCAATCAATCAATCAATCAATGTAAAAATTAGCCAGGCATGGGTGGCTCAGGCCTGTAATCCCAGCACTTTGGGAAGCTGAAGTGGGAGGATCACTTGATCCCAGGAGTTTGAAACCAGCCTGGGCAACAGAGCAAAACCCTGTCTCTATTTAAAAAAAAAAAAAAAAAAAAAAAGTAAACATTTGAAAAACCATACTTCAAGCTCTAAAGGACATAATGAAGGGAGACAAGTTAAAGCAAATCTCAACTTGAAACATATTTAAAAGTACTAGGTCTCCCTAATATTTAACAATATACAATCATAAACATTAAATATAATCTTACTAATACATCTGGTTCACTTTCAAATTTCAAAAGTAAACCACAAAGGTATATATAATATGCCATTTTTCTTTCAAAAATGCAGACAGACATTATTATTAAAATGCTTGTTGGATCTACAAGATGGAACACCAACTATTATGTCTAGAAGAAAAAAGATAGTATACTTTTAAAAATGGCTTTATACTATTGACTCTTTCAACAACCATATACCATACATCATCAAATCTAAAATGGTTTAAAGTATAAGGTGTATCACCGTTTTTATACCACTATGAAAAAGGATGCTCCCAACTCATACCATTGACTGTGAGATGTACTCTAATTTCAGAGATGTTATGTTAAAAAATTTTTTTAGATTCAGTAAAATACACAGTAATTTTTATAATTAACCAAGTTAAAAATTGAACAATAAAAGAAAAAAGTCATCTAGTTTAGCCATCAGCCAAGACTGTATTATTATCACAATTTCTTAGGTATGATAAGTGAGTTGAGATCTACAAAAGACATCTAGAATATCATAAAATTACATCAGGTTTCACTGTCATTTATATTCTAACAATTTACATGTAGAAGCTCAGATATGGACCTTAAAAATGGAGCAGAAGATGAGAAGTCCTCAGAATTAATACAGGCTCAGTTTTAAAATTATTTACCTGTCAGTAAGGAAGGCACAAATAAGGTTTTTTGCTTCTTTTGATATGTCATTATCATCAGGAAAGGTAAGTGAATTTTTATGGTTCATAATTTTACTGTAAGTTCCAACCAAAGAATCTGCATAAAAAGGTGTATCACCTGAAAAATTGATAAAGAAAACAAAAGCAAAATGAAATACATTTTTAAAAAGTCAGTTTCAAAGGAAGAGTCAAAGTTACCCGTTTAAAAAGATTATTAGGTATGTATTAAACTAAAAACATACACCTAATATATAAAAGAACACATCACAAAGTTGCTCTAAGCCTCTAAATGCTTTTAAAAACACATACGAAGCAGGTTTGGATCATGTTTATTACCCACAAATAAAATCAAGATTGCTTAATATAATAAATATATTAGAAAGAGCCAAGTGGCAAGTTTTGAGATGAACAACTGTAATAGAGAGACATAAAATCTTCCTTACTCACCTACAAGCATTTCGTATAAAAATACCCCAACCGACCACCAGTCACATTCTCTTCCATAATAACCATCACCACCTTGGGATTTTAATACTTCAGGGGAAATATAATCAGGTGTTCCAACCGCTGTATCACATCGTACCATGCCTTCCTAAAAAGCGCGGCAGGTCAAATTTTGAATTAGGATATAAAGTCTCAATTATTTAAAATGACTTTCTTATTAATATTACCTATGGGACTCCAAATCTTTGAGCTATAAAATATCATATATTAAAACTGAATGGAAACCTGACAAAAATTAACACAGCTTAATCATATATATACATACTATATACACACCATATACATATATACCATATAATGTATGTATGTGTATACATGTGAATGCATATACACACACATTATATGTGTATTCACATATATACACACACCAGTGATTATTTTGTAATAATGCTCACTAGAAAAACATACTGCCACATTTATTATTCCCCAAGTTGTGCCAATATCATGAAACCATTTAACTGCTGAGAACAAGTACACAGGCCAGTGCAAATACACTGGGGAGTTCATAGGATAGGGCATTTTACAACATATTGGTATAAACACTGACTTCATTATTTTCTACTAAAATAGCTATTTAACTATGTTTGAAACTACAAAAGAAACATACAAAAGCTGACTGTACAAATACAAACTGGGGAAGCATATGTATGGGAAAAGGGCATAATAGTGTAAAGCACACTGAATGTCTATTTGATGTGAATTTTAACTGCCCTCCCCCAACAAACCTGAGAGACTTGTTAGCTGTTACCTATATTCGCTGGTATTAATGAAACAGCATTATAACTAAATGTTCATACAGAAGTTCTCATGCAGTGTTTCCTTCACTGTGTATATGAAGTGAAGGAATAACATATACACAGCTCCTTCAGCTCCTTCAGCTGTGTATATGTTATTTATTATATAAATAACATATTTATTTATGTTATTTATTATATGTATATACATATACATAATGTATATGTATATACATATACATAATATGTATATACATATACAGCTGTGTATATGTTATTTATTATATAAACAGTGAGGATAGGTATCTTTTAAGACTCACTCCTAAAATAAGCAGTAAAATCTTTTATATGTTAACTGAAGTAAAACACTAAAAAATACACACATTACTGGAATCCAATTTTTATGAAAGTCTAATTTTAACACTGGCATAAGTATTTAGTGACATTTAAGCTAATTCCATTCCTAGTTACCAGTAGTGTATATTAGAGTTGTTATGAAGGATTTAGTAAATCTGGCAATCCATATTTACCCTAAATAGAGAGGAAAAAATAAATCACTAACAAGTTACTAATACAACATTGAAACCATGGTATCTAGTTCAACAAATAAGGTCATATTAATTCTGGACAAGTCCAGCTATGGTTAGTAAATTCTTACACCATTTTCTAAAGAATTCTTAAACCATTTTCTAAAGAAGCATCTACCTTGAATTAGCAAAAACTAAATTAAAATCTAGTTAATTAACCTTATTCATCTTCATACAAGTACCAAAATCTGCTAACTTCAAATGTCCAGATTTATCCAGCAGCATGTTATCAGGCTTCACATCTCTGCAGGAGGGAAAAAATAGTACAGTATTTTCTGAAACAGATTAGACACTGTAAAAATTATATGAGGCAGTTATTTTAGGTCAAGCATCCTCAATCTAGGTAAGGCCATCTTTGATCTGTATGTGTTCTCTATCCACATCTATAAATTAAATTTCATCAAAGAAACTTCTTTATATGTTAATGCCTCAGAAGAAAACATATATATTCCTTTTTTAAAAGTTTCATTCTTTCAGAGGGAAAATCAAATCATTTGAGAGAGACAGACCATCAAAAATACAACACTCAGACATAAAAGGTGATTGAAACATATTAGATAGGTAAGTACATAAAAAAACCCCACGGCAGGGTCTAAGTCACTTTCATTTTTGATCCCTGACATGTAGGCACAGCAACTGCACACAGGATTCAAGCAGTGTTTGTACAACAAATGAAACTATTCGTCTAATGAATAAATACGACCTATTCACTAATTAAAAGCAAATTAAGTTACATATTTAAAAAATTAACATCAAAGTGTTTAACTCCTGGCACATACCTTAGAAAACTAGTTTACAAGTTTTACTTTTCAGAACACCATTTAAAGGCTATATGATCAGATTAAGGGATATTAAAGAATACATTTATATCAACATTAAATTGAAATGCTAAAATTATAAACTTCAAAGTTTGGAGTTCTTTTTTTCCCCCCTTCCTGACATAGAATCTCACTCTGTCACCCAGTCTGAAGTGCAGTGACTAGATCTCAGCTCACTGAAACCTCTGCTCCCAGGCTCAAGCGATCCTCCCACCTTAGCCTCCCAAGGAGCTGGGACCACAGGTGCATGCCACCACACCTGTGTTTTTTTTTTTTTTTTTTGTAGAGATGGGTTTCACCATGTTGTCCAGGCTGGTGTCAAACTCCTGAGCTCAAGAGATCTGCCTGCCTCGGCCTCCCAAAGCTCTGGGATTACAGGCGTGAGGCAGCGCCTGGCCAGAGTCTTGAGTTCTGAAAGGTCACTTATGTCATACGGAAGAAGAATGGGTGAACTGAGAGTAAGAAATGTTAAAGTTATTTTTAGCTATTTCCCTCAACAAATGAGAAAATTTAAAGCACTTTTATCTTTACCTGTGAATAAAACCCATGGAATGGATTGCATCCAATGCAAGAACTACTTCTGCAGTATAGAATCGTGCCCATTTTTCAGGCACATCATAGTTGCTCATTAAGTTTACAAGATCTCCACCAGGCATGTATTCCATCACCATGTAGAGATAACGATCATCTTGGAATGCATAAAAAAGCTATACAAATAGAAAAAACAAACAAAACACATTCATTAATGTTAAACAAAATTGTTTCACTTAAAAAGTGGCAAAAATGTTAATAAAAGATTTAAGTAAAATAATCAAATTACAGAAGTTGCAAGTCTAGTTTTAAAAAAAGACAAACATAAATGCCACAAAGACCCTTGTATATGCAAAATGACTATAACATAATTATTCAGAAGAGTTACATGGAGATATCCTTTCTTCATAATTTTCTACACTATTTGAATTTCTTTTACTGAGAATTTTTTTAAACTGTAATATTTTCAGTAAATATACAAATCTCCTAGGCAAAGAAATACTGTATTTCTAATTTAACTTGTGCATCAGTGGGGTCTACTATTAAATTTATATCAATATCACAATGCTCAAGAAGTCTTTGATAAATTTGGCTTACAGTTTCAGCTGTTTTTTTTTTTTTTTTTTTTTTTTTTTTTGAGACGGAGTCTCGCTCTGTCGCCCAGGCTGGAGTGCAGTGGCGTGATGTCGGCTCACTGCAAGCTCCGCCTCCCAGGTTCACGCCATTCTCCTACCTCAGCCTCCCGAGGAGCTGGGACTACAGGCACCCGCTACCACGCCCGGCTAATTTTTTGCATTTTTAGTAGAGATGGGGTTTCACCGTGTTAGCCAGGATGGTCTCGATCTCCTGACCTCGTGATCCGCCCACCCTGGCCTCCCAAAATGCTGGGATTACAGGCATGAGCCACTGCGCCCGGCCTCAGCTGTTTCTTATTAGCTGTGTGACTAGTAATTTGCTTAACCTACCCGAGTCTATGAGACTATAATCTCTTCTAAAACACTGTAAGGACTATACTTCGTTTAACTTTTATACCTGCTGCTTAGTCAAGTATCCAGATGCCTGGCGGTTAGCAATTGCTTAATAAAGGCTTAATGAACCAAATCATAAACTAATCCATAAAGTAACAGTGCACCTAACAGATTAACTGTCTTTCAGGGTTGAGGGTTGTTAAAAAAGATTACTGAATATAGAAAGCACTTAGTGCAACAGATGCTCAACAAATGACAGCAGTCAGGAGGAGGAGCAGTAATAGCTAACACAGAAGTAGGAGGAAGGCAGCAGCTAGGGTTCAAATAGTAACAGCAAAATCCACTAATGTGAAATTAGCGAGGATATCAGGCATAAATATATTATGTGACTGGGGATCAAATAAAAAGAAGGGCAAATTTATAAAATAACATTTTAAGTAAATACAAGAAGTTTAGAATTAAACTAAAAAAAACAAGCCCTAGAGAAGATGATCTCTAATTTACCCAGATGTTTGTCTTAAAATCTTCTTAATGTTTCATTTTTTTCAACTGTGTTTAATAATTTTAGTTATAGATTCAGTTACTTTGTTTTGATTTTTTGTTTTTTTGTAGAGATTGGGAGCCAGTCTTGAACTCCTGCCCTCAAGTGATCTTCCTGTCTCAGCCTCTCAAAGTGCTCAGATTACAAGCATGGGGGCCACCACACCCGGCCCAGACTCAGTTATTTTAATGTAAAAAATGTATTTTGGGGGAAGAGAGAAGGATAAGAAACAAAGTGGCATTTCATGACTATCCCAGATTAAAGTATATAATTTGTCATTTGGGCCCCATAAAGAAATACTGTTAATTTGGTGACAGTTTCACCCTATTTATAGACAATATATCCAGAGAAATAAAGCTCTGAATACCTAAATTGTAAATAGCCCTGAAAGTAACAATTATGTCACATATTTTTTCACTAACAGACACTGAACGTTCATGTATCAGTGGTTGTTAACTAGTGGTGAAAACATTTTTGGTTGTCACAACTGTGTGTGAGGTGGGAAGAGTCACTACTAGCATCCCCTGTGTAGAGGCCAGGAATGCTGCCAAACATCCTAAATAAACACATTAGTAACTGAAATAATATAAAGGATAGCCCCCAACAACAAAGAATTATCTGGCCCAAAATGTCAATAGTATTAAGCCTGAGAAACTCTGATCTACATAGTTGGTAAAAACATAGACATTTCAAGTTTAAAAGTACTATGGTGACCGGGCACGGTGGCTCACACCTGTAATCCCAGCACTTTGGGAGGCCGAGGCAGGCGGATCACGAGGTCAGGAGATCGAGACCATGCTGGCTAACACAGTGAAACCCGTCTCTACTAAAAATACAAAAAATAATAGCCGGGCGTGGTGGCAGGCACCTGTCGTCCCAGCTACTCGGGAGGCTGAGGCAGGAGAATGGCGTGAACTCAGGGGGCAGAGCTTGCTTGCAGTGAGCCGAGATCGCACCATTGCACTCCGGCCTGGGCGACAGAGCGAGACTCCGTCTCAAAAAAAAAAAAAAAGTGCTATGGCATAAACCTTCAACATTTTTCATATCCTTTTAATTCCAATTACTGGTATGCTTTTTAAGGACAGACTTCATTATATATTATAAATAAATCACAAAAACATGTTAGAAAATTAGAAATGGTCTAGCCCAGTTTAACTTCCCCCGTATGACATTTTGCATTAAGGATCCCAATACATAAGACAGATAAAACATGAAGCTGAACTCATAAAAGCAGAGAGAAAACTCAGAATTATAATCTACCCAAAACCCCACTTGACCCCATGATTTTGCCTAAGGTACCTCCACAATTGAACATAACCAATCAAAGACAACTTTCAGACTTATGAACAAGGAAATTGTGGCCCAGAGATGTTAAGTAACATGGCCACAGCTTCAGAGAAAGGCCTATGGCAATCAAGACGAGGACCTAAAACTACTGACTTCTAGTTTTTCTTTCCACTGAAAACCGAAAGACAAGTATTATTTGGTGACCTAGCTTAACTTGGTTTCCTCTCACTTTCCCTTCATTTCTCTTATTATCTCCTCTTCACAAAATAAGAGACAGATAAATGAGGAGACAGCTAAACAAAATGAGAGCCTCATGTTTGGGGAAAAAAATTCAATATTAACTAAAAGTATCTATTTAAATTTTAATAATATACGACTTCCCTCAAATCTAAGTAGATTAAGTTTTCTATATCTTCTGTATTTAAAAATATCTAATTTAAAATTCTGTATTTAAATTTTATATTTATTATTTTTATTTTTGAGACAGGGTCTCACTCTGTTGCCCAGGCTGGAGTGCAGTGATGTGAACACGGCTCACTATAGCCTCGACCTCCTGGACTCAAGTAATCCTCCTGCTTCAGCCTCCCCAGTAGCTGGAACCACAGGCGTGTACCACCATGCCTCAATAATTTTTTTAATTTTTTGTAGAGATAGGTGTCACTATGTTGTCCAGGCTGGTCTCAAACCCCTGGGCTCAAGCTATCCTCCCGCCTTGTCCTCCCAAAGTATTCAGATAACAGGCATGAGCCATCACGCCCAGCACAAATTCTACATTTAAATTAAATTTCCTATATATAAATTCTACAGAAGCATGGTTATTTTGTTCTAGCCTTTCTTGCTAGAAATGATTCAATACAATTAAATTTTAAGATTTAAAAGGTAATTAGACAATTTTGTAACTGCCAGTAAATTCTCTACTACTATTCTAAAACACAAACTAAGCTTCTCAGACATGTTTAGTTACAAACTAATGCAGCAATAATGAAAGAGTAGCAAAGTCATACCTGAACAACCCAAGGACTGTTGGCAAAAGCCATGATGTCCCTTTCTTCCCAGAAAAAAGCAGAATCAGATCTCTTTATCATTTCAAATTTGCTGAGAAGCTTCATAGCATATACCTTCCTGGTGGATTTATGCCTTACCTTTAAAATTGAAAAGGGAAAATAATGAACCTTTTGTTAACATTTAAAGCTCAAGGTTTCACAGAACAATTTACTAAGTGCTTTTAATACTTGCTAAATAATTTAGCCTTACTGTTTCAGTTATTTTTATTTCTTCTCTTCTGCCAAATTATTCCAAGTAGCTAATGTCAAGACTTTAATTATCAGAAGTAATGTTTTAAAAAAATTTTTATTTCCTATATTACAAGACACTTTCCCCCCTCCACACGGCTATGTAAGCTGCTTCCTGTTTATAAAGCTTACTGTTCTACAGCATTTTAGTCTAATATTAGGAGCAAAGATTTATCTTCTGATGCCTGACACTTCTTTTCTGCCACAGATACTTGGGGAAAACACTTCCCACTATGGCTAGATTTGACACTAGGCTTCCATACCCTCAGGCAACAATGTCTAAAGGAACTTAAAGCAACAATTCTATAAAAACAGTATTTTCCCAAATAATATGTTAAACACACAAGTGGATTATTTTAATTTAATAAAGTCCTTTTGTATTCTCATTAAAATAACCTACCAATTGAACTTCTCCAAATGCACCTCTACCAATCACCTTCACTACTTCATAATCTTCAGCTTTCATTCGTAAATCTCTGATTTTATTTATTGTGTCTTTATCTGTATGAAAAGAAAAGTTTATCATTTTAAATCACTAAAGCATTACAACTAGCACTACTTATTTTACATTCGAGTTCTTAAGAAACACAATGAAAAACAACAAACTTCATGAAGAATTATTTGAAAATATGGTGAAACTTGAAGCTATAAAGTAGCTAAATGTTCAATTTGCTAAGATTTTTTAAAGTAAATTCCAGAATAACTTCATTACAACTACTAAAGGTTTTTATTAATCAAAATTTGACTTAACAGAATGTTTTAAAAACAAATATTACACTACAAACAAAAGCTGAAAATAATTAGCTAATTAGTTCCTGGTATTTTAAGTACACATCAAATCTGAATTTAGGAAACATGAGTAGATATTTTAGATTAATACTGGAATAAATTTTTCTTTTTATAAGGTCAGTTTTAGTGATCCTTTAAAAAAAGATGTAATTTAAGATATCAAAGGCAAACACACTAAAAAAAAAAAAAACAGTAAATTTTCCAACTGGTAATCTTTAATACTTATAGCATTACATTTCTCTATTTGAACCTAGATTTTAACTTGAAACACACAGTGAAAATCACTGCAATTATTTATATAAACTTGTCATACTACAAACTACAATAATTCACAAATCCCCACTGGATAGATATTCTAATTCCTAATTTGGTCATAGATTAAAATAGGGCTATTTTAATCCACATGGGTCAACACTGGCATGAGATTACATGGAAAAGCTTCACATTTCAGAGTTGTACAAAATACACAGCAGCTATTAAACTTCAGTTCCAGTTCCTAATAAGAGCTGTATTAATATTCTTGTTTTCCTTTTCAAATGCATTTAAACTCAAGTGTTTGTGTACTTTATGACCAATAAATACATGTAACAGAGAGCAAATTTCTACAAAGTTATAAGTACCTTTAATTTTAGGTTACATATCCACTGCAAGATGCACCAGAAAGATGAACAATAATCAATTAATTCGCTGCACAAATATTTCTATCTACCATACATCAGGCTGTACAGCACTGGAGATAAATAAACATAACTTTAAAATGTAGTTCCTATTCTTTAAGAGTTCAAACTCTAGCAAATAAAACAGAAACAATGAAAAAAAGAATTCAAAAAATGTAATAAGGAAGATAAACAGTTTTTTGAGTACTAAGGAGGACACCTAACTAAAGCCTGCTGGGTGAGAGATAGCTAGGAAGACTTTCTGTAAATGATGGTACCTGAAAAAAGTCTAAACTGAATAGTAGCGGTTAGCTAGATGATAGAGAATGAAAGAAAGAACAGGCCAGGTGTGGTGGCTCATGCCTGTAATCCCAAAACTTTGGGAAGCTGAGGCAAGCGGAATGTATGAGTCCAGGAGTTCAAGACCAGCCTGGGAAACATGATGAAACCCTGTCTCTACAAAAAATATTTTTTTAAAAATTAGCTGGGTGCAGTGGCAGTTTCCTGTAGTCCCAGCTACTCAGGAGGCTGAGGTGGGAGGATCACCTAAGCCCAGGACGTGAAGGTTGCAGTGAGCCAAGATCACACCAGTGCACTCCAGTCTGGGCGACAGAGCGAAACTCTGTCTCAAAAAAAGGAAAGAACAAGTGAACAATATAAGCAGACAAGCAATGTAAACCAAGCACAGAGGAACTGTATCTAAGTTCTATGTTGCTGGAGTATCAAGTTTGTAGTAAGGACTGACAGAAGAGGCTGGAGAGCCCCAGGTAAGTTCAGGAGCTTGAACTTTACCTATCAGCCAGTAGTTACAGTAATAAAACTAATATTTAAGTACCGAAAACCGTTTTCACATTAAAGTTTAAAGTAGCTCTCTACATGAAATAGATCAAAGAAACTGCTCTGTTCTAAATGAGGTTAAAGGTGTCAGAGAAGAGACAGAGCCTCATCTACTTCAGGCTCTTCCATAATACAGTCCCTGAGGAATGCTCTGGAATCTGCTGGGAACTGAGAAGCACCACTACTATGGGCAGGAAGCCATGAAAAGGAATTATGATGGATAAAACAACATAGTCAAACTTACATTTCAGGAAAACTACTCTAGGAAATACGTAGAAGATGAGTTCAATAAAGTCAAGACAGGAGGTGGGGAGAATTTTAAGAGTATTGTAATACCCCAGATGAGAGAGAAAGTTCTGAACCTGGATAATATAATAGCCTGTTACGTTGAAAAAAAGATTCTTGGCTCTAGCTATGAGCTAGAATAGGCTGTAGAGTCTTGACAAAGACCGCAGACAAGTCATTTGAAATCTAAAAGATCTTTCTATGTTCTACTGCCTTGGATTCTAGCTTGTTCTAATACAGGTTTACGTGCTAACAAGTGTAAATGCCTCTGTTGGATGGCTTTCAATCAAACTCAGAGATTCTATGGTTCTACTTTTCCTAGTTCATCTCACCAAGGGTCCAACCTAGAACTAATAAAGAACTTAATGGTAAAATTCTAAGCATTGGACTTTAGTTTCCCAAACACTCAGGACTATGTATTCACACCTACCCAAATCTCAGGATCTTAAACGAAGCCTATTTATTGTAAAGTAGTCATGTAAGAAACCCACTCTTGGTCTAGGGGTACTATATAGCCTGAACTTTGTAGGCTTATGGCTCCATTGAGACAGAAAACAATGCATGCACTAGAACAGGGATTCCCAACCCCTGAGCCGTGGACCTGTACCGGTTCATGGCCTATTAGGAACTGGGCCACACAGCATGAGGTGAGCAGTGGGTAGGCAAGCATTACCATCTGAGCTCCACCTCCTGTCAGATCAGCAGCGGCATTAGATTCTCACAGGGGCACAAACCCTATTGTGAACTGCACATGCGAGGGATCCAGGTTGCACATTCCTTATGAGAATCTTTTTTTAATGCCTGATGATCTGAGGTGGAATAGTTTCATAAAACCATCCCGTCTGCCACCCCCCAACCCCCATCCTGTCCATAGAAACACTGTCTTCCACAAAACTGGTCCCTGGTGCCAAAAAGTTTGGGGACTGCTGCTCTAAAGAAAAATAATAAGTACATAAATAAATATGTAACTTAATTTCACATTGTGATACATATTCTAAAGAAAATAAGACCAAGCTTTCCCAAGTCTGTAAGGGGAGACTATATACACAGGCTAATTCTTCAGTCACTTCAAACTCTGCACTGATTCCTCAAATAAACAAGAGTCAAGGAAAACAACTCAAAATTGGTTATTTTTTAATTGACTATTGATGCCACTCCCAATACCCCCAATTCTTTGAGCAGCTATTCTTGCCCAAAGGCTAACAGTCTTAGGCAAGTTTTTCTCTCTGTACACATTTGTTTGGCTGCTGCAATCACACACCATCAGTGAACAGCTTTCTCTGCTAGGCTAGTGAATAAACCACTCATACACTTACATAACATTGCAGCCTCTTTTTTTTTTTTGGTCAAGCCTGCATGAACATTTTTCTTTATGAAGAAATTTTACTGGGATGAGATACTCTGTTTTAAATTTTCTATTTTTTCTCACTGTTGCTGTCCTATGAGTCAGGAAGATCATAGTGAGTGCTTAGTCTGGGAATGTCCAAAGTACACTGTATTCCTTTAGCACAGCTATACTGTCATTGCATAATTTAAAAAAATGCTTTGCCACCTAACTTGATAAAAATAATCCATTCTCCATTATGCTTCAAAAAGGACAACATTTGGGCTGGGCATGATGGCTCACACCTGTAATCCCAGTGCTTTGGGACACAGAGGCAGGAGGATTGCTCAAGGCCAGGAGTTTGAAACCAGCCTGGACAACATACCAAGACTTGTCTTTACAAAAAATTTAAAAATTAGCCAGGCCCATGGTGGCATGCACTTGTAGTCCCAGCTACTTGGGAGGCTGAGGCAGAAGGACTGCTTGAGCCTAGGAGTTCAAGGCTGCAGTGAGCTATGAATGTGCCACTGCACTCCTGCCTGTGTGACAGTCTTTTAGGGGAGGGAAAAAAAAAGACAACATTTCAAGTATACTCTTCTCTTCTTGCTTTGACACATGCGTATGTACTGGTAATAGAAAACAAATAAAATGTTGTGATATGGTGATACATATAGCACTCAAAACTGTCAAGCTGTAACAGCATCACTGTGATTTCTACTGTGCTGAGCAGCAGTGTGAAGCAAGGAGAGCATCACATATGGTCGCTGTTGTAGCTACTCAGCTTAGGTGTTGTAGAACAAAAGCAGCTATACACAATACATTTTTTAAAGTGTAGCAACGTCCCAAGAAAACTTTATTTATGGACACTGAAATCTGAATTTCCTATTATTTCACATTCATGATATTGTTTCATTATTTCACCATCATGATCATGATGGGCTTTAAAAACCATCTACATATCAACTTCCAAATTTTTATCTCTAGTCTAGTCTCTCTTAAACTTCAAACTTATATATGCAATTGTATATTCTTTAATTATATATTCTTTTGACTTTTTTTTCAATCATGAAAAAATACAAAAAACATGCTTAGTTCATGAGCCACAGTGGTGGGTGAGATTTGGCCTGTGGGCTGTAGTTCACCAACTCCTGCTCTAATAAAACCCAGTGGCCTTCTGAGGGCACTGCTTCCCCACAGCTCTCAAGTGGGGACCTTTACTTTTCCACATGCCTTAGACAACCGACCCTGAAAGTGGGAGATCCCCCACATCCCCACCCCTAAATCTGCTAGCTTTGATTTTCATTATATTAGGTTGTATTTCCCACCTCTCATTGTTGCTGTAATCTACTGACTCTCAGAGGTCACCACGTCTCATCGCTAGACAGTTTTACTTCCTGATTTACTGAACTTCTCTCCAATATTCTCCTGTTTTAATTCTTAATAACTTTAATATACCCACAGATAATACTTACAGTACCTTGGCCTCTCAACACCTATACTTCTCTCCTTCAATGATCTTGTCCTCTACCTTACCTTGGTCACTCATTTCCATGGTCATATACTAGACCTTGTCATTACTCATAATTATAATCTTCCAACAATTTCAATTAGAAAACTTACACTCTCTAAGCACTCTCTTATAGCTTTCCTGCTTAGTTCCTCTAGCATCTTAACTCCAACAACCCCAACCCCACCAGGACCTCCAATCCATTGATTCTACTACACTCATACTTTCCCTCGTTGCACTGATAGCCTCTTTTTCCTACCTAGCCAGCTTAAATTACATGGTCAATTATTATAATCACTCCCTTGCATATACCTTTAATGTCATGAGCTCTCTTCTGCCTCACTTTACTTAGTTTGGCAAAACGACAATCCTATTATAGTTAAATCCAACTCTCCAACTACTCTATGTCAGCACCCATGCAGTTGAATATGTCTCAATAAATACATAAAATCACAATGACTGATCCTATTTTAAAATTCATAATCACAAACATCAAGCTGGCCCTTAGTTCTACTTGGCAATCCTAAATTTCTAGTCACTCTCCCACTCTCCTAGAGACGTATTTCAAGTTTTCTTCTTTCTTCACACACACCTCCCACAGCTCTCCCACTGATCCTCGTTCACAGCTAATGATCTTGTTTGGCTACTACCCTGAAACGAACGAAACAATCAGAAGAAAACTACCACTGACTTACCACCACTTACACACTTAACTATCAGCATGTACAAGCATATATTTTGTCTTTTCATATTTTACTATGGGAGACTACTTCTATCTTAACTTAAACCCTCCACTCATGCACTAGATGTCATCCTTTTTCATTACTGTAGTTCAAGGACATTGCTCAAGCAATTCTCCCCTTTCTCCTCTATTACTAAGCTTTACCCCTCCTAACCGGATCCCACCATGCTGTTTTCTCTCCCATCTTAGGGAAACAAAAAAAAACTCTTGATCTCATTTCTCTCAGCAGCTACTGTCCCATTACTCAACTCCCCACTGCAGCAAAATTTCTCAAAAGTTGTCTATAATTTCTGTGACTAAATCTTTCCTACTATTTGCTCTAAAATCCACTTCAGGTCGGCTCTTACCTTTCTTTCAAAACTACTTGTCAAAGTCACAAATGAGCATCATGTTGCTAAATCCAATGACCAATTCTCAGCCCTCATCTTGATATATCAGTGGCTTTAACACTTCAATCACTCTCTCCTGATACACTTTCTTTACTTGACTTTCAGGACACAACATTCTTCCAACAATACTGAAGATTTTACTTTTCAACCTTAGTAGTTTTCAGTTGCCTTGGCTGGTTCCTCCCCTTCTCTCAGATTTCTTAACACTGGAGCATTCCAAGGCTCAGCCCTCAATGGTGACTTCTTCTCTATCTACACTCACTTCTCTGGTGGGCTTTAAAAACCATCTACATATCAACTTCCAAATTTTTATCTCTAGTCTACATGTCTCTCTTAAACTTCAAACTTATCTATTCAATTACTTTCAAAATATATCCTCTTTTGAAAAACATCTCAAATTTAATGTGCCAAAAACTGAAGAAATATTCTCACCCAAAACTTATACCTATGTGTCCCACACTTTGGCCGATGGCTCAATTTTGCTCAGGACAAAAACCTAGGGGGCATTCTTGACTCCTTTTTTTCTTACACTCCACATCCTATCTTTCAGGAAAATATGTTGGCTCTCTCTTTGAAATATATCTGTAATCTGATAGCTTCTCACCCTCTACATTGCTACCATGCTAGACCAAGTCACCATCATCTCTTCCTTGGATTACTGTGATAGACTCTTAACTGATTGCCCTGTGTCTATTCTCAACATAGGGTGATGTTCTTAAAACACAAGTCAGATCATGTCACTTCTCTGCTCAAAAGTCTCTAATGTCTTGCCATCTCACCCAGAGCAAAAGCCCAAGATTTTACAATGGCCTACAAGACTCTACATGACCTAGCCTCCCCATTTCCTTACCTCTATGATATCATCCTACAATTCTCCCCCTTGCCTAATCCTCTCCAGCCACACTGGCTTCCTTGATGTTCTTCAAACAGGCCAGGTACACTCTCCTCCCTTCAGGCCTTTGCACTAGCTGCTCCTCTGTATGCCACTCTCTTCCCTCAGACATCCACATGGCTAACTCCCTCAACTACTTCAACTCTTTTTTCAAATGTCACCTTTTAACAAGGCCTACCCTGGCCACCTTACCTAAAACAGCAAACTTCTCAGAACTTCCGATCCTTCTTAAACTGTTGTATCTTTTCCTATGGCAGATTTTGACCTCTTTGTTATTCACAAAATTAGTTTTATGCAAAATAATATTTGCAAAATCACAAATCTGGTAAGTCTTCCTTCATTCTAAAACCTCCAAATAGGATGTTGTGACCATCTAGACTCTTTTAGCAATTTCTGATTGTCAACTATATTGAGTCAGGTGATGCTGGCAGAAAGCTAAGATTCAGAGAAGTGAAATACTACTATGCAACATATTCAGCAAGAAATAAAATGAGCAAATTGAGTCATAAATAGGAACCACAGTCTTGACAACCACTAACTAGCTAATCATTAGAGCTAGTCGTTTAGAGTTAATCTTTCTCCAAATGATCACAAGTTAGCAAAAGGGCCAGTGCAAAAAGGCTAACTTACAGCTTCTGGGTTACCAAAAATTCAAAAGCATTTCAATCATATATAAACTCTTCAATCTAATTTTCAAGAAAGCAAATGGATGATTTTTCCTAATACTGTTTTAAAAATTGGCCAGGCGCTGTGACTCACGCCTATAATCCCAGCACTTCAGGAGGCCAAGGCAGGCGGATTGCTTGAGGTCAGGAGTTCAAGACCAGCCTGGCCAACATGGCAAAACCCCGTCTCTACTAAAAACACAAAAATTAGCCGGCACGGTGGTGGGCGCCTGTAATCCCAGCTAATCAGGAGGCTGAGGCATAAGAATCACTTGAACTCAAGAGGTGGAGGTTGCAGTAAGCCGAGTTTGGGCCACTGCACTCCAGCCTGGGTGACTGACCGAGACTCTGTATCAAGAAAAAAATTAAATTAAATTAAAAATAAATAAAAATCAACTTTATACCCAGTAAATTTTACTTCTAGGAATTTATCCTAAGGAAATGAGATACAATGTGGGACCAAGATATCTACAATAAAGTAGTTTTTACAATTTTAAAGAGCAAATAATTTCATATACATAGAGTATTAGGTAACATTTAAAATTGTGTTGAATATTTAATTACATAGAATTATGTTCAGCATATAATGTTGTGCAAAGAAATAGAACAAACTGTATACAGTATATGAACTTGATTTTCTAAAAACATAATTATATACTGATACACAGATATGGATTTTTTTAAAGGCCAGAAGAAAATATGCCAAAACAATAACTGCAGTCATCTCTGAGTTTGGTGAGACTACAGATTATTCTGCCACATTTTCTATATATTTTAAGTTTTTTATAATGACCCTTTGTTGCTTTTCTAATGAAAAAAACAAAAGATGTATTTTGCCTACCCTAAGATCCTAGATTATAAAACGTACCATTACTTTATGTACCACTAGAGATTCTAAGATACATTCTAATTTCAAAAATGTTCAAAGTTTTTTTAAATGTCACAATAGGTAAAATATCATAATAAACATTATGTACCTTGTACTGTTTGACCAGAATACTGCTACTCTGCCTAAAAAAGCCCAGTATACATTGCATACTTTTAGAGTAGTGAAAGCAGCCCTAAAAAGCTCAAAAATTAAACTTATTTGAAAAATTCACAAGAATGTTATATTCAATTCCATAAAAATCTGATTTTTCTTTTCTTTTTCCTTGAGACAGGGTCTCACGCTGTCATGCAATCTCAGCTCACTGCAACCTCCACCTCGGAGTTCAAGCGATTCTCCCACCGCAGCCTCCCAAGTAGCCGGGACTATAGGCACACAACACCATGCACAACTAATTTTTGTATTTTTGCAGAGACACAGTTTTGCCATGTTGCCCAGGCCGATCTCGAACTCCTGGGCTCAAGTGATCTACCTGCCTCGGCCTCCGAAAGTGCTGAGATTACAGATGTGAGCCACTGCAACCAGCACTGTTTTAATTAAGAAAATTATTTCATGTCCAAATGTTCAAATAAAATCACACTCTAGGAAGATGTGCTACATTTTGACTGCATAGGCACATAGGCACGCATCCACCCACCCACATACACACAGAGTAATCCAGTTTGATAAACAGATCAACAAAAAATAAATATAAAAAATCCAGACTCCTAAATTCAAACTCCTCAACATGGCAAAAAAATATATATATATCATTAGTGACTGTCCAGTCTTATAGTTCTAGATAAGATACTCCCCACAACCATGCTCTAGCAATGCCTAGTTATTTGCAATTATCTATATAAGCCCATACTGCTTCATCTCTCTGTGCCTTTCCAGATGTTATCACTAGCCTAAAATGACTTCCCCCACCACCTTATCTGACCAAGTTACTATTAAACAAGATCTAATCTTTTATCTCCTCTTTAGACATTCCTGATTCCCTCTCAAGCACAAGGTATGACTCCCTTCTCTGGGACATTATTTCCCTATATTTCACCTAACAATCTGAACTGGAATTGTTTCTATAGGTCTGTTTCTTCTATTACGTTGTATGTCCCCACAATCCTTAAGGATAGAGATTATACTTGTGCTCGATGCTACTGAAATATTAAAAACACTTAATGACATTATATACAAATGGAGATAAACACATGCTGCATTTATCTATTCAGGAACAACAGAAAAGCCATATATATTTACTCCAAAGTAATAAAAGTATATATTTAAAAATCCATCTTGAGTTTCTCAAAATGTTAAATATAGAATTACCATATGACCCACCAATTCCACTTCTAGGTATCTACGCAAGAACAATAAAAACATATGTCTACACAAAAACTTCTACACAAATGTTCATAGCAGCATTATTCATAAAAGCCAAAAGAGAATCAATACAAATGTCCATCAGCTGATAAGCAGATAAACAAAATGTGGTATATCCATACAATGGAATATTACTGGCAATTAAAAATGAAATACTGACACATGGTATAACACTATGAACAATGAAAACATGCTAAGCCAAAGAAGGCAGTCACAAAAGACCATTTTATTGATGATTCCTTCTATAGGAAATGTCTCTATAGAGTCGGCAAATCTATAGAGACAGAAAATAGATTAGTGGTTGTCTAGGGCTGGAAGCCTGGAGAGAAATGGAGACTGACTGTTAATGGGTATGAGGTTACCTTACGAAGTGATGAAAATGTTGTAAAAGCAACTGTGGTAATGGTTGCACAACTCTGAAAATACACATACACCCAAAAAGCTCACTGAATTGTATACTTCAAACGGGTGAATTTTATAGCATGTAAATGATAACTTAATAAAGTTGCTTTAAAAAATCAATCTTGAGTTTGGCAATGATTTTTATATGACACAAAAAGCACAATCAATGCAGAAATATAAGTTAGATTTCATCAAAATTAAAATTTTTGCTCTATGAAAGACATTATGCAAATGAAAATTGACAGTAGCAAATGCGGCAAGGATGCACAACAACAGAAACTCTCATTCATTGTTGGTGGGAATGTATAATAAAATGGTATAGCCACTTTGGAAGACAGTTTGGCAGTTTCTTAAGAAGTTAAACCTGTTCTTAGCAAACAACCTAGCAATGCTACATCTGTGTATTTACATATCTGCCCAAGTGAATTTCAAACTAAATTCATGGCCGGCACGGTGGCTCACGCCTGTAATTCCAGCACTTTGGGAGGCCGAGGCAGACAGAGCACCTGAGGTCGGGAATTTAAGATCAGCCTGACCAACATGGAGAAACCCTGTCTCTACTAAAAATACAAAATTAGCCGGGCATTGTGGCGCATGCCTGTAATCCCATCTACTAGGGAGGCTGAGGCAGGAGAACTGCTTGAACCTGGGAGGTGGAGGTTGCCATGAGCTGAGATTGTGCCATTGCACTCCAGCCTGGGCGAGAAGAGCGAAACTCCATCTCAAAAAAAAAAAAAAAAAAAAAACCTAAATTCATGCAAAAACTTGTACACGAATATTTACGGCAGCTTTATTCATAATTGCCCCAAACAGGAAATAACGAATATGTTCTTCAACAGAGGAATGAACAAACAAACCAAGGTATATCCATTCAATAGAAGGTTGCTCTGCAATTTAGGGGAAAAAAGGAAAAAGCAACTACTTCACACAACATGGACAACATGAAGGAATCTTAAATGCTTTTATTTTTTTTTTTTTTTCAAGGCAGAGTCTTGCTCTGTCACCCAGGCTGGAGTGCAATGGCGCAATCTTGGCTCACTGCAACCTCCACTTCCCAGGTTTAATTGATTCTCCTGCCTCAGCCTCCCAAGTAGCTGGAATTATAGGCACCTGCCACCATACCCGGCTAATTTTCGTATTTTTTAATACAGACGGGGTTTTGTCATGTTGGCCAGGCTGGTCTTGAACTCCTGATCTCAGGTGATCTGCCCGCTTCAGCCTCCCAAGGTGCTGGGCTTACAGGCAAGAGCCACTGTGCCCAGCCTTAAATGCATTTTTGCTAAGTGAAAAAAAGACAGAATCAAAAGGCTATACACTGTATGATTCCATTTAATGACATTCTGGAAAAGGTAAAACTATAGGAACAGAAAAAGAGATCAGTGTTTCCCAGGAGTGGGGGTGATGGAACTGTTCCGAATGGTATTGGGGTGTTGCAGACAAGACTATGTGTTTGTTAAGACCCACAGAACTATACACACTTTATGCAAATTTAAAAAATCAATTGGGATTCTGGGGGATCTCAGGATGGAATCCAGATTCTAACAAATGAATCTAAATGTATGACTAACAAGATGACATGCCCTCATTGAAGGTGGTGAGGGAAAAGAAGCTGAACTACGTAATGCTGGAAAACTGTTTTAGCTGGAAACTAAGGCTAAAGACAAAAAAGGAACTGTACAAAGATATTGTGTTCCAGTTGGTAAATCCATTTCTCACAGGGTGTATGGTTTATTTTACATGAATATTAGGGTTGAGTAAGTAAATACCAATAATGGGAGCCAGGTTTCTCATCATCAGAGAAAAAAAGTTACAAACAGGCAAGGGCAAAAGCTAGAATGAATCTTGTGATACTAGTTTAGAGCTGGTAATATCAGTCTAAACACGTTTAACATGTGTACAGGTATAGAATTATAGTTATGTGTATAGTCACAGGCTGGTATACATGCATACATATATTTCCTAGCTATGGCAGCTGAGAGGGCCTTGAAACAGTGATCACCAGTAGCAATAAGCACACCTAGCACCCAGATCTTGGTTTCTAAATATCATTCTCCAATAAAAGGAACCAGAGCTCCTTGGAAAAAATGGCTGATTTCAGGGCTGAGGGAAAATATAAGATGAGCCTGGAGCATCGTGTAATGCCAGAAAGTAAAGAAGTGTTCCTTTTTTTAAAAAAAGTAAGAACATGTCAAAGAACACAGGAGTAGGAGCTGGGTCCAACCTGAAGGAGCTCCCAAAAGGCAAAAATGAGAACAATTTAAGTAACAAAGTATTAGGTTGGTGCAAAAGCAATTGAGATTTTTGCTAAAAATAGTGGCAAAAACTGCAATTACTTTTGCACCAACCTAATAAATAACACACTACTGGATTACAACCCAAAGTATGAAATAAATATATGCAGTTTATATTATATAAATCAATGACTAAATTAATAAATGGGGGAGAAAAGGCAAATCTTCCCTACAGAATTCCAAATAATACGTGTAAAGTCTCCCCTCCAGGAGAGTATGGAAAGGGAATACGCTCCCCTCCACAGCGTTTGGAAAAAGAAAATGGTAACTTACTAGTGGAGAAGCTTGCCAGACACTACCTTAAACCAAATGATAAGCGTTAACATCACCAGTGATGTGCCTAGATTTATGATGGAGTTATGTTCCAATGAAACCCTCATAAAGCTGGAAATTTTAAAGTCAGAGACCACCTGGACTTTCTAGATCATCTCTAACAAGTCAGTATCCAACGTCTAATGCACTGAGCTCATATATAACAAGTACTTACTATGCTGTCAGGTTTGGCAGTAAAAACATAAATGCCCCTGCTCTCATGGCACTTAAAATCTAGTGACAGGAGAAGGAGAAAAAGGAGAATGGATACTGTCTTAGTCTGTTTTTTGCTGCTATAACAGAATACCACAGAATGGGTAATTTATAAAAGAAAAAAGGGCATCTGGCAAGGGTCATTCAATGGTAGACAAGTGGAAGAGTAAGAGCATACATGCACAAGAGCTCACTTTTATAACCCCTTCCCACAATAACAGCATTAATCCATTCATGGGGGTGGAACCCACATGACCTAATCACTTCTTAACGTCCCCACCTACTAGCACTGGCAATTAAACTTTAATGAGTTTTGGTGGGGGCATTCAAACCACAGCAGGTACCAATTAAATAGTCATACAAATAAATATAACCTGTGATAAGTATACAAGATGCCATAGAAGTACATGCTCAGAAGGTCAGATCCATGAAGCCTAGATAACCAAGAGGTTAGGGAACAAAAATGAAGGCTTATTTGAAATTTAAAGGATGACTGCTTTGAGTTGGGTGGGTTGGAAAGAATTCTAGAAAGAGAAAAACAACATCTGAAAAGTCTTATGGAGGTGTCATGGTACTTTCCAGGAAATAAATGTCAGCGTGTAGCTGATGTGTAAGGAAACAAGGAGGAGAGGTGTACAGTTAAGAATGTAATTTAGAAGCTTAGATAGCATCAAGTTTAGAAAATCCACCAAAAAGCTGGGAATGGAATTTGACTTAAATTTACTATTCAAAAAGAATCCTCTGGCAGCAACGTAGGTAACTGTACATAGGCAAAAGTAGATGTATTATTGAGACTGAATGGAAGATTTTTGTGATCATTTAAATGAAAATGAAGAAGCTTAAACAATAGTTGTGTTGGAAAAAGAGGGAAAGTCAAGCCTCTGTATGAAGACTGCCACTGTTCAGAAATCTGCACTTATCAGTCTTTTCTTTGGTTTATTATAACCAGACCATTTACCTATCTTTAGTTTTTTGGGAACTCCATCATTCTCCAAAGTTTCTCTAAAGATCTTCAATCACCTCAGCATGTTAATTCAATAGGTGTAAACTGCCTTGATTTAGAGGTATTTAAAACACTCAAACTTTCTCCTCTTCCTTGAACTTACTTCAATTTCTTTATCTAAGTTTTTAAAACTCATGAGAATTTGAAAAGAAAAAACAAGCAACTAAGTAATTTTTTTTAATATCCAACCCATTAACCCAAAAGCCCCAGCCTGCCATTTCAGTCTCATCCCCTGCAGTCCGTCCTCCCGACCCTTTCTCTCTCATTATAAACCAAGTTCAATTTACACCAAACTCCTGGTTCCTCAAAGATGTCATACTTTTGGAAGACTCTGTGATTTAAATGGTCCTCCCTCTCAGAACTGTCCTTCCTCCATTGAAAAATCTAGCCCATGTTTTAAGACTCAAATATTACTTTCTTTTGGAAGCCTTTCTTTACCCCATTCAAGATCTGTGTATCATTACATTCTCTACAAACTTCTACTATTATAAGGTATATCTGTGTGTGTTTCCATCCATGAGATGGTAAGAGCTACAGTTTCTAAGAAAAACAGTCTTGTTCTTCATGTCTTTAGTAACTGGTCATTCAAAAACTATTTCAAGAATGGTCTCATGTAGTGAAATTATCCTTTTCTCACACATCTTGAATCCTAATTCTAACCAGGAAGGATGGGAGTAGAAGAGAGAATGACTTGTAAAGGGCTTAAGAGCTTTTCACAAGTTGTGGCTCATTATAGTCTTCTAGCCTAACACATTTTTAATAGATTTATACTACTCTTTTGTATTTATCCCTGGATATGTATTCATACTTCTGATCTGGTTCATAAAACTTTATAATCTCAGCTGAGAACTCCCTGTGGAAGAACCTTGCTTTCTATGGCTGCAACCTTCTAATATTTATTGCTTTTGATTACATTTTCTAAGCTTGGAGCACGTGTCTAACTGCGCCCACTATTTCTTTCCTTCATCAACATAAAGTCTTAGGCAGTTTTGCCTCTCAAGGGATATTTGGCAATGTCTAGAAATATTTCTGGTGATCACAACTGGGGATAGGTGTTAGGATATGCTACTGGCATTAAGAAGGCAGAGGCCAGGGGTGCTGCTAAACATCATACGATGCAAAGAACAGCCTCCCAGCAAAGAGTTATCTGACCTAAAATGTCATTGGTGCCACTTGAGAAACCCTGGTCTAAAGTGAACTGAATGCTTTGTCTCAAGGTCTGTGTAACATTCTAAATGATCATCGCTTTTGATCACTAACTCTGAATAGTGATTATTCGCATTACTTTCTCAGTAATTGTACTAGTGCCAAAGCAACCAAAAATTTACCAACTGTACTGTATGCTTTTATCACTACCATAGCTATTATGTCACTTTTGTAATCTATATTATAAAAGATATAGTATATGACATAAAATATCAGTTCTGTTTTTTTTTTAAGCCAAACAAATGAGCTCTCTTGCATTTATACCCGGAGGTTCATGAATTTTCTTCATTCAATGGTCTTACCTTCTCCATTATCTTCTTTTAGACTAAGATTTGTTTGATAAACATGTTTTTCTATTAACATATAATTATGAATCTTGTACCCTAAAGTCTCTGTGACATCCATAATGGTTTATAAGCATATACAATCATAATCACTGTTCCCAAATTTTCTCTCCCTTCATCCTCCCAATGTTCTGGCTCCCAACATGTGTCTTCAAAACTGTGACTAACTCCCACAACAATCGCTTAATTTTATCTTGGTATCATCTCTCTAACTCCTATGAAAATGTCACCTGAAATCTTTCCTTATCAGGTATGTGAGGCTGATAAACATCTTCTTTGCAGCCTTATTATTTAGGTATCATACACCAGAGCCCAGAAAAGTAAATCTTTATATTTCACTATTCAGTCAAATGTTCACAGATTCTCCTTTCCCTTTTGTTTCCACACACTTCTTAACACAAAGAGATAAAAATTAACAGGTTGCAATATAATTAAACCTGATGATTAAAAATTATATTTGAGGCTTAATTTAATATGACTTAAGCTGAATTTTTTAAAGAAAAATATTTTATCCCATATTCCAGGTATATTCTTAGATCACTACATCTGATATATGTCAGCAAAAAGCAATTAGAAACAAAACAAAAATTTACCTTTAATAAAATAATTTTGATGTGCTTGCTGATGAAAGCTAAATCTATATAAAAGAATTTCAGCGGTATGTAAAATGCTATCCTATACAAATCTATTGCTCTGTGTGAAACATAAAAACACAATGCCAGTAATTGAAGGAGAATGTTCTAATTATATTGAAAAAATAAGTTTGTTATGTTTATTTACACTTATAACATGTTTATTCACCTTGTTTTTGTTCATGTCTTTAAATTTTATTATGATTTCATGGTAGCCACATACATTGTTTTCCTTAAAAAATTAACTTACATAGAAGTAATTTTTTTTCTTGAAGTAACATATTGGTTTAGAATTAGGCTGATTACTAAATGAGCATTAAACTTCATGTTTTTTAAGGTTGAGTTTGTTAATATAACTAATAAACATAGAGTAAATGATGCTTTTTGTATATAGATTTCAATGCATTTCTGACTAACACATATACTCATGTAATCATCACCACAAAGAGGTTACAGAATTCCAAGGTTTCTTCATACCCTTTTCTAACTCCTGAAGTTTTACCTCAACCATAGGATTTCTAGCTCAAAGTTTTGCATTTCCAGCATGTCCTACAAATGGAATCATGCAGTATGTAGCCTTTTTGTGTCTGGCTTTTTTCACTTAACAGAATGCTTCTGAGATTGCTGGATATTGCACATAGCAGTAATTCATTACTTTTTATTATTCAGTAATATCCCACTATGTGGTTGTACCACAATTTATCCATTGATCAGCTGACGGGCACTTGAGTTGCTTCCAGTTTTCAGCAAACATAAAGTTGCCTTAAACATTTTAATACAGCTCTTTGTGCAGACATATGCTTTCATTTCTTTTCAGTAAATATCTAGGAGCAGAATTCCTGGGGTCATATAGTAAAGTGCATGTATAACTTTATAAGAAACAACCAAACTGTTTTCCAAAGTGCCTTACCATTTACCAGTCAGCAATGTACAGGGTTCCAGCTGCAATGCATTTTCATAAATACTTGATATTGTCAGTTTAGAAAGTTTTAATCATTCTAATAGAGGTGTACTAGTATCTTATTGTGGCCATAATTTGCAACTTCCTAATGACTAACCACCATGAACAGTTCTGCACATGTTTACTGGCCATTTTTACATCTTCTTTGGAGAAATGTCTATTCAAATATTTTTCCTACTTTTAAACTGAACTATTTGTCTTATTATTATTGAGTTGTTACACTTGTTTATATATTCTAGATACCAGTCCTTTATTGGACATATGATTTGCTAATGTTTTCCTATTTTGTAAGTTGTCTTTTCACTCTTTTTTTTTTTTTTTTTTTTTGAGACAAAGTCTTGCTCTGTCGCCCAGGCTGGAGTGCAGTGGTGCAATCTTGGCTCACTGCAACCTCCACCTCCTGGGTTCAAGCAATTCTCCTTGCCTCAGCCTCTGAAGTAGCTGGGATTACAGGTGTCTGCCAACATGTCTGCTAATTTTTGCATTTTTAGTAGAGATGGGGTTTCGCCATGTTGGCCAGGCTGGTCTGGAACTCCTGGACAGAACTGATCTGCCCGCCTCAGCCTCCCAAAGTGCTGGGATTACAGGCGTGAGCCACCATGCCTGGCCTTCACTCTTGATAGTATCTTTGAAGCATAAATAAAAGTTTTTTATTTTGATGATGTCCAGTTTATCTATTTTTCTTTTGTTGCTTGTGCTTTTGGTATTACGTCTAAGAAACCACTGCTTAGTCCGAGGTCATGAAGATTTCAACCTATGTTTTCTCCTAAGAGTTTTACATTTTTAACTTTTATATTTTCGGTTAATTTTTGTACATGATATGAGGTAGGAGTCCAAATTCATTCCCTTGCGTACGGATATCCAGTTGTCTGAACACCACTGGTTGAAAGGACTATTCTTTCTTCTTTTACATGCTTTGCAACTATTTTTTCCCAGCCTTTGGCTTATCTTTTCATTTTCTGAACAGTGTCTTCTGAAGAGAACTATTTTAAATTTCGATAAGTCTAATTTATCCTTTTTCAAAAATGGTTTGTGTTATTTGTGTCCTATCTAAGAAAAACTTGCCTAAGGAAAGTGGCAAATATGTTCTATGTTTTCTTCTAGAAGTGTTATTGTTTTAGCTCTTACATTTACGTTGATGATCTATTTTGAGTTAATTTTTGTATACAGTGGAAACTGAGGCTTGAACATTGAATTATCCTGTCACCTTTGTTGAAATCAATTAACCATATACTTGCATGCACAGGTCTATTTCTAGATGCTCTTTTCTGTTCCACTGAACTATGTGTTTATTCTTTCATCAAGACTATACTGTCTTGATATTGACCTTAATCCTCCAACTTGCTCTTACTTTTCGAAACTGTTTTGGCTGTTCCAGGTCCTTTACATTTCCATATGAATTACAGAATTGCTGGTCACCTTATACAAAAAACTGTCTGCTAAGGTTCTGAGAATATACGGACTCTATAGATCAATTAATTTGGGGACTGTTAACATTTTAATATTGAATTGTACAATCCATGAACATTGAATATCTTGTTAGGTCTTCCTTAATTTCTGTCTACAATGCTGTATAGTTTTCAGTAAACAGGTTTACACATATTTTGTCAAATTTACTCCTAAATTTTTCATGTTTTTGCTTCTATTGTAAATGGTGCTGTATTTGTTATAATAAATTAATTCCCAATTGCTTGTTGTTAATAAATGTATGTGCAACTGCTTTTTGGATATTAATCTTCTAACTTTCAACCTTGCTGAATGTACTTATTAGTTCATGTAGCTTTTTTGCAGAATCTTGAGGATTTTCTATATGGAAAATCATGCTGTCTAAATTGGGAAAGTTTTACTTCTTCCTTTTCAATCTGTACGGCTTTTCTTTATTTTACCTGATGGCACTGGCTAGAACTTCTAAGACAATGTTAAATAAAAGTGGTAAGAGAGGACAGATTTGCCTTTTCCAATCTTAGGGGAAAAGCATTCGTCTTAAACAAGTAGATACAATCTAAACTGTAGGTTTCTTGTAGATTCCCTTTATTGGGGAAAGGAAGCTTCCTTCACTTCCTAGTTTGCAGACAGATATTTTAAAATTGTGAATGGATATTAAATTTTATCAAATGCTTTTTCTGCATCTACTAAATTTCCTTTTTAAAATATGTTAATGTGGTAAATTAAGCTAACTGATTTTTGAATTTTATACTAACTTAGTAATCCTGGCATAAACTATCCTTGGTCATGATTTTTACCTACTGCTACATATGACTGCCCTAAAATTTTGTTATATTATTCTCTGCATTTTTCTCCAATTTAAAAATTAAAATAAATTGTACAGGTTTACCAGTTAAAACAGTTTACTTTAGATTTACACTTTTATTTCACTTATTTCTACTAAAGCATTAATGTCTCTATTTATAAAATATACAAGCATACTTAACATTATGAAAGCAACAAAGTAGCACAGTTTAAGGAAGCATGAATTTCATTCTTGCTAGCCATTACTTTAAAAAAAACCATGCCCCACCCTCTGCCTTTGTACTAAGGAGCATTTACCCCTTATCTACACCATCTCTATAAATGCCAGTTACCATTAAGATAAATAGTCAAGCCTCTCCATCTTTTTAGTTCCTTCACTATGTTGTCAGGTAGGGAGGTAAGCAACTGTAAATATTAATAAAATTTTACTGCTATGTCCATAGGACATGAGAAATAATTAAAACTTTTATACTTAAAAACTTCTCAGTTCAGAATCTGGCACCATATTCAAAAACGAAAATAAAACAATAATTTTTTAAAAATTGAAAAACTAAAAGATCATAAAATTAAAAAATTCTAATACAAGATTTCAAAGTATAGAAGTGATTTAAAAAATCAAAAAGATATGACTATTTAGAAAAACAAAACCTTTGTAATAAAACATATATAACCAAAATTGAAAGATAACACCAAAACCAATCAAACTTACATGTATCAATATTTATAGTTCAGAAACAGAAATAAATAAAGTAAGGAGGACTTTATGATCTAAATCTTATCAATTCTTTAAGATTAAAAGTTTGAAATTATAAGTTATTTAATCAAATTTTTAAATGATAAAATCCAATCTAAAAAGGAGCCTTCGGAAAAGAATATCTGTAAAATTTAAATATAAAACAGCTTTCATGGAGAAAAATTCTCATGTCTCAGCAGTTACTCAAACTCAATGTGCAGTTATTCAAACTCAATGCACAGTTTTTTGAATACTTATTTTAACTATTTTTCATCCCTTTCTCTTCAAAATATTTTGGTTCTCCTAACAGGCATCCAAATTGTTTCTTTCACACTTCCTACTAAATTCTATGTAGAAATCATTGATGAAATCACCAAAAAGTAAATAGAAGAAAAAATAAGGGCTTGAATGACATAAGTGAAAATGTAGTTATATGAAGTCTGTCATTAACCTCCACAAAAAATTACTTACATCTGCTTAAAAAGTTGTCAATATTTTTGTTTTTTCTTAAGGCAGGAAAATCCAAATCATATACCAAAGCATCCAATCCATCCTAAAGAAACAAACAAACAATGGTTAGTTTTTTGGATCACATTATACAGTCTCCTTTTTTATGAAAGAATAAAATATACGCTTTAATATTTAATTTCCCCTAACACATCTTGTGTACATTTAACACCCTCTACAAGGTTAGATGAGTACTGGGAGAAAAGTGGTTTTCATTTCATATGCAGTTCTTTTTACCTTCTAAGTCTGCCAGGCCCAGGGGCAAGAAAATTACCACAGATTGGCTGCAAGTGATTTCAATCCATGCACTTTTCCCCTCATAAGGACATGAAATTTTATTTTGCATTACTTCTCCTTACTACTGCATTTATCTTTATCTTAGACATCAAAAACCTACATTTGTTACTATAAATATTTTATAAGGTAACAGCTAAATAATAATAAAATGTGAGGTTTAATATAAAATAAATACTGCATAATCACAAATGCAAGCTATATACATTTTTAATTATAAAAATGTATTAGATTGTCATGGGTCTTCTTTCTTTCTTTGAGGCACTTTCTAGGGAAAGCTAGCAGTAAAGGACACACCTGAGCTTTTGCATTTTTTCTGCTTTTTTTTTTTTTTTTTTTGAGGGTCTTGCTCTGTTGGCCAGGCTGGAGTGCAGTGGTGCAATGTTGGCTCAATGCAACCTCCACCTCCTGGGCTCAAGCCATCTTCCTGCCTCAGCCTCTTGAGTAGCGGGGACTACAGGCTCACGCTACCACACCTGGCTAAATTTCGTCTTTTTATAGACAGAGTTTCACCATATTGCCCAGGCTGGTCTTGAACTCCAGACCTCAAGCAATTGCTCCTGTCTCAGAGTCCCAAAGTGCTGGGATTACAGGTGTGAGCCACCACGCCTGGCCGAACTTTTGCTTTTAAGTGGATATTTAAATATTATCTAAGCAAGTGCATGGCAGTGTGAAGGTATACCAAGCAGTGTTGAAGTGGGAAAGCATCTATTCAGACTATATCCTGCTGCATGGCAGGAACTGGAAGAACTTCAGATAATCCTAAGCAATCTTCACTATAAAGTCTCACTCTTTAGTAAATGTTGTTTGTATAATTGAATAGCACTATGGAAAAGAATGGTTTTTGCGTGATGCTTAATAATGTAATCAGTTCCAGACAGGTCAAAACATTAAAAAAATAAAGAACCAGGCAAAAGCATTTTAAAGAAAAAAATAGTATATTTACATGATACCGTTGGGAGAACAAGTCACATAACCTTTCTGAGCCTCAGTTTTCTTTTTTGTAAAATGAGGGATAATGATTACAACACATAACAGATTTGTGAGAATTAAATGAGTTAACATGTGAAGTGTCTGGACCTTAATAGTCTCACTTCTCTCTCTTTTATTTCTGTTACTGACATTTGAAAGCTCTGAATGTTAGTCTCCCTATTAACAGGAATGACCTACACAGAAAACAGACATTTTAGTCACGTGGTCATAAAACCTTAAAAGTAAATCTTAGGTCATGATGTTAAACCCTTCCCCAATGCAGTAATCCAAAGTACTTTTGTTGTTGTTACACATGGGCATCTGAGTTTTGCGTGACCAAGTATTTGATCATGTGTTTGTTAATGAAAAATGAGCTGCCTCCACTAATTACATATAGTCACTAAGTGTTTGGACCTGGTACCACACACTTTAATTCTACAATACCATGGGATAGTCTATTACTTTTCAGCATCACCCATAAGCAAAACTTGTGTGCCTTTATTAGGGAAATAAAGTTGGCAAGAATGTATTCTTCTAACTTAACCAAAGCATATACCAACTGAGGTTTCTAAGGGGAGTCAAGACACTGGGGTGGGAGAGAGGGATGCAGGCTTCCATTTTAATGCAGTGGAAAAGCTGCACAATGCAAGGAATGTGTATGTCCAACTATAAATGAGGCAGGAACCTTAGCTTTTATTCAATACTCTGAAGTTCCATAAAATAATGCAGATAAGACTTCCACACTTCCTAAAAGTCCAAATTCTAGTACCAGGACTCGGAATGTTAACATAACATTCATCCAAGTGCAAAAACAATTCACGAGGAATGATAATCAAAGGATATACTTCCACTGATCCTTCACTTAATTTTATGATTTAGGCATGAGCAAAACTACCTTCTACTTTCACAACATGTCCATCATATAGCTTAATCATCAATTTAAAAATGTAGAGGAGGCCAGGCACGGTGGTTCACTCCTGTAATCTCAGCACTTTGGGAGGCCGAGGCAGGCGTACTGCCTGAGATCAGGAGTTAGAGACCAGCCTGGCCAAAATGGTGAAACCCCATCTCTACTAAAAATATAAAAATTAGTCAGGCATGGTGGTGGTGGGTACCTGTAATCCCAGCTACTCGGGAGGTTGAGACAGGACAATCGCTTGAACCCGGGAGGCAGAGGTTGCGGTGAGCCAAAATCATGCCTCCAGCCTGGGTGAAAGAGACTCCGTCTCCAAAAAAAAAAAAAAAAAAAAAAAAAAAAAAAAAAAACAAAAGTGGAGGAGAAAATATGTAACAGAGGGGCCAATCAATGTCAAAAAATTACAGTAATTAAATTCTTTGCTACTAATAGTTGAACAAGGGTAGTAGACCAGTTGTAGCAGTTACATTTTAAAAGAAGGTAGTTACATAAGAGAAGTATTTTCACATATACACACAAAGGCAGGCATAATCAATTAAAAGTATAACATTTTACAGTGATCTCTAAAGTAAAAACACTTCACATTTCCTGAGAAGCACTGATATGGCAGGGGGAGCAGGGGGAAGAGGAGGTAGAGGTCCATTGTGTTATGCCACAACAGAGTTCAAGTGAAAGCAGAAGCAAAAGAAAATTATTCAACACTACTACAAACTTTAGTTTTCTGGATAAATCTGAATTAACAAATATGAGTCAGGTGTAAAACATCATTTAGGATTAAATCCATTAAAAGTAACACATTATAAGGTATGAGAATTTAATGGCACTAGGAAAGGACAGTTACACTATTATAAGAAACATTCATTTTTAGGTAAATTTTCAAAACCTAAATGGTTATTATTCTAAACCTAACAGACATATTTTTGGAGAAACACCACCCCACCCTCAAAATCCATTGAAAACTATGGCAGCAAAACTGGGGCTTCTGAAAATCAAACTACTTCTAAAATGGGCTGACCACTGGTACTAAAGACTGCTGACCAACTTTGGTAAGAGAGGATATACCATTTAAAGAAAATGTTTTTGGTATATGTAGTAGAATGTTGTTTTAACTAAGTCCCTTAGGCCAGATGCTGTGGCTCACAACTGCAATCCCAGCACTTTGGGAGATCGAGACAGGAGGATCACTTGAAACCAGGAGTTCAAGACCAGCCTAGACAACATAGCAAGACCCTATCTCTACAAAAATAAAAGTAAAAAAAATAGCTGGGCGTGGTGCCGCATGCTTGCAGTCCCAGCTACTTGAGAGGCTGAGGCAGGAAGATCGCTTGAGCCCAGGAGCTCAAGGCTACAGTAATCTATGATTTTGCCACTGCACTACAGCCCTGGTGACAGAGTGGGACCCTGTCTCTAAAAATCAATCAGTCTGTCAATCTCTCTTCACTTGATAAAGAAATAATTCATCAAAATTAAGCACAGCTATGAAAATGAAAACAGAATTTCCTTAGGGAATTTTAACAACCTGATATTAAATACAGTTAAAATCTGTTTAACTGGTGTGACATTACTATACCCATGTCAATGCTGCCCAGGACATTTATAGTCAATAAATAAGTAAATAATGTTCCAAATTATCTAGTACAACAAACAATGGCTCTTCCCAATCAGTCTCCAATCATACCTTTGTCCAGCCTGTTTCTCTACACATACATAGCTGGGCTTAGGCCACAGTGTGCTACCAGCCATTTCCCAAATAAGCCAGGCTCACTCTACCCTATGGGGCCTTTGCACCTGCTCTATTCTCCCGCTGGAATGTGAACATTCTTACATTAAGACTGCCTCAAATGTCCCTTACTTTGTGCTGCCTTCCCCAGTGCCCTGAGGGGAAATGTTACATAACCTCCTTTGTGCTATTACAGAAATTATGTATTTAGCTGTTATACTGTAATTATTTATTTCTAAATCTGCCTCCTCTTCTGCAGGAAAGCAGAAAAAAAATACTTCCTGTCTCTCAGAGTTCAGAAGTTAGTTAGTAGGTAGAAAAAGTAAATACAGGATATCAAGTGTTATAAGTAGGTACTACATAAATAGAGAAAAGGCTATTTGGGGCTTCACAGAGAAGATGAAATTTGAGCTGAACCTTGAAGAATAGAATTATGAAGGAATAAGACAGAAGTGGGGCAAGGCAATCTAGAGGTGAAAAGCAACGAGAATTCAGAGAATGAGGATAGAATGTTCTGGACTGGGAAAGGTGAGAAGGAGATGAAGGAGAAGGAGTCAAAGCTGTGATGATCAGGGAGAGAATGTTAAAGGTATAACATACCAGGAGAAGAATTTACCTTCTGATAATTTGGAACCACAGGAATTTCTGCGGGGGAGAAAGTGGCATAACTGGTTTTTATTTTAGTAGTCTGGCAATGATAAAGATGATAAATTAAAAGTAGAAGAGACAGGTGGAGATGAAAGCAACTAGGAGGATACTGTGGTAATACAAGCATAAAAGGATAAAAGACTGAAAAACTGGGTAAACAGGAATGGGGCATTAGAGGCAAAAGAATCTGATGAATAATTGAAAGAGGAACAGGAAGGGTTGAAAATGATTATATGATCTTCAAGTTGATGTGAGTAGACAGTGACTTCATTAACCAAGGCAGATAATATAATTTGGAGAGATGATAAATATTTCAGACACACTACATCTGAGGTCCTTTGGGATATCATTTCATGAATAACTAGATGGCAGCTGAATATAAGTTTGGGTTTAACAGAGAGATTGGGACTACAATACAGATTTGGGAGTCATGAGAGCACACTTAAATCCATGAGAACATATGCAATCATCCAACAAGAATAAACAGGGAGAGTAGAGAAAGACTGAAGAATAGAACACTGGGAAACACTAACATTTAACAGGTACACAGAGCAGGCTGGGCATGGTGGCTCACACCTGAAATCCCAGTACTTTGGGAGGCCGAGGCTGGTGGATCACCTGAGGTCGGAGTTTGAGACCAGCCTGACCAACATGGAGAAACCCCTTCTTTACTAAAATACAAAAAATTAGCCGGGTATGGGGATGCGCACCTGTAGTCCCAGCTACTCAGGAGGCTGAGACAGGAGAATCGCTTGAACCCGGGAGGCGGAGGTTGCAGTGAGCCGACATAGCACCACTGCACTCCAGCCTGGTGACAGAGCAAGACTCTGTCTCAAAAAAAAAAAAAAAGGAAAGAAAAAAAAGAGGTACACAGAGCAAAAATGGTGGAGGAGGACACAGAGAAGAAAGACAGAATAGTACCAAGGAAGCTGAGAAGGAACTTAAAAAGAAGAAATGCCTTAAGAATGAATTTAAAACATCTCAGGAAGTCAAACAGAATAGAGAATGCAAAAGAAGCCAAATCATTTGCCATTTAAACATCACTGATGGTCGCACAACAACGTGAATGATTAATGCCACAGAACTATACATTTAGAATCAGTTAAATGGGCTAGGTGGCTCATGCCTGTAATCCCAGCACTTTGGGAGGCCAAGGCAGGAGGATCACTTGAGGTCAGGAGTTCAAGACCAGCCTGGCTAATACGGTGAAACCCCGTCTCTACTAAAAATACAAGAATTAGCTGGGCATGGTGGCAGGCACCTGTAATCCCAGCTATTCAGAAGGCTGAGGCAGGAGAATCACTTGAACCCAGGAGGTGGAGATTGCAGTGAGCCGAGATCGTGCCACTGCACTCCAGCCTAGGTGACAGAGGGAGAGTCTGTCTCAAACAAAAAAGAAACAGTTAAATGATAAGTTTTATGATACGTTTGTGTGTGTGTACATATATATACACACATAAAAATTTTTGTATTTGTAGTAGAGATGGGGTTTCACCATGTTGGCCAGGTTGGACTAAAATTTCTGACCTCAAGTGATCCTCCCCTCTTGGTACATACACACACACACACACACACACACACACACACAGAGCCATAATTTATTTTAAGTCACTATCAGATGTCAGCAAATTGGTGGACTAGGAAGCTCCAAGCTCTCCTTCACCGACAGAAACATCAAAAGTAACAAGCTATCTGAAGCAGGTCTGCAATAGTTCTGGAAAATTTAGGTTTATAGCAAAAAACAAGCAAATATCCAATCAAGTAAAAGCTATCCCAAATGGTAGGAAAGTGTTATGGCAGTTTACTTGCTCTTGTCCCACCCCCTGCCAGAGAAAAGGACAGTCTTTTTTTTTTTTTTTTTTTTTTTGAGACGGAGTCTCGCTCTGTCGCCCAGGCCGGACTGCGGACTGCAGTGGCGCAATCTCGGCTCACTGCAAGCTCCGCTTCCCGGGTTCACGCCATTCTCCTGCCTCAGCCTCCCGAGTAGCTGGGACTACAGGCGCCCACCACCGCGCCCGGCTAATTTTTTGTATTTTTAGTAGAGACGGGGTTTCACCTTGTTAGCCAGGATGGTCTCGATCTCCTGACCTCATGATCCACCCGCCTCGGCCTCCCAAAGTGCTGGGATTACAGGCGTGAGCCACCGCGCCCGGCCAAGGACAGTCTTAAGTCTTGAGCAGGTAGCAGACTGGTTCCTCCTCTTCCTACTCCCCCACACCTTGAACCCAAGAGGGTAGAATAAGACCATACTGTGTATGTTCATTCTATCTTGTATGGGAGATACCTGAAGGACTAAGGCAAGAACCTAAACTCTGTTTCACATAATTCAGAACACAGGCAGGAAAAGCAGCTGGTGCTGCTCATAAAGGCTACAAGGAAGCTAACTACAAAACCTACTGACACACCTGAGGTAAAAGATGGGGGAGTAGGGAGGACTAATGGACACAACACATACAATAGACCATCTAGGCCCAGAGGAGAAGTGGGGCGAGACTTTTTTGGGAAATTAGATGATTCAAAAGCAGCCATGTATACAGGAGAATATAAAAAGCCGTGTGAAGCCCAGGCAAAAAAAGCATGCTAAGGAAAATCCTGAGAAGATCCTAAGCTCTCATCTCATGTGAGTTTCATCCTGAAACTCAGAACAAGCCTAGCTAAGTGGTAAAGGAGTACCCCAGCAGAGGGCAAATCTGCAAAGACTGAGAGGTGGTTCTCTTTTTGTTTTCTGAGGCTTTTTTGGTATGTATTGGAGCATCTCACATTCAAGGAAATCTCTGTCCAAACATTAGCTGAATACAAGCTAAAGGAACCAAGACTTCAGTAATCACTCACAGTAAGGAATAGTCTTTGCAAAAACAATTTGGAAAAGTCTCAAAACAAATGGACTGCAGTCATTTGTACTACAGCCATCAGCAATAAAAAACAAACTGGCCAGGCACAGTGGCTCATGCCTGTAATCCCAGCACTTTGGGAGGCCAAGGCAGGCAGATCATTTGAGCCCAGGAGTTCGAGACCAGCCTGGCCAATATGGCGAAACCCCGTCTCTACTAAAAATACAAAAATTAGCCGGGTGTGGTGGCGTGCGCCTGTGGTCCCAACCGTTTGGGGGGCTAGGGTGCGAGAATCGTTTGAACCCGGGAGGCAGGGGCTGCAATGAGCTGAGATGGCACCACTGCACTCCAGCCTGGGTGACAGAGCAAGACTCTATCTCAAAACACCCACCTACACACACACACACACACACACACACACACACAGAGAGAGAGAGAGAGAGAGAGAGAGAACCTAGTGTGGTAGGAGTTATTAAGAAATTATTTTAGGCAGATAGAGAGGAAAAAAAAGGGTCCTTTGGAAGGTTTTTCGCAGCTCTTGTCTAGCAGGAAAGCCCGGGGCACCTGTGCTGTAATGGCAGTCTGAGTGGATGGAGTTTGAGCTCTGGGACCCATCAGTCCTGCTGGACCATCTGTGAGACTAGTTCTGAACCCAGAACAAAAGACCAAAGCAGGTCTGTCTCCAGTAGTCTCCACCACAGGCTGGACAGGGTCAAGGTGGCTTTGTCTTGCTTCCTGGGCATTCCTTCTTAAAATGCCCTGACTGACCACATTGATAACAGCTAGTGGATGCACCTTGGGGATTCAGGACTTTACAAGCTTGTAATGCTGCTACTAGAGCCTCTGTTTTTCTCTTGTACTTCCTCTCCTTTTCTCGGGCCTCCTCCCAATCCCTTTTGTAAAAGACTGAAGTGGCTATTCTCAGGAGGCTTTCTAGGGTGCTATCTGGTTCTACTGCTTGCTTCTGTAGCTTTCTTCTAATATTGGGAGCTGCCTGTGTAATAAACTTGTCCTTCAGGATGAGCTGTCCCTCAACTAAATTGGGGTATAGAGAAGTGTGCTTTATTAGTGCCCCTCTCAGCCTTTCCATAAAAGCTGTGGGATTCTTGTCTGGTTTTTGGTCTATCATGGACAGTTTGGAGTAATTGAGAGGTTTAGCTGTGGTCTTTCGCAGGCCTTCTAATATACACCTTAAAAAGTGCTTCCTTTTCCATTCATCTGCTGAGTTATTGGGATCCCAGTTAGGGTTATTTACCGGAACTGCTTCCCTTCCTTGCAGGAGTGAAGTTTTCACCTCTTCCTCACCTTCCTTTTCTCCTCTTTTTTTCCTTGGTCTGCTGTATGGAGGCATGTTGCTCACCTCCATATTTTTCTGCTGCCTGCGGAACTGTCTGCTTTTCAGCTGTAGTGAGGGTTTAACTTAGCAGCAACATAACATCCCTCCACGTGAGATCAAACACCTGAGTTAAATTTCAGAAAATTTCTATATACCTATCAGGGTCATCAGAAAATTGACCTAAGTCTCCCTTTGTTTGCTTAACGTCCTGCAATGAGAAGGGAACTTGAACCCTTATGGCACCATTCCCATCAGGCATTTCCTGGAGGGGTAAGAGTGAAGAGGGGAGAGTAGGACATACTGGAGATGGTGGTGCTGATGGTACAACTGGAGTGGAACCGGAAGGGTTGGGACTTCAGTAGCTGTCTTAGATTGCTCCTCTGGAGCCCGCTTTAGCTCTGGGGAACTACTCCCTGTGGGTTTGCCTGCCATGGCTACTAAAAGAACTGGGTCGATTGTACAGAACTTGTAAAGGTCTGGGTTGTCTCGCAGAGCAAAGAAAGCCTGTACATAGGGGACCTCAGTCCATTTGCCCTCCTGTGTGCAGAAAAGTTCTAACTGTTGGATAATATTAAAATTAAGTCTCCCCAGGCCAGGTTTACGAAGAGGATAGGAAGGCCATGCCCTTGTGCAGTAGAATACTGCTTTTTCTTCAAAGTTTTAGGGTCGAAGGAGTCCCAGTGCTTTAAAATACACTCCAGGGGAGTGCATGTTGAAGACGATCTGTTACCCATCTAGAAAGAGAAGTGAGAACAAAAGCGTTCTCCTTCCTTTCGGTATGTGATCCACGTGTGTTCCTGTAGTTTTTTTCTAATTCGACTCGAGACGAAGACCCTGGTGTTCCCCCACTCATCAAAGCCATATCACTAGCAAACCCTGGAGAATAGAGAAAATCTAATTTCCAAAATCACCACATTATAACAGTTAAACGGCCAATTTTCCATAAAGAAACCACAAGATATACAAAGGAACAGAAAAACACGGCTGGGAGGAATGAAATAAATGAACAGAAACCATATCCAAGAAGCCCAGACATTGGACTTGATAAAGACATTAAAAACTGTCTTAAATATGTTCAAAGAGTTGAAGGAAAACACAGAAAAGGAACTAAAGGAAACTAGGAAAATTATATATGACCAAAATGAGAATGTCAACAAAGAGAAAGAAACTATATTAAGAAACCAAACAAATTCTGGAGCTAAAAACTAACACTTTAAGTATAAATGGACTAAACTCTCCAATCAAACTACAGAGACTGACAAAATGGATTTTAAAAAACAAACAAAAACACCATGATCCAACTATATGCTGCCCATAAGGAACTCACTTCAAGTCCAAAGACAAATGGTTAAAAGTGAAAGATGGGAAAAAATACTCCATGCAAATAGTAAATAAAAAAAGCACTGAGGTGGGTAGGCTAATATCAGACAAAACAGACCTTAAGTTAAAAAAATGGTTAACAGACAAAAAAGACATTACATATTGATAAAAGAGTTAATTCACCAAAAATATATTATCATAAATTTATATGCGTCAAATATGTACATTTGGTATATAAATATACAAGCCCCATGATATGTGAAGCAAACATTGAAAGAATTTAAGAAAGAAATACATAGTTCTACAAATAGTTGGAGATTTCAATAATCCATTTTCAGTAATGAATAGAACCAGACAGAAGATTAATAAAAAAACAGAGGACATGAACGACACTATAAACCAACTGGACCTAACAGATTATAAAGAGAGAGAGAGCACTCTATCCAGTAACAAAATACACATTTTTCTCAAGTACACATGGAACATTCTCAAGAATAGACTTATTATGTTATGCCACAAAACAAGTTTTAATAACTTTTAAAAGACCAAAATGACACAAAGTATCTTTTCCAATCACAATGGAATGAAACTACTAAACAATAATAGGGGAAAACTGGAAAATTACAAACGTGGAAATTAGACAATGAACTCTTAAAACTATGGGTCAAAGAAAAAATCATTGGGAAATTAGAAAATACTTTGAGACAAATGAAAATGAAAATACAATGTACCAAACCTAGTAGGATGCTGAAAAATCAGTGCAAAGGAGGAAATTTATAGCTATAAATGCTTACATTTTAAAAAGAAAAAAAGCTTTTAAAATCAATAAAAATAACCTAACTTAATACTATAAGGAACTAGAAAAAGAAAAGCAAATGAAACCCAAAGCTGACAGAAGGAAAGAATAAAGATTAAAGTGAAGATAAATAAAACACAGAATAGGAAAATAACAGAGAAAGCCAATGTGACCCAAAGTAGGTCTTCTGAAAAGATAAAATTGGCACATATTTGGTTAAGCTGACTAAGGGAAAAAGAGAGAAGACTCAAATTAGTAATTTCAGAAATAAAAGTGACGACATTCCTATCAATTCTACAAATAATTGTAATAGAATATTATGAACATCTGCACACCAGAAAAAAAGGGTAACTTACATAAAATGGACAAATTCCTAGAAGCATACAATCTGCCAAAAATGAACCATAAAGAAATGGAAAGTCAGAATACACCAATAACTGTAACAAGTAAGAAGACAGAAATGGTAATAATAAACCTCTCAAGAAAGAAAATCCCTGGGCCAGATGGCTCCACTGGTGAATTCTAACAAACATTTATGTATTTTTATTTGTTTGTTTTTTCCTTTTTTTGAGGCAGGGTCTCACTCTGTTGCCCAGGGTGAAGTGTAGGGGCACAGTCTCAGTTCACTGCAACCTCTGCTTCCTGGACTTCAAGCTATCCTCCAGCCTCAGCCTCCTGAGTAGCTTGTGTGAGCAACCACACCTGGTTAATTTTTTTTTTTAGGGATGGGGTTTTACCATGCTGCCCAGGCTGGTCTTGAACTCCTGAGCTCAACGTTATTTGTTTGCCTTGGCCTCCCAAAGTGCTGGGATTACAGATTGTGAGTAGGCAGTATGTCCGGCCTCTACCAAACGTTTAAAGAAGAATTAACACGAATCCTTTTCAAACTCTTTCAAAAAACTGAAGAGAAGGAAATATTTCCTAACTCATTCTATGAGTGCAGCACTGCCCTGATAGCAAAACTAAAAATATCACACAAAAATTACATATCAGAGTTTATGAAACATATGAATATAGACATAAAAATGCCCAATAAAATAACAGCAAGTAGAATATAGCACATATGAGAAGAAGTACACACCAGGATCAAGTGGGATTTATGCCAGGAATGCACAGTTGATTTAACATACAAAAATATTTTAATGTAATCTACCACATTAATAGAATAAAGGACAAAAACCACATCACCTCATTAGATACAGATAAAATGTTCAACAAAATTCAACACCCTCTCATAATAAAAAACAATCAACAAACAGGGAATGGAAAGAAACTTCCTCAGCATGGTGAAGGCCACATATGAAAATCCCACAGCTAACATCATACTCAATGATGAAAGACTGAAAGCTTTTCTCCTGAGATCAGGAACAAGACAAAGATGTCACCTTTTGTCACTTCTATTCAACTCATTATTGGAAGTTTTTGCCAGAGCAATTAGGTAAGAAAAAGAAATAAAAGGCATCCAAATTGGAAACAAAGACATAAAATTATCTATTCACAGGTGACATGATCCTATAGGTGGAAAACTAAAGATTACACACACACCAAAACAAAACAAAACAAAAAAATCCGTCAGAGCCCATAACCAAATTCAGCCAAGTTACAGGTTAGTCAATACTCAAAAATCAGTTGCATTTCTATATACTAACAGTGAATAATCCAAACAGAAACTTAAGAGCAGTTTCATTTATAAAAGCATCAAAACAAATAATACTGAAGAATAAATTTAACTGAGGCTAAAGACATGTACACTGAAAACCATAAAACATTGCTGAAATTATAGAAGACATAAATGAAAAGACATCCTATGTTCATGGACTGGAAAAAATATTTTTTTTAATGGCAATACTACTCAAAGTAATATACAGATTAAATGTAATCCCTATCAAAATCCCAATGGTGTTTTTTGCAGAAATAGAAAACCTCATCCTAAAATTCAAATGTAATCTCAGATCACAAATAGCCAAAACAATCTTGAAAAAGAACAAAGTTAGAGGACTCAAATTCACTGACTTCAAAAATCACTACAAAGCTACAGTAACCAAAATGGTGTACTGCTGGCATAAGGACAAGCACATACAGCTGGTGCTCAAACAACATAAGTTTCAACTGCATGAGTCCACTTATACCTCCTTCCACCTCTGCTACCCATGAAACAGCAAGACCAACTCCTCCTTTTCCTTCTACTCAGCCTACTCAATGTGAAGATGGTGAATATGAAGACCTTTATGATGATCCACTTCCATTTAATGAACAGTAAATATATTTTCTCTTCCTTATGATTTTAGTAATATTTTCTTTTTGCTGGCTAACATTATGTAAGAATACAGTACATATATTTACATATAACATACAAAATACGTGTTGTTAATCAACTGGTTTTGCTATCAGTAAGGCTTTCAGTCAACAGCAGGCTATTAGTAGTTAAGTTTTGGGGAAATTAAAAAAGTATGTATTTCATGTATTTCAAATGTATGGAGAGAGGGTAGTGGTCAGTGCCCCTAATCCCCATGTTGTTCAAGGGTCAATTGTGCAGAAAAATGGAATGGCGGGGGGAAAAGGGGCACAAACCCACACATACATATGGTCAATTAATTTCAACATGTGTGACATAACCATTCAATAATGGACAGTCTTTTTAGCAAATGGTGCTGGAAAAACTGCATATCCACATGCAAGAGAATCAAGTGGGAGCCCCTACAATATACCATATACCAAAATTAACTCAAAAGGGATCAAAGACCAAAACATAAAAGCTAGAACTATAAAATGCTTAGAAGAAAACATAGGGGGAAGCTTCAGGACATTGAATTTGACCATGATCTCTTGTACATGAGACCAAGAACACAGGCAACAAAAAAAAAACAAACTAAACCTCATCAAAATTAAAAACTTTTGTGCATCAAAGAACAGTATTAACAGAGTGAAATGGCAATCCACAGAATGGGAGAAAATATTTGCAAATAATATATCTGATAAGAGATTATTACGCAAAATATGTAGGGCACTCCTAAAATTCAAAACAACTCAATTTTAAAATGGGCAAAAACTTGAATAAAAACGTCTCCAAAGACAGAAATGGCCAATAAGCACATGAAAAGATGCTCAACATCATAAATCATTAGGGAAATACAAATCAAAACCACAATGAAACATCACTTGACACCCATTAGGATAGTTATTATTTTAAAAAATCAGAAAAGAACAAGTGTTAGAATGAAACTGGAATGAAACGTAATGAAACTGGAACCCTTGGCAATGCTGGTGGGAATGTAAAACAGTGTAGCTGCTGTGAAAAATAGTGTATCAGTTTCTCATAAAATTACCACCTGATCAGTAATTCCACTTCTGGGTATACACCCAAAGGAACCGAAAGAAGGGATTCGAACAGATATTTGTACACCAATGTTCACAGCAGCATATTCAAAATAGCTCAAGGTAGAAACAACACAATTGTACACCAACAGATGAATGGATAAAAGGTGGTATGTACATACACTGTAGTATTATTCAGCCTTAAAAAAGGAAATGCTGACACATACTACAACATAGATAAAATCTGTAAACATTATGCTAAATGAAATAAGCCAGACAAAAAAGGAAAAATATTGTATGATTCCACTTATACACAGTACCTAGAAATGGCAAATTTACAGAAACAGAAAGTAGAATGGAGATTACCATAGGCTGGAGGGACAGGGAATAAAAGAGTTACTGTTTAATGGATACAGAGTTTGTTTGAGACAGATGATATAGTGCAAACAGATACTGGTGAAAACACAAAATTGTGAATGTGCTTTAACACCACCAAATTGTACTCAGGAACAGTTAAAACGGAGGCGGATGCAGTGGCATGCACCTGTAATCCCAGCTACTCAGGAAAGTGAAGTGGGAGGATCGCCTGAGCCCAGGAATTTCAGAGCAGCTTGGACAACCCCATTTCAAAAAAAAAAAAAAGGCAAATTTCATGTTACGTATATTTTACTGCCAATTTTTAAGGGCATTATTAATCTTAATTAGAATGCTTCGTTAGAGGAGAAGGTGCACATACCAGCTTATGGTTGGTAGAAAAATTAATGGAAAATGAAGAAATGAGAAAAATGGCTAAATAAATGAGAAAGACTAGAAGTTTGCATGATTTAAAACTTAAACTTGATGAAACATTTTTAGGTAGAAAAGATATTTTTATAGAAGATACATGATTTAACAAGGTTCCAAAAGATGTAAGGGAGAACAGGCTTAAGATACCAAGTTAAGACATTAACCTTGTAAAGTAAGAGAATACTTCTACAGAAATGGCATCCTGTCTCATATTCCAAGCTAGAATATTTAGTAGTCATGTGATCTTGAGCAAGTTATTTAACCCATCACCACCTCAATGTTCTCATCTGTAAAACAAGATAGTATCAGTAACAACCACACAGGACTGTTTTTTATTTTTTAAAGATTTATCCAAATGAGTCACAAAAATATATTCACGGATAATTTCAAGGAGGATTTCCTCCCTACTGCCTTAAAGTTTTATAGGTATGGGTGAACACAATCAAAGTTTTCTCCTGGCATGAGTAACTGAAGAAGTTCAGATGGTTCAGACTTTGGGGAGAGAGAGTTTGTCATTTCTCAAACGATTCTTTTAAGTATCTAATTTGTTATTTTGGGGAAAAATAAATACATGTCATACATTCTTTGGTTAGTAGTAGTATGGAAATAATTTTTTTTTTTTTTTTTTGAGACTGAGTCTCACTCTGTCGCCCAGGCTGGAGTGCAGTGGCGCAATCTCGGCTCACTGCAACCTCCACCTCCCAGGTTCAAGCTATTCTCCTGCCTCAGCCTCCTGAGTAGCTGGGATTACAGGCATGCACCACCACACCTGGCTAATTTTTGTATTTTTAGTAGAGACAGGATTTCACCATGTGGGACAGGCTGGTCTCGAACTCCCGACCTCAAGTGATCCGCCCACCTAGGCATCCCAAAGTGCTGAGATTACAGGCGTGAGCCACCGCGCCCAGCCTGAAAATAATTTTTTAAAACTCAGCTAATTGTTATTTTCTTAAAATTCTTATACAAATTATCATACAATCAGACCTTGATCATGGAAAAGAAAATGAAGAGAATCATTCATTTTCCATGGAACTATAACAAAAGATTTAACATTTGTATCACTGGATGCCCAGAAGACAAACAAGAAAAATAGAATGGGGCTAAAAGGGACTAAAACAAATGATGGCTAAAAATTCCCCAAATTTGGCAAAAGACATAAACCTACAGGTTGAAGGAGCTGACCAAACATCAAAACAGGACACACCCAAAGAAACCTAAGCCAATTTTTTAAAATGTCAAACCGAAATTCTACATCCACTGAAAAAAAAAAAAAAAATTAAGACATTCTCAGATGATGAAAAACCAAGAGATTTGTCACAAGCAGACATTCTAAAATAATGGTTAAAGGAAATTCTCTAAATAGAAGACGATGAAAGAAATAAATCTGGTATATCATATATCAGAAAAGAAGAACAAAATGTAAAAATATGGGAAAAGATAATACATTTTTCTTGTCTTGAAAGTTAAAGCAAAAATTATAATGTTGCTTGTTTCTCAATGCATGTAAGAAGATATTAAACATGAATATATTACGAACAAGGGTAAAATGACAAAAAGGAGGAAAAATTTCTACCTTTCAATTGAACTAGTAAAATATCAAAACCAATATAATGTGATGTTTTCTATGCCTAATTTAATACCTAGAGTAACCAATTTAAAAAGCTATACAAAGACATATACACACAAAAACACTTTCAGATAAGTCAAAAGGGAATTACAATAAATGTTCAAGTGGCCCAGGAAGGCAAAAAAGGAACACAGATACAAAAAACAGGGAGGTAAAAACAGAAAAGAAAGAATATAACAGCAGATTTAAACCCTAACATAACAATAGTTATATGAAATATAAATGGTCTAGACAACAATTCAAATTAAGAAACAGATTGGTAGACCTGGATACATAAACATGACCCATCCACAGACAAGAAATTCACTTAAAATGCAACAATACAGGTAGGTTGGAAGTAAAAGAATGGGAAATGATTTACCATGCAAATATTAATCAAAAGAAAGTGGGTGTGGCTATATTAGTGTCAGACAAGGCAGACTTCAGAGAAAGAAAATGGCCAGGCACAGAATGGAAAATTATATGATCACAAAAGAGTCAATCCACCAAGAAGGCACAATAATCTGAACCATGTACGCTCAGAACAACAGAACTGCAACACAAGTGAAGCAAAACCTGACAAAAATGAAAAGAGAAATAGACAAATCTACAATTTTAGTCGGCAACTTGAATACTTCTCTCTTAAAAATTGATAGAACTGGGCACAAAATCATCAAGAACTCAACACAATTAATCAACAAGATCTAATTGACATTTATATCACATTCTAACCCAAAATAGCAGAATACACATCCTTTACAAGTGCTCATGGAACTATTACCAAGACAGACCACCACATTGTGTGCCATAATTCAAACCTCAGCAAATTAAAAAGAATTAAAATCATAACAGAATGTGTTCTTTGACCAAAATGTACAAACTACAATAAATAAGAAAAAGATAGTAGGGAAATCTCCAAACACTTGGAAACTAAACAACAGATTTCTAAATAATTTCTGGGTCAAAGGGAAAGCCTCAAAGGAAATAAAAATATACATTGAACTGAATGAAAATGAGAACACAACACTGGAATTTGTGGAATACAGCTAAATCACTGCTAAAAGAAAAATGTATAGCATTAAATGATTAGAAAAGAGTAATGATGGCCAGGCGCAGTGGCTCAGGCCAATAATCCTAATACTTTGGGAGGCTGAGGTGGAAGGATCACTTGAGCTCAGGAGTTCAAGGCCCATCTGGGTAACAATAGAAAGACCTCGTCTCTACAAAAAAATTTAAAAATTAGCGGGGCATCGAGGCACACGCCTGTGGTCCCAGCTACTCAGGAGAGGCTGAGGCAGAAGGATAGCCTGAGCCCCTGAAAGGTCAAGGCTAGAGTGAGCTATGATCACGTCACTGCACTCCAGTCTGGGTGACAGAGTGAGACCCTGTCTTAAAATAAATTTTTTAAGAAAAGAAAAAGAATAATAATTTTCAATTAATAATCTAAGTTCCTTTCTCAAGAAACTAGAAAGGGATCATCTGAACAAATTTGCTATGGTCTGAAAGTGCCAAAATTCATTTATTGGAAACTTAATCCCCAGAGAAACAGTGTTAAGAGGTGGGGCCTTTGGGAAGGTGTAAAGGTCATGAGGGCAGAGTCCTTATAAGTATATTAATGCCATGATGAACAGGTTTGATTAGGGAGTTTGGACCCTTTTTGTCCTTTTGCCTTCTACCATGTGAGGACATACTGACCCCTCCCTTCTGGAGGATGCAGCTTTCCAGGCACCTTCTTGGATTCAGAGACTAGACCCTCATCAGAGAACCAAACCTGCTGGTGCCTTGATCTTGGTCTTCCCAGACTCCAGAACTATGAGAAAACAAATTTCCGTTCTTTATAAATTACCCAGTCTTGGTTCTGTTATAGCAGCAGAAATAAACTAGGACAGGAATTTAAAAAAAATTCCCATTATATGTTATTATAAATAACATATTTTATTAAAACTTTTTTTTTTTAAGACGGAGTCTTGCTCTGTTGCCCAGACTAGAGTGCAGCGGCGCAATCTCAGCTCACTGCAACCTCCACTGGTTCAAGAAGTTCCCCTGGTTCAAGAAATTCCCCTGCCTCAGCCTCCAAGTAGCTGGGATTACAGGGGCACGCCACCACATTCGGCTAATTTTTTTCTATCTTTAGTAGAGACGGGGTTTCACCATGTTGGCCAGACTGGTCTTGAACTCCTGGCCTCAGGCAATCCACCCGCCTTGGCCTCCCAAAATGCTGGGATTACAGGCGTGAGCCACCGCAGCCGGCCTAAAACTTTTTTTAATTGGGAAGAAGAATGGCATTATCTTACATTTTTACAAATCTCTTTAGCATCTAGCTTAATAGAAGACAACTGGACACTCATATCTGCGCCTGCATTCAATCTATGACAATACATTGCCTTGGTTTGAAGCGTGAAAATCTAACTTCACACAGATATGGACAGATGCTCCTAGACTTATAATGGGTGGGGTTTACATCCTGATAAACCACTTGTAAGTTGAAAATATTGTAGGTTGAAAATGCATTTAATACATCTAATCTGCTAACATCATAGATTAGTGTAGCCTACCTTAAACATGTTCAGAACACTTACATCAGCCTACAGTTGTGCAAAATCATCTAACACAAAGCCTATTTTATAACAAAGTGTCAAATATCTCATGTAATTTATTGAATACTGTACTGAAAGTGAAAAACAGAACGGTTGTATGGGTACTCAAAGTACGGTTTCTACTGAATGCATATAGCTTTACACACACCATCATAAAGTGGAAAAATCATAAAGTGAACCATTATTAAGTCTGAGATTGTAGTTGGAAAAGGGAAGAGTATGTTAACAGTCTTTTCAGATAACTGGAAATTATTTGCTACTACATCAAATTTGACGAGGGGTGTTTCTTAAAGATTAGTGGCATTGTAGAATCTGAAATTATATCAATGGTTTCTGAACTTTTTGCACAGTTTGCAACATTAAAATTTATTGGTCTATCTTCTACTTTGAATGGATCTTTTATTCATGGATGATTTTATAACATCATGCATTGATTGGTCACTTAGAAAATACTGGTTCCTTGAATTATGCAGCCAAATGTTGACACATTTCATCACATCTGTAACCCCAACACTTTGGGAGGCCAAGGCGGGAGGATCCCTCGAACCTAATAGTTTAAGACCAGCCTGGGCAACACAGTGTGACCCTGTCTCTATTAAACATTCAAAAACTAGCCAGGTAAAATTAGCATGCCTGTAATCTCAGCTACTCAGGAGGCTGAGGTGGGAGAATCACTTAAGCCCAGGAGGTTGAGGCTGTAGTGAATCATGATCCCACCACTGCATACAGAAGCCAAATAAAGTGATTCCCTTTATTTTTGAGACTCTGTATCAAAAAACACACACACAAAACAACACATTATTGGCTTTTGGTCCTTCATTCAAAATTCAAGAGGTACTGGGGTGGGGAGCAGAATATCTATATTTTCATACAGACCTCCTGCAGTTTTAAAATGTTATCCCCCGGATAGGTACAGTTTACATTTAAACAAATTATCAATTATATCCTATTCCCTAACATGATGTCAACCATCTTCAGCTCTTGTTACAGAAACAAATAAGCAAAAGATATTTTCCAGAAATTCGACAACAACAAATAAATGTTTATTGAAAACTTATAATGTGCCAAGCAGGGCTCTAAGAACCAGTGATACAACAGTGAACAAGACAATGAGATACCTGTTCTCACAGAGCTTACATGTAAGAGCATCAGTATCTCAAAGTACAATAGATCAGAAGCATAAAAGCTAAGTAAGCAAAATTTATTACCATTTAGGGAAAAAAAATTAATCTCATAGGAACAGTAAATTTTTAAACCTTTTTAATCTGTGAAAATATCTGTTTTTCTGTAACAGTTGACCCTTAAACAACATGAGTTGGAACTGCATAGATCTACTTATATGTGGATTTTTTTTTTCAATAAAATATACACCGAGTATGCCTCTCTTGCCTCCCCTTCCATCTCTTTTACCTCTTCCCTCTCTGCCACCCCTGATACAAAGACCAATCTCTCCTCCTCCTCAGCTACTCAACATGAAGATAACGAGGATGAAGACCTTTATGAGATCTACCTCCACTTAATGAATAGTAAATATATTTTCTCTCCCTTATGATTTTCCTAATATTTTCTTTTCTCTAGCTTACTTTACTGTAAGAATACAGTATATAAGATATATAATAGCCAGGAATGGTGGCTCATGCCTGTAATCCCAGCACTCTGGGAGGCCGAGGTGGGTGGATCACGAGGTCAGGAGTTCAAGACCAGCCTGGCCAACATGGTGAAACCCCGTCTCTACTAAAAATACAAAAATGAGCTAGGTGTGGTGGCACGCACCTGTAGTCCCAGCTACTCGGGAGGCAGAGACAGGAGAATCACTTGAACCCAGGAGGCAGAGGTTGCAGTGAGTCAAGATCATGCCACTGCACTCCAGCCTGGGTGACAGAGCGAGATTCCATCTCAAAAATTAAATAACTATGTACATATATCACAAAATATGTGCTAGTTGAATCTTTACATTAGTAAGGCTGTTAATTGTTAAATCTGGGGCTGGGCAGAGTGGCTCACACCTGTAATCCCAGTACTTTGGGAGGCCGAGGCGAGTGGATCACTTGAGCCCATGAGTTTGAGACCAGGCTGGCCTACGTGGTGAAACCCGTCTCTACTACAAACACAAAAATTAGCCCAGCGTGGTGTCGTATGCCTATAATCCCAGCTACTCTGAAGACTGAAGCCCAAGGATCAGTTGAACCGGGGGTGGGCGGTGGGGCAAAGGTTGCAGTGAGCCGAGATCATGCCACTGCACTCCAGCCTGGGCAACAGAGCGAGACGCTGTCTCAAAAAATAAATAAAATAAAAAACTGTTAAATTTGGGGAGGAGTCAAAGTTACATGCAGATTTTCAATTATTAGGGGAGTCAGCACCTCTAACCACCATGCTGTTCAGGGACCAATTGTAAAACTATTATTTTATAGCCTCTTCACATTAAAATAATGTCTTCATAAATTACTAAACAGCCAATCCCTTCCTTTTGACAGGTGAAGGAACAAGGTATTGGAGAGTTACAATGATGATTAAGGGAATCTCTTTATTTGGCTTCTGTATAAAATTTGATTTTCCCTTCCCCACTAAAAAAATTGGATCAACCAAACAAAATAAAACAAAACCGGCCAGGCACTGCTTGTAATCCCAGCACTTTGGAAAGCCAAGGTGGGAGGATTGCTTGAGCCCAGGAGTTCAAGACCAGGCTGGGCAACATCGTTAAGACTTCATCTGTACTAAAATGCAACAAAGTTAGCCAGCTGTGATGGCACAGGTCTGTAGTCCCAGCTACTCGGGAGGCTGAGGTGGGAGGACTGCTTCAGCCTGGGAGGTCAAGGCTGCAGTGAGCCATGATCGCACCACTGCACTCCAGCCTGGGTAAGCAAGACCTCATCTTTAAAAAAAAAAAAAAAAAAAAAAAACCAACACAACTTCTTTTTAGCAAGTGTCAGAAAATGCTCATCCTCTTCATATAGCCTGGCATTTTTTAAACCACATTTTTTAAAAGATAAAATAATTTATTAAATGGGAAACAAGACTTTTTCTTCAATTCTCATATGGTGGAGCTGTGATGAATCACAAGAATCTGTATTTGGTTCTAATGTGACTGGATCCATCAACAGGCATTTGGTAATCCTCACTATGACATATCATCAAGGCAATGCAGCACACAGGTATCCCTCTCTTAAAGGTCCAAGTGTATCTCAGTTGGTGGTCTTAAGTTGAGGTTTGGCAAACGGCTGGCAATATTTATTTTAATGTCAGATAATTTAATAATGGTAAATGAACTCCAATTTCCACCCCTCCTTCATGCAACCGTAATGTATCTTGGTATAAGCTGGCTCTTCCCCAGTTCCAAGACTGGAGCACATGATGCAGACCTATGCTCATCAGCACACCATTATTTTGACTGAGATTGATTCAGATATGGGTACATTATATCTAAATTGGTCAGATCAATTAGAGATTCTATTTGAAGGTAAGAAGAAAAGACTTTTTCCACTGTACCTGAACAAATAGTCTTAGAAGCTACTGGCACTCGTCTTGTAATCACAAGTTCTCTGGTGGACAACACCAAAGAAGCCGATCTGGAAAACCAGCTGCAGTCACATCATTTGCAAAACCTTTGGGGCCAGGCCAAATAAGCACAGGGCACGTTGTGAGAGACCAAGGTACAGCCACTTATCACCAGGTTACTCTATTGTTTTTGTGAAGTTTCAAATGCTGCTTTCTAAATTATCTCATTTAGTCCTCCTCAGTACCCCATGAAATAAATTATTGTTAATTCAATTTTACAGATTGAGAAAACTGCACTTTAGAAGAGTGTATATGACTTCTCTAAGGACAAAGAGGAAAGAAAGGGTAGCATAATGTACACCTACGGCACTGTCTGCCCTGCCCTACTGCCCTCATTTTCCTGCAAACTGCCTCCCCATTCTCAAAGTTCTCATGTGACCCTACCCGCCTGATCACAATTAATTAGTCAAGGAGCCAGGCACGATGGCTTACATCTGTAATCCCAGCACTCTGGGAGGCCGAGGCAGGCAGATCAAGACTTGGTTAGGAGATTGAAACCATCCTGGCTAATATGGTGAAACCCCATCTCTACTAAAAATACAAAAAATTAGCCAGGTGTGGTGGTGTGCACCTGTAGTCCCAGCTACTCGGGAGGCTGAGGCAGGAGGATCGCTTGAACCTGGGAGGTGGAGGTTGCAGTGAGCCGAGATCATGCCACTGCACTCCAGCTTGGGTGACAGAGCAAGACTCAATCTCAAAAAAAAAAAAAAAATTAGTCAAGGAGTGGGCACCTGGCAACTGACCTAAATGTAACTAATGAATCTTTTCCTCCAGAGCTCTATACTCAAGACTCAAAGATCTGAAGTCAATGGTCAAAGCTGAAGCTGTTAGATATAAAGTTCCAGTGCTGTAGGCAGCCATATTTTCCACATGTGACTAAAACCAGTCTACAATCTGAGAGAATGATGCCAACACAAAGAAAAACGTAAGAGAACACAGAGAATGAGCCTTGCTTGCATTTAAGCCCAAATTCTAGTTTTTACTGAAGTTCAACTTAATCTTTACCTTTAATGAGACTAGGTTTTCCTGAATCCAAAATTCTTTTTTAAAGAATCAACAAAGTGAGGAGGCAACCTAAAGAATGGGAGAAAATATGTGCAAACAAGGGATTAATAACTAGAATATATAAGGAGCTCAAACAACTCAGGAGAAAAAAAGTCTAATAATCCAATTTTTAAATGGGCAAAGGATCTGAATAGACATTTCTCCAAAGAAGACGTCTATCATGCCTATAATCCCAGCACTTTGGGAGGAGGATCATTAAGCCGAGGAGTTTGAGACCAGCCTGGGCAACATGGCAAAACCCTGTCTCTACAAAAAAAGAAAAAAAAATACAAACATTGGCCGGGCATGGTGGCACGCACCTGTAGTCCCAGCTACTCAAGAGGCTGAGGTGAGAGAATCATCTGAGCCAGAGAGGTCAATGCTGCAGTAAGCCATGACCCCACCACTGAACTCCAGCCTGGGCAACAAAATGAGATCCTGTCTCAAAAAAAAAAAAAGATGGCCAGGCGCGGTGGCTCACACCTGTAATCCCAGCACTTTGGGAGGCCAAGGTGGGCAGATCACCTGAGGTCTGGAGTTCGAGACCAGCCTGACCAACATGAAGAAACCCCATCTCTACTAAAAACACCAAAAAAATTAGCCAGGTGTGGTGGTGCATGGCTGTAATCCCAGCTACTCGGGAAGCTGAAGCAGGAGAATCGCTTGAACCTGGGAGGCAAAGGTTGCGGTGAGCCAAGACTGCGCCATTGCACTCCAGCCTGGGCAACAAGAGGGAAACTCTGTCTCAAAAAAAAAAAAAAAAAAAAAGACATACAAATGGCAAACAAGTATATGAAAAGGTACTCAGCACCACTGATCATCAGAGAAATGCAAATCAAAACTACAATGTGGTATCATTTCACCCCAGTTAAAGTAGCTTTTTTTTTTAATCCAAGAGGCAATAATGAATACAACTGAGGATGTGGAGAAACGGGAACTCTCCTACAATGTTAACGGGAATGTAAATTAGTACAACCACTATGGAGAACAGTTTGGCGGTTCTTCAAAGAACTAATCAAACTACCCATAGAATCCAGCAATCCCACTTCTAGGTACATATGCAAAAGAAAAGAAATCAGTATAGCGAAGAGATATCTGCACTCCCATGTTTATCATACCACTATTCACAACACCCAAGATATGGAAGCAACCTAAGTGTCCATGATCAATGGACAAAGAAAATACGGTACATATACACAATGGGATATTATTCAACCATAAAAAAGAATAAAATCCTATCATTTGCACAACATAGATAGAACTCAAGGTCATTACATTAAGTGAAATAAGCCAGACACAGAAAGATAAATCTCACATGTTCCCATTCATTTGTGGGATCTAAAACTCAAAACAATTCAACTCATGGAGACAGAGATAGGAAGGGTAGTAGGGGAGAAAGGGACTGGGGGGATAGTTAATGGGTACAAGAAAAAAAAAAAACTAGCTAGAAAAAATGAATAAGATCTAGTATTTGATAGCACAACAGGCTAACTATAGTCAATAATAATTTAATCATATATTTTTAAATAACTAATGGAGAATAATTGGATTGTAACACAAAGGATAAATGCTTGAGAGGATGGATACCTCATTTTCCATGATGTGATTACACACAGCATGCCTGTATCAAAACATCCCATGTACCCCATAATATATACACCTACTATGTATCCACAAAAATTGAAAATTAAAAAAAAAAATAAGAGTAGAATCAAAACATTCTTAACACAAAGAAATGGCAAGTGTTGTAGGTGATGGATACTCCATTTACCCTGATGTGACTATTATACATTGTATGCCTATATCAAAACATCACATGTACCCCATAAATACATATATCTACTATGTTCCCATAAAAATTTAAAATAAAGCATTTTTAAAATTATTTTTTGTCTACGAATTTTTTTTTTTTTTGAGATGGAGTCTCACTCTGTCACACAGGCTGAAGTGCAGTGGCACAATCTTGGCTCACTGCAACCTCTGCCCCCCCGGGTTCAAGCAATTCTCCTGTCTCAGCCTCCCGAGTGGCTGGGATTACAGGCGCCTGCCACTATGCCCAGCTAACTTTTGTATTTTTAGTAGAGACAGGGTTTCACCACATTGGCCAGGCTGGTCTTGAACTCCTGACCTCAGGTGATCTGCCTGCCTCAGCCTCCCAAAGTGCTGGGATTACAGGCGTGAGCCACCATGCCCAGCCTGTCTACAAATATTTATGTTGGGTTCTATCACTTACAACTGAAAGAGTCCTAACTAATTCAGAGAAAGAAAGGGAAAGAACAAGAGAATGGAAATAGGGGAGATAATCATTCACAATAATTAATGAGCATTATTGAACATGATGTCTAGAATTATTATGTTTAGCCCACAAGGAATTCTCATTAGGTATGATTAACAAACAAGATAGCCCTATACCAGATAGGTATGATCAACTAATTCAGAGAAAGAAAGGGAAAAAACAAAGGAATGGGGAAAGGGGAGATAATCATTCACACCAATCAATAAGTAATACTGAACACTGATGTCTAGAATTATGCTTAGCCCTCAAGGAATTCTCATTAGGTAAGATTAACAAACAAAATAGCCCTATACAAGACAACTATGATCAATTTCTAAATTTCATGAGACTACAGGAGTTCAAAAAAGAAAGTAACAGTTTAACACAGTTGTGATTTATGTCAGACTATAAAGATGAGAAAATTGTGTGAGGAGGACATGGGGGAGAACTCAAGGGGAGAGAAAGGTAGGTCCTGGAAATACGACAGCAAAAGTAGGAAAGAGTAGGTGAGATACTATAGAAAGCAAGAAAATCCAGTAGAGCGCAGTCTATTTTGGGAAATGCTGGGAATAAAGACTAAGTAAATAGGTACACTGAGACCACATGACAAAAAGCACCAAAGTTAAGAAAAGATGTAGTATAGATTATATTGGAAAGCTGCTACGCTGTCCCACAAATCCAAGAATGTTGGGATGAAAATTTGGATTTGGGTAGTGCAGCAGTAACAAAAAGTAAAGATCAGATTCAGGGAACATTTCAAATAAAGTATCACACTCTACTTTACCCCCAAGTAGTATTTTTGCCTATACTGGAACCTTCATCCAACCTATACTATAAAAGTAAACAAAGGAAAAGAATTAACTACTAATACTTGTATGTAACCATGGCACCACCTATAAATTATTTCATTTAATCCTCCTAATTAAGCCTATGACGTATTATCATGATTCTCATTTTGCAGATTAAATATATTCAGACTCAAAAAAGTTAGGTAACTTGTCCAAGATTACACAACTAAATAAAAACCTGGCCAGCAGAGCTGGGAGATAGATAATAATCCACTTAGATCAAAAGTAGTTTTTCCCAAGGACAAATCATAAGGATATATAATGATGACGATGATTACAAACAGCTAACATCTACTAAATGTTGTGAACTCTGCAAAGCACTTACATGCATTACCACGTTTAATACTCTTAAGAGTTCTATGAGGGTCTATGATTAATCTTATTTGAAGGTGATGTGTTTGAGTTCCTCTTAAGAACTTTACCCAAAGTCACAGGGCTAATAAGTGGTCGACCTGGGTGGGAGTGAAAAATCCCAGTCTGACTCCAGAATTCATGCCTGACAAGGCAGTTCTGCTGGTGTCATGTAATCCTTACAACAATATAAGGTAGGCATCATCATCCCATTTCAGAGATGGGATAAATGGATATCACAGTGCTTTAGTAAACTGTCCAAGGACCAAGGGCTAGTAAACAACAAAGCCAGGGTTGGAAGCTAGTTATCCCTAAAAAACACCCATGTGCTTCAATGTGACGGTGTATGTGCATGGGAGAGCAGGGGTGGAGATGGCCCTACTAGACATTTTAAAAGCTGAAGAGATATTAGAAAGCCTTTATAATTGACACAGTGTGGTATTAGCACATGAAAAAGCAAGAGAGACCAATGGAACAGAAGGTTAGAAATAATCCCAAGTACACATGGAAATTTAATATATGAAGAAAGTGGCATTGTCAACCAACAAACATAGGCATTTTTAAAATAAATGCTGTGGAGATAAACAGATAGCCATTTGAATAAAGATAAAATTGGATGTATCTCAAAATTTACCATACATGATAAATTCCGAGTAGATTTCAAAGTAAAAACTGAAAAAAACATTAAGCATCAGAGAAAATATGGATGAATTCCTTTATGATCTGGACATAGGGGAAATCTTTCTAACTATGACTCAAAATTTTGAAGCAACAAAAGATTGATAATTTGGAGACATTTAAAAATTGTGCGGCAAAGTAACAAAATGCAGAAGCAAAGTCTAAAACATGAAAAATTGCAAAAAAAAAAAAAAATCTGCATTTTACCACAGAAAAAGGGCTAAGCTCCCTAATACATAAAGAGCTTCTAAAAACTGAGAAGAAAAACAATTTAAAATGAACAAAAAATATGGACGGGCAGATCACAGAAGGAATTCAAATAGCCCTTAAAATATGAAAAGATATTCAACCTTACTCATGAGAAGAACAGAAATTGATATTAATGTTAGAATAGAAAAAATAGAAAATAAAATTCAAATTCAAATTATACTGAAATAGCACTTGTCACCTATTAAATGGACAAAAATTCAAAAGTCTTACAACATATTGTTGGTGAGGACAACAGACAATCCCATATCATTACTAGTGGAAATGTAAAATAGCACAACTCTTAGGAGAGGGAGAATATTTTAACAGTGAGCAAAATTATATATGCATGTGTCTTTAACCCAGCAATCTCACTTCTAGGAATCTACTCCAAAGACACACTGGTAAAAATATAAACAACTCAAATGTCCATCCATAGGAGACTGAATTAACAATGCTAACACCCACAAAATGGAACAGGACTCAGCTGTAAAAAGGAAGGAGGAAAATCATACACCAATATGTAACATGCTACTTTTTGCGTAAGAAAGTGATTAAAAAAGAATATAAATATATCTATGTATATATCTATGTATATGTGTATATGGATACATATTTGCTTATATTTATAAGAATAAACACTGAAATGTCAAATCAAAAAAAAGAGTAAAGGGAAAAGAACAGGGTAGAGAGACGTGGATCAAAGTAAGAATATTCTGAATATATCTGATATAGTTTTAACTTTTAAACCACGTAAATGGGCCTGGCACAGTAGCTCACACCTTTAATCCCAACACTTTGGGGGGTTGTGGTGGGAGGATCCCTTGAGCCTAGGAGTTTGATCCTGGCCTAGGCAACACAGCGAGACTCCATCTCTACAAAACATTTTTAAAATCAGCCAGGCATGGTAACACGTGCCTATAGTCCCAGCCGCTCAGGAAACTGAAGTGAGAGAATCGCTTGAGCCCAGGAGGAAGAGGCTGCAGTGAACCGTGATCATGCCACTGCACTCCAGCCTGGGGGACAGAGCAAGACCCTGTCTCAAAAAACAGGCCGGGCGCAGTGGCTCATGCCTGTAATCCCAACACTTTGGGAGGCTGAGGCAGGCAAGATCACTTGAGCTCAGGAGTTCGAGACCAGCCTGGCCAACATGGCAAAACCCTACCTCTACTAAAGATACAAAAATTAGCCGGGCATGGTGGCACATGCCTGTAGTCCCAGCTACTAGGGAGACTGAGTCAGAAGAATTGCTTGAACCTGGAGGGAGGAGGTTACAGTGAGCCAAGATGGTGCCACTGCACTCCAGTCTGGGCGACAGAGCAAGACTGTCTCAAAACAAAAACAAAAAAACCCAAACCAACCAAAAAGCATGTAAATGTTTCACATACACAATAAAATAAAATTACATCAAAAAGTAAAGAAAGCACTTTTTAAGTACTGGAAAAAAAGAAAAAAAAAAAAAACCTAAAATGAAAGAGCCTAACTGACAAGAAGTTGGTGAAATAATCAGTCACTTTTTCTTCTTCTCAAAAATAAAATATCATAGCTCTATTCACTGAACAAGGACAAGAAACAATTTCATCCAATAGTAAAGAGTAGCATTCCCCACCAAAAGGAAAGAGTTTCCTGGAGGAATGGCTGATTTCCAAGTCTGAGGCAAGAAATGTACAAGATGAGCCTGAGTACCTTACTGCAGCAAAAAAAAAAAAACAAGGAAGCTCTATCAAAGATAATTAGGGTCATATACAAATAACATGAGAATCAACCTGAAGAAGCCCCCATCAGCCAAAGACAGGACAAACTGAGTATCAGCAAGGATGACATAAATTGACTGAAAACACACCAAAAATATTTTTAAATGTGTTTATAATGATGCCAAAAATTTAAAAAAAAAAAAAAGACTGAGAGCGAAATAAATAAATAAATGTTGGTTATGTCTTGTTTGTGACTCATATGGATCATATCAACAGGCTCTTTTGCATATTAGCTTTTCAGGTAATGGGAGATCTCAGAAGGAGACTGCATGTAGGGAGGGAGGAGAATAAGGGTAGGGGATATATTCCTCTGTCTCCCTTAATACTTGATCCACAAGCTCCTCTTTACTTGAAAGCACACTCCCCATCAGACAGACCTCTTCCATAGAGCTACCCTCCTCAGCTGCTTTCCTCTTCCCTGTTTCCTGCTGGCCTTGAGGCGATCGCAACTCCCTTCCTCACTGTGACTAGTCACAGAGCACTGTACCATCCCTACCAGTTTCCTTAAATATTATCTATACCTTTGTAAACAGTCCTTTACTTAAACTCCCCTCAAGTTACCCAGTTTGTGGCATATCTATCATAATAAGTCTCCAAAATACCTTGCTATAACAAGTGGCAATTAAGGAAAAGATTGAAGTATTCATCCTGTATTTCATGAATTGGATTTCATGGTAAACATACAGCCCTAGTTGATATTAATATGTAAAAGTTCTACTCTTAACAGAGGAATTACAGTTAATAAATGTGAAAGGAATAACAGAATTAGAAAATCATTATTTTGCTATTCCCTAATGAAATAACAGGGATTCAGTTAAAGATCATGAATGAATGGAACCATTAGATGAAAGGTTAATGAACGATTCTTACAGGAAGCTATCACAGACTGATGCCACCTGAACAGAATGATCAACCTTAGCATCACTACAGGCCAGGCAGACATTATGCACCTCCGTGTGAGGCAAAAGAAAATACAATCTATTGAGTACCCTTGACTAGAAATCTGAAATAAGTAAATCAAGCTTTTAGATCTAACTACCATTTTATAGGAAATATGGAAAATACAGGAAGAAGTTAAATTACATCATTAGGAAAGTAAAAAGAAAAATCCAGAATGTAAAACAAGGTCCTGTATAGTACCACTGACCTAGTTCCTTCAACATGCAGGGGAAGGGGAGTTGGAGAAGTTGGGGGAATGAGATTTCTCTATATTAAGAGACTTAAAAGACTCTTAAAGGACCTAACCAAAGAAAAGCAACATTTGGACTTTGGATCCAGATTCTAATAAAGCAACTGTAAAATAGACACTGTTTTAGACAATCAGAAATATGAATATAAACTGGGAATTAATGATACCAAAGCACTTTTAATTTTGCTAGGCATGATAATGGCCATTATGATTATGTAAGAAAATGTCCTTTTTTTTTTTCAAAGATGCTTATTGAAGTATGTAAGGATGAAATGACAATATATGGAATTTACTTTAAAATATTTTGGTAAGAAAAAGGGTGATTAATGAAATCAAATGTGATGACATTTTGAAAACTGCAAAATCTGAGTAACAGGAGTTCACTATCCTATTTTCCCTACTTCTGCGTATATTTGAAATTTTTATCATAAAATTACCAAACAGAATGAAAATTCACATTCTTTCCACTGTAACTACAGTTTTCAAACTTGAGTGTGTCTAAGAATCCACATCTCATGCAAATCCTAAGAATCATCCCAAAAAATTGTGATTTTGTTTGTCTACGCAAGATCCCAGATTCCATTTTTAACAAGTGCCTCAAGTGAATCTGATACAATCTACAGCCTCATATCTGAAAACTATACACTTAATTGCTTTACTACAAGTAAACCAAACCTTAAAGGAAAGTCATGATCATATCTCTTACCTGCCCTTCACCATACCCCACTCCTATCTTAGTGTGATAGACATTTAATTAATCCTTTTCCTGACACTATAAATTCCATGAAAGTGGGACATGTTTGTTTTTACTCACCATGGTGTTCCATTGCATAGCAGAATTCCTAGCACACAGTACACACCAAATAAACATTTGTCAAATGAATGAATGAATAACAGAAAAGAGAAAAAGGAAAGTTAATTGCAGTCCACTGTTTCAAAATTAGTTTGAGGGCTGGGTGCTGTGGCTCACGCCTGTAATCCTTACACTTTGGGAAGCTGAGGCCAATGGCTCACTTGAGACCAGCCTGGGCAACATGGCAAAACCCCATCTCTACCAAAAAAAATACAAAAATTAGCCAGGCATGGTGGCGCTTGCCTGTAGTCCCAGTTACTCAAGAGGCTGAGGCAGAAGAATGGCTTCAGCTCGGGAAGTGGAGGCTTCAGTGAGCTGAGATCATGCCACCACACTTCAGCCTGGGTGACAGGGCCAGACCCTGTCTCAAAAAAAAAAAAAGTAGTTCAAGACAACAATCTGAGAAAATTTTCAATTTCTTGCCAAAAATCTGGTATCAGAAGTATGGATCAATTAAGAGGGGCACAGGTTGGCCTACCCTTAATATAACACAAGTATAAGATAAACTCTCACCTCCCTGAGATATCAGACTTTGGACGTTAATTTGAACATCTACCTTCCTATTAATTGTTTAGGAACTGTAATAAAAATACACTCTATATTTCATAATCCCAAACAGAGAGGGCAAGTATACTAGAGAAGAAAATCATATCTTTACATTTTAATAGATATACAAATAAAAAATTACACTTCCTATGTTCAGAAAGTACAAACCCCTACAATTATGAACGTAAGTCACAAATTCAAAAAATAATGGCAAATATAACTATTGAAATTAATTTAGGAACTAGTTCCAAAAAAAGCACTTACTAAAGATGGTTGACAGTCTTACATTTCTACCCCAACATCATTTAACTGTTTAAGTTTTATTTCTTAAATAATAAATCAAAGACAATTTTTTGAAGTTTTAATTGAAGTGTAATAAACAAAGTCTCATAGATTTTGTTTAATAAATTTTATTTTATTATTTTTTTTTTTTGAGACAGAGTCTCACTTTGACAACCAGGCTAGAGTGCCGTGGCACCAACATGGCTCACTGCAGCCTCAATCTCCTGGGCTCAAGCGATCTTCCTACCTCAACCTCCCAAGTAGCTGAGACTACACCCAGGTAATATTTTTATTTTTTTTGTAGAGCCGAGGTCCCTCTCTGTTGCCCAGGCCGGTCTCAAACTCCTGGGCTCAAGGGATACTTGCACCTTGGCCTCCAAAAGTGCTGGGATTACAGACCACCATGCCAGGCCTATCATAGAATTTTCAGAGACACAAGAGACATCAGCAACTATCTGGTCCAACTCTTTGTTCTACAAATAGGGAAACTGAAGCCTAGATGAGAAAAATGATGTACTTCATTACACAGAGATTTAATAGCAAAACAAGACTATGCTCTGAATTTTCAGTCCAGTGTTCTTTTCACACCACACTAATGGCATATTTTTAAGAATACTTTCCATTGTGAATTGCAGTACTACCTGTTCATCTTCTTGAACACATGTGTGTCGTATCCAACAGCTATACTGTGGACTTAAACTAAATGGATATACCCCCTTTTTAGTGGGGATGAGGAATGGAGAAGTAGAGCTATTGGATTATCTTCAGCAATAGAACTCTATATATAATATTTCCTGATAAGTGGGTTTTTCTATCAATTATCGTAATAGAATCTGTAGTTTTCACCATATATCCATAACACCAAAACTTATAATCGTGAAGCAAAACTGGTGTAAAGTTATGCAAAGTCTAATCTAAAACTGAGAATTTACTCTTTATTCAACATAAAATTTTATATGTAGTTCCTTCTTCTGGATTAAAAACATTTCTGGGCAGGGTGCGGCGCTCATGCCTGTAATCCCAGCACTGTGGGAGGCTGAGGCGGGCGGATCACGAGGCCAGGAGATCGAGACCATCCTGGCTAACACGGTGAAACCCTGTCTCTACTAAAAATACAAAAAATTAGCCGGGTGCGGTGGCGGGCGCCTGTAGTCCCAGCTACTCAGGAGGCTGAGGCAGGAGAATGGCGTGAACCCAGGAGGTGGAGCTTGCAGTAAGCCAAGATAGCGCCACGGCACTTCGGACTGGGCGGAAAAAAAACATTTCTGACTCAAAAGATTAATGAATTAACCAATTCATATCTCAGCCGTTACTCTGAGCCACGTCTCTACACACCCACAGGGTGCCTGTAGTGCAAGAGGGCCTATTTACAGAACACACACTGAAAGTATAAAAGATACACACAGAAAGAGAACAAGATAACAACTCAATCTCCATAAATTAGTTCCCAATTGCCTTTTATATCCAACTAAACCCTTGGCACAAAGTATATACCATATTATAAATCACAACTAAACAAATAAACAGTCTCTAAAAGATCTTCCCCATTTATTGAATCTATTAATAAATGTCTCAATTTTCAGTTACAATTGGCTTAGACGTCAATAACGCACAGCTAGATTATGAATTTATGAGCGGCTTGAGGTGCCAGATAAATTACTCTGTACTTAGAGACGACAATAAATATCAACTTCTAGACTAAGCACACTGACTAGTATATAACAGAAATATTATAAATATGACAATATTACAAATGCTTACTAAATACCAAATGCTATGATAGTTGCTTTGACTATATTATTCAATTCTTACAACAATCTAGTACTTTTATCCCCTCTTATTTTTCTGAAGATGAAACAGCATTGAGAGGTTAAAATAACTCCCTAAAATATTTCAGCAAATACATGTCAGAGCCTAGATTTCAATCCAAGTTTAGGCCCTATACAAAGATTTGCTGAATGAATAAAAATGAATTAGGAGAGTAACTTGTTTTTTTAAAAGAAGTTCCTGCAACATACTAACATCCAAAAAAGTCTGGTCCAAACTAACCAGATATGCAATTGATACTAATAACACCTATTAACTCACAAACTAGGAACACTGGCAGAGATACAACTTTAAGGCTCAAAGATTTAATGACCTCAGGTCTTTTCATTCCAAGAGTAATATACCCCCAAAACAGATCAATTCAACTGGCAAGGCATACAGGGGATTAGACAGCAATAATCCAGATTCGAAAATGCTACCCAAAATCTGCTGTAATAACCCAATGTGTGGACTAACACTGTCAAAAAAGTTCACAACAAAAATTTCAGTTTAGCGACAGGGACAATAGTGGAATTAATGACAAAACAGATAAGTTTATGGGAGGAAGCTTGTTTTGGAATATGAGGGATTTGAGACTAACATGACATCCAAGTAGAAATGCTTACAAGGCAGTCAGATATTTAAGGTTTGAAACAAAAGACTAAAAATAAAGATTTGGGTATCATGTACATAGAGATAATAATAATTGAAGCTGTAAGAATGGATGAATTCTTCAAGAGAGTGAAGACAAAGATAAGTATGATAGGCCAAAGATTGAGGAAAAGAAAAAAAGAAGAATGAAAAGATGGGAAAGCACTAGGTCAAGAGAGCCCAGGAAGATAATTTAAAGGAAGAAAAACTCAAAGACTAACACCAGAAATTTCATTTACATTTATCTTCCACATTCTGAAAAACTCCCTAATAAGAAATAGTAGTGACAAACAGCACAGTGTTAGAACTCAACAGGCACTATTTGACTAATACTGGTTCCCTTCTGTCTCCTCCGCTCACCCGTTGCTACACCTCCACCAGCCAGAAGAGAAGTGGAAAGGTCATGTTCTTAACAGGCATCATGAAGCGATGTGCCAATAAATATGCTACAAGCAAGATATTTTCATGAAAAGTATGTCAAACTTCAAAACAAATGTATCTATAACCCTCCCAACCATTTTTGTTTTTCCTTTTTTTTGAGACAAGTTCTCACTGTGTCGTCCAGGCTGGAGTGCAGTGGCACAATCTCGGCTCACTGCAACCTCCCCGTCCTAGGCTCAAGCAATTCTCTGGCCTCAGCCCTCCAGGAGCGAGCCACTGCACCCGGCCTTGTTTTTCCTATTTAATTTACAAATCATAAGCATTTTTTCCTCTGCAAAGATTAAATAGACTTAACTAAACTCCATCCCTTATTCTGTTTTCAAAGGTACTCAAAATCACTGAGAAATTATTACAGGCCCTAGACAAAATAATTAGAAGATAAGGAAGTCCGGAAAAGAGAAATAGCTCCCGATAATCCTTATAAACTGTAACATGGACAGTAAGAAAGACAACCATTAGGACACTGGAAAGAATCTGACCTACAGAAAACCAAAGTTGACTAATTTGAATGCTCTAGGAAACAAGTGAATGGTTATCATAATGTATCTTAGTATTTGCAGACTATTTTAGCATTTATACATGATATGAAGATTGAACTTACTTAGTTCTTGAAAAAAATTACAGGTGTTCGAGAAAAGATTGGATAGCCACTTATCAGAGTTCTTCCAGCTACATTATTCTAAACTACTGCAGGTTGAGTATCCCTTGTTTAAAATGCTTGGAACTAGAAGTGTTTCAGACTGCAGACTTTTTCAGATTTTAAAATATTTGCATATACATAAGATACCCTGGGGATGGGGACCAAGTCTAAATAAGAAATTCATTTACGTCTCATACATACCTTATACACAACAACCTGAAGGTTATTTTTTGCAATATTTTAATAATTTTGTGCATGAAACAAAGTTCTGACTGCATTTTGACTGCAACCCATCTCACAAGGTCAGGTGGATTTTCCACTTATGGCGTCATGTCAGCACTCAAAAAGTTTCAGATTTTGAGCACTTCAAATTTCAGATTACGGATGCTATTCATCATTAGTGTCTCAACAAAAAAGCTGTTTAGTAGGTAAGGTAGTTTAAAAGGACATACACCAGCAAATTTCTGAAACCAAAAGATTTGGAAGTTTCCATTTCTAAGCATGAATCTAGTAAAGGAGGTAGAGAAGAAACAATTTGAAAACCTTATTTTTGGGATTACAAAAACAACTCTAGAACTAAAGGACTGCACGTGGCACATAATACACACTAATAAGTAAGTATCAGTTACACAAATCAACAAAAGTCAAAATAACAGAAAAAGGCAACCAATGTAAAAGGAGTTTTGTTCCTATAATACATGAGAGGTCCAAAGTCCAGATAGGGAAGAACAAGAACAGACTCACTGAAAAAGCTGAAGTCACCTGATAGGTCACCCTGAATGACACAATGAATGAATGAACGAACGAATGCTCAATGTTAAACATAAAACATCATGCGAAGAAAATTCATGCTAGATACTACAAACCCAGAAAAAGGATTTTTTGTCTCTAAAGGAAATTCAGTCTTGGGCCAGGCACGGTGGCTCACGCCTGTAATCCCAGTACTTCGGGAGGCCAAGGCAGGCGGATTCCTTGGGGTAAGGAGTACAAGACCAGCCTGGCCAACATGGTGAAACCCCATCTCTACTAAAACTACAAAAATTAGCCAGGCGTGGTAGTGCACGCGTGTAATCCCAACTACTCGTGGGGGCTGAGGCAGGAGAATCACTCGAACCCAGGAGTCGGAGGTTGCAGTGAGCCAAGATCGCGCCACTGCACTCCAGCCTGGGCAACAGAGTGAGATTCCATCTCAGAAAAAAAAAAAGGAAAATTCAGTCTTTACCAAGTTCAGATTGACGGGGTAATAAAATTTCAGTAACAGCTATCAATAAACAGCTGTGGAACTAAACAGAAAAAGAGGACAAGATTATAAGATTTGAAGGGGAAAAAACAACCAAATCTGTCTGTTGACTATTCTCTTTAACAAAATGTTGTTTTAGAAGTGTTGGGCTCCATGATACCTGGCTGTCCTAACTCTGGAGGCCTTGATGGCTTACCTCCTCCACTCTTCCTCTTTGTTCAACCTTCATCTTTCACCCTCATTTTTCCCTCCATTGTTTCTCCCTTTACCATTATATCAACTTGCACCTTTGTGCAAATGACTTCTAAATCATTATCTGTAATTATGAGCTCAGTTCTGTATCTCCAACAGTCTACAGGTCATTTTCTCATGATTGCTCCACTATCCCCTCAAACACAACGAATCTAAAATTGAATTTATCTGTAGGCCTATTCTTCACAAGCAATTTCCAAACCTGACTTTGCTATTTTTACCATTCTCCCTATAATCCAGGCTCAACCTCTTTAGAGTCATCTGACTATTGCCTCTCTCTTTGGTTCCCCATCTTTTCCCTGCCAATAAAGTTCCATTAATTCTTCTTTTCTCATTCTCATGCCCCAATTTTGGGCTTCAATCATTTCTGGACTATTACAATAATAACAATTTTAAAAAACTGTCCAATCTCACTGTCTCTCCAATCTTTTCCCATGCTAACCCATCTTCCACACACCAGATTCATCTTCTTCATTCATCCTAGCACGGTCTTATTTATAAATATTTAATAGCCACAACAGTGTAAAGGCAATCCAAAATCCTTAGCCTACCAATCAAATCCTCCACAATCTAACGCTAATATTTCCTTCCAACCTTATCTTCCTTGTTTCCCCAAACATGTCATAGCCAGTCATGTCTCCACCCTCTATTCACGTTATCCTCCACTCCTCTTGAGTACCCTCTACCTAAATCCTATCCATCCATTATAAAACATACTTTGGCTCTCTCAACTCACAGTGACTTCTTTCTCTCAATTTCCAAGAACATACATTATCTAAACAATCATCTGGAATTTATCACATTTTCTCAATCTGTGAAGTGTTTAGCTTTGTTTCTGTGTATATATGTGAGACAAGGTTTTGTCTTCCATTAAATAGATTGGACTCTCAGGGAAAGAGTCATGACTTATATTTCCTTGTATCCTCCACATGTAAATAAAGGTCCCCACCAAATGAAGCTATAGCAAGAGGCCAGAAGATGATTTAAAGAAAAAGAAAGCTACTAAACCCTCCCTATAACACCACTCATGTAATAAGGAGATCGAAAAGCAAAATAAAATCAAAAATATATGAAAACTGGATAAATATTAAAAGATAAATCAGACTTCTTAGAAGTTATAGAAATCCTTACTACAAGATATATTCTAATTCCTTCCACTTATCTCGTTTAATAAAATGTTTTAAAATCTATTACGCATCAACCTTCTTTACTATCTCTCAATATAAAGAGCATCCATAATGTGGTGAGACATTTCAAACAACCCACAATAGTCTTATTTCCTGGTCAGGGATGCTTACAACAATTCTGAAAGCTTTGGGAAGCTTGTTGTAAAACCCATACACGTGGAAAAATACAAATAAACAGAAATTTAGAGTAACTGAAATGCACGTTAATTTTAAACAATCTACATTAATTTTCCTTTGATTCAAGATGCGATTTTTGAATTGTATTATTTCTTTGAATGGTATTATTTTGTTTCCTTAATCTTAATCCCCAAAATTGAGCATATCTAACATTATTTCACCGAAGACATTGTGAAATCCTGTCCATATACATGCTCCCTGAAACCTTATTTTAGAGATTATGTGGTTTTGTTTGGACCAAGAAATATTATATAACCCTTAGTTGTTCAGAAACTCTGAACAACTTTGATACATTTACAGAGGAAATGTATCAAACCTAAGAATTCCAATTATTTACAGATAACTGTATTATCAACCACTTAACTATTTTTAAAATGGGATTGTGGTTTTTCATGTCATAAAACCCTCTTTAGAATGTTTTACAAGTGACAATGTTAAGTGCCACACCACCAAAAAGACAGTTACAATAACTGTATGGTACGTACTTTTGTAACCAATAATACAATAAAATAAGTTAACACTGTAATTACCTATGACCAATTATCTTGGTTTTTTACAATAGTTTAGCAAAAAGTTCCTTCAAACTCAAATCACCTATGAAATTTTGGCTCAAAAATCACTTCCTCAATAGCAATTCTCCGTTATCATTTTCAAGGCTAAAAACTAAACCCCTAGGAGCTAAATCGCAAAAAGGAAAAAAAATGCAAAGTAGTCTTTCCAATTTAACTGTCAAACGGATCAGAAAGATTAACATTAATTACTACGATCGCCATTCAACAAACTGTATACATTGCAGTAACTCTGACGTGATAACTTTTTATAGGATGCCTGCAATAGCAGTTTGTAAGTATCTTTCGGGTACTCATGAACTGAGTCAGAATTAAAAGTTCAGAGTAGTTAGTACAGAGCCAGTCAAATGGCAAATAGGACCACACCATGAGATGTTAATGGTACTCCAAGATTCTTCAGGAAACAGAAATCTAGCATTTTCCAAGACGATTATGCACACCTGAGACTTTTGCAGCGAACCAGACTAATGCAAGAGGAAGGAAAGACATGCAAAACCCCAGACAAGCAAAAGAGAACAGCGCTACTCACCAGCAAACAATCCGAATTCACTTCCGATTTGGGATCCCGCAGCAGGTTGTCCATTTTTTCAAATCGAGTCTCAAAACTGTCCCCAGTCGACATGTTGCTGCTGCTGTGACAATGCCCTCTTACCAGCACCAGCAGCGGAAAGCAATTTCAACCAACTTCCTCCGCGGTGGGTTCGCAGCCGCGGGGCGGAGGAGCCGGAACCTCAGGGTCACCAGGTGCGCCCGGTTCCCCCGTCTTCCCCTCACTGAGGGGACCTCCGCTCTCCAGACCCCGGGCCGGGGGCAACAGCGACCCACAGCCGCTCGGACGCCCAAAGTCGCATCCCACCCGGCAGCCCCTCACGACAGCCGACAGCGCCGTCGCCACCAGCCTCGTCGCTCCGGCGAGGTGCTTCAGTCTAGCGGGCCCCGGCCGCCGTCGCCATGGAGGGGTCCCCGTCCCGAGATGGGCAGGAGCGGGTAGAGAAAGAGAAGCAGGGTGGAGACTCCCTCCGGGCAACAAGGGAGGGAGAAGAGGAAAGGCGAAAGCAAAGGGCGGGTGAGGAGCTGTGCCAGCTGCGGCCGCCGCTCGGGCCACGGGCCGGGCCCGCTCCGCTCAGAGGCGCTGTAGACGGTCTAGCCCCGCGTCCCCGGCTCTACTCGGCCCGGCCCGACGCACCGATCAGTCTCGGCCACGAGCTGGTCCACGCAGGACAGCCTCACTCTCCCATTTTGTCCCGTCGCTGCTGGGGCTGCTGCTACGGTGTCCGGTGGGGCAGGGCGAGGTCGATGCCCGATGGAGACTTAGCAGAGGAAAGGCTGGAGAGCGGGCGAAGAGGAAGACGATAGTTGGGTCCCGGCGGCTGCTGATGGGGGAGCTTCTGGGAGGGGCTGCGGTCCCAGCCGGGGAAAGGGCGAGTCGCGGCGGCGAATGCCTGGGGGGTGGGGCGAGGGGGGCTGAGAGGGACTAATATGTCCGCCTTCCTGTTCAAACAAACGGAGACCGCCGGGGCAGACTGCGCATGCGGGGCGCGGACGCTCGGAAGGGGAACCAGCCGGGACCCCGCGCGCGCGCGCGCACTCTGTCGCCTCCGCAGGGTGGGGTGGGGCGGGGCGGTGAGGTGGGCGGGGCCTTGCGGGCAGGCGGTGGAGAAGGCGGACCGCTGGGAGGAGCCGAGTGCGGGTAAGCAGCTGCCGGCAAGGTTCTCGCCTTGGCCGGCTCTGAGGAGCCATGCAGGGCTCTGGAGCGGCCTTGGAGGTCCGGACGGAGGCGGAGCTCTGGCTGCTTCTGATCGCTGTCCCGGCAGATGCCCCAGCTCTGTTTCCTCTGGGTTGCAGCCAGTCCAGAGACTTCTGACGAGGAGAGAGTGCTTGTTCTCCTTGTTGCTGTTAGGGTGGGGCAATAGGTTCTTTTTTAGGCAAGAAGCCTTTTCGTCGGCAGGTACCAGCATTGAGCACCAGTGGCGTTTGGTTTTCAGTGGTACTCCATGGACAGCCCTCCGCGAGCCCCGGCGTTGAACCCATTTACGATTCACTGGGAAAGTTCCGAAGCGCTGCAGCGCTCAGCCCTCCCACGCCAGGCGTGTGTGTCAGGGGAGCCATAAAATACTGACTCCGGAAGATACAGTCAATAGAAGTCAAGCTCAATTTAATTTTTTTAAAGGAAAATAATCTCGTAGAAAAAAATCAATATTTTTAAGTCGTTCGTGTTAGTTCTCATAACACCCCTACTGTAGTTCTCTCCTGGACGTGTAATGCTGCCGTTTCAATGTCAAAACATTCAGTGAAACTTAATTGTGATTTTTATCAGAACTAATGTAGGACATGAGAATAATGGGCATTTCTCCTAGTTCCGTTACTTCGTTGACTGTGGTGTGAGGAAAGGTGAAAGACTTGTCACTCACCCCCGCTGATAAAGTTATGTTCTTCACTGGTTTCAGCAGGAAATCTACCTTAATTTATTCCTCATCAAACTTTATTTTTGCTCAGAAGCCAAATTAAGGATCACTAGAAATAGAAAATGTGGATCTTTTACCCCATGATGGAAAATGCTACAGATGAACCAAAAAGCATCGGAGTAAAAAGCATCGTACAGCATCTGAACAGTCCACCAGCCTTACGATGTGAGTCAGAGGTTAGGAAAATCTTACACTGTTTGAAAAAATGTCTATTTCTATTTTCAATTTATTAAATACAAGAAATATTTAGATATAAAATCCACTATATATATCAAGATAGGACGTTCTTGGTTTATACAAAAATCATAACAAAGACAACTAGACAAACCAGGTATTTCATTAAATGCCTTTGCAGCGACTTTTCTTGGCTCCAGCATTTTAAGTCATGTGAATTAGACTTATTTTTAAGCATAGGGCTTAAAATAAATCAGGCAGTTGCCCTAAAATAAATTTCCTAAACCCTGCTTGTCTTTTTTTTATTATTATTACCATTTTTAGGTATTAGGAATTTTGTTGTTTCTCAGAGAACCGTGAACATTATGTTGCTTTCCATTTAGACACATACGAAAAAATACAAGTAGTTAAGACAATACATGAGTGACACTGATAAATATAAGTGGAAGTGATAACCAACCTGGCAGAACTACTAGAAATATATGTGGGGTCCATATATTTCTAGAAATATCTACTAGAAATATAGGTGGGGTCCATATATAGCTTACTTACCTACAAGGCTCTTCTGATTATTGTGACACATCACTAGTTATCTTCTGCCATAAGATAGATGGACTCTAAATCTAGTTATCTTCTGCCATAAGATAGATGGACTCTAAATTAACTTTTTTTTTTTTCTCCGAGGCGGAGTTTCACTCTTGTCTACCAGTCTGGAGTGCAGTGGCACGATCTCGGCTCACTGCAACCTCTGCCTCCCGGGTTCAAGCGATTCTCCCGCCTCAGCCTCCGGAGTAGCTGGGATTACAGGCACACGCCACCACGCCCAGCTAATTTTTGGTGTTTTGTTTGTTTTATTTTGTTTTGAGATGGAGTTTCACTCTTGTTGCTCAGGCTGGTGTGCAATGTCGCGATCGCGGCTCACCGCAACCTCCACCTTCTGGATTCAAGTGATTCTCCTGCCTCCCGAATAGCTGGGATTACAGGCATGCTCCACCATGCCCAGCTAATTTTGTATTTTTAGTCGAGATGGGGTTTCTCCATGTTGGTCAGGATGGTCTTGAACTCCCGACCTCAGGTGATCCGCCCACCTTGGCCTCCGGAAATGTTGGGATTACAGGCGTGAGCCACTGCCCTGGCCTATTTTTATATTTTTAGTAGAGATGGGGTTTCACCATGTTGGCCAGGCTGGTCTCGAACTCCTGACCTCGTGATCCACCCTCTTCGGCCTCCCAAAGTGCTGGGACTACAGGCGTGAGCCACCGCGCCAGGCCAACTTTTTTTAATAAAGAGGTCCTCACCTTTAATAGGGTGGAATCATATTATATTAAAAATTCCCTTCCATTAGCTGGGCATGGTGGCAGGCACCTGTAATCCCAGCTACTCTGGAGGCTGAGGCAGGAGAATTGCTTGAACCCGGGAGGCGGAGGTTGCAGTGAGCCGAGATGGCGCCACTACACTCCAGCCTGGGTGACAGATCGAGACTCTGTGTCAAAAAAATAAATAAATAAAAATAAAATAAAGTTCCCTTCCAACCTTAAAATTCTATCGTCTAATTGTGACTAATCTCTTCCAAAGTATTGTGGATATTTGAGATCACCCTTAAAATATAAAGTATGTTAAAATCCTACATGCAAGTGCAAAATACTGATACCATGTATAAATATAATAATAATATAACAAACATACTGAGTGCTCACCATGTGCTAGGTACTACTCCATACACTTTATACATAATCTCTTTAAAACTATGCCACAGATGGGGAAACTGAAGTGCAGAGAGAAATGTTGTTAATATTTGCTCAGACCCTGATTGGAACAGAGACAATCTAACTACAGAACTCCCCCATTCATAACTATGACTATGTTAACACTATCTAGTCCTAATACAGTGACAAGTATTTAACAATTGGATTATTTACATTAGCACAGATTTAAATGATTCCATGTAAATGAGGGAGTTATAGAATTTGCAATATCATCAGTCTGATTACAGTCCTTAGGTAAAGATGTGAAATGATTTTAGCAGGTTGAATGAAGAGGGTCTTGAAGGGTGGGTGTGGTGGCTCACACCTGTAATACCAGCACTTTGGGAGGCCAAGGCAGGCAGATTACTTGAGCTCAAGAGTTGGAGACCAGCCTGGGCAACATGGTGAAATCCTATCTCTACAAAAGAATACAAAAATTAACCAGGCATGGTGGCACCTGTAGTCCCAGCTACCGAGCAGGCTGAGGTGGGAGAATTACTTGAGCCTGGAAGGCAGAGGTTGTAGTGAGCTGAGATCATGTCACTGTACTCCAGCCTGGGCAATGGAGCCAGACCCTGTCTCAAAAAATAAAAAAAAAATTTTAAGAAGGCCTTGAAAATGTTCAGTAACACCGAACTGACTAGGGATTCCCAAACACTGGGTCCAGGAACCAGTGGCAGTCCTTGGTGGGATTTTCATGACTTGCAGCAAAATGAGAACAATAAAGATATATAGTTAAGTTTTCATAAAGTAACCAGATCTAAGGCTGCCCTTCAGTATGAAATTCTGTTACTTTTTAAAAAATTAAACATACTTTAAGAAGCAAGAGTAATAGTAGATGGTACATTTTTTAATGTTCTTAATTGGCAATTAAAAAATTACGAAGTTGGCCAAGTGCAGTGGCTCATGCCTGTAACCCTAGCTCTTTGGGAAGCCAAGGCAGGAGGATCGCTTGAGCTCAGGAGTTGCAGACCAGCCTGGGCAGCATGGCGAAATCCCCGTGTTTAAAATTAACCAGGCGTGGTGGTATGTGTCTATAGTCCCAGCTACTTGGGAGGCTGAGGCAGGAGGATTGCTTCAGCCCACAAGTTCATGGCTGCAGTGAGCTAGGACCAAGCCACTGCATTCCAGCCTGGGTGACATAGCAAGACCCTGTCTCTAAAAAAGAAAAAAATAATTATTAAAAAAAATTTACAAAGTTGACAACTCTCTGTAAATATATAGACTAAACTAGTTATATCTTAATTTTTCTGAATTTTGGAATTCAGGCATCTGGAAACATTTAGTGTAGATGAGAGTCATGCTAGAACCTAATGAAGAGACTGCAGTGCTGAAAGAATTTGAATGAGGCATATTTGGGAGAGATCATGGAAACATCAGAAAGATTTGGGTGTAGACTTCTGTATAGTAAAAGACAATTAAGCTGAGCATTCCTTTGCTTTTGGTCATTTGGTAGGAAATAGGCTTGGTATCATGTTCGTGAATTTCTCTAATAAACATTGATGTGTTAGCTAGCCTCCAAAGATTGCCCCCAATGAACTATGTCTCCAATATTCACACCCTTGTGGCATTCCCTCCCACACTGAATCCGGGCTGGGGTCTTGTGACCTGCTTTAACCAGTACAATGCAGCAAAAGTAGCACTGTGCCAGCAGGAGGCCTAAGCTCTGAGGGTGCCTGGCAGCTAACAGTTTTATGCTCTGGGAAGTCAGACTAAACTGAGATCACCATGGTGTGAGGAAACCCAAGCTAAGTAACCACATGAACAGATCACATGGAAGACAACCAAAGAATCCTACAGACCTTGAGAACAGAGACCCCAGACTGGCCCATTCCAGCAGCCCCCAAGCTTTGATGGCACGTAGAATAAGAAACAAGCTGATCCCTCCAAGCTCTCTGCCCATACTGCAGAATCATGGGCAAATAATAAAATGGTTGATACTTTGAGCCACTAGGTTTTGGCATAGTTTTACAGCAATACAAGACAAAACAGTTGAATTTCAGAAAAGAATTAATCATAAGTAAATATATAGAGAGATATATGTTGGGAATGCCTTTTATACTTCTTTATATTACCCACTATGAAAGGAAGCTGCCCACAATAGACCCTTGGTAAAGGAATGACAGACTAACTCATGTTAATCTTCACTTCAGTGGAAACTCTGTCCAAAAGAAATGTAAAAGCTTTTTAAACAAATTAAAGAATGATTTCAGGTGTTTTAAGTTATTACAAAATTATCATATTCTCATATAAACACATTCTACCTATGTTTTTCTATTTCCTCAATTTAGAAGATAATCATGTTTATTCTATTTCAAAAACATACCAAAAATGCAGGTATGATCACACATCAATTCTAATTCAGTGCTATAAATTGCATGTTATTTCAAAAATGCATACCACAAACGTGTTAACAGTGTGATGTGGCTAAGTTCCTATAGAAACTTTAGCTAACATTTCCAAGAAAGTATGATACTTATTATGTTTAATATAACTTTCCAAAGGGCAATACCTTTTTTATTCACATAGAATAACTTCACTTGATACTGAACAACTTTAGTAAACAGAAAGTTGTAAAAAATTAAGTTCAGTTCTGTTTTAACAGGTTGGTTTTATATGATTAATATTTACCCATAAGTAGTTTATCTGTGTGTATTTTCCTAGATCTGAAAAGCGAATCAAGAGAGTATGTTCCTTTACCTAAGAGTACTCCTTTTGAGATCAGTCAAGCTTTTCTTTCCACAAGACATTCAGGCGTGGGAGTAAATGTATTTTGACATTTTTAGATCTACTATGGCCTTGATGCTGCCTACGCAGAGTTGGGGATGTAGGCATCTATCAAGATTACAGCAAGGAAAAGTGTAGGGCAAGCTGTGAGCACAGAGTACCCTTAAGACTTCTCCTGACTCACCCTGGAATGCCTTCCTCTAACATCTGTTTTTTATTTCTTAGAAGCTGCTATTCCATTCAACTGCAAAAATACTTGCACTGACCCTAGAAACAGAATGAAGAAATAGAGGGAAAAGGATTTTTGTAAAACAATTACTTCCCTGCTTGATGCCATTGCCATTTTGATAACACTACTGTTATCAAACTCACAACCCCGAGCATGCAAATGGCTGATATTACAATTTATTCTAAGGGTGGGGGCTGTTATGTTTGTGGAATTTCTGAGATAGTTGGTATGTGGCCATAATAAGAGAAGGAAGCCCAGATCAAGGAGTTACACATAGCTGGTTACATACTCTTTCTCATTTTTTTGTAACAGCTTCCTATCCAGATTTCCCCCTCCCACCCAGCACCACTCCACTGAGTTCCAAGACCAAGTGTACTTTCTGTCCTATTGCTTTTTAGGTTCTGACATCTTCCTCTTTAATGTTCCTAAACTGGTGACTTGCCTTTTTTTGGCAGTGACGGGCTCGTCACTCAATATCTACTTCTCTTTTTTATTTGTCATAACTTTTATCACTCATCTCAGTCCCAACTTTCAGACTTCCATACCAAACACTTGGAAACAGAAAAATGTTTCTGACATTTCACTGTTTTCCCCTCCCTTCTATCATTCAAATACCTCCTGAAATGTAACCTCCTCCCTAAAAATCTCTCTAACTGGAAGAGAGACACTGATTCCTTATGCCCACCCATATTTATATAAATGTTACCCTTACACTCTCTGTGTTCTTTCTTAATAGCCATGATAACTCATACACTTTACCCCTTTTAATTTGCAGTGTAAATACTCTGCTAGTTGAATTTATACATTTGTTTTTGTTTATGTGTTCTTGTCATTGCTGCTTCATACATTCCCTAGGGCATAGGCTAGGACGTTAAAAGCAATAATCATGTTTTTCTTTTCATTGTAAAAATAGTTCATGCTTATTTTTAAAATTTTGGAAAATATGGAAAAGTAAGCAGAGAACAAAAATCACCCATATTCCCACCACCCAATTACCATCACTGTTGATGTTTTTGGAGTTTCCCTTTTCATCTTTTTTCTCCCTCTGCAATTGTTTGTTCATTTTATATGCTATATGTATAATTATTGTATACATTTTTACAGCGTACAGTCTTATATTTACTCTAATTGTAACTTTTGAAACCTGCATAATATTCCATTCTAGAAATTTACCATAGTTTGCTTAACCATTACTCTGTTCATCTATAAATAATGCTACTATAAACATCTTTGTACATAAAGTTGGGTTTTTTTTGTAAATAATTTTATCTCTTCCTTGATGATTTAGAGGGACTATCTTCAAACCAGTACAAATATTTCACACATAATGCCTGGACTTTTTCTAAGAATTCAGTAATTTGTTGCACAATAAGCTACCTCACATATTTCAATAAGAAATACATTAAATTTGCATACTGAAGACATTACATAATGAATTAGGACACAATTAAAATTTGCTTTAAATATTTCTTTTGGGGAGAGGAGACCACACTTCTACTCAATGAAGAGAAACATTTTTACAGTCCAGAGATCATTTATTTTTTTAACACCTATGATGCCATGTATTCATAGGGAATAGGTTCCAGCAGCTCAGGCTGCTTCCCATTGGTTCTCACACAGTGTGCTTCTCTGGGTAGAGCAGGCTGGGGCTTCAGTTGAACCCAGGTGCCTTTCTCTTTGGCTTCTTTCTTTTTCTGATCATTTTCTTTCACGCGTTTCAGGAAGCTATCTCAGCTCATAGAGTGCTTAATGTGCTCAATACGCACATTAATTCTCTTGGCAAGAATCTTGCCCTTAACTTGTTTGTTAACAATGCCAACAGCATGCTGGGGAACATTGTAGACTCTTCCAGTTTTGCCAAGGTAACACTTGTGGGGCATTCCTTTTTGGACAGTACACATTCCCTTGATGTCTACAATGTCACCTTTCTTATAGATTTGCATATACGTGGCCAAAGGAACAACTCCATGTTTTCTAAAAGGCCTAGAGAACATATATCGGGTGCCTCTCCTCTTTCCCTTTGTGTTCGTCATTTTGGCGAATTACTAGAAAATGGCGGTTCCGGCCAAAAGGAAGGGAGTTTTTTGTTTGTTTGTTTGTTTTAATTTGGTAATACAAGTTTATGCTCCCACTATTAGTAGTTGCATGCCTTCTTATTTATTTTTATTTATTATTTATTTTTTATTTTTTTGAGATAGAGTCTCACTCTGTTGCCCAGGCTGGAGTGCAGTGGCCGATCTCTGCTCACTGCAACCTCCATCTCCTGGATTCAAGCAATTCTCCTGCCTCAGCCTCCTGAGTCGCTGGGACTACAGGGCGCATCATCAAGCCTGGCTAATTTTTTGTATTTTTAGTAGAGACAGGGTTTCCCCACATTGGCCAGGCTAGTCTCGAACTCCTGAGCTCAGGTGATCCGCCTGCCTGAGCATCCCAAAGTGCTGGAATTACAGGTGTGAGCCACCACGCCTAGCCTTCGCGCCTTTTATTTTTTCCTCAGCACTGGGTGTGTTACTATTTACATCTGAGCTCATTGTTCTATTGATTTGCATATCATTGATTATTATGAGGTTGGATATGTGTTCCATATGTTTGTCAATTAGTTGTTTTTGTTTTTTTTGCATTAATTTACATTCTGTGCCTATTCATCAATTGACTCAGAATTTTTCTTATTGATTTGTATGAATATAAATACAATACTAACCTTTATCAATTGCACATTCTTACCAATTTTTTTATTTATTTTTAAATTCTGAGTATATTTTTGACAACCAAAACGTTTACTTTTTTAAACAATTTAATTTGTGTGTCATTCTTGCACAGGAGCCATGCTAATCTCTGTATCTTTCAATTACAGTATATGTGCTGCCCAAGTGAGCATTTCTTTTGCTGTTTTTATGTTTAGAAAGTCCTTCCACTTTCCGGCCAGGCGCAGAGGCTCACGCCTGTAATCCCAACACTTTGGGAGGCCGAGGCAGGCGGATCACCTGAGGTCAGGAGTTCGAGACCAGCCTGACCAACATGGTGAACCCCGTCTCTACTAAAAATACAAAAAATTAGCCAGGTGCGGTGGCGCATGCCTGTAGTCCCAGCGACTCGGGAGGCTGAGGCAGGAGAATCGCTTGAACCCGGGAGGCGGAGCTTGCAGTGAGCCGATATTGCCGCCACTGCCCTCCAGACTGCCGACAGAGCAAGACTCCGTCTAAAAAAAAAAAAAAAAAAAAAGTCCTTCCACTTTCCAAAGGCTTAATATATTTTTATTTCTATTTACTTTTGTCCCCGCACTCTCCCACCATGGCTTGGTTTTCCATATTTTATTTTTAATTATAAGTGAATATATTTTGATGTATTAAAGAAGGTGAGAATCTGTTGTACTTTTTCAAATTGCTAAACAATTCTATTAATACCATCTATTAAATAAGTTTGTCTTAATGATTCATTGTGATACTTTCATTAACAAGGATGAATTATGTGTAACTATATTCCTGCTCTCTTCTATTTCATTGTAAATATATTTATTCTACTAGTATAGTAATATAACTATAGTCATATGGTGTGTTTTGATAGCCCAGAAAATCTAGTCTTCTTTTGTTACTTTTCTTCTTTAAAAAGTTATTTTAACTTGTTATTCTTACATACGAATTTTGGAATAAGTTTTCAAGTTCTTCCTCACTGTACCCCCATTCCACTGCCATTTTAACTGAAAATATTTTAAATTATAATTTAATTTGAAAAGAAATATTTATGCTATTCCCAATCAATAATTGGTAACTTTTATTCAAAAAAATTATTTTTATTTCAGACAGGGTCTCACTCTGTCACCCAGGCTGTAGTGCAGTGGCACAATCACTGTTCACCATAGCCTCGACCTCCTGGGCTCAGGTGATCCTCCCACTTCAGCCTCCTGAGTAGCTAGGACCACAGGTGCCTGCTACCACACCCAGCTAATTTTTGTATTCTTTTGTAGAGACAGAATTTTGCTATGTTACTCAGGCTGGTCTCAAACTCCTGGGCTCAAGCAATCTGCCTGCCTCAGTTTCCCAAAGTGCTAGGATTACAGGCATGAGCCACCACACCCAGCCCAAAAATGTTTAAAAATATTTTTTAACAAAATGTTATAGATGTTATCACCTGGACCACACAGATTTTTCACTGAGATTATTTCTGGATATTCTAAAAATCTTGCTGTCATTCTGAAAAGGACTTTTATTTTGATTATTTCACTATTATTGATTATGATATATTTAGCATCTCTTACCCAGCCATTTTATTGAACTTATTGTGTCTACAAAATTTTCTCATTTTGAAATTTTTAAGGGTTTATTGATAACTACCATATTTTAATGTAAAACAATATCAATTATAAGATATATAATTATTTTACATACCACCAAAGGAAAGGACACTAACAAGCTATCATTTTTGAGATGTATCTCAATTTCAGGGAGTCTAAAATGTGAAAAAAAAAATCTTAAATTTGACAAAATATCATGTGTTAGACATACTAAATAATGTTTACACATTTGGTTTGGTTTCTTTCTTACCAGTAATCATACCTCACATCTATTTCAGGTCTCAGTGCTTTAACTACAGCAGTAGAGACAGACAACAGATATCCTTGTCTTTTGTCAGTTTTCCTCAGAAACAACTCATATTTAAGCATATGTTAAGTTTTGATTTAAAATAAATACTCGCTATCATGTAAAGACTGTATTTCTATTCACTGATGTATGGACATCAGTTAAATACTAACATCATATCTACTACAACATATGATTTTATTTACCTAATGTTTTTCTTTAACTGTGTAATTTTTTTAGATTTAAATTCCACTAAAAAGGAAGCTTTACACCATTATGGAAGATGGAAAAACATAATCATTTTCTATAAATGGAAGGCAACCATAAAAATAAATAAAATAACACAAAAACAATGTTGTAACATTCTATTACTATTCCTTGCTTAAGGCTTTGAGCTTGGTTGAGTGCCATGACTCATGCCTGTAATCGCAGCACTTTGGGAGACCCCGGCGGGCAGATCACTTGAGGCCAGGAGTTTGAGACCAGCCTGCACAACATGGCGAAACTCCATCTCTACAAAAAAATATAAAAAATTAGCCAGGCATGGTGGCGAGCACCTGTAGCCCCCGCCACTTGGGAGGCTGAGGTGGGAGGATCACCTAAGCCTGGGAAGTAGACTGCAGTGAGCCATGATTGCACCACTGCACTCGAGCCTGAGCAACAGAGTGAGACCCTGTCTCAACAACAACAACAAAAAAGGCACTGAGCCTAATGCCAACTGCTCAGTGGAAAAAAAAAAAAAAGGACATTAGGAAGTGTTAGGAAAGTGTTAAGACTGTATACTAGTGCACCAAACTCAAACTTTCTTCGGAAGTAATTAGACTACGAAGATAATTGACATAGAATAATGTTATCACTACAGTTAAAACTATGCTGAGTCCCATCTAAAATTATCTATCCAATCTGCTTTTGAAGCTTCATTAGGAATTTGTTTAATATTTTATCAATTGCTTTTTTGGTATATGTTGAAGTTATTATATAGCTAATGATTGACATATGTATCATATAAAGAAAGTTCCAGGCCAGGCACAGTGGCTCACACTTATAATTCCAGCATTTTGGGGGGCCGAGGCCGGCTGAATCACCTGAGGCCAGGAGTTTGACACCAGCCTGGCCAACAGGGTGAAACCCTGTCTCTACCAAAAATACAAAAAAATTAGCCAGGTGTGGTGGTATGTGCCTGAATCTCAGCTACTTGGGAGGCTGAGGTAGGAGAATTGTTTGAACCTGGGAGGCAGAGGTTGCAGTGAGCCAAGATTGCACCACTGTACTCCAGCCTAGGTGACAGAGACTCCATCTTAAAAAGAAAAAAAGAAAGAAAATTTCTAATATTATGTTACAAGGGTAATATTATGTTACCCTCATAGTTCTAGAGATAAATACACACACATTCATCCCAATGTACTGCTACTTTTGAACGGTTTATTTAGGATTTTCCTATTTACAACTGTATCACCAAGGTTTTAGGTATTTTGATGTGGTTATTGCAGGAAACAGAAACCAACTTAAGCCAATTTAAGCAACAGCAGAAAGTATAGCTGGGCACCGCCAGGAACTAAAACCAGGAGATGAGAAGCTCCGATGAACAAGCATGTTCTTCGAATTTTCAGGCCTAAATGGTTTCCATCTTTTCAACTACGTCTACTTTATTCTTTTCCCCATGTCCTTAAAACCAACTTTTTCTACTTTTCTCTACATATAAGCCAAATACAACTTCAGCATCATACACATACAGTGAGTTTAACAGAGATTGAGAAGTATCTCTTGTTGCAATCCATATTCTGAAAATTTTATACTATCCTTATTCAAACAATTAGTATATGTATATGATCACACAAATTTAAAAGAGACAATGGGGTATACAATGAAAAGTATTATTATAATTCTTCCTCCATTAATTGTATAATTTTTTGACTTAAAAACGTTATACCATTATGGAAGATGAAAAAACATAATTTTTCATAAATGGAAGGCAGCCATAAAAATAAATAAAGCCTCCATAAGCCACTTAGTTCCTTTCACAAAAGGAAATGGCTGTTCAGTTTCTTTTATTCTTCCCATAGGTACACAATCATATCCATATATACATATATTTTTTAGACAGGGTCTCACTGTGTTGCCCAGGCTGGAATGCAGTAGGGCGATCATAGCTCACTGCAACTTCAAACTCCTGGGCTCAAGTGATCCAGACTACAGGGGTCCAGCCAGCCCACTGAGCTAATTTTTTCTATTTTTTGTAGAGATGGATTCTCACTTGTTGCCCAGGCTAGTCTGGAACTCAAGCAATCCTCCTGCCTCAGCCTCAAGAGTAGCTGGGATTACAGGCACTTGCCACCACGATGGGCTAATTTTTTTCCATTTTTTTGTAGAGAGGGTAAGGTGGGGTCAAGGGAGTCTCACTTTGTTGCCCAAGTTGGTCTTGAACTCCTGGGCTCAAGCGATCCTCCCACCTTGGCCTCCCGAAGTGCTGGGATTACAGGCATGAGTCACTATACCTGCCCTCATTTTTTTTTTTAAAATTTCTTCTTAATTGTTGTTTTTGCTTTCTATAATTTGCTCTATAACCTTGACCTTATTTTCCTCTTGCTTCTGCAATGATTTGGATTTCGGATTAAAAAATTCTTGTTAGTTTACTAATAATTACCTTGAAACATAAGCAATGTTGACCACACATTTCTCTGATCATAAATTTAAAAATAAAATGATAACTTTCTAACTTTCTATTTGGATGAGAAACTTGGCACATTTGCTGCCTCAAACTTTATCTTTCTCTCTTTTAAAAACACTATAACCTTTTTTTCCAAGTTTTACAATACTAATTCAGATTTGTACCTAAACTATGATTAATGTTTAGATTTCTTTCTGTATGTTTAATTCCCATGTTTATTTCTAGTCCTAGAGAATCTGTTTTCTTGAGTTTTAATTTTGACTCATTTTGGGCAACCTAAAGTAAAACTTTAAATAATTTTAAAATGAAAAATACTTAGGTGAAATCTTGCTTGGGTAAGAATGCCTATTGTCTTCACATCAGTGACAACATGGGTAGATAGAGTTTTCTCAAAATTCATTACATTTGCTCCATTTTCTTTTTTAGACTCAGTGCCACTGAGAAAAAGTTAAAAAACAATCTGCGCTTTGCTACTTTATAGGCAATGTTTTCCAGCTTAGCTCTCGTAAGATTCTTTGTGTATTTCTGAAATTCAAAAACTTGACTGGTATAATCCCAGAGGTGCATCTCCCATAATGTTTTTCTAAAAGAGAGAACTCTTTGACTCGGTTTTTTCTCCTCAGTAAAATTTTCTTCTCATATATTAGTTTATTGATTATGCCCCATTTATTTTGTTTTCTTCTTTTGGAACATCAATTATCAATACTCACAGTCTTATCTCTGTCCTCATCTGTTTTTATTTTTCTTTCTTTTATTCTGCATTCTGGGAAGACTTCAAAGTTTGTCTTCTGAAACATGAATTTAATTTTCTGCACTGAGAAATTATTTTTACCTATTAGTAAATCTCTAGTACTTCATGATTTGATCTGTAAGTCTGCTATAAACTGTTCCCAAAATGGATGTTGAGTCACTGCATTTTAATTTCTATTTTAAAAAATTTTTTTAGAGACAGAGTCTCATGTTGTCATCTAGGTTGGAGTGCAGTGGTGTGATGATAGCTCACTGCAGCCTCAAATTCCTGGGCTCTAACAATCTTCCCACCTCAACCTCTGGAGTAGCAGGGATTACAGGCACACACCACCATACCTGGCTAATTATTTTTGGGTTTTTTTTTGAATTTTTTGTAGAGACAAGATCTTGCTATGTTGCCCAGGCTGGTCTCAAATTCCTGACCTCAAGTGATCCTCCTGCTGCAGCCTCTCAAAGAATTACTGCCTTTTAAATTTTTGATTTCCTTGAAGGCTTTTATAGCCTGTTTTTTTTTGTTTTGGTTTGTTTTGAATCTCAATCTGTTTTCATCTCATCTTAGACTGCTTTTTTTTTTTTTTTTTTTTTTGAGACGGAGTCTCGCTCTGTCACCCAGATTGGAGTGCAGTGGTGCAATCTGGGCTCCCTGCAACCTCCGCCTCCTGGGTTCAAGCAATTATCCTGCCTCATCCTCCTGAGTAGCTGGGACTACAGCAAACGCCACCATGCCCGGCTAATTTTTGTATTTTTAGTAGAGACAGGGTTTCACCATGTTGGCCAGGATGGTCTCGATCTGCTGACCTCGTGATCCACCTGCCTTGGCCTCGCAAAGTGCTGGGATTACAGGCATGAGCCACTGCACCTGGCCTAGACTTTTCTCTCTTTTTAATAGCCTGTTTGTATTTCATAGGTGCAGATATAATATATACAATTAGATATAATATCTGATATACTATATATAATACACTGTATATAATATATACAAATATAATGTATATTTAGTAAAACATACAAATTGAGTATACAACTCAATGGACTTTTATATATGTATACACCTGGGTGAACACTACCCCAGTCAAGATATAGGACACTTTCTTTTTTTGAGACGGAGCCTCGCTCTGTCGCCCAGGCTGGAGTGCAGTGGTGCAATCTCGGCTCACTGCAACCTCTGCCTCCCGGGTTCACGCCATTCTCCTGCCTCAGCCTCCTGAGTGGCTGGGACTACAGGCGCCCGCCACCACTCCCGGCTAATTTTTTTGTATTTTTAATAGAGACGGGGTTTCACTGTGTTAGCCAGGATGGTCTCGAGCTCCTGACCTCGTGATCCACCCGCCTCAGCCTCCCGAAGAGCTAGGATTACAGGTGTGAACCACCTCGCCCGGCCAGGACACTTTCAATACTCCCGAATATTTCCTCACTTTCCCTTCCCACAAACCTTACCCATCAAAAGTAATCAATATTCTGATTTCTATCACCATAGATTCGTTCTACCTGGTTTTGAACTTCATGGAAATGAAATAATACAGTATATACTTTTTTGTGACTTCTTTGGTTTTTCATAGTTTTTTTTTGCATTTTTTATTGTGGTAAAATGTACTTAACATAAAATATGCCATTTTAACTATTTTTCAGTGTACAATTCAGAGGCATTAAATACATTTACATTGTTGTACAACCATCATCACCATTCATCTCCAGAACTTTTCCATCTTTCCAAACTGAAGCTCTATTCCCGTTAAACAACAACTCCCCAATTCTTCTCTCCCCACAACCCTTAACAACCACTATTCTACTTTCTGTCTATGAATTTAACTATTTTAGGCAGCTCATGTAAATGCAGTCATACAATATGTGTCCTTTTGTGGCTGGCTTATTTCACTTAGCATAGTGTCTTCATGTTTCACCTACAATGGAGCATATATAAGAATTTCATTCCTTTTTAAAGGCTGAATAATATTCCATTATGTGTATATAGTACATTTTGTGTACCCATTCACCTGTCAGTCAACATACAGGTTTTGTTTTAAAATAAACAATCTTTCTAAAATTTCTTCCTCTGCCTGTAGAAAATCAGTATTAGATGAAGACTTTTCTGAGTTCCTAGAAGAGCTGTCTTATACTAAGATCTTTTTTCCTTAGGCTCCACTATTTTTCCCTTATTTTCTCATCTTCAAATTGGAGGGAAAATATCTAGGCCCAGAGTTTGGAAACAGAGAAGGTACAGAGTTTTGCTATTTAGTACATCTAACTTATGTACTGGCCAAGTGCGGTGTCCTATGCCTGTAATCCTAGCACTTTGGGAGGCTGAGGCAGGTGGATTGCCTGAGCTCAGGAGTTTGACACCAGCCTGGGGAACATGGCAAAACCCCATCTCTACTAAAAAATAAAAAATAAATAAAAAATTAGCTGGGTGTGGTGGCGCACACCTGTAGTCCCAGCTACTCGGGAAGCTGAGGCGTGAGAATCACTTGAACCCAGGAGGCAGAGGTTGCAGTGAGCTGAGGCTGTGCCACTTCACTGCAGCCTAGGTGACATAGCAAGACTCTGTCTCAAAAAAAAAAATAATAATAATAATAATAATAACTTAGGTACTGATGGACGCTTCTCTAATACTTCGTGATTTGACATGCAAAGCCAGTTTTTATTGCTTAACGAGCATTTATCTTGTGTCATTTTTTTGAAATGAAATAGTCTCTTCCTAATTCTATATTAGGAAGAGGATGTTTAACCTAGAGAAGTGTAGAAGTTTAAGCATATTTATCCTTTAATGCCATTGAGTGGTGAATGAAAACTCTAACTCTTCCCCAGATTGCACCACCTTTATGGTTCCTCTACATTTACCCCACCTGAAATTCTTTACCTTTGAGAGGACTTCGTATCTCAAGATCTCCATTCTCTTTATCCTAGCCTATTATGCACTGGGAATTATTGAACCTGAATTGGCTAAAAGGGGCTGTTAATGACAGGATGGGACACTCTGACCATTCAGAAATCAGTTTTCACACGGTGAAAGCCATGGCTGCCTAGCCTTCTCATTAACGAAGCTCTGTGTTCCCAAACTCTGGGCACTCAGGGGAAGTGAGGGGAGATATGAAACAATTATTTTTACCTATTTTCCAGCTGTGTTTTCCTAATTCAAAAAATGCTATATGAGGCCAGGCATGGTGGATCATGCCTGTAATTCCAACACTTTGGGAGGCCGAGGTGGGTGGATTGCTTAAGCTCAGGAGATCGAGCCTGGGCAACGTGGCAAAACCCTTCGTCTACAAAAAAGACAACAACAAAAAAAATTAGCTGGGTGCACTGGCACATGCCTGTGGTCCCAGCTACTCAGCAGGCTGAGATGGGAGGATCGCTTGAACCTGGGAGGTCAAGGCTGCAGTGAGCTATGATTATGCCACTGCACTCCAACCTGGGTAACACAGCAAGACCCTGTCTCAAAAAACAAAAACAAAAAAACAAACAGAAAAAAAAAAAAGGTGCTGTGTGCATCACTATGCACTTCTGTTTCTTAATTTGGCTCTACTAAGAGTTTAATAGAAATACTTCTAGGTTTCTCCTCTATGTTTGACTTTTATCTTTTGTTTCACAGGTTGTTGTGTGTCGTGCATTTTCATTTTTTGGTACTACTTTATGAGAATTTATCGGAAGCTTGGGATAACTATTAGGTGTAATTAATACTCAGCCACCACCCTAGCCCTAACAGATGGGTCCAGGATTGTTTAACTTTATATAACCTGTGTGTTATAAGATAACCAAGGAAGAGTCTCTTCTTCCACTAGCCTGATACCTTAAATGCAAGTATTCAATTTCTTTGTGTTGTAAAGAATTTACCATTCTCAGGAGTTTCTTATAAAAAGCAAATACTCTCCAAAAAGGTAAAATTAGTATCATCTTGGTTTGATAGCTTTAGGTCATCAAGCAGAACTGGTTTACTCTGGTAGTAAGGGAGTGATACACAGAAGCCGATGACAGCTAATGTTGCATTTTCCAGCATACAGACAAGTGCTTTAAATGCAAGGGAACAGAAACGTTGTCTGCTCTAAACCTCCCCTAGTGTCCCAGGCAATCCCTGAAGAGTTGTCACTACTTCCTATCTAGTGTGTCAGCTGTTTTACAAGCATCAGAGAAGAAATGGAAAGCAACATCATATACTGCTACTGCTGATCAATCCAATCCCAGGCTCTTTACTGTAAACTGGTGGTTTTCTATGATTTGTCATGTTTTGTTTACCACTGTAAATCGTGTTATAACATCTTGCAGTCCAATATGAAAAAGAGATCAAAGTGGGCTGCTCTAATTGAAGCAGGCACTAATAACACAAGTCCACCCACACACCACTGCTTTTGGCCCTGAAACTGCTCTGTGGAATGCCTAGAGCTTTGAGTAGCAAAATGTCTAAACGATGATCCTAGACATCATTGGAGGGTGTTTGTGCAAGGCTACCCACTAAAGAAGAGTATGAGAAAAGACATCAAGATCTCAACATAACTGGAATGCTTGAGTTCTGACTTCAGTCAGTTGTTTTAAGAATACACTTGATGAATATTGTCTATACTTAGCACTCTTACCCCCCTCCTACCCTAGGCAACTATTGAGGGAGTTCCACTGGACTATGTGATCTCCAAGACTTCATCCTTCCATTATATGAATTTCATACATCCTTACAAATATTCTCAAAAAAATTTTTTTTCTTTTTCGAAACAGGGTCTGACTTTGTAACCCAGGCTGGAGAGCAGTGGCACAATCTCAACTCACTGTGACCTCCACCTCCTGGGCTCAAACCATCCTCCCGCCTAAGCCTCCCGAGCAACTGGGACCATAGGCACACACCACCATACCCGGCTAATGATTTTTTTTTTCTTTCTGTAGAGATGGGTTTACACCATATTGCCCAGGCTGGTCTCGAACTCCTGAGCTCAGACAATCCGCGTGCCCCAGCATTCCAAAGTGCTAGGATTACAAGCATGAACCATCAGGCCCTGCCAAAATTTTTTCTTACATCAAATATCAGGATGTGACTTCCTATTCGGATCAAAATGGAGCACATCCACTATGACCTATATCTTCTGCTGATTATAACTAAAAACTCTGGACAAAATTTAAAAAAAATCTGAGGACTCTTGAAAGTAAAACAGGCAAATAGTGATGTGGAGTCAAAACTTGAAGAAGCAACACATATGAGAATGACTTCTCATTTTTCCCCCTTTTCTCCTGTGGCTGTGCCCCAAGGGCAGGCCTCAAGTGCAGAACTTCTTAGTAGCAGTGATCCAGGCAATTAACACTTTTAAAAGAAACCTTATCTTTCTGCACAGAACTGGAAAAAGGGATCTCCATGGGACAGAGTGTAGAAGGAATCCTGGAGAGAAGTGTACCGGAGAACAGGATGTCTTAATAATATATAAGAAACTATACAAATCCATGTTTACCTTTGAGGTGCATATGCATGGGACTAGACCTAAGACAACATAGCAAAGGTTTGAGAATTGAACTAATATGTAAACCACCACCCAAGTCTCAGACTAACTTCTTAGAAGTATGTGTGTTGAACAGACCCAAAGCAGCATTCACTACACTTTGAAAACTGAACTGAGATTGGAACACTGCCCACAGAAAGTGATTTTTAAAACATGCCGTCTGAAGCTTACTGGAGTGATTGCCTGCTAAAATGATAAAGTAATAATAACATCCCCTAGAGAATTTTGATAGGACTTATATCCACACAATTTGATATTCGAAAAGTCCAGAATACAATTCAAACTTACTCAACAAAAAACCAGAAAAATGTGACCAGTTCTTTTTTTTTTTTTTCCCTGAGACAGTCTCGCTCTGTCACGCAGGCTGGAGTGCAGTGCAGCAATCTAGGCTCACTGCAAGCTCCGCTTCCCGGGTTCACGCCATTCTCCTGCCTCAGCCTCCACAGTACCTGGGACTACAGGCGCCTGCCGCCATCTTATGTCCGGAATTGGTGGATTCTTGCTCTCACTGACTTCAAGAATGAAGCCGCAGACCCTCCTGGTGAGTGTTACAGTTCTTAAAGGCGGCATGTCCGGAGTTTGTTCCTCCTGATGTGTTCAGTTTCTTCCTTCTGGGTGGGTTCGTGGTCTCGCTGGCTCAGGGATGAAGCTACACACCTTCACCTTGAGTGTTACAGCTCTTAAGGCAGCCGGTCTGGAGTTGTTCATTCCTCCCCGTGGGTTCGTGGTCTCGCTGACTTTAGGAGTGAAGCTGGAGACCTTGCAGTGAGTGTTACAGCTCATAAAGGCAGTGTGGACCCAGAGAATGAGCAGTAGCAACATTTATCACAAAAAGCAAAAGAACAAAGCTACCACAGTGTAGAAGGACACCCGACCAGGTTTCCACTGGGAACTTGGGCAGCCTGGTTTTATTGTCTTATCTGGCCCCACCCACAGCCTACTGATTGGTCAATTTTATAGAGAGCCGATTGGTCTGTTTTACAGAGAGCTGATTGGTCCATTTTGACAAGGTGCTGATTGGTGCGTTTAGAATCCCTTAGCTAGACATAAAGGTTCTCCAAGTCCCCACCAGATCAGCTAGACACAGAGCACCCACAGATTGGTGCATTTACAAACCTTGAGCTAGACGCAGGGTGCTGATTGGTGCATTTACAAACCTTGCGCTAGATACAGAGTGCCGATTGGTGTATTCACAGTCCCTTAGCTAGACATAAAGATTCTCCAAGTGTCCACCAGATTAGCTAGATACAGAGTGCCATTGATGCATCCACAAATCCGGAGCTAGGCACAGTGTGCTGATTGGTGTGTTGACAATCCCTTAGCTAGACCTAAAGGTTCTCCAAGTCCCCACTAGACTCAGGAGCCCTGCTGGCTTCATCCAGTGGATCCCGCACTGGGCCGCAGGTGGAGCTGCCTGCCAGTCCTGGGCCGTGGCCTGCACTCCTCAGCCCTTGGGCGGTGGATGGGATCGGGCGCTGTGGAGCAGGGAGTGGCACTCGCTCAGGGAGGCTCGGGCTGCGCAGGAGCCCACATCCCGAGCCCTGCCCCGCGGGGAGGCAGCTAAGGCCCGGCGAGAAATCGAGCGCAGGCACTGCTGGGGGACCCAGTGCACCCTCCGCAGCTGCTGGCCCCACTGCCCAGGGCCGCTCTGAGTGCAGGGCCCGCCAAGCCCACGCCCATCCGGAACTCTAGCTGGCCTGCAAGCGCCACACGCAGCCCTGGTTCCCACCCGCTCCTCTCCCTCCACACCTCCCGGCAAGCTGAGGGAGCCGGCTCTGGCCTCAACCAGCCCAGAGGGGGGCCCCCACAGCGCAGTGGCAGGCTGAAGGGCTCCTGGAGCATGGCCAGAGTGGTCTCAGAGGCCAAGGAGGTGCCAAGAGTGAGCGAGGGCTGCGAGGGCTGCCAGCACGCTGTCCCCTCTGAATGCCAGGCTAATTTTTTGTATTTGTAGTAGAGACGGGGTTTCACGTGTTAGCCAGGATGGTCTCGATATCCTGACCTTGTGATCTGCCCGCCTCAGCCTCCCAAAGTGCTGGGATTACAGGTGTGAGTCACCGTGCCTGGCCGTGACCAGTTCTTAAGAGAACAGACAGTTAGCAAAGGTCAACCCCAAGATGACACACCTGGTGACATTGTCAAATAAAGACTTTAAAATAGATACTATAAGCTTCATGAGGTAAAGGAAAACACATGTTAAGTAAAGTAAGTGGAAAGATCATTAAAAAAGAAAATAGAAAATTTAGTATTGAAACATACAATATCTGAAATTTAAAATTTACTGGATGGGGCCGGATATGGTGGCTCACACCTGTAATCCCGGCTCTTTGGGAGGCTGAGGCAAGCGTATGTATCACTTGAGGTCAGGAGTTCAAAACCAGCCTGGGCAACATGGTCTCTACCAAAAATACAAAAAATTAGCTAGGCATGGTGACACGTAACTGTGGTCCCAGCTACTCAGGTGGCTGAGGTGGGAAGATCACTTGAGCCTGGGAGGTGGAAGTTGCAGTGAGTCAAGATTGTGCCACTGCATTCCAGCCTGGGTAACAGAGTGAGACCCTGTCTCAAAATAAATACATACGTAAAATAAAATTTACTGGATGGGTTCAATAGCAGAATGAAGATGACAGAGAAAAGAGTAAGTGAACCTAAAGACAGATTAATAGAAGTTATCCAATTTGAAGAACAAAGAGAAAAAAGATCGGAAAAAAACTGAATAGAACTTCAGGGACTCATGGGACTATATCAAAAGTCTAACACTGATAACACTGGAGTCCTATAAAGATATTGGTATGGAAAAAAACATTTGAAGATAATGACTGAAAACTTCCCAAACTTGGAGAAAAAGACATCAACTTGCAGATTTAAGAAGTTCAGCGAACCCAAAATAGAATAAACTCAGAGAAAAGCGCACCCAAACACATTATAATCAAACTACTAAACACTAAATGTAATGAAAAAAATCTTAAAAGCAGCTAAGGAAAAATGACACATTATATACAGGAGAACGATGATGTTAACAATGATGTTGGACTTCTCATCAGAAACCACAGAAGCCAGAAGACAGTGGAATAACATCTGTAAAATTATGACAAAACTGTCAAGCCAGCACTCCACATCCAGCAAAAATATCCTCAGGCATGAAGGAGAAACAAAGATATTCTCAGATGAAGGAAAACTAAGAAAACTCATAGCTAACTAAAAGAAATGTGCAAGGAAGTTCTTCAGACTGAAGCAAAATAATACTAGGTGAAACCTGGAACTTTAGGAATGAATGAAGAACAACACGAACAGTAAATAGCTGGGTAAATCTAAAAGATTGTTTGCCTTTTTCTTCCTATTTAGTTCTTTAAAATATGTATAATTTTTTGTTGTTGTTTTTTGTTTTTTGTTGTTTGTTATTGTTGTTGTTGTTTGAGATGGAGTCTCACTCTTGTCATCCAGGCTGGAGTGTAGTGGCGTGATCTCAGCTCGCTGCAACCTTGGTTCAAGCGATTCTCCTGCCACAACCTCCCATGTAGCTGGGATTACAGGCACGCGCCACCATGCCCAGCTAATTTTGTATTATTAGTAGAGACGTGGTTTCACCATGTTGGCCAGGATGGTCTCAATCTCTTGACCTCGTGTTCCACCCACCTTAGCCTCCCAAAGTGCTGGGATTACAGACATGAGCCACTGCACCCGGCCTAAAATATGTATAATTGTTGAAAGAAAAAAAAATTTTTGAAAGAAAAATTTAACCTTGTCCTATGGGGTTTTTAATGCTTCTGTATATTTAATATATATGACAACTATGACATAAAGGAAGGAAGTTAAAGGACCTTTATGGTTGTAAGGCATCTGCATATTACTTAAATAGTAAAACATTGCTCTAAGTAGACCCAGAAATGTTAAGTATTTCTATTGTACTACTTAGAGCAGTCATTCTTAATTGGAGTCGAGAAGACATTTTTGATTGCCATAACTGGAGAAAGGCGTGTGACTGGCATCTAGTGGGTAGAGGTCAGAAATGTTGCTAAACATTTTACATTGCACAATGCAGAACAAAGATTTATCTGGTCCAAAACAGAGAATTATCTGTTTCAAAATATCAATAGTGTTAAGAGTGAGAAACCTTGCTCTAGAACAACCAGAAAGAGCGAGAGTGAGAGAGAACCAAAAAGCAACAGATAAAATAGAGTAGAATACTGAAACTATCCAAACAGTCCAAAAGAAGGCAGAAAGGGAAAGAGAAAATAGGGAAACAAAAAAGCAGACAGGACAAAAAAAAATACATAATAAAATGATATAACTAAATCTAAACATCCCAATAATTACATTAAATATAAATGATCTAAACACACCAATTAAAAGATAAAAGTTACTATATTGGCTTAAAAAATCTCTGTGCTGTCCTCAGGAAAGCCAGTTTAATTATAAAGACTTAGATAGGCAAAAAGTAAAAAGGTAGAAAAAGATATACCATGCAAACAATAATCAAAAGGAATTTGGAGAAGACATAATAATCCTAAATGGGTACACATCTAATAACAAGGTTTTAAGATACATGAAGGACAAAAACAAATCTTAACAAATTTACATAAGTTGAAACCACACAAAGCATTTTAACTGACCATAATAAAATTATGTTAGAAATCCACAACAGAAATATAATTCCATTTTGTTTTTGCATATGGATGTCAAATTATTGGATTGCCAGTTGCTAAAAACTGTCCTTTCACCATTTAATTTCTTTGGCAACTTTACTGAAAATCAATTAAGCAATTTTGTGTGAGTCTATTTCTGGACTCTCTATTCTATTCAATTGATCTATATGTTTGTCTTTTACCAATACTATGCTGTCTTGATTACTCTAGATTTATAAAAGCCTTGAAATCAAGAAGTGTGACTGCTGCAGCTTTGTTTGTATTTTTCAAAATTGTTTTGGCTATTATAGGTCCTTTGCTTATCCATGTACATTCTATTTATTATTTTGTTTTATTTTTAAATTAAATTAAATTTTATTTATTTTTAGAGATGGGAGTCTTGCTATGTTACCTAGCCTGAAGTTCAGTGGCTATTCATAGGCATGATCACAGTGCACTACAGCCTCAAACGCCTGTGCTCAGCAATCCTCCTGCCTCAGCCTCCTGAGTAGCTGAAACTACTGTGTGCCCCACACCCAGCCATGTAAATGGTAAAATCAACCTGCTGATTGCTACAAAATACCCTAATGGGATTTTGATTGAGATTACATTAAATCTATAAATAAATTTGGGAAGAACTGACATCCTAATAATACTGAGTCTTCTAATCCATAAACACCATATAATTTCCATTTACTTATGTCTTCTTTTATTTGTTTGTTTGTTTGTTGGTTTTTGAGACAGAGTTTCGCTCTTGTTGCCCAGGCTGGAGTACAATGGCACAATCTTGGCTCACCGCAACCTCCACCTCCCAGGTTCAAACGATTCTCCTGCCTCAGACTCCCGAGTAGCTGGGATTACAGCCATGCACCACCATGCCCGTCTAATTTTGTATTTTTAGTAGAGATGAGGTTTCTCCATGTTGGTCAGGCTGGTCTCGAACTCCCGATCTCAGGTGATCCGCCTGCCTCAGCCTCCCAAAGTGCTGGGATTACAGGAGTGAGCCACTGCACTCAGCCCACCTTCTTTTATTTCTTACATTAATAATTTGGAATTTCTAGCACATATTTTGTTAGATTATACACAAATATTTCATATTTTTACATTTTTTATATATATTATTCTCTCCAAATTTCAATATATAATAGTTGTTCCTAGTTTATAGAGGTACAATTGGTGTTTGTATATTGATGTTAAATCCTTTAATTTTTACAAGTGATGGGTTTTGGAGTTTATAAAATAAAAAAAAGAAAAGAAAGTTGTGATTTTCCTAAATTCACTTATTCATTCCACTAGATTTTTTTTTTTTTTTTTTTTTTTTTTTAGTATTTATTGATCATTCTTGGGTGTTTCTCAGAGAGGGGGATGTGGCAGGGTCATAGGATAATAGTGGAGAGAAGGTCAGCATATAAACACAAGAACAAAGGTCTCTGGTTTTCCTAGGCAGAGGTCCCTGCGGCCTTCGGCCCTGTTTGTGTCCCTGGGTACTTGAGATTAGGGAGTGGTGATGACTCTTAACGAGCATGCTGCCTTCAAGCATCTGTTTAACAAAGCACATCTTGCACCACCCTTAATCCATTTAACCCTGAGTTGACTCAGCACATGTTTCAGAGAGCACAGGGTTGGGGGTAAGGTTATAGATTAACAGCATCCCAAGGCAGAAGAATTTTTCTTAGTACAGAACAAAATGGTGTCTCCTATGTCTACTTCTTTCTACACAGACACAGTAACAATCTGATCTCTCTTTCTTTTCCCCACATTTCCCCCTTTTCTTTTCAACAAAACCGCCATCGTCATCATGGCCCGTTCTTGATGGTCGCTGTCTCTTCGGAGCTGTTGGGTACACTTCCCAGAAGGGGTGGCCTGGCAGAGGCGCCCCTCACTTCCCAGACGGGATGGCAGCCGGGCAGAGATGCCCCTCACCTCCCAGACGGGGCGGCCTGGCAGAGGCGCCCCTCACCTCCCAGACGAAGGGTGGCTGGGCAGAGGCACCCCTCACTTCCCAGTCAGGGCGGCCGGGCAGAGATGCCCCTCACCTCCCAGACGGGGCGGCCGGGCAGAGGCGCTCCTCACATCCCAGATGGGGTGGCGGCCGGGCAGAGGCACTGCTCACTTCCCAGACAGGGCGGCCGGGTAGAGGTGCTCCTCACATCCCAGACAATGGGTGGCCAGTCAGACGCTCTTCACTTCCCAGACGGGGTGGCGGCCGGTCCGAGGCACTCCTCACTTCCCAGACGGGGTGGCCGGGCAGAGGCACTCCTCACTTCCCAGACGGGGTGGCCGGGCAGAGGGGCTCCCCACCTCCCAGACGTTGGGCGGCCAGGCAGAGACGCTCCCCACTTCCCAGATGGGGTGGCAGCCGGGCAGAGGCTGTAATCTTAGCACTTTGGGAGGCCAAGGCAGGCGGCTGGAAGGTGGAGGTTGCAGCGAGCCAAGATCACGCCACTGCACTCCAGCCTGGGCAACACTGAGCATTGAGTGAGCGAGACTCCGTCTGCAATCCCAGCACCCCGGGAGGCCGAGGCGGGCAGACCACTCGAGGTCAGGAGCCAGAGACCAGCCTGGTCAACAGGGCGAAACCCCATCTCCTCCAAAAATACAAAAACCAGTCAGGCATGGCGGCACGCGACGGCAATCCCAGGCACTCGGCAGGCCGAGGCAGGAGAACCATGGGAGCCCAGGGCAGGGAGGCTGCAGCCAGCCAAGATCACGGCAGTGCAGTCCAGCCTCGGCAACAGAGGGAGACTGAAGAAAGAAAGAAGAGGGGGGGGGGGGGGGAGGGAGGGGGAGGAGGGAGAGGCTCCACTAGATGTTTTATGTATTTCTTGGAGTTTTTTATTTAGATGATCATGTTGTCAGCCAATAGAGACAGAATTATTTTTTTTATCTGTATTCATTTTATTTCTTTTTCTTGTCTTAATGCACTGGCTTGGCTTTGCAGTACAGTGTTGAATAGAAGCAATGAGAGTGGACATCCTTCCTTTGTTTTTGATATTAGGAGAAACCATTCAGTCATTTACCATTATGTTAGCTACATGTGCCCTCTATTAAAATGGAGAAGTTCCCTTCTTGGTTTGGTAGGCTTTTTAGAAATTAAAGTATGAATGTTTTTTCTTCATGTATTGAGATGATCATATGATTTTTAAAATTCTGTTGATATTGTAAATTACACTGACTTTTAAATACATTTTAAATATTAAACCAACATTATCCCATTTCTTGAATAACTTGTCATTAAGTGTTACTATTTTAATAAATTGCTGGATTCAATTTGCCAACATTTTAGAAGATTTTAGGTGTCTATGTTTATATTCTCTCTCTCATGTCTGTGGGGGGTGTGTGCGTGTGTCTTCCTCTCTCTCTCTTATTTTTTTCTTTTCCCTTTCCTTTGGTTTGTTTCACTATCACAGTAGTGCTAGACTCATACAATGAGCTGGGAAGTGTCCTGTCCTCTACTATTTTCTATGTTTATGTAGAATTGTTATAATATCTTTAACTGTTTGGTGTAACTCACTGGGGAAATCTAGAATTTTCTTTATTAAAACTTTTAAACCATAAATTCATTTTTAAAAGTAGATATAAGGTTCTTCAGGTTACCCATTTCTTCTTGAGGGAGCTTTGTTAATTTGTGTTTTTCATCTAAGTTATTATATTTCTGAGAATAAATTTTTAAATTATATTCCCCTATTGTCCTTATAGTGTTGGTAGTGTCTCTAGTGATGGCCTCTCTTTCATTCCTAATATTGGTAATTTGCCTTTGCTCTCTTTTTTCTTGGTCAGTTTGGCTAAAGGTTTATACATTTTACTGGTCTTTTCAATGAATTAGCTTTTTATTTCATTGTTTTATTATTTCCTTATTTTCAATTTTATTGATTTCCACTGCTATATTTATTATTTTATTTTTTCTACATGCTTGCATTTATTTCATCCTTTTTCTAGGTTCTTAAGCTCAAAGCTTAGGCTATTACTTTTACACACTTGTTCTTTTCTAATATATACATTCTGTTTTGTAAGTTTTCCTTTAAGTATTGGCTGCAGTCCACAAATTTTGATTTTTTTAAATGTGTTTTTATTTATTTGTTTTTATTTTTATTCAATTCAAAATATTTTCTAATTTCCTTGAAAATTCTCTTTGGCACATGGTTTATTTAGAAGTATGTGGTTCAATTTCCAAATATTTGGGGATTTTCCTGATATCGTTCTATTGTTTTCTTGTTTAATCCTGCTCTGGTGAGATAACAGATTATATATATGGATTTTTTTCCCCAGTGGACTTTTTTTTAAATAACCATGATATAAAATTTGCCATTTTCAAGTTCACAACTCAGTTGCATTAAGCACATTTACAATGTTGTGTAACCATCATCACTATTTCCAGAACATTTTCATCATCACCAGAAGCTCTGTACCCATTAAACAATAGCATGCCATTTCCCCCAACCTCGTGTAACCACTAGCCTATTCTCTGTCTCTATGAAATTGTCTATTCTGTGTATGCTTTTAATTCTTTAAACTTGTTAATATTTGTTTTATGGTCCAGAGTATGGTCTATTTTGGTTAATGTCCCATGTACATTTGGAAAGATTGTGTAGTCTGTTGATGTTGGGTAAAATGTTGTTAAAAAAAAAGCTAATATGGTCAACTTAATTGATAGTATTGTTCTCTTATATCCTACTAATTTTTAATTAAATTCTTCTATTGATTTCTGAGAAAGAAGTGTTGATGTTTACATGTATAAATGCAGATTTCTTTATTTTTCCTTTAGTTCTTTTAGCTTTTGTTTCATATATTTTGAAGCCCTGTTGTTAGGTGCACACACATTTAGGATTATTACCTCTTTAATGAGTTACACATTTTAATTATGTAATGTTCCTCTTTATTCATAATAATGCAGGTTGAGCATTCCTAATCTGAAAATCTGAAATTCAAAGTGCTCCAAAATCTGAAACTTTTGGAGTGCTGACATGACACCACAAATGGAAAATTCCACACTTGACTCCATGGATGGGTTGCAGTCAGAACATAGGAGTACAACCCAGTCTATTCAGATGCCTCCTCATCCCTAGAGGACCCACTTGCTGGTCTCTTGACTGCTTCTAATGTTTCTTCTCACCTAAAAAAAAAAAATACAATGTACAGTTACCTTTTAGTCAAAACACAGCATGGTGGGTTGAGATTGAAATCCTGCCGCTGTTTTTCATGCTGTTGTTTAACAGCTGATCCAAGTATTCTGGTGGTGCTGCTGTGCTGTTTTGTTACCCTGCACACATTATTTTTTCGACATTAGTGATATGTCATATCATTTTCAGTATTAATGATATGTCTTTTTTTTTTTTTTACTATTAGGTACTCATGTGTGAATAAGTGTAAGAAAATGATTGTTTATCGGTAGCATATGAGTTCAGAGTCAGGAATGATGGTGACGCCAAACCACTACAGATCATCCACATGGGTGGCTACAGTAGGGGCACCTTTGATTTCTGATGGTTCAGTGTATCCAACTTTGTTTCATGAACAAAATTATTTAAAATATTGTATTGGGCCGGGCGCGGTGGCTCTTGCCTATAATCCCAGCACTTTGGGATGCCAAGGCATGCAGATCACCTGAGCTCAGGAGTTTAAGACCAGCCTGGCCAACATGGAGAAACCCTGTCTGTACTAAAAATACAAAAAATCAGCTGGGCATGGTGGTGTGTGTCTGTAGTCCCGCCTACTTGGGAGGCTGAGGCAGGAGAATTGCTTGAGCCCAGGAGGCGGAGGTTGAAGTGAGCTGAGATGGCACCACTGCACTCCAGCCTGGGTGATAGAGTGAGACTTCATTTCAAAAAAATAAAAATAAAATAAAATAAAATATTGTATTAAATTACCTTCATTCTATGTATATAATGTGTATATGAAACATAAATGAATTTTATGCTTAGATTTGGGTCCTATGCCCAAGATATCTCATTATGTGTATGTGTATATTACAAAATCTGAAAAAAATACAAAATACAAAATCTGAAACATTTCTTGGACCAAGCACTTCGGAGAAGGGATGTTCAAACTTTACTTCTTTTTCCAAATCTCCTTTAATATAAGCTATCCAGATTCGTGAACTGGAAGTACTCCATCTCACATTCCCCAGTCACATATCTTAATCTAATTTAGTCAGAAACTACAGTGGTTTACATGTTTCTAAAAACAGAACTATTTGACTTGCACAACAAGTGGAGAGCTGTGTAGTGACTGAAACGTATAACCTCCAAATACAAGGAATTTTCACATTAGCAAAAGAGAAAAATTTTAGAAATCATTCTATGGCGGTTAGGGGGAATCATAGATTGAAGTTTGAAATCCTATATGAAACCCTCTGTTGTGTTTTTCCTTGCATTTTAGGACCTCTAGCCTGCTTTCTTGTCTTATACTTCTTGGAAACTAATGTTCTCCCAGCAAACATCAATAGGACTACCAGAGTGACCCCTAATGCCAGAGTACACACACTCCCACTCCCTAAATGCCATCCTAAATTCCTGAGGGAGCCAGGATCAACTGGTATCTATTTCTGGACCTCAGGATAGTGCAGAGTTTTGTTAGGGTGTTTTTAGTCCTAACAAGGCAGCATAAGCCAGCATAGCTTGCTGTGTAATTGGGGTAGGAAATAGTATCCCTCGCTACTTATTCATGACTGTTATTTTCTTTAAAAAACACACACATACACACTTTTATTTGTTTATTTTAGAGACAGGGTCTTACTCTGTTGCCCAGGCTGAAGTGCAGTGGTGCCATCACAGCTCGCTACAGCCTTGACCTCTCGGGCTCAGGTGTTCCTCCTGCCTCAGTCTCCCTAGGTGCTGGTGCCACCATGCCCGGGTAGTTGTGTGTGTGTGTGTACAATCCTTCCACCTCAGCCTCCTGTCTAAAAAAACTTAAAAACAAAAACAAAAAAACCCAATGCTACAAATCAGAAAACAGCCCTTACTGCTAAAGAAAGAGAACACTGTCTTTGGTGAGATTTGGCAGAAATATTAAATGATGAAAATGGGGAGTACCTCTTCTGAGTCTCAAATTTCTCTTCTGGCATATGTGGATTATAATGCTTCCTGCAGGGAATTGTTCTGAGAAATAAGATAATTGATTGGAAAAAATTTAATAAACTACAACATTCTAAGTAAATGTTATTAATGTTGTTTTTTATATGCACCAATATGATTTATCACCTTAATAATTTAGTTTTAATTGAAAAAGTTGACATGTTTATTTGGCTTATATTTCTTTCCAATTGCTTGTTTCCTTTATGAAGAGAGGCAGTTGGCATTTCAGTAAATTATTTTTAAAAGTCCTTTATCCTTTATATTTTTTCCTCTGCTTTCTATTTTCAACAAGATGATCAAATCCATCCACATTATTTTCTATGTAGCCATGTTTATTTAGAGGTATTTTAAGTACACAAAATATTTCCACGAATATACATGGTACATCTTATCTTTTAAAGACTAAATTTGAGAAGGTAAAAATCTTTGCTCCACTATTTCTAAAATATATTGCCCCTAGATACCAGTGTTGAAGTTCTCAGAATTCATATTTAATCATCACTGTAGCTCAAAATATATATATATAAGATATATATGTATATATATAAGATATATATGTATATATATAAGATATATATGTATATATATAAGATATATATGTATATATATAAGATATATATGTATATATATAAGATATATATTATATATAAGATATATATGTATATATAAGATATATATGTGTATATATAAGATATATATGTATATATAAGATATATATGTGTATATATCTTATATATATGTATATATAAGATATATATGTGTATATATAAGATATATATGTGTATATATAAGATATATATGTATATATATGATATATATGTATATATATATAAGATATATATATATGTATATATACACTGCTGCAGACAAGGCCAGTTGCAGATATAGCCTCACTGTGTAACTTGTCTATGCAAAACATAGTTATAAAGTCTGTATGCACTGGGTGCGGTGGCTCATGCCTGTAATCCTAGCACTTTGGGAGGCTGAGGCAGGCAGATTGCCTGAGCTCAGGAGTTCCAGACCAGCCTGAGTAACATGGTGAAACCCTGTCTCTACTAAAATACAAAAAATTAGCCAGGTGTGGCGGCACATGCCTGTAGTCCCAGCTACTTGGCAGGTTGAAGCAGGAGAATCACTTGAACCTGGGAGGCAGGGGTTGCAGTGAGCCGAGATCATGCCACTGCACTCCGTCTCCAAAATAATAATAATAAGAAGAAGAAATAATAAAGTCTGTATATAAAGTATATGTGTTTTTTTGAAGTATGTGAGGTTGACAAAAATAATTAAAACAAATTATATTTTAAGATAGTTTATTATCCAGGCATGGTAGCTCATGCCTATAATCCCAGCACCCTGAGAGGCCAAGGCGGGTGGATTGCTTGCAAATATGAAGAGTAGGAGATTTTCAGTTATTTGATTTTCTCAATTGCTTGCACTCCAAATAAATAGGAGTTTTGCACATTTTGCATTAAACAGGCAAGTGGGACAGGAAGAAATACATTCATAGTGATGAAGGATTGGCGTTTGTGAAAGATAGAAACACGAAGAAATAAACACATAAGTTTACAAACTATTCATATTTATAAATATGAGAATTCATATTCCAGTTTCGGAATGGATATCAGTATTCATTATTCCGTTGCTCTCTATTAAAAACTAATGACCAGATTTTTAAACTGAAGCACTCCAAAAGATTTAAAATGTTAATTAAAAGAACTTTTTATGTTTTTTGTAATTAAAAGACAAATATAGGTATTTCACTAAGACATTTATTTTAAACTTCATAACTTAAATGGAATAAAACATCAGAGTGAGTTGTTGGATGAATATAATCCTAATAGTTAATATTTATAATTCTAATGACTATTTATTATATTTATCAAGATTTAGTAAAGCCTATGTGCCTTGTACAGTTCTAGATTTTATCTGATTATCTCATTTTACTTAAGATAATCCACTGACATATCTCAATTTTACAGATAAAGATGATGAGCCTCAGAATATGAATTAACTTGTGCCATGTCAGGAACTAGATATGTGACAGAACATAATTTTTTTTTTTTTTTTTTTTTTTTTTTTTTTTGAGACGGAGTCTCGCTCTGTCGCCCAGGCTGGAGTGCAGTGGCGCGATCTCGGCTCACTGCAAGCTCCGCCTCCCGGGTTCACGCCATTCCCCTGCCTCAGCCTCCCGAGTAGCTGGGACTACAGGCGCCCGCTACCACGCCCGGCTAATTTTTTGTATTTTTTTAGTAGAGACGGGGTTTCACCGTGTTAGCCAGGATGGTCTCGATCTCCTGACCTCGTGATCCGCCCGCCTCGGCCTCCCAAAGTGCTGGGATTACAGGCGTGAGCCACCGCGCCCGGCCGACAGAACATAATTTTAACTTGGGTCTCTGACTTCATAATCTGTGAATTTCCATGTGTTTGTGTGTATTCATGTGTGTGTGAATATACAAGTAAAGAATTTGTATTATTTTTAATTGTATTAAAAGAGGAAGCTAGGAAGATATTCCCTTCTCTGGTATCAAATATAAACCACCAAAGACTTATACTTTTAAGGGATTTTAAAAAACATATGGTGTATATATTCACATTGTATACCTCATGAGTATATCTATTTTTTTGGTGTTTTTTTGCCCCCTTGACAGAATATGGCTCTTTTATTTTAATAGAAGTATGTTATTCTTCTACATTAATCCTTCTACAGCATCTATTATAATACATGATAGAAGTATGAAAAATTTTGAAAATCTGAAGCATCTCTGTGTGGCTAAGAAATCAAGTTTAGACATGCTGTAAAGCACCCTAAATGACTCACAAATAGCAGTTTTAAATTCATTTTGACATTTTAACATTTCATTTATTTATTTATTTTTAACCAACCTGGAAGATTGGAACTATTTCATTTATTTTAAGGGATAGGGTCTTTCTATATTGCCCAGGATGGAATGCAGTAGCTATTCACAGCCACGATCATTGCTCTCTACACCCTTGAACTCCTGGGCTCAAGTGATCTTACTGATTCAGCCTCTGGGTAGCTGGGACTGCAGGCGTGTGCCACGGTGCCCATTAATATTTTATTTTTATTAAAACTATACATTTATCTAATTTTTAAGGTCAAATAGCTTTATGGGGCTTAAATAAAAAATAGTGGTCTTTAGATCCATCCTAGAGTAGCCCTGATAATGTGCCTCTCATTTCTCCAACAGCAGGGAACATAATTGACAGTCTACTGTGGGCTCTGAAATCCATTGCTGCCATGCACACTGGGGCCATTCTTCCTACAGGCTGCTCCTAACTAACAACTGAGTATAACAGACATACTAAGGAAGGCTCATTCCTGGAAGACAGGGCTCCTCTGGCCAATAGCTTTAGTTCAAGGATTTTGCAATGTGCTTGCTGACCTTTCTTTAGATTTTGATTACAGACTATGAAACTTCTCTCCTTCACTCACATAGGCATGCACAGAGGTCTGATGGCTCTCCAAGCCTCCCTCAGCTTCCTGTTTATGTTCTCTCACATCTAATTCCTTCTTGGCATATGCTTCTTAAAGGACCTGGATTAATATACACCCTGCACATAATTTTTGGTTAGCAATATACAGTATTTAAACTGTGTTAATTATTCACATCTAATTTATGGTGTATTATGATTGCACTTTTCATAATTCTTTGCCTTTCTTCTAGTTAATTATTGCCTTGCTTATTTGCTTAATTTTCTGTATACCTATATTATATTATTTCTTTCCTGATAAATTCACACACATTGATTTATCTATAAATTTCAACTTTTCCTTGGAGACATCCCTCTTTAAGCCTGCTATCCTCCTACTTCCATTTGGACTAATTTCCATTATGCCTAGTGAACTCTAATCATCATCTGCCTGGTAATTTTCTTTGTCTCTTTTCTATGAAACTTGTATGATCGAAAACATCTTTACTTTCCTCTTCTTCCACTTGACTGTTGCTTTGGCTGGGTATAAAATGTTAATTTAGAAGTAATTCTCCCTCAGATTTTTGAGGGCATGCTCCATTGTCTTCTACCATCCAAGGTTACTGTTGAGAAGTCCAGTGCTATTCTGATTTTTTTTGAGACAGAGTTTCACTCTTGTCACCCAGGCTGGAGTGCAATGGCACGATCTCGGCTCACTGAAACCTCCGCCTCCTGGGTTGGCCAGGCTGACCAGGAGGGTTGGCCTCCTGACCTCAAGTGAGCCACCCACCTTGGCCTCCCAAAGTGCTGGGATCACAGGCATGAGCCACTGTGCCCAGCCCTATTCTGATTCTTGACGCTTTTGTTTTTCAATTCTCTGGAAGATTTTAGGATTTTTTTCTTTGTCCTCATTGTTTTAAAATTTAACAAGGTTGTCCCTTGATCTGGATGTTTTGCTTCCTTTATAAGTGGCTCCATTGGCCTTCTTATATTGTGTTTTGCTTTTTAACAGACTTTATTTTTTAGAGCAGTTTTACTCTTTTATTTATTTTTTATTTTATTTTATTTTTGAAATGGAGTATGCCTCTGTCGCCCAGGCTGGAGTACGGTAGTGCAATCTCGGCTCACCACAACCTCCGCCTCCCGGGTTCAAGCAATTCTCCTGCTTCAGCCTCCTGAGTAGCTGGGATTACAGGCGCCCGCCACCATGCCCAGCTAATTTTTTTTGTATTTTTAGTTAAGATGGGGTTTCACCATATTGGCCAGGCTGGTCTCGAACTCCTGACCTTGTGATCCGCCTGTGTCGGCCTCCCAAAGTGCTGGGATTACAGGCATGAGCCACCGCGCCCGGCCAGAACAGTTTTATATTCACAACAAAATTGAGCAAAAAGTACAGAGGGTTCCCTTGTACCCCTTCCACTCCCCAACATACACAGCCTCCCCCACTATCAACATTCCACACCAGAATGGCACATTTGTTAACAATCAATGAACATACATTTACGCATCATCAGCCATAGTTTACATTAAGGTTCACTCAATTTTTTATGTTCTATGGAATTTAAAAAATGTATGACATGTAGCCACCATTTTAGTATCATACAGAATAATTTCACTGCCCTATAAATCTTCTGTACTCTGCCTATTTATTATTCCCTCCCCACAAACCCTTGGCAACCGTCAATCTTTTCTATTATCTCCATAGTTTTGCCTTTTCCAGGATGTCGTATAATTGAAATCAAATAGTATGTAGCCTTTTTAGATTGTTGGCTTCTTTTGCTTAGTAATATGCATTTAAGTTTCCTCTCTCTATCTCTATCTATCTATATATACTTTTTTTTTTTTTTTTGAGATGGGGTTTTGCTCTTGTTGCCCAGGCTGGAGTGCAATGGAGCCATCTCGGCTCACCACAACCTCTGCCTCCCAGGTTCAAGCAACTCTCCTGCCTCAGCCTCCCGAGTAGCTGGGATTATAGGCATGCACCACCATGGCCGACTAATTTTATAGTTTTAGTAGAGGCGGGGTTTCTCCATGTTGGTCAGGCTGGTCTCAAACTCCTGACCTCAGGTGATCCACCCGCCTCGGCCTTCCAGAGTGCTGGGATTACAGGCCTGAGCCACCGTGCCCAGCCTCCTCAATTTTTTTGTTTGTTTTTGTTTTTCAATAGTTGATTTCCCTTTATTTTTTTTAAACAATCTCGCTCTATTACCCAGGCTGGATTGCTGTGGCATGATCCTGGACCATTGCAACCTCTGCCTCCCAGGCTCAAGTGATCCTCCCATCTCAGCCTCCCAAGTAGCTAGGACTGCAGGTGCCACCCTAATGATTTTTGTATCTTTTATAGAGATGGGGTTTTGCCATATTGCCTTGGATGGTCTTGAATTCATGAGCTCAAGCAATCCACCTGCCTCGGCTTCCCAAAGTGCTGGGATTACAGGCATGAGCCACTGCATCCAGCTGTTTTCTTTTTCTTTTTCTTTTTTTTTTTTTTTGAGACAGAGTCTTGCTCTGTCGCCCAGGCTGGAGTGCAGTGGCGCAATTTCGGCTCACTGCAACCTCCGCCTCCTGGTTCAAGAGATTCTCGTGCCTCAGCCTCCTAAGTAGCTGGGAGCCCCACCATGCCCGGCTAATTTTTTTGTGTTTTTAGTAGAGACAGGGTTTCACCATGTTGGCCAGGCTGGTCTGAAACTCCTGACCTCAGGTGATCCACCCGCCTCGGCCTCCCAAAGTGCTGGGATTACAGGCGCGAGCCACCTGGCCTGGCCTTCTTTTTCTTTTTATCACTGAATAATATTCCTGTGTCTGGACATACCAGTTTACTTATCCATTCACCTACTGAAGGATCTCTTGGTTGCTTCCAACTTTTGATAATTATGAATAAAGTTGCAATAAACATCTGTGTGCAAGCTTTTGTGTGGACGTAAGTTTTCAACCTATTTGGGTAAATACTAAGGAGCACAGTTACTGGATTGTATGGTAAGAGTGTGTTTAGCTTTATAAGAAACTACCAAACTGTCTTCCCAATTGTCTATACCATTTTGTTTTCCCACCAGCAATGAAAGTTCCTGTTGCTCCATATTCTCACCAGCATTTGGTGTTGTGAATTTGGATTTTGGCTCTTTAACAGGTGTATAGAGGTATCTCACTGTTGCTTTAATGTTCATTTTCCTAATAACACATGATGTTTGCACCTTTTAATATGTTTATTTGCCATCTGCATATCTTCTTTGGTGAGGTACCCATTCAGATGTTGTTTGATTTTTGAGACAGGGTCTCACTCTATCACCAAGGCTGGAGTGCAGTAGCATGATCGCTGCTCACTGCAACCTCCACCTCCCAGGCTCAGGCGATCCTCCCACCTCAGCCTCCAGAGTAGCTGGGACTGCAGGTGAGCGCCACCACGCCCGGTTAATTTTCATATTTTTCTAATAGAGACAGGGTTTCACCATGTTGCCCAGGCTCGTGTTGAACTCTTGGCCTGAAGTGATCCACCTGCCTCAGCCTCCCAAAGTGCTGGGATTATAGGCATGAAGCCACCATACCCACCTGGTTCAGGTCTTTTGCTCACTTTTAAATTGAGTTGTTTATTTTCTTATTGTTGAATTTTAATAATTCTTTGTATATTTTGAATATCTGTCCTTTTGCAGGTATTTGTTTTGCAAAGATACTCTCTCAATTTACGACTTACCTTCTCATTCTCTTAACAATACTTTTGCAGGGCAAGGGTCATTAATTTTAGTGAAGTCCATTTTGTCAATTATTTCCTTTGTTGATTGTGCTTTTGGTGTATCTAAAAATCATCATCATATCAAAGGTCATCTAGATTCTGCCCCTCCCCACCACCATTGCCCTGTTATATCTTCTAAGAGTTTTACAGTTTTAGCGTTTTACATTTAGGCCTTTGATCCTTTTTTTTTTTTTAACTGAGTCTCGCTCTGTCACGTAGGCTGGAGTGTAGTGGCGCAATCTAGGCTCACTGCAAGCTCCACCTCCTGGGTTCACGCCATTCTCCTGCCTCAGCCTCCCGAGTAGGTGGGACAACAGGCGCCCACGACCACGCCCCGCTAATTTTTTTGTATTTTTTTAGTACAGACGGGGTTTCACTGTGTTAGCCAGGATGGTCTCGATTTCCTGACCTCGTGATCTGCCCGCCTCGGCCTCCCAAAGTGCTAGGATTACAGGCGTGAGCCACCACGCCTGGCAGTCTTTGATCCATTTTAAGTTTGTGAAAGATGTAAGATACATGTTTACACTCTTTTTTTTTAACATGTGAATATTCAGCTGTTTCAGCACCATTTGTTGAAAAGACTATTCTTTCTTTATGGAATTGTCTTTGCTCCTTTGTCAAAGATCAGCTGACTATAAGGATTATTTCTGGGCTCTCTGTTCTCTTCTGTTTATCTATCTGTCTGTTCTTTCACCAGTACCAACCTGTCCTGATTATTGTAGCTTTATAGTGAGTCTTCACTGGTGTTTTGGTTCATTTACATTTAATGTAATTACTGTTATTTTAGGACTTAAATCTACCATTTTATTTTTTGTTTATTTTTATTTTTGTTTCTCTTTTTTAATTCTTTCCCTATAGGTTACTTGAACATTTTTTAAAATTCCATTTTTATTTATCTGTGGTATGTTTAGTCCCAGATGAAGAAATCGCTTTTTAAAATTAATTTTTGATACATAATAGTTGCACTTATCTGTGGGGTACATGTGATATTTTGATCATGTATACGATATGTAATGATCAAATCAGGGTGTGCAGGATATCCATCGCCTTAAGCACTTACTGTTTCTTTGAGCTAAGAACATTTCAAATCTGTTCTTCTAGCTATTTTGAAATATACAACATATTATTAACTATAGTCACCTTACTGTGCTATTGAACAGTAGAGCTTATTCTTTCTATCTAATGGTATGTTTGTACCCATCAACCATCTCTTCATACCCTTCTCCACTTTTCCCAGCCTCTGGAACTATCATACTACTCTCTACATCCATGATATTAACATTTTTAGCATCCATATATGAGTAAGAACATGTGATATTTATCTTTCTCACCCTGGCTTATTTCATTTAACATAATGATTATCCATGTTGCTGCAAATAATAAGATTACATTCTTTTTATGGCTAAATGGCATTTCATTGTGTATATATATATCACATTTTCTTTATCCATTTATCTGTTGATGAACACTTAGGTTGAATCTATATCTCAGCTATTATGAATAGTGCTGCAATAAACGTGGGGGTACAGTTATCCCTTTGACATACTGATTTCCTTTCCTTTGATAAATATCCAGTAGCGAGATTGCTGGATCATATGTAGTTCTATTTTTAGTTTTTTTGAGAAACCTCCATATTGTTTTCCATAGTAACTGTACGAATTTGCATTCCCACCAACAGTGTATAAGAATTCTCTTTTCTGGCCAGGTGCAGTGGCTCACACCTGTAATCCCAGCACTTTGGGAGGCTGAGGCGGGCAGATCACGAGGTCAGCAGTTCAAGACCACCCTGGCCAACATGGGGAAACCCCATCTCTACTAAAAATACAAAAATTAGCCAGGCATGGTGGTGCATGCCTGTAATCCCAGCTACTAGGGAGGCTGAGGCAGGAGAATCACTTGAACTGGGAAGGCAGAGGTTGCAGTGAGCCAAGACGGTGCCATTGCACTCCAGCCTGGGCGACAGAGCGAGACTCAGTCTCAAAAAAAAAAAAATTCCCTTTTCTTCACACACTAGCCAGCATTTGTTACTTTTTGACTTTTTAACCTGGGTGAGATTATATGTCATTGTGATTTTGATTTGCATTTATCTGATGATTAGTAATATTGAGCATTTTTTATATACCTGTTGGCTATTTGTATGTCTTCCTTTGAGAAATGTCTATTCAGATCCTTTGCCTCTTTTTAATTAAATTATTATTATTATATGTTGTTATTTTGCTGTTGAGTTGTTCGAGTTCCTTGTATATTCTGGATATTAATCCCTTGTCAGATAAATAGTTTGCAAATATTTTCTCCCATTCTACAGGATGTCTTTTCACTCTGTTGACTATTTATTTGCTATTCAGAACTGTTTTACTTAATATAGTCTCATTTGTCTATTTTTGTTTCTGTTGCCTATAGTTTTGAAGTCTTAGTCACAAAATTTTTGCCTAGATCAATATCCTGAAGCATTTTCCCTATGCTTTCTTCTAGTAGTTTTACAGTGTCATGTTGTACATTAAAATCCATTTTTATTTTTTTATATGGTGAGAGACAGGGAATCTACTTTCATTTTTCTGCATATGGATATCCAGTTTTCCCAGCACCATGTATTAAAGAGGGTATCTTTTCCCCATTGAAGGTTCTTCGTGCCTTTGTCAAAAATTAGTTGACTGTAAATGTGTGGATTTTCTGGATTTTCTATTCTGTTCCATTGGTTTATGTGTCTGTTTTTAATGCCAGCACCATGCTGATTTGGTTACTATAGACTTGTAGTATATTTTTAAGTCAGGTAATATGATGCCTCCAGCTTTATTCTTTTTACTTAGTATTGCTTTGGCTATTTGGGCTCCATACAAATTTTAGGATTGTTGTTTCTATTTCTGTGAAGAATATCATTGGTATTTTGATGGTGATTACATTGAATTGTAAATTGCTTTGGGTAATATGATTATTTTAACAATATTAATTCTCCCATTCCATGAGCATGTGTCCTTTTTAATTGTTTTCATTAGTGTTCTATAATTTTCATTGTAGAGGTCTTTAACCTCCTTGGTTAAATTTATTCCTAGCTACTTAATTTTTGTTTCAGCTATTGTAAATGGGGCTGCCTTCTTGATTTCTTTTATAGCTAGTTCATTATTGGTGTATAGAAATGCTACTGATTCTTGGCGAGGCACGGTGGCTCACGCCTGTAATCCCAGCACTTTGAGAGGCCGAGGAGGGTGGATCACCTGAGGTCAGGAGTTCAAGACCAGCGTGGCAACCATGGCAAAACCCCGTCTCAACTAAAAATACAAAAATTAGCTGGGCGTGGTGCCGCGTGTCTGTAATCCCAGCTACTCAGGAGGCTGAGGCAGTAGAATCACTTGAACCCAGGAAGCAGAGGTTGCAGTGAGCTGAGATTGGGCCACTGCACTCCAGCCTGGGTGACAGAGTGAGACTCTGTCTCAAAAAAAAAAAAAAAGAAAAGAAATGCTACTGATTCTAGTGTGCTGATTTTGTATTCTGCAACTGTACTGAATTTGTTCATCAGCTCAAAAGAGTTTTTGGTGGAGTCTTTGGATTTTTCTATATATAAGATCATGTTTTCTGCAAAGAGGCAATTTGACTTCCTCTTTTCCAATTTGGTTGACTTTTATTTCTTTCTCTTGCTTGATTACTCTGGCAAGGACTTAAAATACTATGTTGAATAAATGTAGTGAAAGTGGACATTTTTGTCTTGTTTCAGTTCTTGATGGAAAGGCTTTCAGCTTTTTCCCATTCAGCACGATGTTAGCTGTGAGTTTGTCATATATGACCTTTATTATTTTGAGGTATGTTCTTTCTATGCCTAATTTGTTGAGAGTTTTTATCATGAAGGGATGTTGAATTTTATCAAGGCCTTTTCTGTGTCTACTGAGATGATCATATGGCTTTTGTCCTTCATTCTTTTGATGTGATGTATCACAGTTATTGATTTGCATATGTATTGATAATGCATTGATTTGCATATCATCCTTGCATCCCTGGGATAAATCTCACTCAATCCTGGTGTATCATCTTTTTAATGTGTTGTTGGATTTGGTTTGCTAGTATTTTGTTGAGGGTGTTTGCATCTACGTTCATCAGGAATATTGGCTTGTAGTTTTTTGTTATTGTGTCCCTGTCTGGTTTTAGTGCCTGGGTAATGCTGGTCTTGTGAATGAGTTAGGAAGAGAACTACCTCCTCTTCAAGTTTTTGGAATACTTTGAGAAAAATTGTTGTTAATTTTTTATAACTTTGGTAAAATTTTCATAACTTTGGTAGACTTTTTATTACTAATTCAATCTTGTTACTTGTTATTGGATTTTTCAGGTTTTCTATTTCTTCCTGGTTGAATCTTGATAGGTTGTATGTGTTCAGGAATTTATTCATTTCCCATCGATTTTCCAATTTATTACCATATAGTTATTCATAATAGTTTAATGATCCTTTGTATTTTTGTGGTATCAGTTATAATGCCTCCTTTTTTGTTTCTGATTTTATTTATTTGGAAATTCTTTCTTGTCTTGGTTAGTCTAGCTAACAGCTTATCGATTTTACTTATTTTTTCAAAAAAACAACTTTTAATTTCATTGATCCTTTGTATTGGTTTTTAGTCTCTATGTGGTTTAGTTTTTCTCTGATCTTTATTATTTCTTTCCTTCTTATAATTTGGGGTTTGGTTTGTTCTTGCTTTTCTAGCCCCTTGAGGTGCATTGTTGGTTGTTTATGTGAAACCTTTTTACTTTTTTGATGTAGGTATTTATTGCTGCCTACATCAAAAAGGTATTTATTGTTACCTGTTCTTAGTGCTACTTTTAATGTATCCCATAGGCTTTGGTATGTTGTGTTTCCATTTTCATTTGTTTCAAGAAATTTTTTGACTTCTGTTCAGGAACATGTCATTTAATTTCCATTATTTGTACACTTTTCAAAGGTCAGCTTTTAATTGGTTTCTATTTTTATTCCATTGTGATCTGAGAAGATGCTTGATATGATTGCTGTGATTTTGATTTTAAAAATTTGTTGAGACTTGTTTTGCGGCCTAAAATATGCTTTATCTTGGAAAATGTTCCATGTGCTGATGAGAAGAAGGTTCTGCAGCTATAGGATAAAATGTTCTCTAAATGTCTGTTAGGTCCATTTGGTCTAAAGTCCAGTTTAAATCCAATCTTTCTTTCTTGACTTTCTTTCCCATCTCGGCTTCCCAAAGTGCTGGGATTACAGGCGTGAGCCACTGCACCTGGCCTCTTTCAGCACTTTGAGTATATCATCCCATTCTCTCTTAGCCTGTAAGGTTTTTGCTTAGAAATCCAGTTAGTCTAATAAGGATTCCCTTATATGTAACTTGATGCTTTTCTCTTGCTCTTTTTAGAATCCTTTCTTTGTCTTTGACTTTTGACAGTTTGACTATAATATGCCTTAGAGAAGACCTTTGGGGATTGAATCTATCTGGAGATATTTGAGCTTTCTGTATCTAGATGTCTAGATCTCTTGCTTGACTTGGGAAGTTTCAGCTATTATTTCATTAAATGGGTTTTCTATGACTTTGCCTATCTCTTCTCTTTTTGGAACCTCCAAAATTAAAATATTTGGTCACTTTATAATGTCTCGTATGTGATGTCATGTAGGCTTTCTTCATTTCTTCTTCTTCTTGACTAGGTTATTTAAAAAAAAAAACTGTCTTCAAGGTTAGAAATTCTTTAAATTTTTCTGCATAATCTAATCTATTGTTGAAGCACTTAGTTGTATTTTTTATTTCATTCATTAAACTCTTTAGTTCCAAGATTTCTGTTTGGTTCTTTTTCATGATATCCATTTATTTGTTCAATCTCTCATTTAGATCATTAATTGTTTACTTCATTTCTTTGTATTGTTTATCTATGTTCTCTTGTATCTCAATGTTTCTTTAATATCATTATTTTGAATTCTTTTTCAAGTATTTTATAAATTTCCTTTTCGTTGGGATTACTAGAGAATTTTTGTTCTTTCTTTTTTTTGACAGAGTCTCATTCTGTCACCCAGGCTGGAGTACAGTGGCACGATTTCAGCTCACTGCAACCTCTGCCTCCAGGGTTCAAGCAATTCTCATGCCTCAGCCTCCCGAGTAGCTGGGATTACAGGTGCTCACCACGACGCCTGGCTAATTTTTGTATTTTTAGTAGAGGCATAGTTTCGCCATATTGCCCAGGCTGACCTCAAACTCCTGGCCTCAAGTGATCCACCCACTTTGGCCTCCCAAAGTGCTGGGATTCGGGTGTGAGCCATTGTGCCCTGGAGTTCCTTCTCTTTGCAGCCCCAGTACTTTTCTTTGTAAACTCTACAATCCTGGCCTCCTGAGACTCTCAGATCAGAGAGTCTCCTCCACTCAGGAAGACCAATGGGCTCTGTCTGACTAAGTTCCCTCATCCTGAGCCATGGCTAGGAAACTCTCTCTAGGTGGTCTTGAACTCCTGGGCTCAAGTGATCTTCCCACCTTGGCTTCCCAAAGTGCTGGGATTATAGGCCACCATTCCTGGCTGAGAATTATTGTTTTCCTCGGGAGGGGTCACATTTCCTTGCTTTTTCATGTTTCTTTTGTCCTTACATTGATATCTGCACATCTGGTGTAACAGTTTCTTCTTTCAATTTTATCGATTTTCTTTTATAAGAAAAAACTTTTTCCTACAGATGTATCTATAATGTTGGTTGGGTAGGGTGCTTTGGCTTTGATTCTTGGTGGGTGCGGTAGTATAGCTTCCATATGATTTCTATGGCTATGATCAGTGTCAGTGGCATCTTTGAGTTCCTCAGTGATTCGGGCTGTGGTTAATAAAGGCTGTGGTAACGCTTTGCTGAAGATGGGGATGCCAGGTGGTCTAGTCCTCAGGTATCAGTGGTAGTGTCAGTGGCCCAAGCATCACAGCTGGCTGGCATACGTGGGCACTAGTAGTGGCAGTCATGGGTGGGCCAGTCCTTGGGGTTCCACGCAGCTTGCTTTGGTGACAATGGTGGCAGTGGTGGGGTAGGCAGGTGGATGGATCCTCAGGCTACTGGGTAGTATGCATGGCATCAGTCATGGCAGCAGTGATGGCAGGCTAACCCTCAGGCCCCTGAGAAGTACGCGTGGTGTGCCAATGGTGGCAGTGCTGGACTGGGTGGGCCAGTCCCCAAGCCCCCAAGTGGCACATGTGGGTGGGTGCTGCTGGTGATGGTGGCTGCAGGCTAGGTGGGCCAGTTCCTGGGTCCCCAAGAGGTGTGCATGGTCACCAAGCGGCCTATCCCCAGGACCCCAGACAGTGCACACAGGCAGTGGTGGTGAATGGGCTGGGACTGTCTTTAGGCCCTGGAAAGGCATGTGAAAGCACTGGCAGTGGTAGATGGGGTGGGTCAATCCCCAGGCCACTGGATGATACTTATGGGCACTGGCAGTGGCAGCAGTGGGTGAGGCAGCTCTGTCCTCAGGCCCTTGGATCGTGCATGTGGGTGCTTGTGGTAGTAAGGAGTGTGGGTTGATCCCCACGCTCCCAGATGTCATGTACAGATGCTGGCAGAGGTAGGCAGGATGTGTTTATCATCAGGTCACCTGATGGTGTGTATGGGCACCACGCCAGCACTGGCAGGTGGAGTGGACCTGTCCTTAGGCCCTCAGAAAACATCTTCAGGCATAGGTGGCAGTGGGTAGTGTGGACTTGTCCTCAGGCCCCAAAACAGAGCCTGGGTAAGGCAGTCTCCAGGCCCCCTGAAGGTTCACGCAGCCTTGTTGCTGGAGGGAATGGCATTGCTGTCAAGGTTAGTGGCCCTGAACAGGTGGCTCTCAGGCTCTGGGGAACACATGCTTCAGCTTCCTTTATCCTGGGGCCAGTCTCCTTCATGCACTGTACTGCCCATGCCCTAGGGTTTAGGACACTGCATGGGCTAGGAGGCTAGGGACCCAACAGCACTGCTGGGTTCTGCCAGTGTCATGATGCTACAGCCCTCTCGGTGGACATGGAGGGATGTCAACCAAGGCTTCGGGGGCAGGCTTCGGGATATGAAGATACAGGGGCTGCTGGGCCCCAGGACAGGATGTAATCTGGCATGGACTGTGTGCTCAACATCGTACCATGCTGCGGCTGCTTGGGTTTCAGGGAGTGTGTGAGACCCAGCATGAACTCTCCCTCTGGAACAATCCTGTCATGTGAACTCCAGACAGCTACCTATACTAGTCTCAGGGCCCATCAGGGCCAAGGGAATTTCCTGTGGCTAGGATTGCAGGAGTCAATAGTGGGAATTTGGACCTTTGGAGACCTCTCACTTACCTTTTCCCCACAAAGGAGACGTCTTCCTGGCTCCAGGCAGATCCCAGTTGGGCTGGCTGCTTCATTTCCCTCTCTTTGCATGCCTCAGAGATTCCCTGTCATTTCCCTGCTGAATTCCACTGTTCTCTCTTAGGAAATCTGTTCAGTGTGTAATTATCTGCTTAGTGTTCGGGTACTTTTTGGTGGAGGAGGCAAGTGCCAGGCTCTTCTAGTCAGCCATCTTGAAGCCTCCCTCCAGGAATAGCTTTTTAGTGGTTACTCTGGGCATTATATTTTATATATATACAGTTTATCACAGTTTACCCATGTTGACAACTGACTATTCAAATAACGTTTAAAAACCATGCTTTTTGTTTATATCTGCTTAACTTCCCCTGTTTTAAATGCAATTGTGTTAAATCTTTCCTCTACACACCTTTGGCGGTGAGACACCATCCTGGGTAGGCCTGACAAAACCAGAGGAGCCTTTACAAGAAGCATCAGAGAGGCCGGGCACATGGTGGCTCATGCCTGTAATCCCAGAACTTTGGGAGGCTGAGGCAGGCAGATCACTTGAGGCCAGGAGTTCAAGACCAGCTTGGCCAACATGGCAAAACCCTGTCTCTACTAAAAATACAAAAAATTAGTCAGGCATAGTGGCACACGCCTGTAATCCCAGCTACTCGAGAGTCTGAGGCAGGAGAATCTCTTGAACCTGGGAGGCGAAGGTTGCAGTGAGCCGAGATTGACCACTGCACTCCAGCTTGGGTGACAGAGCGAGACTCCCTCTCAAAAAAAAAAGAAAAAGAAAACAGGGACCTTCATTCTACAACTGCAAGGAAGTGGATTCTGTAAAGAATTGAATGATTTGGTAGAGGACTCCAAGCCTCAGATAAGAATCACCACCCTGGCCACACCTTGATTTCAACTTGTTGAGGCCCTGAGCAGAGGAACCAGATAGCCCATACCTGGACTCCTGACCCACAGGAAGTCTGAGACAAATTTTGTGTTGTTTTAAGTGGCTAAATTTGTAACAATTTGTTATGCAGTAATAAAAAACTAATACATGGTTCTTGCTTTAGAGCTTTGTTAGATGGGACTAGAGCAGCATTGAGTCTAGAGCTAATTTTGCCCCACTCTTCAGGCAAAATCTTTCTGTCCAATCCTCTGTGAGTTATGGGGTTTTCCACTGTGGCTATTGGAAAGGAAAGTATTTCCACCAATGTATTAGTTCTAAGAATTATTCCTTCTAATTTTTTTGTTGCTCTTTCCCCAGCCTCAGGTAGTTTCTGTACAGCATGTGTTATTCCGTGCTCAGTCTAAATACTCCAGGGGGAATCTCTTCAGGTCTCTGGAATTCTTTCTGATTTTTTTTTTTTTTTTTTTTTTTTTTTTTTGAGATGGAGCCTCGCTCTGTCACCCAGGCTGGAGTTCAGTGGCACAGTTTTGGCTCACTGCAACCACCACTTCCTGGGTTCAAGCAATTCTCCTGCCTCAGCCTCCCAAGTAGCTGGGATTACAGGCACCCACCACCACACCCAGCCAATTTTTGTACTTTTAGTAGAGACGGGGTTTCACCATGTTGGCCAGGCTGGTCTCAAACTCCTGACTTCTTTTTTTTTTTCTTTAATAGAGATAATAATTATATCTTCCCTTCTTTTTTCTTTTTTCTCTTCTTTTTCTTTTCTTTTCTTTTCTTTTTTTCTTTTGAGACAGAGTCTCGCTCTGTCGCCCAGGTTGGAGTGCAGTGGTGCGATCTTGGCTCACTGCAACCTCCACCTCCCAGATTCAAGCGATTCTCCTGCCTCCGCCTCCTGAGTAGCTGGGACTACAGGCACACACCACCACTCTGGACTAATTTTTGTACTTTTAGTAGAGACGGGGTTTCACCATGTTGGTCAGGCTGATCCGATCTCCTGACCTCGTGATCCACTCACCTCGGCCTCCCAAAGTGCTGGGATTATAGGCATGAGCCACAGCGCTCGGCCTTTTTTTTTTTTTTTTTTTTTTGACAGAGTCTCATTCTGTCACCCAGGCTGGAGTACAGTGGCACGATTTCAGCTCACTGCAACCTCTGCCTCCAGGGTTCAAGCAATTCTCATGCCTCAGCCTCCCGAGTAGCTGGGATTACAGGTGCTCACCACGACGCCTGGCTAATTTTTGTATTTTTAGTAGAGGCATAGTTTCGCCATATTGCCCAGGCTGACCTCAAACTCCTGGCCTCAAGTGATCCACCCACTTTGGCCTCCCAAAGTGCTGGGATTCGGGTGTGAGCCATTGTGCCCTGGAGTTCCTTCTCTTTGCAGCCCCAGTACTTTTCTTTGTAAACTCTACAATCCTGGCCTCCTGAGACTCTCAGATCAGAGAGTCTCCTCCACTCAGGAAGACCAATGGGCTCTGTCTGACTAAGTTCCCTCATCCTGAGCCATGGCTAGGAAACTCTCTCTAGGTAAACTGGGATAATCATAGGGCTCATCTTACTTGTTTTCCATCTTGCACCGATCACTGTCCTCTGTTACCCATGTCTAATATCTTCAAACCATTGTTTCATATATTTTGTCTGTTTTTTTTTTTTTTCCAGTTGTTTCAGGTGGGAGGATAAATCTGTTTCCTGTTACTCCATCTTGGCTGGAATCAGAATTCCAATGCCATGCTAAGTACTTTTAAATCTTCTTTTCTTTGCTTATACTGTTATCTCTTCTAGAACATCCACTTGGTGAACTTTTTTTAAGGTCCCAAGGCCAGGTCAAATGTTACCTCCTCTATATATCTTAATCCTGATCTCTAGGAAGAAATAACCATTCCCTTCTTTGTGCTCCCATGGAATTTATTGTATTATATTTCTACTATAATATGTGTCACATTTTATCCCAATTGATTGGTTAAGATGTCTGACTTTCCTGTTGGAATGTGAAAGAAAATGGATTTCTATTCTGCTGACATTGTATGGATCTCAACAAATCAGACCTGTGCTAAGACTGGGACTATACAATGATGAAAAGATATGTTTCCTACTGTATTAGTCAGGGTTCTTCAGAGAAACAGAGCCAATAGAATATATCTTTGTGAATCCATATAAGAAGAAATGTAATTTTTTTTTTTTTTTGAGACAAAGTCTCACTCTGTCGCCCAGGCTAGAGTGCAGTGGCACTATCTCGACTCACTGCAACCTCCGCTTCCTGGGTTCAAGCGATTCTTCTGCCTCAGCCTCCCGAGTAGCTGAGACTACAGGCACATGCCACCATGTCCGGCTAATTTTTATATTTTTTTAGTAGAAACGGGGCTTCACCATATTGGCCAGGCTGATCTCGAACTCCTGACCTTGTGATCTGCCCGCCTCGGCCTCCCAAAGTGCTGGGATTGCAGGCATGAGCCACTGCACCCGACCGTTGTTTTTTGTTTTTTGTTTTTTGAGATGGAGTCTCGCTCTGTCGCCCAGGCTGGAATGCAGTGGCAGGATCTTGGCTCACCACAGCCTCTGCCTCCAGGGTTCCAGTGATTCTCCTGCCTCAGCCTCCCGGGTAGCTGGGCATACAGGCATGTGCCACCATGCACGGCTAATTTTTCTATTTTTAGTGGAGACGGGGTTTCTCCATGTTGGTCAGGCTGGTCTCCATCTCCCGACCTCAGGTTATCTGCCCACCTTGGCCTCCCAAAGTGTTGGGATTACAGGCGTGAGCCACTGCACCTGGCTGAAGAAATGTATTATAAGGAATTGGCTTATGTGATTATGGGCACTGAGAAGTCCCATGATCTGCCATCTACTAGCTGGAAACCCAGGAGAGCCAGTGGTGTAGTTCAAAGATCCTGAGTGCCAGTAAGACGGTGATGTAGATTCCAGACCAGATTCGAAGGCCTGAGAATCAGGAGCACTGATGGCAGGGGAAGATCAATGTCCTAGCCTAAGGAGTCAGAGAGTGAATTCAACCTTCCACCACAATTTTGTTCTATTCAGGTCCTCAACAGATTAGCTGATGCCCACCCACAATGGGGAAGGCCATCTGCTTCGTTGAGTCCACTTATTCCAATGCTAATCTCTCCAGATATACCCTCATACACACCCAGAAATAATGCTTAACCAGCTGCCTGGGCATCTCGTATCCCAGTCAAGCCATCATATAAAATTAACCATCTCACCTTCCTTTAAGGAATGAATAGACTAGGGAGAGAGCATCCTTTTAGACCAATAAGCCATCACAATGTCATAAGAGACCAGTCTGTATGAGATGCTGTGCACCGTGTGTAGGAAGAAATATCACAATTTTGTTTCATCTAAAAATGAGGGCTAATTAGGAATCTAAAGTAGGAAGGTATAGGTAAAAGGCTGGCTATAAGAAATTCTACTTGAATAAAAAAATGGGTGGAAATACAGGGAGATACAGAGAACATGGTGTGTTTGAGGAAGGGCAACTAATTTTAGCATGGCTAGTTCAATGCAGTTGTCTTTATTCATTTGCATGTGTAAATGATCAGAAAAACTAACCCAAAGTCACTTCATTCCTTAATATTTATTGAGTGCCTACTCTATGTCATGTTCTGCTAAGTTCTTAGGCTGCAATGATGAGTAAAATGAGGTCCAGTCCCTGCTCCTATGTAGCTAAATAGTCAACATCAATTGCTGAAGGCCCAAAAGAGATGGCATATGTAGAACAAAATAGCATCCAGTTATCAAGGCAGGCAAGTAAGTTCTTACGATGAAAACATATGAGGCAGACATTCCAAATGAAATTTTTTCAGCACATTATTAGTTCACTTCTCATCACAAGTGACCTAGGCATCTGCTCTGTGCTCAGGGAATGCAAACTAATGCTAATATTAGCCACATCAACAAATAGAAATGAAAGGCAGAAGGAAGGAACTAAAAAAGGAAGGAAGGCAAAACTGCTGCCCCCAAAGGATATTAAAAATATTTTTATTCAGCCAGGCGCAGTGGCTCACGCCTGTAATCCCAGCACTTTGGAAGGCCGAGGCGGGCGGATCACGAGGTCAGGAAATCAAGACCATTCTGGCTAACACGGTGAAACCTGTCTGCACTAAAAATACAAAAAATTAGCCGGGCGTGGTGGCAGGCGCCTGTAGTCCCAGCTACTCGGGAGGCTGAGGCAGAAGAATGGCGTGAACCGGCGAGGCGGAGCTTGCAGTGAGCTGAGATCGCACCACTGCACTCCAGCCTGGGCAAAGAGTGAGACTCCATCTCAAAAAAAAGAAAAAAAAATTATTCTACCTCCTGTTTTTGTATTACCCATTTTTATTAGTCCATTATATTTAGCTTAAATACTGGCCTAGACGGATACTGAACAGGCTGTTATATTACAGCACTTTCTCTTCTATCTATACAGACCTGCATTCATGGAAGGGGGATCTCTTATGGAAAGTTATTTGCAATGCAGCTAAGTTATCCTAAAATAAACAAATCTGGAAGAATAGGGGGCTGACAATGATCTGTTAGACCCTGTTACTAAAGAATTGCTGTTATCTGAGCATTGTATGTGCATTTCAAATAACTCTCAGGAGGAGTTTGTATAGCTTTTGTTTTTTTGTTTTTGTTGTTGTTGCTGTTTAGAGACAGGGTCTCACTATACTGCCCAGGCTAGTCTCGACCTCCTGGACTCAAGTGATCCTCGACCTCCCAAAGTGCTGGGATTGCAGGCATGAGCCACCACATCTGGCCTTGTGGAGCATTTTTAAAGGGAGAAGAGGAAGAAGAGTTTGATACTTTCTGTCCTCATCTCAGTGAGATGCCTTTTTTTTTTTTTTTTTTTGGTCTAATGTATTCTTCCTCAAAAGGGCAGAATCCAAGTCAGATGCAGTGCGAGTGAAGGGGTTAGTCTGTTCTATAAACTGTTAGAGAGATTTAAAAAATAGGCAATCTAATTGACTCATGCATGGCTCACAGCCATATAAATGCTTGCAAAATTGCTTCCTGCACAGTAATAGTGACCACAGAGAAGCAGAAGTAAAATGGAAGCGAGCAAGATGAGAGCTCTTAGGAAATCTTTAGCAGGACTTTCAAACTTTTGTTAAACCTTTTGTTTAACCTTGTGGAGAACTTTCCTTTGGAAAATTAAATGTACTTTCAACAAGCATACTGCAAGTTAAAAGTCACATAATTCACCTACAAAATAAGACCTCATTGGTAGCAAATTTCATTTCTAGAAATATATTGTCTTTCAGAACCAACTGAAGAGAAGCAATTTTTTTTTTTCAAGAAGGACTGCGGCTACATTGTTACTAAGAGATTTGTAATCTGCTTTAAACATGTTACTAAGAAAGAAGTTGACGTAACTACTAAGTTTGCTATTTACATTTAATTAAGGGCATTACTTAAAATGTATTTGGGCATTTGAGCTATTAACAATATACACATTTATAACTTTCCTCATATTCGCTTTTAACAAAATCTTTCTTTTGCTGTCTTCTTCAAAACTCCCTGCCCTTGTATTGATTAGCTTTACCTGTAATTTATTTCCTGGTGTCTCCTTATGCTTTGCTGAAACATGCACCATGCAATTACTCAGCATAATTTGTTTTTTTGTCCCTTGCCAATCATACACCAAAAAAAAAAAAAAGCATATCTCATCTGTTTGTAGTTTCCTTTTACTACTTAATTAAAAGTAATCAGCTGAAAGATTATACTGAAATTAATCTCTAAATTCATTGGTTGGTCACCAACTCGGAGGTAGGAAATAATTTTTTCCATGTAAAACTTCCTTCTAAAAGCCTGAGTTGCAGTAACAATAACAATATAGTTGCACAATATGTAAACAATTATCTCCTGAGTTACAAAAATATTTTTCAGGCATCCACTTGAACTTTTATAATTTATGTCATTACCCTCCTTGTTGGCTTCCAAATAATAATTTATAAGAATTTTATGTATCATCATTTTGAGTCAAAATGAAAGCCTGAATTTCCTTTAGAAACTAAGAAAAACTAATTTATTATTAAGGTGATTTTGTTTTTGTTGTTGTTTTAATGTTTTGAGACAAGTTCTCAGTCTGTTACTCGGGCTGGAGTGCAGTGACACAATCTTGGCCCTCTGCAACCTCTGCCCCCAGGCTCAATCAATCCTCCCACCTCAGCCCCTTGATTAGCTAGGACCACAGGCGTGTACTAGCATGCCCAGCTATTTTTTTTTTTTTTTGTATTTTTAGTAGAGATGGGGTCTCACCGTGTTGCCCAGGCTGGTCTTGAACTCCTGAACTCAAGCTATCCGCCCGCCTCAGCCTCCCAAAGTGCTGGGATTACAGGTGTGAGCCACCGCGCCCCACCAGTGATTTTATTTTTGGTGTTTCATGGTTTACTTAGGAAACTAAAACATTTTATGTATGTGTTTATGTGACTACTAAATTATGACATCAACTGATAAAAGAGTTGAACCATTCTAAGAGAATAAAAGTTTAACTTAAGTCCTGTATTTAAGTTCTTTTAATTCCATCATTAAAATTATGTGTGTGTGTATGTGTGTGTGTGTGTGTAAACACACATACAAAGCAGGAGAAAAATATTCATTCTCAATATACTCTATTTCTTATCTAGAAGATGGATTCTCAGCCGGGTGGGGTGGCTCACACCTGTAACCCAACACTTTGGGAGGCCGAGGCAGGTGGATCGCTTGAGGCCAGGAGTTTGAGACCAGCTTGGACAACCTAACAAAACCCTTTCTCTACAAAAAAAAAAAAAAAAAAAAAAAAACACAAAAATGGCTGGGCGCAGTGGTTTACTCCCGTAATCCCAGCACTTTGGCAGGTCAAGGCGGGTGAATCATCTGAGGTCAGGCATTTGAGACCAGCCTGCCCAACATGGTGAAACCCCGCCTCTACTAAAAATACAGAAAATTAGCCAGATGTGGTGGCCCATGCCCATAGTCCCAGCTACTCGGGAGGCTGAGGCAGGAGAATTGCTTGAACCCAGGAGGCAGAGATTGCAGTGAGCCAAGACCACGCCACTGCCCTCTATCCTGGGCGACAGAGTGAGACTCCGTCTCAAAACAAACAAACAAACCAACACACAAAAATTAGCTGGGCTTTTTTAGTGTGGCACACCCCTATAATGCCAGCTACTTGGGTGTCTGAGGTGTGAATCACTTGAACCCAGGGGGCAGAGGTTGCAGTGAGCTGAGATCATACCACTGTACTCCAGCCTGGGGTGACTGAGTGAGACCCTGTCTCAAAACAAACAAACAAACAAAAACCAAAAAAAACCCCAAGATGGATGGATTATCTTTTAGGAGAAATCTTTTTTTGAATAAAGTTTACTGAGAATCCATTGAAAAGTCTTAGTCCCCTGATATACTTTGGATATGTATCCCCTCTGAAACTTACGTTGAATTGTAATCCCCAATGTTGGAGGTGGGGCCTGGTGGGATGGGAGGTGATTCGATCATGGTGGTGGATTTCTCATGAACGGATTAGCTCTATCATCTTGGTGCCGTCCTCATGATAGTGAGTGAGCTCTCATGAGATCTGGTTGTTTAAAAGTGTGTGGCGCCTTCCCCAAACTCTCTCTCTCTTGCTCCTGCTTTCGCCATGTAAGGTGCCTTCTCCTGCTTTGCCTTGTCCCATGAGTAAAAGCTCCCTGAGGTGTCCCCAGAAGTCAAGCAGATGCTGGTGCCATGCTTGTACAGCCTGCAGAACTTTAAGCCAATTAAACCTATTTTCTTTATAATTTATTCAGTCTTAAGTATTTCTTTATAGCAGTGGAAGAATGGCCTAACACATCCCCCAACTGACAACAGTAAAATTCCCAATTCATCTAGCTCCCTGAGGACATATCTGATCTAATATTGAATTTGTTAGCCCTGAATTGAAATTCAACATTTGCTTGTGGATGCCTACTATTTTTGTACATCTCTAGAATTATAGAGAAACCATCATGATTCACTATGCTTTGAATAATTCCTAGCACACAGTAAATAAATGTGGAAAAAAAATGGAAAAAGGGAGACATAAAGTGTTTTTTAAAAAAGAAGTCAGGGTATAAATCCTATCAAATTCCTGTCCTGAACTAGAAAATTTCCCCTTTGTGTTATGCCATAGTGCAGGATGCTTGCTATTCCAAACTAGGTTCCAATAATTTGAGATTTCCTCATGAGATATTTTGGACATTTTCCAGATCAAAAATGTTCTCAATCTTCTCTTAGAATTTAGGGACTACAGTTAAAATATATGGAAAAAAGGAAGCTACAACCTTCAAATCACTACCCAGGTATGTCCTGCCCTCTTCCCCATAGTCTCTGTGGCTTAAAACACAGGAACAGCTGAGGACAAATGAAGTTTTGGGAAAAGACTGCACTTTTTAACCCAAAGAAGGGCAGAGAGGAGCAGAGCCATAGGTCATGGTATTAACCACTGCCACTGAATTTTCGATCCTTCCATTAAGAGAGCCAACAAATATAGAAAGAGACCTATTTCTAGCCTATCTAGACGAAGAATTAGATGAGTACATTTAACTCCCACTTTGCTGTCCTGTAGCCCCCAAGCCACTGGCTCCTTGGCAGAAAAATTCACCTTCCCCTCCACTTCCAGATTTACATATATGGGTGTAGCTTTACTCTGGAGTAGAAAGGCTGTCGCTCAAGTTCTGTGTAAAGGATAAACCTTTTACCTGTGTTGACAGAACTCCACAGGGCAGGCCAGGCAAATGAATATGCTTGTTGCTAGGATACCACACTGTTTCCATGACAGCAGGCCACTGCTGTTTGCTACTCTCTTGACCACTAGCACACACACCTGTTCCTTAAGAAATATGCTTGTTTCCCTTCATTATAAGGCAAATATTTAGTAGAAAATAACACAACTACATGGCTGCAACTTCTCTAGCTTTCCAGAATAAATATAATACATCAACTACAATTTGATGTGTGGAAAGGGAATTCACATATCCATGTGTATCCCAAGTCTTCATATGCAATAAAATGTTTTAAATGATTGACTGATTCATTGTTACATTTATAGCCCACCATGTGCCACAGAAGAGTTGAGTCAACAAAGCATATTGTTTCTGAGGCCACTCTAACATTCATCCTACATGCTGCTTACACAGTGACTGTTGTATTATGAGTTTTTCAAAGATTACACTTCATGGTTCCCTGTGGAACTCATCTTTTTTTTTTTTTTTTTTTTTTTTGAGACAGGATCTCATTCTGCTGCCCAGGCTGGAGTGCAGTGGCACAATCACTGCTCACTGCAACCTCAACCTCCCAGGCTCAAGCAATCCTCTCACTTCAGCCTCCCTTGTAGCTGGGAGTACAGGTGCACACCACCATGCCTGGTGAATTTTTTTTATTTTTTGTAGAGATGGAGATCTCACTGTGTTGCCCAGGTTGGTCTTGAGCTCCTGGACACAAGCAATCTGCCTGCCTCGGCCTCCGAAAGTGTTGGAATATAGGCATGAGCCACTGCGGCTGGCTGGAAATCACCAGTTTTTTTTTTTTCTCCTACTGGCATCCGGTTGTCACAAAAATTGCCACCACTACTGACTATGACTGCTAGCCAGGACCAGGACTAAAGTGCCTAGGTGCACATTTTAAGTAGGTCCTCACTTTCAGGGTCGGGCATGTGCACTTCTGCCAACATCTACCCAAAGGTAATGAATACCTGAGTCATGGGTGCCAAGGTCTGGATCATAGTGATGGTTGTACAATTGTATAAATTTACCAAAAACAATTCAAATGTGCATGTCCAGTAGTTGTATTTATCACATATAAATTATATCTCAATAGAGCTGTCAACAATGACCAAACAAATACTCTGTAGACACTCCTATATCACTGAAGTAATTTTCAAATCTCTTATAATTTGTGCTGTGGTTTGGATATGTGACTGTGTCTCTTCCGTTCAACTGTTAAGTTTGTCAAAGGTAAGACCTGCATTTTACACACTTTTGTAACTTCCCCAGTGATCAGCTGGATTCGCTGCACATAAAAAATGTTCAATAAATATTTGCTGAGTGTTTTATGACATATATTTAATATCTTGCTTCCTGAACTTCTAGCTTTGGGTCTTCTTTGAGAGCCAAATTTTGTTGTATCTTATATTCTACCATCACAAATGCTAGAAATACAAAGCATATCTCTATTTGCTTTATATTTGCCCATGAATACATTTTTTTACACAGCTCTATGTAAAGGCTTGTTAGAGGTCATTAGGCAGTAGGGTCTGAAGAGGAGGATAAATTGAGCAAGAGACAAAGACTGATTTGTATTTCCTATTGCATCAAAAATAATAAATGCAGAGCAAAAAGGGGAGGGGGAGGCAACGATGGTGGCATTTACAACTTGTGTTTACCCACTATCCCTTCCCCTTTCTATAGGATATTTTCACTTTAAAAGGAAAAAAATGTAAGGGAACCTATTTAAAATGTGGGATTTATGACACAGAAAAGGAAAAATAAAATAAAATTCTTTCCAGAAACCAGAAAGTCTACCAAAGGATGCACCTCGTTCCATTGTGATATCAAAACATAGAGAAACTAATTTAAAAAACCACTTGAAATATAATATTCCTCTGACCCCAAATTCTTGAGCAAAAATAAAAACAAGAAAATGACTATTTTATGTTAACCAAATGGAAATAGGGCATAATTCTAGGCAAAAGCCCTTTGAGGCAGACAGAATTAGTTCTGTCACTAAAAGAGGTGGAAAGATTGGTGGTTGCCTGTGGCTAGGGGTGGGTTGGGCTGTGACTGCTAATGGATACAGTTTCTTTTTGGGGTGATGAAATGTTCTAAAAGTTATTGTGGTGACAGTAGGACAACTCAGTGAATATATTTTTAAAACTATATGATAGGCCAGGTGCCGTGGCTCACGCCTATAATCCCCACATTTCGGGAGGCCAAGATAGAGGCCAGGAATTTGAGACCAGCCTGGCCAACATTAAGAAACCCCATCTCTACTAAAAATACAAAAGGTAGCCAGATGAGGTAGCACACATCTGTAATCCCAGCTACTCAGGAGGCTGAGGCAGGAGAATCACTTGAACCCGGGAGGCAGCAGTTGCAGTGAGCTGAGATCGCGCCACTGCACTCCAGCCTGGGCAACAGTGCGAGACTCTGTCTGGACACACACACACACACACACACACACACGATACAAGAATTATATCTCAATAAAGTATATATATAGACACACATATGCACATGTCTTTATGAATATATATATATGTGTGTGTGTGTGTGTGTGTGTGTGTGTATAGTCTCTACTGAAAACCCTTCAACAGTTTGGATAAAGTCCAGCCCCTTAGAACTGCCCACACAGCCCTTCATTACCTTCATCTACTCATCCCAACTGTAACTCTTGCCATTTTCCACCAGGGACCCCAGGATCCAGACATACTAAATGATTTGCAGTTTTCCTCATTTTGGACCTTTGCAAAAGTTGTTTTTCTGCCTAGAATACCCTTATTCCTCTTTTTCTCTTACTCCTGTTAGTTTTTCAAAACTCAGGTTCAAATTTCATCTATGGGAGCTCATTCCTGTACCATACAACATGGTTAGGTTCAGTACCCTCTGGTAATTTTTTCTGTATTTGTCTGTCTCCTCTATTAGATTATAAACTCCTTAAGTCTTATATCTTATTCTTAATAGCTAGTGTAGGGTCTGGCACATGCCAGTACTACATTTATTCCAAAAAAATTTAATGAATTAATATTTTGATTATACTACTCCTTTTATAGTACTATAAATTATTTGTTTGTATCTTTATTTCTTCAATAAATTGTGAGCTCCTTACCTTATTCATCTTTGCATTTCTCAGGTAACACAATTTCAAGTATATAATAGATATTCTATAATACAATGATGGATATATATTATATTACATTATATTATTGGATGAGGCTCCGCAGAAAACAGTTAAACTACAGGTATCCTATGTTGACATGGCTTTCTTTTTCTTTAGAGATGGGGTCTCACATTTTGCCCAGGCTGGTCTCCAACTCCTGGGCTTAAGCCATTCTCCCACTTTGGCCTCCCAAACTGCTAGGATTACAGGTATGAGCCACCATGCTCAGCCACTGACATGGATTTCTGAAAGTCCTAAAATGTGTTTTTAAAATGTATACTGCAGGCAGGCACCGTGGCTCACGCCTATAATCCCAGCACTTTGGGAGGCCGAGGTGGGCAGATTGCCTGAGCTCAGGAGTTTGAGACCAGCCTGGCCAACATGGTGAAACCTCATCTCTATAAAAAATACAAAAAAATTAGCCAGGCATGGTGGCACATGCCTGTAGTCCCAGCTACTTGTGGGACTGTGGTGGAAGGATCACTTGAGCCCGGGAGGTTGAGGCTGCAGTGAGCTGAGATTGCACCACTGCACTCCAGCCTAGGTGACAGCGTGAGACTGTCTCCAAAACAAACAAACAAAACAAAACGCCCCCCACCACACACACACGTGCACAAATAAAATGTGTATTGCAAGTGTCATTTAAATATGTAGATATAGATCAATAATTTGGTTTATCTAATTCATAAACATTTCATTCTACAGAGAAATATGACTTGTTAAATAATATGTTCAAGTTGATTAAAACTCACACATAATTTACCAATTGAACATATTTCCCCAACACATACCAAATCAAAACAATCTGTCTTTGTTTGTAGGATATGATTGAATTCCCGGCAGCAAATAGAATTCGCTGGCCCATTATACTAACACAAAGGCTGTTAGAATGTGAATGTCTGATGCATATTAAGCACTGACATTCAGGGGTCAGGTGGAATAGTGTTTTATAAACTCAATCAGTCTTTATTACAGCAATAACAAATAATTTCACAGAAACAATCTCCAGGCTCATGATATCACAGAAGGTGCATATAATTCAAATCTGAATAGCCATATTTGAATGATCAACTGTGTTTTCTATATAAGCTATAATAAAATGTTAGCTTTTGGCCAGGCGTGGTGGCTTATGCCTGCAATACCAGAACTTTGGGAGGCTGAGGTGGGTGGATCACAAGGTCAGGAGATCGAGACCATCCTGGCTAACACGGTGAAACCCCGTCTCTACTAAAAATACAAAAAATTAGCTGGGTGTGGTGGCACGCGCCTGTAGTCCCTACTCAGGAGGCTGAGGCAGGAGAATCACTTGAACCAGGGAGGTGGAGGTTGCAGTGAGCCAAGATCACACCACTGCACTCCAGCATGGGCAACAGAGCAAGACTCCATCTGAAAAAAAAAAAAAAAATTAAAACTGTAAACTTTTTTTTTTTTGAGACGGAGTCTCACTCTGGAGCGCAATGGTGCGATCTCAGCCCACTGCAACCTCTGACTCCCAGGTTCAAGTGATTCTCCTGCCTCAGCTTCCCAAGTAGCTGGGATTACAGGTGCCCGCCACCACACTTAGCTAATTTTTGTATGTTTTAATAGAGACGGGTTTTCACCATGTTGGTCAGGCTGGTCTCGAGCTCCTGACATCAAGTGATCCACCCGCCTCAGCCTCCCGAAGTGCTGGGATTACAGGCGTAAGCCACCATGCCCCGCCATAAAATGTTAATTTTGAAAACACTGCAAGACAGTGGATTCAGGAAGCCTCATGGGAAATAATCATGTTATATACCCATTTACAGATGAGGAAACTAGGACACAGCAACACTAGGTTACTCGCTCAAGGTCAGATCGGTAAAAAGTGTCAAATTCAGGCTATTACCAACGTGTTCTGAACTTTAAATTTGGGTTATTCCCTGTGGTACCATGCTGCCTGCATCTTTTCAAAACATGATTTGTACTGGGGAGATTATAAAGCAGTTAGCTGGGTGTGGTGGGGCGTGCTTGTAGTCTCAGTTACTCCGGAGGCTGAGGTGGGAGGATCACTTGAGCCCAGGAGTTCAAGGCTGCAGTGAGCTATGATAGTGCCACTGCACTGCAGCCTGGGTGACAGAATGAAACCCTGTCTCAAAAAATAAAAATAAACAAAGAAGGAGATGTGAACTCCATCCCACTCCTCACCCCGTATCTGCTGATCTAGAGTCTAATGACCACCTAACTTAATAAAGTCAGGTGCCAGAGTAAATGAGCAGTCCACAGATTTGGGTTTCACAGACGTTTCTTCCTGATCCCATGGACTGAATCTGGCCTCTTTTCCTCCTTTGTTGGTAATGGCACTCCTCCCAGGCATTTAGAAGCGAGCAATTGGGCCTTAAAGGAGCGAGTTGGTCTTGAAAAAAGCTGTTCTTCCTGACCTTTCAATTGGCAAAATTCATACTAGCTTTCATAGACCATAGGCTGATTTAGTGAGTACTGACTGTGACAAGTTATTGCACTATTTTACACATTTTGTCTTGTTTTGTTTTATCCCTACAAAAACTCACTGAAACGTGTAGCATTCTTATCATGTCATTTTACAGATGAAGAAACACCTTAAGGGAGGTTAAGTAATTTGCTCAAGATCATGAGGTAGCAAGTGTTGAATGCAGAATTTGATCCAGGGGGGAAGACTCCAGAGCCCAGGCTATTATTCTCTTGCCTTTGAACATAAAGATAGTTGAGGCCATTCTGTGCTGAACTCCCGCCTCTGCACCTTTAATCATCAGGCCCCAGCAGTTAAGATCTCTTCAAAGGTTCTGCATGGTTTCAGACTAACTGGGTAACAAAACAAGTATCAGAAGTACAATATCCATTCTGAATCTAAAATACAGTCTCTAAGATTTAAAGTGTTCATGGATTAGAAGACTGAATATTTTTGCCGATTCTCCCAAAATTGGTCTACAGATTCAGTGCAATCTCAATCAAAATTCTAGCAGACTTCTTTGTATATATGAAAAGCTGATTCTAAAATTGACTGTGATTTATAATCATCAAAACAATATTTTAAAAATTGGAGGATTCACACAACCTGATTTCAACACTTAATCTAAAGCTACGGTAACCAAGAGGATGTAGAATTGGTGAAAAAATAGGGACGTAGATAAATGAAACAAAATGGAGAATCCAGAAATAGACTCACAAATAGATGGTCAACTGACTTTTAACAAAGGAGCAAAAGTATTCAGTAGACAAAGAATACCCTTTTTAACAAATGAAGCCAAAACAATTGGACACTCAAAAGCATAAAAAATCAACCTTAATCCACATCCTGCAAGATATACAAATATCAAATTAAAATCTGTCATAGGGCTGGGCGCTGTGGCTTACACCTATAATCCCAGCACTTTGGGAGGCCAAAGCGAGTGTATCACTTGAGATCAGGAGTTCAAGACCAGCCTGGCTAACATGGTGAAAACCCACCTCTACTAAAAATACAAAAATTAGCCAGCTGTGGGGCCACACACCTGTAATCCCAGCTACTCGGGAGGCTGAGGCAGGAGAATAGCTCGAATCCAGGAGGCAGAGGTTACAGTGAGCCGAGATTGCACTGCTGTACTCCAGCCTGGGTGACAGAGTGAGATTTCATTTCAAAAAAACAAAAAATAAAAATAAAATAAAATAGATCATAGACCATTTAAATAAAACCATAGACCATATAGCAAGATCTAAAAATATAAAGTTTCTGGAAGAAGAAAACATAGAAGAAAATTATTGCGACCTTGAGTTACACAAAGATTTTTTAGATAGGACACACAAAAAAATATGAGCCACAACAGAAAAAAAAATCAATAAATTGGATTTAATAAAATTTTTTTAAACTTTTACTCTTTGACAAACACTATTAGGAAATTAAAAGACAATTACCTACTGGGTACAATATCTATAAATCACATATATCTAGAATATATAAAGAATTCTCATATATCAATAATAAGAAAACAAGCAATCTGGCCAGGCACAGTAGTTTATGCCTGTAATCCCAGCACTCTAGAAGGCCAAGGCAGTTGGATTGCTTGAGCCCAGGAGTTCGAGAAAAGCCTGGGCAACATGGTGAAACCCTATCTCTACAAAAAAAATACAAAAATTAGCCAGTCATGGTGGTGTGCGCCTGTAGCCCCGGCTACTCAGGAGGCTGAAGTGGGAGGATCGATTGAGCCCAGGAGTTGGAGGCTGCAGTGAGCCATGATCATGCCACTGCACTCTAGCCTGGGCAACAGCACAAGACTCTGTCTCAAAAAAAAGAAAAAAAAAAGGAAGAAAAAACAAGCAATCCAATTAAAATGGGAAAAATAATTGAATAGACCCTTCACCAAAAAAGATATATGAACAAGATATAAGCATATAAAAAGTTGTGCAACATCATTAGGCATTAAGGAAAATCAAATTAAAGCTATAATGAGATAGCACTCCATACCTATTATAATGGCAAAAAAAAAAGAAAAAGAAAAAGAAAAAGAAAAAACCCCAAAAAACATGACAATACTAAATGCTGGCCAGGATGCAGAGCAACTGGAACTCTCATGCATTGCTGGTGGGAATACAAAATGTACAGCCATTTTAGAAAATAATTTCATGCTTTTTTATAAAGTTAAACATGTATATGCCGGGTGCAGTGGCTCACGCCGGTAATCCCAGCACTTTGGGAGGCCGAGGCGGGCAGATCACGAAGTCAGGAGATTGAGACCATCCTGGCTAACACGGTGAAACCCCGTCTCTACTAAATATACAAAAAATTAGCCGAGCGTGGTGGCAGGCGCCTGTAGTCCCAGCTACTTGGGAGGCTGAGGCAGGAGAAGGGCGAGAACCCGGGAGGCGGAGCTTGCAGTGAGCTGAGATTGCAGCCACTGCACTCCAGCCTGGGCGACAGAGTGAGACTCTGTCTCAAAACAAAACAAAAATATATTTACCCTATGAACCACCAATCCCAATTCTTAGGTATGTACCCAAGGGAAATCAAGATATGTGTTCATACAAATATCTGAATATAAATTTTTATAGCAGTATGGCTGGGTGCGGTGGCTCACACCTGTAATCCCAGAACTTTGGGAGGCAGAGGCGGGTGGATCACCTGAGGTCAGGAGTTTGAGACCAGTCTGGCAAACATAGTGAAATCCCATCTCTACTAAAAATACAAAAAGTAGCTGGATGTGGTGGTGGGCGCCTGTAATCCTAGCTACTCTGGAGGCTGAGGCAGGAGAATTACTTGAACTTGGGAGGTGAAGGTTGCAGTGAGCTGAGATAGAGCCACTGCACTCCAGCCTGGGTGACAGAGTGAGACTCCATCTCAATAAATAAATAAATAAATTTTTATAGCAGCTTTATTCATAACCAACAATGACTGGAAGCAACCAAGATGTCTTTCAATAGCTGAATCGGTAAATACATCATAGTACATCCATAGAATATCACACAGCAGTAAAAGGGATGGACTAATTTTATATGCAGAAATATAGATGACTATAGGCCAGGCACGGTGGCTCACGCCTGTAATCCCAGCACTTTGGAAGGCCGAGGCAGGTGGATCACAAAGTTGGGAGTTCAAGACCAGCCTGGCCAACATGGTGAAACCCTGTTTCTACTAAAAATACAAAAATTAGCCAGGTGTGGTGGCATGTGCCTGTACTCCCAGCTACTTGGGAGGCTGAGGCAGGAGAATCACTTGAAACCAGGAGGCAGAGGTTGCAGTGAGCCTAGAATGCGCCATTGCACTCCAGCCTGGGCAACAGAGCATCTCAAAAATAAAAAAATTTTAAAAAAAATAAAATGGATGACTATATAAAGCCTTATGCTAAGTGAATAAAACCAGATGCAGAAGGCTATTTATATACATATATATACACACACACATATGTATATATATATACACACATATGTATACTTGTGTGTATATATATATATTTTGGAGACAGGGTTTGCTCTGTCACCCAGGCTGGAGTGCAGTGGCACGATCTCGGCTCACTGCAACCACCACCTCCTGGGTTCAAGCAATTCTCGTGCCTCAGCCTCCTGAGTAGCTGGGACTATAGGCATGAGCCACCATGCCCGGCTAATTTTTGTATTTTTATTAGAGATGGGGTTTCGCCATGTTGGCCAGGCTTGTCTCGAACTCCTGACCTTAGGTGATCTGCTTACCTCAGCCTGCCAAAGTGTTGGGATTACAGGCATGAGCCACTGTGCCCAGCCAGAAGGCTATATATTATATGATTGTATTTATATGACATTCTGGAAAAGATAAAACTATAGAGACCAAAAGCACATCAGTGGTTACTAGGGACTAGGGAGGGAGGGAGGGGTTATCTACAAAAGAGCACAAGGGAACTTTTGAGGATGATGGAAATATTCTGGATACATTCGTCAAGATTCCTACATTGTGCACCTAAAAAGTATTTTACTGTGCCTAGATTATAACTCAGCAAGCCTGACTATGAAAAAAGTAAATGAATAAATGCAGTCTCTAAAGCGAGAGTTTTTCAAATTAGTAAGATATAATCCATCAGTGAGTCAGTTGTGAATTCAATTTAGTGGGTTGTGACTGGCATTTTAAAAAAGTGAAATTGGCTGGCCATTGTGGGGCTCATGCCTGTAATCCCAGCACTTTGGAAGGCCAAGATAGGAGGATTGTTTCAGCCTAGGAGTGTGAAATCAGCCTAGGCAATATGTGAGACCCCAGTCTCTACAAAAAGTAGAAAAAATTTAGCCAGGTATGGTGGCACACACCTGTGGTCCCAGCTAAATGGGAGGCTGAGGTGGGAGGATTGCTTGAGCCCGGGAGGTGGAGGTTGCAGTGAGCTGAGATCGTACCACTGCACTCCAGCCTGGGCGACAGAGAGCGATTCTGCCTCAAAATAAATGCATAAAGTGAAAATAGACTAATATAAGAAATCATTGCACACAGTAAGAGGAATATGGTTAATGAAACATTTGTTTCAGTTTCATATATATGTATATATGTACTATAATAATGTGTCACAAAAAAGAAACCGTCATTCGATCTGTTTTTAATATACGGAATTTAATACAGGAAACTGGTTACACAAATGATAACGCTGAGAAGCCAAATAGGGGAAGGTGAGGCAACCAGAGATTAGCAGCAGCAGAAACCACTAATCCTTTTCGACTAGAGGGACAAAGAGAGGAGGCAGTGTGGTTAGATCCCAGAACTGGACTCATCTAATGACAGGAGGGCCTTTCTGGCTGGAGCTGGAGCCAGGGAGGAGATTTAGCCACTGTCAGAGATGCACCTCGGGCAGAGAAAGGCAAGGAGAATCATCCTAGCTTTTCCATTCTTCCCACTCTCCAGCGTTGTGGCAGGGCCTCGTATCAGTAGGACCCAGCCAGTAATCACTTAACAACATGAGAGCCTCAGAAACACAGCCTGTTGGGATCAGCATACCCATGACATTGCAGCAGAATAGGAAAGGATTTGAGAGCAAACAGGCCAGGGGCCGCCACAGTTGTGAAGTAATATATATTTCTGATTGAGGTTTGGGTTCTAAAAGATTTAAAAGCCATTACCTTAGACGACAAAGCTACCCTCTCAATTTTATGTGGTTCTCTCTACATATTGAAAGAATAAAATCATACTTTTGATCATTAGGGGATAGCAAATTTTGCCCTTTTTAATGTTCTGGTGGAAGGCAGTTTGAACTGAAGAAGTCAGATGGGGAGAATAATCCACTTCTCTCAGTAGTGTTTTGTTTTGTTTTGTTTTGTTTTGTTTTAGAGACAGGGTCTTACTCTGTTGCCCAGGCTGGAGTGCAGTAGCAGGATCACGGCTCACTGCAACCTCTTCTTGGGTTCAAGTGATCCTCCCACTTCAGCCTGTCAAGTAGCTGGGACTAGAGGCACGCACCACCATGCTCAGCTAATTTTTAAGTATTTTTTGTAGAGATGGGGTCTTGCTATGTTGCCCTCCCAAAGTGCTGGAATTATAGGTGTGAGCCACCATGCCCAGACCCTTTTTAGTTTAGGAGTAGTCTTATAAAGCTCTCTTCGTAAAGAAGTTAAAACTTCTAACAGATGCAGGTGAAATATAGGCTAGAAACAACAGAACAGGAAAGAAGTACACAAGCAGCAAATATGTAAGCAAAGGAACCAGATGCTTCTCTCCTTGACTGTGTACAAGGAAACTCATAGTACGTGCTTAAGAATTGGCAAGCTGAGTACCAAATTGCCTCTGCTGGCAGCTATATGTGTGAGAATTCTACAAAATTGCCTGGATCCACAAGGACATCAGCGACCAAAATTCATTTACAGCACCGTATTTCTGACTGGTGGCTATCTGTTACTCTGGTTCCAAAACTCTGACCTTCAATTACTTTAGATTTCTGATCCCATCCCAAGAAATGGCTCCCAAAGCTCCCTCAGCCCTTTACTACCTCCTTGATTTGAGACCAAACCTAATGCTTGATCCCTTGTGCTTGGAAACATCCTAGCACCCACTTTTGGACTTCTACCCTGTACCGACGGTGCACAAACAATGTACTTCAATCTGTTCATTTTCTCTCTGGTCTCTTTCAGTCAACTTTAATACAATTCTGGCAATATCATTTTAAACTCAACTGTATAATTATCAAGAGTTATTTTTAAAGGCAATGAATATTTGTTGGGTGAATGAGTGGATGGATGGATGGATGGATGGATGGATGGATGGATGGATGGATGGATGGATGGATGGATGGTTGGATGGATGGATAGATGAAGGCAATGGAAGTCTCAGTTCTACTTTTCAGCCAGGCTGAGGGGAAGTCCTGAAGCCAGTATCGTGGCTCTTCGTTTAAAGACCACCAGAATGCCATTGCACTGCCATCTAGTGGTAGCATAGCCACATATAGGAAAAGAAATGGCGGAAAAACAAGCCTGAATGCAAAATGAGTGAATGTCATAGCTGTTTCGCAGATTCTGGCTGCTTATAATTGCCTCTCCTCAGTTGACTATCTTTGATAGTAATACCATTTCACCTTGATTGTTTAACACATGTACGAAGAACACCAGCAGGGTTATATAAATAGATTTCACTAGCTCAGCCACCGTATGGTGGGATAGGTACTCACCGGTACAATGATGCCAAAGGTCTGTGTTCCTTTTGAGACAGTCATTGGGCCCATGGTTTTCTAAAGTGTGATAACCAGCTGTTTTCAAAGAGAAGCATGATAACAATGTTATTACTTCCACACTTCAGCTTTAATTTGATGACTTCTTTTAGAGAACATACTTTGTTTCTGGACAAATGGTAGTCTTTTCCTTTATACAGTCTTTTCCTGGATAAGTGATAAATTGGTAGAAACTCTTTATCTCAGAATGAAATTATGTAAAAGCAAAATAAAATAGCTGCAAATTTTAGGCAACCAGGAGTATAAAATGAGGACTTCATGTAATAATAAAACTGTATTATTAATAATAAACGGTATAATTAAGTTATCTTGGCTGAAGGGAGTTGAGATTGAGTCAGGCTGGCCTGAGAGATATGAAAACATCTCCCTAAAGGACTTTATATTTGTTTTTCTTTTTTCCCATTATCATCTTATCTTTATCTTAAAGCCTTGGCATTTCTGTTAGAACAAACACATCACAAAATTTTTTTTCTTGTAATACCACTTGGAAAGATAGCAGTGGTATGTCAGATTCAGACAAATTTGTATGCCCCAAGACATTTTACCACCGATACTCAGGATAGTCCATGAAAGGACCCCATGTAAACCCAAATCTAGAGATCTGGCTCAGAAAAACAGCCACTATTTTCCCCAGAAATGCTAACGGCCTTTGGACCTTTGGCTCAAAGCACCACCTGCCCAGTGCTACCCAGGTAGATAAGCAGGCACAGAGGCCAGCAAACCGTAAGCTGGTGACTGTGGGCAGACCCTTCTCAGCCTCCTTAATCTTAAAAACAAAAAGCTCATCTGGAAAGCAAGGAACATCGATTTGGCACCGTCTGGTCACTGAAAGAACTGCTGCCTCGGGCAAGCAGGGGCTCGGATCAACCCTACAAAGTCCTGTCCTCTAACTCCCAAGTACCTGTGGTGACCGCCTCCTTCCAAAGAGCGAAGGAAGGTTCAGTTCAGAGGATGTTAAGCTTCCTTTGGCTCACACAGCAGACAAGAAATCAGACCCCTTTTACCAAGCAGGCCTGGGGCCCACAGATACCCATGGAAATCGGTATGTATTTCTAAGTCAAAAACTTCCATCCATGTGAGAGAAGATTTGAGTCAACCTCAGCTATCTTTCTTCTTTAGAACTGTCTGCCTCATACTTTGTGGATGCCTACTTTGGAAAGGTGAACCTTGGGCAAGACATTAAGCTCTCTAAGCCTCAATTTTCTCACAGATAAAATGGGGATAGCGGTATTTACCTCAGAGGGTCATTGTGAGACAATACGTGGCAAGCACTGAGTCCAGTGTATAGAACGAATATATAGAATGCATTAAGTGAGCAGAAACTGTAGTTGTTGAGTGCTTCTACACAGACAGAAATGGAAGAATAGCAGGTTCAGGAGAGGAGAAAGAAGAAACGAATACACAGTGCATGTCAACAGGATAACATATAGAGGATTTCTAAAAGCCACCTCCAAGACAAATTCAGGTCCCAGGAGGAACAGACTGTACAATCCTGAGTTTCAAGAAGGATGAACAGATACATCAAAGGTGATGCATGATTTGGAGGCATAAAAGTAAGCAATGTCTTCACAATACTACACATCCAGAGAAACACAAATGCAGCGTCATCTGTGGACACGGTCCTCCTGTTAACTCCATACAAGATCAGCCCTCCATCTGCAGGTGTCATAGCTTCCTCAACAATTAGTTCCCAAGTCCTATAAAATACCCAACCAAAAAATTGTAGATCTTTCATCTTTTAGGGAAATTTTTAATTGTAAATTTAGGATTCCACCATTTATTTAAAGCAAAGTCACTAGTAGCTGAGGGTGGTGGCACACGTGGGTGGTACCAGCTACTCAGGAAGTGGAGGCGGGAGGATCACTTGAGCAGCCCAGAAGTAGGAGGCTGCAGTGAGCTATGATCACACCACTCCATTCTGGCCTGGGTGACAGACTGAGACCCCATGTCTTTAAAAAAAAAAAAAAAAAAAAAGCAAAAAGCAAAGCCACTATATTAGTGTAAGGAGGGCGTGCCTGCTTCCTTACAGATGATATCACATGTGTTCTTGTTTACTTATTTATTTAACTTAATTTTTTTTTAGATAGAACCTTGCCCTGTCACCCAGGTTGGAGTGTAGTGGCACAATCTCAGCTCACTGCAACCTCTGCCTCTTGGGTTCAAGTGATTCTCCTGCCTCAGCCTCCCCAGTAGCTGAGACTACAGGCACTCACCAGCATGCTTGGCTAATTTTTGTAGTTTTGGTAAAGATGTGGTTTCATCGCGTTGGCCAGGCTGGTCTCGAGCTCCTGAGCTCAAGTGATGTGCCTGCCTCGGCCTCCCAAAGTGCTGGGATTACAGACATTAGCCACTGCGTCCTGCCAATATCACACATGTTCTGAGATGAAAACCAGAATGGCTTTCTTGTCTGGGTTCCTGACTGCTCCTTAGCTTTGAGTTCTTCTAGTTTCTTCTCACAGAGACTCATGAAGTAATCATCTGGTTCAATCCCTGCATTCTTCAAATTTTCCAGGAATTTTTCCAGTGTGTCCACTGATCTGGCTTCCTCAATCTTTCTTGTGCTCAGGTAGAGTGAACTCCTAGAAATCCAGGTGCTTACAAGTGTCCACAGAGGAGATATTTCTGACATCACTAATTCTATCCAAACAAGGAAAAAACATCAGTTCTGACAACTTCTCTAGGTCCCAGAGGCTCACTTGGAATCCAATTAACTAGGACTAGAAGCCAGTGCCTCCACTGGGTATCACAAAGGCCCCTAGTGGCATTAGTTCTGTAGAAACTGGGCTTCTACAGGCCAGGATCACCTCATAAAGGTGTGAGGGGACTGCCATCTTGTCTCACCGATCATCTGGTACCTCTTTTCTTTCCATCACTTCTAGTCTGCGGTAAGGTCAAAGGCCAAGATACTACCCAAATATCTTCAAACCTCCCTGTCAGTTCTCAACAGAACATTTCTATTCTGTTTCAACATCCAGAATTATTATGAAATCCCAAGGCACAATAGTAGAAAGGTAAAAGGTTTCAGCTTTACTTGAACATTTGTTATTTCCAGCTGGAGCCGTGTGTCCTCAGGACTACCTGCTTCCAACATGGTCCTCGCTGAAGGCAGTGAAGGTTGGAGGGATATTGGGACCAGGCTTAAATATACAATGTTTTCTGTCTGCATCACCTTGTCTCTGTTCCAGTTAAAGGGAATCCAAATTGTCCCCAGAGCCTTTTCTGCAGATTCATCCAGCCCCCTCACTGCCACCACTGCCTCAGCACCCTGACTCCAGAGGAACTGCAGGGCTGTGAGCCGACTCCCATGGTGCCCACTATAGCCCTGACCGTGCAGCCACTCCAAAAACACCAGGCGCCTCTGAGGTGGGAAGTAATACCCTCGGCAGTTATCTGACCCAAAGTACCACATATTTGCTTTATTTATTTATTTATTTATTTTTGAGACAGAGTCTCTGTCTGTCGCCCAGGCTGGAGTGCAGTGGCAAGATCTCGGCTCACTGCAACCTCTACGTCCCAGGTTCAAGCAATTCTCCTGCCTCAGCCTCCTGAGTAGCTGGGATTACAGGTGCCAGCCACCATACCTGGATAATTTTTGTATTTTTTAGTAGAGACAGGGTTTCACCATGTTGGCCAGGCTGGTTTCTAACTCCTGACCTCAGGTGATCTGCCCGCTCAGCCTCCCAAAGTGCTGGGATTACAGGTGTGAGTCATCTTGCCCAGCCACATGTTTGCTTTAAATGGAATGTCTGGGGACTGTTAAACATGTGCCTAGGCATACTTCCACATTCGAATGGGTTCCAAGAGTCCTGTGGAAAAGGAACTGAACTCTCTTCATGATTGGACACATTTGATGAGCAGGTGTGGGGATGGGTGGAGGGAGGGACATGACCAGAGCTGGATAAGGAAAGTGAAAGCCCTTAGGGGAATCCTCCTGAGCGCAGAAGTCTGGAGAGTGGGCCAGACTGCATCAATCTGAGTGTTGGGAACGGTGATTCTGAGTAAAGAGTGAGGCTATTCTGGAACTACCTAGAGTAACTGTGGTAGAGATGAAAGAACTGAATAAACAGACCAAGAGACCCATTTGGGGTCCTCTTCTCTAAAAACCTGAGAGTGAGAAGTGGGTTATCGACAGCACCTGTAATGTCAACAATTCTGAGCTCCCATTGCAAAGTTCTCTTCCTCAATTATTGATGAGAATCCCTTGGGTGAACTCCAAGTATCCTATAGAATCCACTAGTTAGTGGGTCTTAAATAAGATCTCTTTCCATTCTCTTTCTAAACTTCAATAAAATCTCGATTTCAGAATATAATCATTAAAAATAAAATCAAATATTTGAAGAGGCCAGGAAACCAGAAGTGTAAAATAAGGAGTCTGTGTGACTTCAGGTGCTCTGATAAGGAAGTGCTAGGCGAGTAATATTAGAGATGCAAGAGGTAGATTGGGAGAAATGCCCAGGAGGGACAAGGGGAACAGGTTGGGCAGGAAGGGCCTTCAGATTTTGGAGCTGATCTGACACCTGTGAAAGGCAAGTGGGGAAAGAAGAAAGCTTGACTAGAAAGGGACTCCGTTCTAAGAAAGTTTCACCAGACCAGTGGGAAACCCTCAAGCCAAAGCCACCCATTACAGGAGCACCCTGAACCAGCACTCACAACCATACCCAGTCCTTCACAGGAAAGCAGCCTGGGGAGCACGGTGTTGTTGCAACCTGGAAGGGGGCTGGGGAGCGGCAGCTGAGGCTCCCTGCCAACTATCTTCCCTGCATTAGGAAATCCAAGTGGTGCATTTTCATCCCTGCTCCATAGAGTTCATTCAATAATGTACTATAATCTGTAATAAGGATACTCCGGCCACGTGGAGTTGAGGTTCAGCAGATCTCCCACATGCTAAGTGGCATTTCCCTTTCTGATGCCTCTCCAGAACTTTGGAGCAAGGAGAGTATTAAATGTAATCCAATCTGCTGGCTGAAGCTCTGTAGTCACTCTGCTTCATGGCCCACTAACCTTGGCCCTGTTGATCTCTGCCTTCTCCAAAAATTACCTTTTCAGGCCAGGCACAGCAGCTCACGCCCAGCACTTTGGGAGGCTGAGGCAGGTGGATCACTTGAGGTCAGGAGTTCAAGACCAGCCTGACCAACATGGTGAAACCCCATCTGTACTAAAAATACAAAAAATTAGCCGGGTGTGGTAGTGCCTTCCTGTAATTCCAGCCACTTTGGAGGCTGAGGCAGGAGAATCACTTGAACTCCAGAGGCAGAGGTTGCAGTGAGCTGAGATCGTGCCACTGCACTCCAGCCTGGGCAACAAGAGTGAAATTCCATCTTGAAAAAAAAAAATTACCTTTTCATCCCTTCAAGCCTGTTCTCAGTGCTGGCCATCTGCCATGGCCTAGCACCTCCTGGAAGTCCAGGATCAGCTGCCCAGGAAGCAGCTCCCCAACAAAGTATGAACTGTGTCTGCCTCTGCCCACCTCTGGATATCAGGTGCCTGCTTGCCCTTCCAGGGGTAATTGCTGTCTCCTTATAACAGGTAACCACTGTTCTCAGTGTCTTATTGTCCTTCCAGTATATAAATGGCATACAATTGATATTCACCTGTTTTCTTTCTTTTTCTAGACAAATAATAATGACAACACATACTGTTCGGCGCCTTTTTTCATCTAACTACAAATCTTGGCAATCTTTCTACCATTTCATAAAGTGCCTTGTTTTTTATGGTTGAATAGTACTGTTTGTATAGATGTGCTATGATGCTTTATTCAAGCAGGCCCCTCTTGATGGACTCCTACAAATTAAAAGTTGTTACAAATCTGTGACTATCACAAACAATGCTATAATGAACTGCCTTGTACTTTTCTTTTCTTTCTTTCTTTTTTTTTTTTTCTTTGAGACAGTCTCACTCTGTTACCCAGGCTGGAGTGCAGTTGCAGTGTACAATCTTAGCTCACTGCAGCCTCTGCCTCCCAGGTTCAAGCAATTCTCCTGCCTCAGCCTCTCAAGTAGCTGGGATTATGGGCACATGCCACCATGCCCGGCTAATTTTTGTATTTTTAGTAGAGATGGGGTTTCACCATGTTGGCCAGGCTGGTCTTGAACTCCTGACCTCAGGTGATCCACCTGCCTTGTTCTCTCAAAGTGCCGGGTTTGCAGGTGTGAGCCACTGTGCCCAGTCTTTTTTCTTTTGAGACAAGGTCTCACTCTGTGGAGTACAGTGGCACAATCACAGCTGACTGCAGCCTCAACCTCCCTGGCTCAAGTGATCCTCCCACCTCAGTCTCCTAGGTAACTGGGGCCACAGGCGTGCACCACCTCACCTGGCTAATTTTTTTTTTTTTTTTTTTTTGTAGAGACTATGTTGCCCAGGCTGGTCTTAAACTCCTGGGCTCGAGCAATCCTCCAGCCTCAGCCTTCCAAAGTACTGGGATTACAGGAATGAGCCAGCATACCCAACCTGTATGTCATTTTCAACATGTGTGAATTGCTAAAGATAATCAAAGACAGACATTAAAGTAATGAAAACAGATTTTATTCAGTAACTACTGACAGTAGCTGAAAGAGGTGAGCTCCATTCCGATTTATCCAGAGGTAACTGAGCAATTTAATAAAAGAATAACAGAGAAGGGAAGGGGAATAAACGGGGGCTCAAATACAGTCAGGGAAGTGAAAAATTACAAAAAGTGGGTATGAAGTTGGGTCAACCTGTCACAGTGGCTCACACCTGTAATCCCAGAACTTTGGGAAGCCAAGGCAGATGGATCACTTGAGCTCAGGAGTTTGAGACCAGCCTGGCCAACATGGTGAAACTCCATCTACAAAAACTACAAAAATTAGCTGGGCCTAGTGGTGCACACCTGTAGTCCCAGCTACTTGGGAGGCTGAGGCAAGAGGATCACTTGAGCCAGATTGTTTGAGGAGGTCGAGGCTGCAGTGAGCTGTGATCATGCCACTGCGCCTCAAATCTGGGCAATAGAGTGACACTCTAAAAAAAAAAAAAGGTGGGTGAGTGTAAATGTGATTAGGCCAGCTATGTCTACTAGCTGGCTTTTTTTTTTTTTTTTTTGAGACAGAGTATCTCTTTGTCATCCAGGCTGGAGTGCAGTGGCATGATCTTGGCTCACTGCAACCCCTGCCTCCCAGGTTCAAGCAATTCTGCTGCCTCAGCCTCCCGAGTAGCTGGGACTACAGGCATACAACACCACGCCTAGCTAATTTTTGTATTTTTAGTAGACATGGGATTTCATCATGTTGGCCAGGCTGGCCTCGAACTCCTGGCCTCAAGTAATCCACTTACCTCAGTCTCCCAAAATGCTGGGATCACAGGCATAAGCCACCACACCTGGCCTACTAGCTGGCAATTATTGAAGTTAGGACTCTCCTACAGACTGAGAGACAGGTCCTATCCTTCCTGGTGGTTACATTTCAAAAGAATGGCTTTCAGGTCCCTGAGAATGGCATGCCTAGTTTATATGAGATATGTATATATACCATCGGTATCCATGGGGGATTGATTCCAGGACCCCCAAAGGTACTAAAATTCCCAGATGCACCAATCCTTGATATAAAATAGTGTAGTATTTGCATATAACTTACATGTGTCCTCTCGTATACTTTAAATAATCTTTGATTACTTATAATATCTAATATAATATAAAGCTATATAAATAATTGTTATTCTGTATTGTTTAGGGAATGCTGACAAGAAAAAAGTCTGTACATGTTCAGTACAATGCAATTTTTTTCCAAGTATTTTTGATCCACAGTTGATTGAATCCAACAGATACAAAACACTGGCTCTATAACCCAAAGTGACGGAGAAAGGATTTACAAATGTAAGCTTCTTTCAACTAAATTCTCTAAGAAAGAAGGAGTCAGGGCCTATTGTCAGGTGTTGGCTAGAACAAACTGAGCTTGAGCTTTCACAGACAGGAACTCAAAGGGAGCGAGGTTGTCCCAGGATGCAGCTTTAGGCAGCCAGAAGCCACGCTGGAGTTGGCCAGGTCTCTTAGAGCTCATGTTCTGCCAAGAGTTATTTTGTAGTTCTCAGAATGTAGCCGCAAGATAAATATCATAAGTTCAGTCACTGGGTCAAATTGCCCTCCTTAGAGAGGACATCAATTTATGTTCCTACCCAGAATGTATAAAAATGCCTGTTTCTGCAGGGTGTGGTGGCTGATGCCTGAAATTCCAGCATTCTGGGAAGCCAAGGCAGGAGGATCACCTGAGATCAGGAGTTTAAGACCAGCCTGGCCAACATGGTGAAACCCCATCTCTACTAAAAATACAAAAATTAGCTGGGCATGGTGGTGCACACCTGTAATCCCAGCTACTCAGGAGGCTGTCAGGAGAATTGCTTGAACCTAGGAGGCAGGGGTTGTAGTGAGTGAAAATGGCATCACTGCACTCCAGCCTGGGCGACAGAGCGAGACTCCATCTCAAAAAACAAACAAACAAACAAACCAAAAAAACCTGTTTCCTCACTTTTCCTCATTCCCAGCTAACACCAAGTGTTTTCACTTTTTATCATGATGAATATAACAGATAAAACACATTTCACTGTAGTTTCAATTTCACTTACATTATTGTCATTGAGATCTTTTCATATAATTAAGTTTATTTGTATTTTCTTTCTTTCTTTTTTTTTTTTTTTTGAGACAGAGTCTCGCTCTGTCACCCAGGCTGGAGTGCAGTGGTGGCATGATCTCGGCTCACTGCAACCTCCACCTCCCGGGTTCTAAGGGATTCTCCTGACTCAGCCTTCTGAGCAGCTGGGATTACAGGCACGTGCCACCACGCCAGGCTAATTTTGTATTTTTAGTAGAGACAGGGTTTCACCAGGTTGGTCAGGCTGGTCTCGAACTCTTGACCTCAGGTAATCTGCCCACCTCGGCCTCCCAAAGTGTTGGGATTACGAGCGTGAACCATCGCACCCCGCCCCACTGTAGCTTTAAACAAAGTCTTGAAATAAGGTAGTGTACATCTTCCAGCTTTGCTTTGATTTTTCAAGATTGTTTTGGTTCTTGTTGGTCTTTGGCATTTCCATAAAATTTTTAGAGTCAATGTGTCAATTTCTAAAAAAAAAAGTTCTATTTGAATTTTGGTTGGAATTGCGTTGAATCTACAGATCACTTTTGGAAGACTATTAATCTTAACAATATTGTGTCTTCTAATCCATGATTTTGATATAGCTCTCCATTCACTGATGTTTTATTTAATACCTCTTTCAATGTTTTATATTTTTTTAGTGTAGAGATCTTGCGTAATTTTTATACATTTACATTTCAGTGATTTACATTTTTTATGTGATTGTAAATGGCATTTTAAATGTTAATTTTTAATTATTTACCAGTTAGCAGAAATATAATTGAATTTTGTGTCTTGACCTTGTACTTTTGACCTTGTACTAATTCACTTAATACACCTAGTGTTCTTTGGGCATTCGTTCTGATGTTTCTGTAGAAACAGTCATGTCACCTGTGGATAAAGACAACTTTACTTCTTTTCTATTCTTTAATTTCATTGTGTTCAAGGAACATAGTAAAATTTCAATATTTTGGAAATTTTGCGAGATGTGTTTTGTGTCTTAACACATGATTCATGTTGATGCATGTTCCAGATACACTTTAAAGATGTTTTTCCATTTTTTTCTGGCATCCACTGTTTCTCAGGAAAAAATTATCCATCACTTATGTCACTGTTTTTCTTTATGTAATGTCATTCTCCAGCTACTTTCAATATAATCTCTTTACTTCAGTTTTTGGTAGTTGCACTACGATGTGTCCAGTTATGATTTTCTTGTACTTATCTTGCTGGCATTTGTTGAGCTTCTTGATATGTAAGTAGATTATTTCCACCAAATTTGGGGGAATTTCAATTATTTTTTTCTTCAGCTCTTTTTTTGTTCCATTCTCTTTCCCTTCTCATTCTGGGACTGAAATTATACTTATGTTAGACAACTTATACTTATACTTATGTTAGTCAGGCTTTGTGTCCGCACCCAAATCTCATTTTGAATTATAATCCCCATAATCCCCACATGTCAAGGGAGAGACCAGGTAGAGGTAATTGGATCATGGGGGCGGTTTCCTCCATGCTGTTCTTCTGATACTGAGTTCTCACAAGTCTGATGGTTTTATAAGTGTTTGGCAGTTCATCCTGCATCATTCTCTCTCCTGCCACCTTGTGAAGAAGGTCCCTGCCTCCCCTTCACCTTCCACCATGATTGGAAGTTTCCTGAGGCCCCCCTAGCCATGGAGAACTGTGAGTCAATTACACCTCTTTCCTTTATACATTACCCAGTTTCGGGAAGTTCTGTAGAGCAGTGTGAAAATAGACTAACACAGATCATTTAAAATATCCCACACATCACTGAGGCTCTGCTCATTATTGTTCATCTTTGCTCCCCTTCATTTTCAAAATGCATAATTTCTAATGGTCCTTCTCCAAGTTCATGGACTATAGTGGTCATGAGAATGACCAAGCCTGTAGCTACGGGAAGCATAATTGACTGAGGGTCCGAGCTGCCACGCTCTGAAATTCATCACTATGTTTGTGCTGAGGACGCACTTCCCACAGGCTGCACCCACTCAAACACTGAGTATGGCAAACGTTTAAGGGCCCCTCTAATGGCTGACTTTGGCTCAAGTACTCCCCAGTGGCCTTGCTGAATTTTCCCTGGATTTCAAGACAGTCTAGGAAGCTTCCACCTAACCTTCCTTCCCTCTCCCCTTCACTCCAGGACAGACTTGGAGGTTCCCACAGCCTTCCCCAGTTCCCTTCCCCCTCATTTTCTATAACGATAATTTCCCTGAATAAAAGCCTTTCATGTTTAATCCAGTCTTAGCATTTGCTCTGAAGGGACACCTGAATAAAATAAGTTAAATCATGGGCGGATTGACAAAACACGCAGTGAGGTGAGGCTCTGGGGTTGACTCACCCACTACCTGGCAGGCACACAGGATGCTATTCTGTTGGCAAGTGGAGCAAAGAGAGCCCCTGGAAAAAGACAGCAGCTCTATTGTGGAATATTTCACTGGTGGTGAACTGAGAAACTGTATCAGTGGAGAGCAATATTGTAAAAAGTAAGTTAACAGAGATTTTGAGGCCAGGCACAGTGGGTCACGCCTGTAATCCCAGCACTTTGGGAGGCCAAGGCAGGTGGATCGCTTGAGGCCATGAGTTCAAGACCAGGCTGGCCAATATGGTGAAACCCCATCTCTACTAAAAATACAAAAATTAGCCAGGCATGGTGGCGCACACCTGCAATCCCAGCTACTCAGGAGGCTGAGGCAGAAGAATCACTTGAACCCGAAAAGCGGAGCTTTCAGTGAGCTGAGATAGGGCCACTTCACTCCAGGTTGGGCGTGAGTGAGACTCCATCTCAAACAAACAAACAAAAAAACAGAGACTTTTGAAAAATATGGGGAAACAATACCTACAAAGTCAGTGGAGTTGGCTGGTTATTGCTAAATTGCATTGACATTCTGCAGAAGGATAATGAGGGATTGACGACTATTAGCAAAAATTTAGAGACAAGCCACAGATCTTCAGTGAGAGCTTACAAAGAAGCCCTTATTTCTACAGAGGAATGGTAGGCCCAGCTGAGTGACAGGCTAAAGACCTCATTGTTAGAGTTGTAGAGCTCCGAAGACATTTGAATGCTCAACCAAGGCAGGATTGTTATGTGAAGGACAGAGGACTGGTGGACAAATCTGTGATCCAGTCAGATGGGATGAAGAGGAGGGATAGGATGAGTTCCAACTGTGGCCCCCGAGAGCAACTATGGTAACAGGGGCTATTGTCTATCACACTAACTTCTCTCTTCTGAGTTTCCCCTCAGGAAGAAAGGCTGGCAGGAGCTATAAAGGAGTTGCTCCTCGCACTTATGTAGAAACATGACTTTGTGGAGCAGAAGTGGTCAATGGCAGCAGCCACAAGAATATACCTCTCAGATCTCCAGTTTCAGGGACTATAATTGCTCACAGGCCATAGCTACTGTGCTCTGAAATCTATTGCTGCATTTGCATCTGGAGTATGCTTGACATGAATGACGGTGGCAGGGAGCTAAGGGAAGCCTGCTCCTGGGAGACACTGGAGCCCTCTGCTGGCTGGCTTTGACTCAAGGACTCTCCGTTGTCTTTCCAAACCTCTCTTCACTTGGGGTCAGACTTGCGTTACAATCTGATGGTTGTCCCAATCTTCTCCAGCTCTGTCTCCATTTTCTCTCGCAAGTGTTTCCACTAATAAAATCCTTGCAGTTTTGATATGAAAAAATGCTCAACATCACTAATTATCAGGGAGAGGCAAATTAAAACCACAATGAGACACCACCTTACTCCTGCAAGAACGGCCATAATTAAAAATAAAAAAAAAAATGTTGGTATGGATGTGGTGAAAAGGGAACACTTTTACACTGCTGGTGGGAATATAAACTAGCACAACCATCATGGAAAACAGTATGGAGATTCCTTAAAGAACTAAAAGTAGATCTACCATTTGATCCAGGCCGGGCGCGGTAGCTCACACCTGTAGTCCCAGCACTTTGGGAGGCCAAGGCAGGTAGATCACTTGAGATCAGGAGTTCGAGTCCAGCCTGGCCAACATGGTGAAACCCCGTCTCTACTAAAAATACAAAAATTAGCCAGGTGTGGTTGTGGGCACTTGTAGTTTCTACAAGTTGTAGCTACTTGGGAGGCTGAGGTAGGACAATTGCTGGAACCCAGAGGGCAGAGGTTGCAGTGAGCCTAGATCATGCCACTGCACTTCAGCCTGGATGACAGAGTGAGACTCTGTTGAAAAAAAAAAAAAAGAATTACCATTTGATCCAGCAATCCCACTACTGGGTACCTATCCAGAGGAAAAGAAGTCATTATATGAAAAAGACACTTGCAGATGCATGTTTATAGCAGCACAATTCGCAATTGCAAAAATATGGAACCAGCCTAAGTGTCCATCAACCAACAAGTGGATAAAATGTGGTATATATACACTGTGAAGTACTACTCAGCCGTAAAAAGGAATAAAATAATGACATTTGCAGCAACCTGGATGGAGTTGGAGACCATTATTTGGAGACCATTATTCTAAGTGAAGTAACTCAGGAACGGAAAAACAAATATTGTATGTTCTCACTTATAAGTAGGAGCTAAACTATGAGGACACAAATGCATAAGAATTATATAATGGACTTTGGAGGCTTGGTAAGAAGGGAGAGAGGGGGTGAGGGATAAAAGACTGTACATTGGTACAGCGTATGTGCTTGGGTGACAGGTGCACCAAAATCTCAGAAATTACCACTATAGAACTTATCCATGTAACAAGAAAACCACCTGTTCCCCAAAAACTATTGCAATAAAAAGAAATCCTTGCATGTTTGGTTTCTTCTTGGTGTCTACTTCTCAGAAAACTCAGATTAACACACTGACCCTTTCTTCTGCCATCCCCAATCACTATTAAGCCCAGCCAGTGAATGTTTTTATTTCAGAAATTGTACTTTTCAGTTGTTGAATATCCGTTTGGCTCTTTTTTTATAGTTTCCATTTCTCTGTTGACATTTCCCATATATTATTCAATAATTATTGTGGTACTTTTCATCAGTACTCTAGGGGAGGAAAAACAGCCCAATTTATTATCTAGACAAGCAAACGTTTTATCTAAAATACAACTGGAAAAGAGCAAAGATGTCAAATGTCCTTGACTTTAAGAACTTCCAGATTTAAATTTGTTCTTTAATTCTAAGGAAATACTATTGAATATAATAGTCACATCTCATCTTAATTGACCAGGAATTTATGTCACAATGTTTTAGAAAGGATACCATCTTTTCTGGGATAAAAAATTGTCAAGTTATTGTACTAAAATTATATAATATGTCAGTTAACATTAGGGGAAGCTGGATGAAGGATATGAGCAACTCTTCGAACTATTTTGCAACTTTAGCTCCTATCCTTTGCTGAAAGGGTCCTGATTAATATAGTTCATAAATAGAAAATGTATTCATTGAATATTTGTATAGATAGACCTCAACAGGGAACTTCTGAAACACTGATCCTCATCAGTGAATTATAATTTGAGATTAAAGAAATTATCTCCTTTCTTTCTAATATATTCTGAACATATCCAAATTCAAATCATTCTTTTAAACTAAGCATTAGTAATGTCTTTTCTATCCAGGCTCTTATTTTATACTATATATATTTCCTGAGTGATCTTGTTCACATTGTTTCAGCAACCACCACTGTGCTGATGAAAATGAATTTATATCTTCTACTTAACCTTCTCCTCAAAGCTTTAAGAACCAGATATTCAATTGCCTGTTAGCATCAACACATCACTATTTCCCATGCAGCTCAAGGTTAACTTGTCAACATGAAATTAATCATCTTTCCCACTAACTTTACTCTTTTAAATAGAATTTTAAAATGTTAATTGATAAAAATATAATCTATCTGAACTCTAAAAGATGACATCCAGCCATCAAACCTAATTATTTATCTTTTCTTCCAATTATTTGAGTCATCCTTTTTTCCTGCTTACTACTACCATCATCTACTATAATTACATCATAATTTTAGTCTCAATTCCCACCCTAATACATCCCCCATATGGTGCCAGGGTTGTATCTGAATTGCAAGGCTGTTTCTCTGTTTTCTATCTTTATCTTTATTTTTTTTTTTAGAGACAGGGTCTTGCTCTGTCACCCAAGCTGAAGTGCAGTGACATGACCATAGCTTACTGCAGCCTCAAGCTTCTGGGCTCAAGCCATCCTCCTGCCTCAGCCTTCCGAGTAGCTAGTACTACAGGGGTGGGCCACCATGAAAGGCTGTCTCTTGAGTGGCTTCCCATTGCATAGAAAATACAAACTCTCTTTGATCTCAGCTTTGCTCCCGTCTCTAGCCTTCCTTCCAGGCACTCACTTTCCACTGCTTTATCTCAAGCAGTTAAACTTGCCCACAAAATTATGTTGTTCTTTGATTTCCCACCTTGACTCATGTCTTAGACATCAGTGCTCTTCCTGCCCTTGTCACCTGTGACTGTTCCTCCTTTATCAGCTCAGGAGGTAGCTACTTCATGATGCAACTTCTTAATTTCTAAATTCAGATCTGGTGCCCCTCTCTGAGCTCTCAGGAATCATGTCCCTATTTTCAATTGCTGTGGCTATCACAGTGGTCTTTTTCCTTTGTCTCCCCTCATTTGTTTTTCTGCTGTAATTGAGAAAATAGTAGTCCAAGTTACAGATACTCCTAATGAACACTAGATGGCACTCTTATCTTTTGTTTGAGCAAATGAGTTGCTATTAATTCTACGTCTAAACTCAGCTTTTAAAATTGTCGTTTTCCTGGTTAAATCTCAGAGTTAAAAATAAAAGCATTTCTGTCCTGAAGTTGTTTGTTTGTTGTTTGTTTTAATGAAACCAAGTCTTTATATGTATGCAGGTTCAACAAGGAATCACTCAATCCCAAAACAAAAACTACTCCATTAAATAAATTGGCTTAGCCCTGCCATCCCAGTTAGTACTGCTATTGAAACAAATATATTGATTTTCAAAAGCATGTAATTAATTGTGTTTTGGGGGGTAAAATAATGGAACTTGGAGAGAGGGCTGAAAAATTTGTCTTTTAATCTTCATAAAAGATAAACTAACCCTTTGCAATACAAATGAGTAGTAAATATTTTATGATCTATTATGATTATCTGTAGAGCTATCAAAGTGTTAAATAGTTTAAAAGAGGTCTGAAGATTACACCAAAACAATACTATATCATGGAAAAAAATTTAGAACATGTTTTCAAAAGCAAAGGCTTGATAGTGCTTTAATTATTTTAATTTTTTTAGATGTTTCTTATACACAGAAGACTCATATCATGTTACCTTTTATCTTCCTTCTCAAATCTAACACTCTCCCAGTTTACCAGCTCTGTAAATGGCTCCACTCCCATTCAATTATTATAGCCTCAAACTTTGTGGTATTCCTAATTTTTCCCTTCCCTTCATAATCTATAACCAAATCATTAGCAAATAAATCTACTGGTTCTTCCTTCAAAATATATCTCTAGGTCGGGCGCAGTGGCTCATGCTTGTAATCCCAGCACTTTGGGAGGCCGAGGCAGGCAGATCACGAGGTCAGGAGTTCGAGACCAGCCTGGCCAACATGGTGAAACCCCGTCTCTAATAAAAATACAAAAATTAGCTGGGCGTGGTGGTGGGTGCCTGTAATCTCAGCTACTCGGGAAGCTGAGGCAGGAGAATTACTTGAGCCCAGGAGGCAGAAGTTGCAGTGAGCCAAGATCGCACCACTGCACTCCAGCCTGGGAGACAGAGCGAGACTCTGTCTCAAAAAAAAAATAAAAATAAAAATAAAATATATATATACAAATATATAAATATATATATATAAATATATATAAATGTGTGTATATATATATAATCTGTCCACTACTCTTATCTCCACTGGCACCACCTTGGTCCAAGCCACTGCCTCTCTCCTACCACAAGAATTTTCTTAATGGTCTCTTTGCCCAAGCTGCCCAAGCCACTATAAGCCCTCAGCTCTGGGAAAGAGGCCAACTCCATTCTAAATCTATTTTACATAGAACCCTTAAGGAACAACTTCAGGTAAAAACTCCTCAAATTTGAACTAATCTAAGAAAGTTCATATAGTAAAAAGAACCATGAAACAGTTTAAGCAACGAATTGTAGGAACATTGTCTAGCCATCACAATCCTATGCTTCCAGAAAAGAGGATTTGATATTGCTTTCTATTACAGCAGATATTACCAGCAATGTTCTTTTTCTATTGGATTCTAAATAATCCGAACTGCCCAAAAGGAGTTATTTATATTAGTGAAAGAACAGTGAATCTTGAAAGTATTTCTCCTGTGGTAATAACGCTTTTTGTTATATAGTGAATGCAGCTTCCTCAAATAACTGAAAATTTCATCTTGTTATTAAATAGTCTAGCCTCTTTGCAATTCATTTTATTGGAGAACATTTACTGGACAAGCCTACCCTTCCCGGGTGATTTACACGGATTAAGTTAGAAATGGAGCAACATCTTATTCCTTTCATTAAAGAGGGGTAATTTCTCCCATAAAATTTATTGGTATGGTATAGGGAAGGTCAATCTATTAAATTTTCTTGGAAATTTGTTTTTAGCTCCATTCAGCAGATCAATCTCCAGCCAGCCTGAGCCTAGATAATATGCTTCTTTTGTCATTGGATCTAACAGAGAAACTGAGAATCACATTTTAAGGGATTGGAATGAAGTGTTCCTATCATCTGCTTCTTTTTTTTTTTTTTTTTTTTTGTCTCTCAGGGTCTTCTGAATCCAGTTATTTTTCACCATGTATTTTGATTCAATTTATTCCTCCATCCTCAGTTTACCACAGGGGAGGAACATTATAAACACATATAACTATCTGAAAATAATATTTAGGCACCCTTTTTAAGGCACAGAAGTTATTGCTTCTAAATTCAAGTTAATTTGTTTTCTAATATAGTTTGTGTAAAACTATTAAAAATTTTTTCATTTCTTATTCCAAAAATATTTTTTCCAAGATTGGACAGAAGAGATAGGGAACAACTGTCCAGATTACGGTAGCCAACATTATAAATAGGAGTCATGCCTTAGATATTGCTTCCTTAATATATTTTTAATAACATTGGTTACCATTTATTGAATATATTTTATGTGTCAGTGGCTGAGCTGAGCACTTTCTGTGCTTTCCCATTTAACTTATTTAGTCTTCACATCAACCCTATCAAGTAGGTGTTGCTCTCTTGTTTTACAGCTGAGGAAACTGAGGTCAGTGATGTTAAGAAACTACCCAAACCCACATAACCAGTATGTGACACTGCAGGGCTCAAGCCCCAGTTCTTTCTGGACTCAATCTGTTTCTTTATTTGTTTTTAACCAAACTACAATTCCTTTGATGCTTGCTCTTCCCTGCAAATGTTCTCAAGTGGATACTCACAAGAATAACTTACAAACTTCAAGTGTTTGGGAGATTTTGAATCCTTGACATTTTCTATCATGTTCAATGAACTAGTCTAAAATGCACTCAAACATGGAGACTCATCTGAGCCAAGTGGACAATTTTAGAAAGCACTTGCTCGATTGTCTTTAAAATTGCATCCTCAGACTCATAAAACATTTCTCAAAATTAACCGGAGAAATTAGGTACCACTTTTAGTAATAATAAAAAAAAATCCAAACTACTATCTATATATAGTATATGTAAAAGTCCACACAATTATATATAGAGATTATCTATATCTATTATCTATGTTTTGCGGCCATGATGGTTGATATAAAAGCCACAATCTTGCATGGCATTTGATTTTGTTGTGAAGTAGATAAGAGTCCTGTAGATTTCTAAGAGCCTAAAAAACCCTCAAGTGCTAGTAGTCCTCTGCTCACACTACCAGGGAAAATGATGAAAGTTTAGGCTGATGGATGTGCCTTAGGAGCAGCACCTTGGGACACCAACATAGACTGAGTGCTAAAGGAGAGATGACTATAAGCGAAATAAGTGGAGCATCTGTTAAGACCCAGAGAGGTGCTGCACTGATTTATGATCAGGCTAGTCATAGACTGTAACTATTATTATTATTATTATTATTTTGAGACGGAGTCTCACTGTGTTACCAGGCTGGAGTGCAGTGGCGCCATCTTGGCTCACTGCAACCTCCGTCTCCCGGGTTCAAGCAATTCTCCTGCCACAGCCTCCTGTGTAGTTGGGACTACAGGCGCGCGTCACCACGCCCAGCTAATTTTTTGTATTTTTTTAAGTAGAGAAGGGGTTTCACCATGTTGGCCAGGATGGTCTCAATCTCTTGACCTCATGATCCGCCCACCTCAGCCTCCTAAAGTGCTGGGATTACAGGCGTGAGCCACTGCGCCCGGCCATCTTTTTTTTTTTTTAAAGAAACATAAACATAAATTTAACTAGCAATAGTTAATTCATTATTTTATATATAGGACTTTCCTCATAATTTCTGTTATTCTCTAGGAGGTTTGCTTTAATTATTTAAGAAATGTTGGATATTAGATGAAAATATCACTGAAGACAGAAAATATTATCTATTTAAACTATGGCCAGAATATAGACATTTATAACTTATTTTTCATCCCTATTTTACCCCAGGGGAAAATGTTAAAATTAAATTTAGGTTTGATCACTAGATAAATCTTTTCTTCCTCACACTATATTTTGATCCTGAAATAAGTTGTGATATTCAGTTATAACAGAGAAAAAAATACTTGGAAACTATATGCCACACAAATTAAAGGAAAATTATTTTTGTTCTGATTATAAATTTAGAATTTTACATTATACATTCTAAAGACAAGATCTAAAGAACTTCTAATAAGTATTTGGCACTTCTATTGAGAGCACATTAAAAACACCTAAAGCATCAAAGAAAGAAGAAAAAAAAACATAAAACTTAGAAGAAGTTAGAGAATTTTAGAGGGGAAAATGTATAGGCTTAAAAATAATAGCTGGAACATTTTTAAAGCTGTTACATGAGGATTTAGATTTCCCTTCCTCCCCGACCAAGCATGGCAGTGCTATTAAGGGAAGTAACACCTACTTAAAGGATGTTAAGAAAGTAAAATTTTGTTTTGCTTCACACCAATAAGCTAACATTGTAGCATGAAGTTGGTCAGGTAACACGTTTCGTAATTACAGTGGCAGATGCTGGTCATTACAGAGTCCCAAGAAAGTTCCAGGCTCTGGGCTTAAAATCCTGGCTTTTCTTTGATATGGAGGGCTAGAGATTCCTCCACCCCTTCCCAACACCTTCACCTCACCACTCCTCTGCAAAAATTCAGGTTCAGCAAAAACTCATCAAACATCTTTCAATCTCATATTTCTTTATTTGTAGCCTATTTACCTTCTTTTATAATATTAGTTTTCTTAACAAATTTTCTCTTTTAGCCTTCTGTTTTTCAATACTTTTAGCCAAAATCCAATGGTGTAGTAGTTATAGAAGACGTCTTTTGTTTTTTAAAAAATGTCATTTTTCATGCATATTGTAATAGCTCTGTCATCACACCCTATTGAACTTTATATAGCTCAGTCTCAACCACCATTCTTAAACCTTATTTACACAGCACTTAGGTAATTGTTAAAAGTGTTTTTACTTCTTTTTCTTATGTCTTTATATATTGCCTTCTCAATGTATGTGGTCTTTATTGATTAAAATTTGTTGTTGTCACTACCGTTTCATTTGCAGTCTCAGCCCACATTTAAGTAATTTTCACAAATGGCAGCCAGCAAGCGATCTGAACAGGTAGACAAGATACACCAGAGTGACACTTTTTTTTTTCCTTTGAGACAGAGTCTTGCTCTGTTGCCTAGGCTGGAGTGCAATGGTGCTATCTCAGCTCACTGCAACCTCCGCCTCCTGGATTCAAGTGATTCTCCTGCCTCAGCCTCCCAAGTAGCTGGTCTTACAGGTGCCCACCACCACCACGCCCAGCTAATTTTTGTATTTTTAGTAGAAACAGGGTTTCACCAGGTTGGTTGGGCTGGTCTCGAACTCCTGACCTCAGGTGATCCATCCACCTCAGCCTCCCAAAGTGCTGGGATTACAGGCGTGAGCCACCACACCCAGCCAATGCTTTTTTTAAAAAGAAGCACGGAAAACAAGCCTAAGTACTTAAAACTACCCAAAGAGGCTTTGATTTGACCACTCCACACACATTCAGCAAATCAGCCGAAATGAATTTGAAAACGAATCATCCTTTGAATCTGATCCCAGCTTCATAGCCCATTGTGCTGCATACCTGCCCAGAGCTCAGGTATTCTGGAAACAGCAGCAACATAGCAACCAAGGCTAAGCTATTGATTGGCTGGTTTTTAGGGATCCATATGCTGCTAGGACATTCAGTGATCACTTACAAAGATAGGTTCGGGTACCACGATCTCTCCTTTTCTAGAAATTAAAGATTGTTTATAAGTTGTTTTTTTTTTTTTTTTTTTTGAGACGGATTCTGGCTCTGTCGCTCAGGCTGAGTGCAGTGGTGCAATCTCGGCTCACTGCAACCTCCCCGCCTCCCAGGTTCAAGCTATTCTCCTGTGTCAGAGTAGCTGGGATAACAGGCATGTGCCACCACGCCTGGCTAATTTTTGTATTTTTAGTAGAGATGGGGTTTTGCTGTGTTAGCCAGGCTGGTCTCACACTTCAGATGATCCGCCCGCCTCGGCCTCCCAAATTGTTGGGATTACAGGTGTGAGCCACCGTGCCCAGCCGAAAGATAGTTTATAAAATTCTGATACTTACAGAATCACTTTATGATTTCTGAATGGACATATGTCCTCATGAGTGTATCCTAGAGTCATTCTTCCACTCATTCCACAGCTGTGTCCTGGGATACAGGCACACGTGATATAGATGTGAGGAAGACACAACAATCCCTGATTTTACAAAAGCATTCGTGGCTGACCCTCACCCCTTGACATCCACAAGGGACCCCTCTACCTCTTTGCTCAGGAATCTAGCAAGACCCATCTTGGTTTATGCTTGCAAATGTACTGTCGAGTTTTTTGTTTGTTTGTTTGTTTTGAGACAGAGTCTTGCTCTGTCACCCAGGCTGGAGTGCAGTGGCGCTATCTCGGCTCACTGTAAGCTCCGCCTCCCAGGTTCATGTCATTCTCCTGCCTCAGCCTCCCGAGTAGCTGGGACTACAGGCGCCCGCCACCACACCCGGCTAATTTTTTGTATTTTTAGTAGAGATGGGGTTTCACCGTGTTAGCCAGGTTGGTCTCGATCTCCTGACCTTGTGATCCCGCCTTGGCCTCCCAAAGTGCTAGGATTACAGGCGTGAGCCACTGCGCCCAGCCTAACCCATTCAATTTGTTTCTAATCCTGCTTCCAAAGTATTAGATGGTTCATCATTTCCTTCAAATAACTTACCTGAAGAATTAATATTAATAATAATGGGGCGGGGACGGTGGCTCACGCTTGTAATCCCAGCACTTTGGGAGGCCGAGGAGGATGGATCACGAGGTCAGGAGATCGAGATCATTCTGGCTAACACAGTGAAACCCTGCCTCTATTAAAAATACAAAAAATTAGCCAGGCATGGTGGCACGCACCTGTAGTCCTAGCTACTCAGGAGGCTGAAGCAGGAGAATCCCTTGAACCCCGGAGGCAGAGGTTGCAGTGAGCCGAGATCGCACCACTGCATTCCAGCCTGGGCAAAAGAGTGAGACTCTGTCTCAAAATAAATAAATAAATACATACATAAATAAATAAAATCATATGTGTGTGTGTGTGTGTGTGTGTGTGTGTGTGTGTTGATAATTAGCGCCTGGCTTTACTCCAGGTACTGTGCTAAATATTTCACATGCATGGTCTCATTTAATCCTTGAAACAACCTATATACAGTTGTTATGCTCATTTTACACATAGAGAAAACTGAGGCTTGGAGAAAATGCAAAATTTTGCCAAAGTTATACCTAGTAAGTGGTGGGAAAATGGATTTGGAGTACTCTGACTTCAAAGTTCCAATTTTTCCCCTTCTTTTCCTATCCCCCCCATTCTCCTCTTTCGTTTAATTAATTTATTTATTACATTGTTATTATTTGGAGACTAGGTTTTACTCCCATTGGCCAGGCTGGAGTGCAGTGGAAGGATGTCGGCTCACTATAACCTCCGCCTCCTGGGCTCAAGCGATTCCCTGGCCTCAGCCTCCCAAGTATCTGGGACCACAGTTGCACGCCACTACACACAGCTAATTTTTTGTTTGTTTGTTTGTTTGTTTTGAGACGGAGTTTCGCTCTTGTTGCCCAAACTTGAGTGCAATGGCGCGATCTCTGCTCACCGCAAACTCTGCCTCCCGGGTTCAAGCCATTCTCCTGCCTCAGCCTCCCAAGTAGCTGGGATTGCAGGCATGTGCCACCACGCCTGGCTAATTTTGTATTTTTAGTACAGATGGGGTTTCTCCATGTTGGTCAGGCCGGTCTCAAACTCTCGACCTCAGGTGATCCACCCGCCTTGGCCTCCCAAGGTGCTGGGATTACAGGCGTGAGCCACCGTGCCCAGCCAACACACAGCTAATTTTTGTATGTTTTGTAGAGAGGAGATCTCGCTATGTTGCCCAGGCTGGTCTCCAACTCCTGGGCTCAATCGATCTGCCCAAGTTGGCCTCCCAGTGTGCTGGGATTACAGGGGTGAGTCACTGCACCCAGCCTAAAGCTAAATTACTGTTTATTTTTATAACTATGGTCATTATGACTTATTACCAAACTTGTTTTCTATTTTGAATGCGCCAAAGGGTGAATGTCTTCATTCCTGAAGTTCATCAGTGTCTAACGGCACAGGAAACAAGGACAAAATGCTTGATTTAGTTAAGACGCTTAATACCACATGAATCAGTGCTTTTCAAATCTGTGTCAATCAATAACTGAGGAAGATTAATCTGGCAATATTACTATTCTTATAAATTTTTGTTTTAGAGACAGGATCTCGCTCTCACTAAGTTGCTCAGGCTGGCCTGGAACAGTTGGCCTCAAGCAATCCTCCTGCATCAGGCTCCCAAAGTGCTGGGATTACAGCCATAAGCCCCGGTGCCAGCTGTCTGGCAATATTATTTTACTGTAGGTTATGATTGACCTGACTAACAATGCTTACATAAGCAGAATAAAAATATAACTCTCCACTTTTTTAGATGGCACATCGTGCCCATACATGTTTTTACCATCGTGCTTCAAAATTAAATAGAATCCTCAAGAAAGTATATCTTATTTAAGTATTTGAAAGAGATTCTATAATATTTTAAATGGTATGTGAGATAGAAAATGTATGGCGCACATCCACTGTTTTTGTCTGCCCAGGATAATTTCCTCCTCTTCCAGGGACAATGCCGCGATTGCTATTCTTGGCCTGCACCTGCGGGAAACTGGCCCCATGCCCCTGGTTCAAAGCTTGATCATGTGACCCAAGCCGAATTAGCCAGAAGTGCTGTAATTGGTTCAGGGGTGAGCATGTGCTCCTATCCAGGCCAATGAGAGTCAACCTTGGGTCTTTTTCCAGAACCACGGCGAACTATATGTAGTCTTTCTCCTGGGTTTACTAAACTGTTCAGAATTAAGTTGAGTTGCTACTGACCACCTTTGCTGATACTTGGGAAGACTCTGCCTGATCTCATTTTCTCAGAGGAAAGCAGAGATGGAAAAACACTGCTTTAAAGGGCAAGTAAGAATCTGAATAAGGGTAAAGGTTAAGGGAGGGAATTCCAGGTAGGAAAGGCCAGAAAGCAAAACACTGAGGTGCAAATGTGCGTGGTGAGGGTAGGGGGTAATGAGACAGCCAGGATGGAGTGGAGGTGTGGTGTTAGACGTCATTGAAGGTAAAGGTGCACAGGTGAATGGGACTGGGTCTTGGAGGCCTTGAATAGCAAGCAGAAAATTTGTAGCTTTGTGGGGGCAGGCATTAAGGAATCACTGTATAAATTTGAGTGGGTGGTTAAATATTAAATAGGAACGTTAATCTGACAGTGTTGTGAATGATAGGTAGAATGGGAATATGGAAGAAACTGAAGTCAGTGTGACTGGCTGTGTAATCACTGTAGTGACTGAACGTAATTGATTTTGCTAATTTATTATTATTTCTTAATTTATTTAAAAATAGTTTGGCTCGCCGGACGTGGTGGCTTATGCCTGTAATCCCAGCACTTTGGGGGGCCGAGGCGTATGGATAACTTGAGGTCAGGAGTTCGAGACCAGCCTGGCCAACATGGTGAAACCCCGTCTCTACGAAAAATACAGAAATTAGCCCAGCGTGGTGGTGGGCGCCTGTAATCCCAGCTACCTGGGGGGCTGAGGCAGGAGAATCGCTTGAACCTGGGGAGGCGGAGGTTGCAGTGAGCCGAGATCATGCCATTGCACTCCAACCTGGGCGACAGAGCAAGACTCTGTCTCAAAAAAAAAACGAAAAAACAAAAAAACAGTTCGGCTCATAAGAATAATGAGAGGATGAAAAGTAAAACAAAGTTCTTTTTGAAGTCCCTAGTCAACAATATAGCAAGCAACTGAAATGAAATATAATGTTAGAAAATAAGATTACATCAAGCATTTGTACCAAGATCAGAATGTTCTAAGGCTTATTAACTGGTTGGCTTTTTTTTTTTTTAAATAAGCTACAAATCAATGTGGTTTACTTGGCTCCTGGCCTCCTTATAATCAGCCAACACTTGGACACAGGAAGGGGAACATCACACACCGGGGCCTGCCGTGGGGTGGGGGGAGGGATAGGATTAGGAGATATACCTAATGTAAATGACGAGGTAATGGGTGCAGCACACCAACATGGCACGTGTATACATATGTAACAAACCTGCACGTTGTGCACATGTACTCTAGAACTTAAAGTATAATAAAAAAATTTAAAAAGACAAAAAAAAAATATAATCATCATAAAAATCCAACTAAAAAAAAAAGCAGCAGTCCCCGTTAAGAATTTCCAACAGGAGTAAAGCAGAAGCAAATAGATAAATTATGAAAAGTGAGTTTAACTATTGTCTGGAATATCTCCTATCCTTCCCTGACCTCCTCTTTCTACCAACCCTGTTCAAGTTCAGACTCTCATACCTCCTCCCTGGGTTATTGAATTAGGTTCTTTCTCATTTTCTTGCCTTCTTTTTTTCTCTATTCGATCCAATTTATATATTACTCCCAGATGATCTTCTTAAATTACAGCTAAGATCATATCAACTCCCTGTTCCAAATACCTAACCATTTTCCATCGGGTTCCAAAAGCTTTAATGTTGTATTCAAGGTCATCCAGAGGTCTGTCCTCAATTTCCTTCCCTGGCCTTGTTTCTCAGTACATCCTGCTTTCACTACATCAGATGAAATCATATCATACTTTCCTCACCAGACAAGATAAATATTTTTATCCCCAAAGCGTATAACCTCTCTGTCCTCAGGGTTCCCATAGTTTTCGTTTTAATCTCTCAGAGCAAATCACATTAACCATCACCCAAAAGCCCTCTTCCGCCAACTTGACAATAAGCAGTTTGAGGCATTGGATCTTGTTCATTTTGTATTTTCCACAGCACCAGTATAAACTTTTTTTTTTTGAGACGGAGTCTCACTCTGTCACCCAGGCTGGAGAGCAGTGGCTCGATCTCAGCTCACTGCCACCTCTGCTTCCTGGGTTCAAGCGATTCTCCTGTCTCAGCCTCCTGAGTAGCCGGGATTACAGGCACGCGCCACCACTCCCAGCTAATGTTTTGTATTTTTAGTAGAGATGGGGTTTCACCATGTTGGCCAGGATGGTCTTGATCTCCTGACCTTGTGATCCGCCCGCCTCACCCTCCCAAAGTGCTGGGATTACAGGCATGAGCCACCGTGCCGGGCCTAAACTTCTTTACTTTGGCTTTTATCAAAATAATACATGCCTATACTTGAAAGAACCAAGTAGTTCTTTCTCAAGGTTTATTAGGAAAAACAGCTATCCTTTACCACTTCTCCTCTTATCTAATAATTTTGATATTTACCTCTATCTAAATAATACACTTATACTGCTATTTTATGATTTGTCGGTTTTAGGCATTATGAATAAAACTGCATGAAGGAAGACAAATATTTAGATCTTTCCCCTCCCCTACATGTTCCCACAACATACTTGAGTTCTTCCTATCCTCCATCTTTCCAATACAGTTATAATTTTTGTCATATCCATATTACTTATTAATATATAAATGGCTGGGCGTGGTGGCTCATGCCTGTAATCTCAGCACTTTGGGAGGCCAAGGCGGGCGGATCACCTGAGATTGGGAGTTCCAGACCAGCCCGACCAACATGGAGAAACCCTGTCTGTACTAAAAATACAAAATTAGCTGGGCATGGTGGCACTTGCCTGTAATCCCAGCTACTCGGTGAGGCAGGAGGATTGCTGGAACCCTAGAGGTGGAGGTTGTGGTGAGCTGAGATAGCGCCATTGGACATCAGCCTGGGCAACAAGAGTGAAACTCCATCTCAAAAACAAAAAAAATGTAAATTATATAAGTATTATATTATAAAATTATTATATAAATAAGATGTATCTAACAAAGATAATGATATAAATAATATGGATCTAACTATACATATACATATTATGACTATGTAAATACTATTCACAGCTAAGCCATATAGGAAACTATAATTATTTAGTCTTTTCTGTATGACTCTTTATTTTCTCTAGTATTAATTATTGTGGAATGTCTTTCATTTGCCTTGTTATCTATATATAAATATTTTTTCACTAAGTCAACCCCCAAATCTCCACTAATTGTCTAAATCTCTTAATACATTCACATGTATCAGGTGTTTCATCAATTTAATCTTAAGAAGCTTTCCCTGTGTTTTCTGGCTTGTTCCAGTCTGGACCAATTGCCCTCTATCCCGGTAGATAGACATTGTCTTGGGCTATTTCTTCACCATCATTCTGAGAATTCTCTTGGCTTTTCTATTATGTTGGGCCTTTTGTTTCCTGTTTCTTTTTCTTTTTTAAAAAATTTTATTTATTTATTTATTTTTTTGAGATGGAGTCTCACTTGTGTCACCCAGGCTGGAGTACAGTGGCGCGATCTCGGCTCACTGCGAGCTCCGCCTCCGGGTTCACGCCATTCTCCTGCCTCAGCCTCCCAAGTAGCTGGGACTACAGGTGCCTGCCACCATGCGTGGCTAATTTTTTTTGTATTTTTAGTAGAGATGGGGTTTCACATGTTAGCCAGGATGGTCTCGATCTCTTGACCTCGTGATCCACCCGCCTCAGCCTCCCAAAGTGCTGGGATTACAGGTGTGAGCCACCGCACCCGGCCTGTTTCCTGTTTCTTACACCTTGCTTGTGATTTACTTCTTTGTTTTAATAAAGCACATTATCTGAGTTTCCTGAGAAAGAATACATGAAAGGTAAAGCTTTGAAACCTTTTGTGATTGAGAATGTCTTTATTTGACTCTCTCATTTGATTGATAGTTTAGCTTGGTCTAGAATTATCACTGGGAAATAATTTTCTTTCAGAAATTTGCAGGTATTTCCTTATTGTCTTCTAGATTCCAGTTATTTCTAGTGAGATGTATAAACCTATTCTGATTCTTGATCCTTTGTATATGACCTGCTTTTTCTAATAGCTTGTAGAATCCTGTCTTTATTCTTTATTGTAACACATTTCAAAATGATATGCTTTGGGGTGAGTCTATTTTTATTGATAGTGTTGGATATTTTCAATTGAAAATTTGAATCCTTCATTTCTAGAAATTTTTCTTGAATTATTTCTTTGATAATATTCTTCCTTTCATTTCTTTATCTAGAACTTCTGTTAGTTGTATGTTGATCTCTAGAACTGATCCTTTATTTTTCCTAACTCTTCTATTCAGTTTTCCATTTCTGGTTTTTTTTTTTTTAACCCTACTTTCTGGAAGAGTTTTTCAATTTTATTTTCCAGTGTTTCTACTTATATTTTTATTTATCTGAACACATTTTTAATTTCCAAGAGCTGTCTTTACATGATCCTGTTCTTTTATATATTCAATATCATCTCATCTCTCTAAAGATATTGATTTATTATTTGACATTTTCATTTCCACATGATATGGTTTGGCTCTGGGGCCCCACCCGAATCTCGTTTTGAATTGTAATCCCCACTGCAATTCAAAATGTCAAGGGAGGGACCTGGTGGGAGGCGATTGGATCATGGGGGTGGTTTCCCCCATGTTGTTCTTGTGATAGTGAATTCTCACAAGATCTGATGGTTTTATAAGAGTTTGACATTTCCTCCTTCACAGGCACTCTCTCGTTTGCCAGCGTGTAAGACATACCTGCTTCTGCTTCCGCCATGATTGTAAGTTTCCTGAGGCCTCCCCAGCCATGCAGAACTGTGAGTCAATTAAACCTCCTTTCTTTATACATTACCCAGTCTCGGTTAGTATCTTTATAGCAGTGTGAAAACAGACTAATAACACTATGAATAGCTCTGTTCTCTCCATATTTCTTTTTCCACTTTGTTTTGGTTTTTACCTTTTTTACCAGAGACTTTTCTCCAGTATTCGGTGGTCCTTGGTTATAAGTTCACATTCAAAAGAGGGACACTAAGAAGCCGACAGAAATCTTTGAGCACATGGGTAGGGCTTTAACAGAGGATGATCTGGCTGGATCAGTTATTTGGGGAATCGCTTTATGTGTACCTTTAGGTGTTTCCCTTGGAGGGTTAATTTTCCTCAGAGAAGATCTTCCAATCACCCTCCTGGAGGTTAATATCTAGATGTAGTGCCCTGTGAGCTTTAAAGGGGAAGAGGGCTTATAGGATTCAGCACAAAATTTACAAATATTCACTTAATACTTCTGCTTTAGACTAATACCCCCAACTACAGGTGTGCCTGTTGTGCTCACAGGCCAGGAACCTCTGTTTCACCTTTAAAGAATAAACCTCCATTATTTTGCGAGGTAAAAGGCAGTCATCCAGCTTTGTGGAATTGAAGAGGAGATCTGGGAATGTAACTACTTCATAGAGTTTCAACTTAGCCTTCTATTTTGAGCCCCAACTTCCAACTATAGCTGATGCCACCAATTCCTAAGTCTCTGGAAAATCCTTGTATATGTGTTTGCTTCCATGCTTTCCCGTTTGCCAGTTTAGACATTAGCTTTCTCAAATCTGCTAGATCCGTTGTCATATATCCATCTCTTTCCAGCTTCCAAAGTTTTGTTCCTGTTGTCTCCTTTCTGGTCCTTTATATCCCTATGGATTTCTGTCTTTTAAAAAAATCCCAGCTGGGCTTGGTGGCTCAGGCCTGTAATCCCAGCACTGTGGGAGGGTGAGGTGGGCAGATCGCGAGGTCAGGAGATCAAGACCATCCTGGGCAACATGGTGAAACCCCGTCTCTACTAAAAATACAAAAAAATTAGCTGGCTGTGGTGGTGCATGACTGTAGTCCCAGCTACTTGGGAGGCTGAGGCAGGAGAATTGCTTGAACCCAGGAGGCGGAGGTTTCAGTGAGCTGAGATCGTGCCACTGCACTCCAGCCTGGGTGACAGAGCAAGACTCCGTCTCAAAAAAAAAAAAAAATCCCTTTATTATTATGTTAATAGAGTTTCAATAGGATGCAAAAATAAATGAATGAGTGGAATTTGTCATTTTCATTCATAAGTTGACTTTGAAATGTTCTAGTCTCCTACAACTATATTATTTTATTTTTGCACACAACTAAATGTTGAATTTGGAGTTAAATTTCTCTTAGTGACCATGCTTCAGTTTATGGTATAAAATAAACCATTTATCTACCACTATGCCTTTAGTTTTAGTTTAGTCAGAAATCTGAGGAGCAAATTGCAACATAGAAGGGAACACACATCTGGCCTGGCCCTGGCCCTGGCCTTATCCTTCTAAATGTCTTTAACCTCCAAACTCTAGTGTGCCTCCGAGAACAAGGTGATCTTTCCAAGTGTGGCCTTGGCTGTTGGGAATAGGAAGCCAATTATATGAGTTTCATAGTCCAATAATTTTTTTCTTTTTAAAAAAAGACCTTTTTTTTAAATCTGCCTACTTTATTTGGTAAAACAACAACAACAAACAAAACCTTATTTTTTAGAGCAGTTTTAGGTTCACAGCAAAATTGAGAGGAAAGTACAGAGATTTCCCACACACCCCCTATCCCACATGTGTATAGTCTTGCCCATTTTTAACATCCCCCACCAGAGCGGTGCATTTGTTATCACTGATGAACCCACATTGATACATCATTATCATCCAGAAGTCCACAGTTTACATTAAGATTCACTCTTCGAGTACATTCTCTAGGTTTAGACAAATGTGTAATGACATGTAGCCATGATTATAGTAGCATACAGAGTAGTTTCACTGCCCTAAGACTCCTCTGTGCTGTTTATTCTTCCCTCCCTCCCCTCAACCCTTGGCAACCACTGATCTTTACTCTGTCTCCATAGTTTTGACTTTTCCAGAATGTGATATAGTTGGAATCTTATAACATGCAGCTCTTTCAGATTGGCTTCTTCTTTCACTTAGTAAAATGCATTTACATTTACTCTATATCTTTTTATAGCTTGATAGCTCATTTCTTTTCATCACTGAGTAATAATACATTGTCTGGATATACCACAGTTTATTTATCCATTCACCTCCTGAAGGACATCTTGCTTGTGTCCAAGTTTTGGCAATTAAAAATAAAGCTACTGGCCAGGCACAGTGGCTCACACCTGTAATCCCAACACTTTGGGAGTCCAAGGTGAGCAGATTTTTTGAGCCCAGGACTTTGAGACCAGCTTGGGCAACATGGCAAAACCTACCTCTACAAAAAAAAAAACAAAAACAAAACAAAACAAAAAACAAAACAAAAGTTAGCTGAGCATGCTGGCGTGTGCCTGTTTTCCCGGCTACTCAAGAGGCTGAAGTGGGAGGATTACTTGAGCCCAGAAAGTTGCGGCTACAGTAAGCCGTAATTGTACCACTGCATTCCAGCCTGGGGCCACAGCAAGACCCTGTCTAAAAAAAAAAAAAGAGAAAAGAAGGAGAAGAAGGAAGAGGAGGAGGAGAAGGAAGGAAGAGGAGGAGGAAAGAAAGAGGAAGGAAGGAAGGAATGAAGGAAGGAGAGAAGAGGAAGAGGAGGAAGAGGAAGAAACGGAGGAAGAAGAAGAAGAAAGAAGAAAGAAGAAGGAAGAAGACGACTATAAACATTTGTGTACGGTACTTATTTGTTATTTGTATATCTTCTTTGCTCTGGTGACTTAAGATCTTTGAGCTATTTTTTAATCAGGTAATTTGTTTTCTTATTGTTGAGTTTTAAGAGTTCTTTGTATATTTTGGATAACAATCCTCTACCAGGTATATTTTTTGAAAATATTTTCTCCCAGTCTATGGCCTGTCTTCCCGTTCCTGTAACAGTGTCTTTCACAGAGCAAAACATTTTAATTTTAATGAAGTCTAGCTTATCAATTCTTTCTTTCATGAATCACAACTTTGGTGTTGCATCAAAAATTTATCATGAAACCTGAGGTCACCTAAATTTTCTCCTATGTTGTCTTCTAAGAGTTTTATGGTCTTGTGTTTTTCAAGTCTGTGATCCATTTTGAGTTAATTCTTGTGGAGGGTGTTAAGATCTGTGTCTAGATTCAAGTTTCTGAATGTAGATGTTCGGTTCTAGTACCATCTGTTGGAAAGTCTATCTCTATTGTATTGCCTTTGCTTCTTTGTCAAAGAACAGTTGACTGTATTCATGTGGGTCTCTTTCTGGGCTCTCTGTTCTGTTCCATTGATCTGTTTGTCTATTCTTTATCAATATCATGCTGGCTTGATTACTGCAGTTTTGTAGTAAGTCTTGAAGTCACATAGTGTCATTTCTCCAATTTGTTCTTTTCCTTCAATATTGTGTTGCCTATTCTGGGTCTTTTGGCTTTTGGCTCTCCATATCAACTTTTTTTTTTTTTTTTGAGATGAAGTCTCGCTCTACTCCCTCGGCTGGAGTGCAGTGGTGCTATCTCGGCTCACTGCAGCCTCCGCCTCCCAGGTTCGGGCGGTTCTCCTGCTTCAGCCTCCCAAATAGCTGGGATTACCAGCATGCGCTTCCACACCCGGCTAATTTTTGTATTTTTAGTAGAGACGGGGTTTCCCCATGTTGGCCAGGCTGGTCTTGAACTCCTGACCTCAAGTGATCCACCCTCCTCAGCCTCCCAAAATGCTGGGATTACAGGCATGAGCCACTGTGCCTGGCTCCCATATCAACTTTCAAATCAGTTTGTCAAAATCCACAAAATAATTTTCTGGGATTTTTACTGGACTTGCCATGAATCTATAGATCAAGTTGGGAAGAACTTAATAGCTTGACAATACTGAGTCTTCCTATCCATGAACATGAAATAATCTCTGTATTCATTTAGTTCTTTAATTTATTTCATTAGAGTTCTGCAGTTTTCCTAATATAAACCTTGTACATATTCTGTTAGATTTAAAATTAATTATTTCATTTTGGGGGGTGCTAATGTAAATGATACTGTGTTTATTTTTTGCTTGTTCTTTTTTTGTTTTTTTTTGTTTTGTTTTGTTTTGTTTTGAGACAGAGTCTCACTCTGTCACCCAGGCTGGATGGAGTGCAGTGGTGCAATCTTGGCTCACTGCAACCTCCGCCTCCCGGGTTTAAGCAATTCTCCCACCTCAGCCTCCAGAGTAGCTGGGATTATGGGCATGTGCCACCACGTGCAGCACCACGAGACAGGGTTTCGGCCTGTTACCCAGGCTGGTCTCGAACTCCTGGGCTCAAGCAGTCTGCCCACCTTGGCCTCCCAAAGTGCTGGGATTACAGGCATGAGCCACCTGTTACTAACTTCTAGTGTAATCCCACGGTAATCTGAGAGCAGATATTGTATGATTTCTTTTCTTTTAAATTTGTTCTCACGCCTGTAATCCCAGCACCTTGGGAGGCCGACACGGGCACATCACGAGGTCAGGAGATGGAGACCATCCTGGCTAACACGGCAAAACCCCGTCTCTACTAAAAATACAAAAAAAAATTAGCCGGGCGTGGTGGCAGGCGCCTGTATAGTCCCAGCTACTCGGGAGGCTGAGGCAGGAGAATGGTGTGAACCCGGGAGGTGGAGCTTGCAGTGAGCCGAGATCACGCCACTGCATTCCAGCCTGGGCAACAGAGCAAGACTCTGTCTCAAAAAAAAAAAAAATTGTTAAGGTGTGTTTTATGGCCCAGAATATGATCTACCTTGGTGAAGGCTTTCTCCACATGAACTTGAGAAGAATGTGTATTCTGTTATTGCTGGAGGAAGTAGTCTATAGATGTCAGTCATATCCAGTTGACTGATGGTGTTTTTTGAGCTGAGATTCAACCCAGGGAATCTGGTTTCTATAGTTGCTGGTAGCCTATAGTCCCAGCTACTTGAAAGGCTGAGGTGGGAGGATTACTTGAGCCCAGGAGTTCAAGATAGGAAGTCTGGTTCCAAAATTCCATGCACCTACCTACTTCACTATGTTGCCTCCTGGGGGATTGATTTCTCTCAGTTTATTTCATAATTTTAGAGGTAACCACTTTAGCTGGAATTTTAACATTTCATTTGTATCTTGTAGCTAGCTACTGTGTGAAAGACAACATGGAATGAAATACAACAAGGCATTTCTGTTTCGAGTTCATCTTCTCAAATTGTTTTTATTGTAAAGAGAAATTAATTATCATTTTAGCTTGTGATAAAAGGATAAAAATTAAATGTCATCACTGCTGAATAGTTCAGCTTGCTATAATTTATAATTTATTTGTAATATAAATAGATAAGTATGATCAGCTCTACTTACTTGACTAGCCTCATCTCGCTCTGCTCTTCAGAGCATATTAGCTGCCTTTCTGTTCCTGTTCCCCTGCCTGTAACTCCTACATACTTCAGGTCTCAGCCTAAATTATCAATTCCTCAAGAAATTTGTCACTGCCTTTCCAATATAAATTAGACTTATCTGATATCTGTTTTTCTAGCTCTATGTTTTTCTCTGATGACTCATACTGTAATTATAATCATGTTGTTCTTTGTATGTCTGTGTCTGCTGTCACTTTTTTTTTTTTTTTTTTGAGACAGAGTTTCATTCTGTCACCCAGGCTGGAGTGCAATGGTGCGATCTCAGCTCACTGCAACCTCTGCTTCCCAGGTTCAAGCGATTCTCCTGCCTCAGCCTCCTGAGTAGCTGGGATTAAAAGCGCCCGCCACCACACCCGGCTAATTTTTGTATTTTTAGTAGAGACGGGGTTTCTCACTGTTGGCCAGGCTGGTCTCGAACTCCTGACCTCAGGTGATCTGCCCGCCTCGGCCTCCTAAAGTGCTGGGATTACAGGCGTGAGCCACCGGGCCCGGCCTGCTATTGCTTTTAAACTCGACAGGCATCTTGATTATTTATGCACTGTTTTATCCCCGGCACCTAACACAGGGCCTAGCACATAGTAAGCACTTTGTTTTCTTTTTGTTAATAAACTGCATCCGTGTAATTAATAACTCTAAAGCTAATAAGTCAAATTATTGATCTGAGCATGCCAAATGGGTAAAATGGAAAATTGAGCAAATTTATTTATAGGCCACTAAGACAACCATATCTTAAAGGTAATTTTTAAAAAGCAATAGCCCAGTGATTGAAAGTATGGGTGCTTATATACCTTTTCGCCTTGTAGCAATCAAGAATTGGGGCATGTAAAATGATTAACACAATATTGTCTGAAACTGAAAAGGACAGCCTGCCTCCTTTGCCTGGAATGCTGCCTTTCCTTTAATGTTCAACTCCTGTTGTATTTTCTTCATGAAGTCTTCTTGTAAGACTGAAACGCCCAGTGACTTTTCCTCCCTCTCTGAATTTCTGTTACATTTAAAAGTCCAAGGCCCCAAAGTCAGCACTAGATCCTATAGCCTGCCTTGTATTGTCCACAGCTGCTTTCAATGTTAGTCTTATCTCATCTTATTAGATTGTAAATTCCTGGAAGGGAGGAAACATACCTTTATACCTCTTCTATAATCCCATGGCGCCTAAAGCAGTGCTGAGAACATGCTGTCTGCACAATGAGCACTCATTGAGTTGTCTGTAGGCAAAAACAATTAATCTGACAGTTTGCAGTTTGTGGGTCATGGGTGTGTTTGAATCTTTTCAGCACGGAGCTTGCTCTCCAACTACTGTCAGCCTGGATCGTCAGCAATAAGGAGGGATAGGGAGTCTCCTTTCTTCCTCTTCGACTTCTCTAAGGTCTTGCCATAAAACAAACTAAAACAAATCATTAGAACTGTTCCTACTCGGGGATGCGCTTCTCTTTAAGGAACACAGTTTAATGGTCAAAAAAGCAGCTGCTTTGTATTCTGGAGAATGTACCTAATTAATCAGAGGCCAAACAAATAGAAATAAATTCAGGCTTCCATTTTATTATTGAGTAAGGCCCATTTGATCTCCAAACAGATTTTGGGCAGGACAGGGGCATGTCCTGCTGATTTGAGGAGCTCCTCACAGATCCATGGGAATTTTGGTAGGATCAAGCAGCGTCCTTGAGCAATGGCAGCCTCCTTTACTGTAGACCTCTAGAAAAAATTGCCAAGAGGTAATTGCTAGCCATACAATGAGAAGGAAGGGAGAGTGTTGCACTTAAGATAGAAAGGATGTGGATGGCTGGCTCCTTCTGTAATCCTTCATGCTGACCCTATTCCATTCAGTTGGTCATTTGTGAGCTTTTCAAAATTATTTATTGAGACTATTATGTGACTCAAGTGACTCTAAGGAAAAGTAAGAATTCCTTCTAGCTTTCTAGGAACTTGCAATCTGCTCAGGAAGATAAGATTACACACGAGGCAGGTAGGTAACAATAGAAGACAGAATTTGATGACATATTGATCAGAGAAGGGCAAAATCACTCTGAATGGGAGTTATCAGAGAAGATTCTGTAGGGTAGTGGAAACTCTGCTGAACTTTGTAAGGGCCGTTTATGGTGATATTTTCATAGCTAGGTCATTAACAGTTAATTTACTCCCTTCCCCAAAATAGTTCAATTTACATCAGATGCTGAGTTATTTGATTTACATAATCTGATTTAAGAGTCAAGGTGGCTTACACCTGTAATCCCAGCACTTTGCGAGGCTGAGGCAGGAGGATATTTAGAGCCCAGGTGTTCAAGACCAGTCTGGGTAACATGGCATAACCCTATCTCTACAAAATATGCAAAAAATTAGCTGGGTGTGGTGGCGTGTACCTGTAGTCCCAGCTACTCAGGAAGCTGAGGTGGGAGGACCACTTGAGCCCAGGAGGTAGATGCTGCAGTGTGCCATGATTGTGCCACTGCATTCCAGCCTGGGTGACAGACTGAGACTCTGTCTCAAAAAAAAAAAAAGGCCAGGGGCAGTGGCTCACACCTGTAATCCCAACACTTTGGGAGGCCAAGGCAGGTGGATCATTTGAGGTTAGGAGTTCGATACCAGCCTGGCCAACATGGTGAAACCCCATCTCTACTAAAAATACAAAAATTAGCTCGGCGTGGTAGTGCACGCCTGTAATCCCAGCTATTCCGGAGGCTGAGGCAGAAGAATTGCTTGAGCCTGGGAGGCAAAGGTTGCCGTGAGCCGAGATCACGCCACTGCACTCCAGTCTGGGCAACAGAGAGAGACCCTGTCTCAAAATAAATAAATAAATAAGTAATAAAAATAACAATACTGTGTAGCTTACTTACCTGTGAGTTTGTCTAAGTAAATAAGGGACTGTTTGGTTAAGCAAATCGGTTTATCCCTGTATCCTATCTTTCTATAAAAATGAGGGCATCAGTCTAGAGAGCAGTTTCCCAAAGAGGTTCTACAAAATGTTAATAGATATTTAAAAAAAAAAGGGTCGGGGGCTGGGCGTGGTGGCTCATGCCTGTAACCCCAGCATTTTGGGGGCCTGAGACGGGCAGATCACCTGAGGTCAGGAGTTCCAGACCAGCCTGACCAACATGGTAAAATCCCATCTCTACTAAAAATAGAAAATTAGCCAGGCGTGGTGGCATATGCCTGTAATCCCAGCTCCTCAGGAGGCTAAGGCAGGAGAATTGCTTGCACCTGGGAGCCAGAGGTTGCAGTGAGCTGAGAATGCGCCACTGCACTCCAGCATGGGCAACAAGAGCAAAACTCCATCTCAAAAAAAAAAAAAAAAAAAAAGGCGGGGGGGGTGCTACATGCTCATGTGTGTTTCACAAACTACCGGTTAAACAAAGTTATACTGGGTTCTTATAATAGAATTTCTTGCAACCTTTAATATGATTATTTGAATTGTGGCTTCTCAAGATGAGGGTAAAGTATTAATATATACCATTTCCCAAACTTATTTGACTATAGGATACCTTTTAAATGAAGTGTCATGTAGGACTGTGCTCTAAAAACTTGGGCAAGAAGAGTGCCTTTTCTGGCTTAATTCTGTGATTCTGCATTTGTACATTAAATGTATTTTTGTAGATCTATACGAAATCTAATTATTTTGCTAGTGTTAATTTCACTTAGAACATGTAAGAATTAGGCCAGGCGTGGTCACTTAGAATATACAAGAATTAGGCTGGGGCTGGGCACAGTGGCTCATGCCTGTAATCCTAGCACTTTGGGAGGCCGAGGCGGGTAGATCACCTGGGGTCAGGAGTTTGAGACCAGCCTGGCCAACATGGTGAAAACCCGTCTGTGCTAAAATTACAAAAATTAGCTGGGCCTGGTGGCACACGCCTGTAATCCCAGCAACTCGGGAGGCTGAGGCAGGAGAACAGCTTGAGCCCAGGAGATGGAGGTTGCAGTGAGCAGAGATCGCACCATTGCACTCCAGCCTGGGCGACAAGAACTAAACTCCATATCAAAAAAAAAAAAAAAAAAGAATTATGTGATCTTTTTAATACATACCAAACTTAGAGAACATGTTTGTTTGTTTTTCTCAAGTAATCTAAACCAGGTGGCAGTTACAGGTAGTGTGTTATGCTAAAAGACTGAAATGGTGCCAATTATATAATTGAAGTTCAATATTTTCTTGATATTAATTTTATAGTCTTTTGATTCTCTAGTGTTTTTGCCAAAGATGCCACCTTAGAAACAACTTTTTGTGCTTAAGTTTGTCCATTAAAAGGACTCTGTTTGATATGAGCCCATTTTTCTGTGGCGGAAAATTACCTGATCAAAACAAGGTTAAACCTCAGAAAAGTTACCTCCTTAAATAAAGCCTGGAGCTTTGTTTAATTATGATTTTACCATCTGATAACTACAGATTGCCTCCACCCCCAAGAAAAGATACCAAGTCAAGTTTGTTTGTTTGTTTCCAGAATCTGCAAACACTTACTTTTACATTTAAAAAAGTTACCCTGCCTCGAAATGTCAGCCTCTGGGGTTTTGTGAGACCCCTGCTGATTGACCCTACCCTTGACCTTAGCTCCAAAGCCCAACTCCATTCTGGCATGCTGGTGTAGAGAATTTATTTATTTTAACAGTAGGGAGCCAGAATTCTGGGGGAATATGCTTTTAAAAAGCCTCAAGAGCTATTTACCAGATCATCAGCTCCACAGGACTGGGAGGCCTCCACTAACACACGAAGTGGGTAGTAGTGGTTGGCAGCAGCCAAGGGCTCCAAGGGCTGGCTCAGCTCTAAGCAATAGGACGTAAGGGAGTGTGAAAGGATTTCCACTAGAAGTGGTCTTTTTGATCATCAAGAAAAAAAGGAAAATAGACATATTTTAACAGTAGAGACCTTTCAGTAAAAAGGGGCGGTCCTTTAAGTTCCTCAGGTTATATTTATTAAAGCATGGAGGCAGTCTTAGGGCCAACTCTCCATTTTATCTGTCTGCCTCTATCCGTTGATTCTCATTCTCTCTCTTATGTCCTGTTAGTTTTACTAGTTTTACTATAAGATTGTAAAGTATGAGATAATATGCATCCTTATTTTCTTAAAAATGGTTTTTATTAGAATTGGGTAACATGCCTGTTAAACATTTGTAAAATACTAAAAAGTACAAAAAGGAAAAAATAAAAATTACTCATATGATGCCATCCAAACACAGCTACTATTAATAATTTAGTAAATTTCCTTTAGTTTTTTCTTGGGTAGGGCAGAGTCTCTTTTTACACATTTATAGTAATTTTTATATACAATTTTCTCAGTAGATTTACTTAAATATTTTGAAGCATACAGAAGAGTTGAAAATGTTTTACTGTGAACACCTATATTCTCATCGCTTATTTATACAGTTAACATTTTACTATAAATGCTCTATCACATATCTCTCTATTCATCCTTCAATCCATCTTATTTTTAAACATGTTTCTTTTTATTTTTTGTGACAGGGTCTGGCTCTATTGCCCAGGCTGGAGGGCAGTGGTGCCATCTTGGCTTACTGCAACCTCTGCCTCCTGGGTTCAAGCCATCCTCCCACCTCAGCCTCCCAAGTAGATGGGACTATGGTTCATGGAACCATGCCTGGCTAACTTTTATATTTTGTGTAGATACAGGTTTTCACCATGTTTCTCAAGCTGGTCTTGAACTTGTGAGCTCAAGCAATCTGCTCACATGAGCCTCCCAAAGTACTGGGATTACAGGTATAAGAAACATGTCAAAGTACACGTGTAGACATTCTTTTCTTTTTCTTTTCTTTCTTTCTTTCTTTCATTTTTTTTTTTTTTTGAGACAGAGTTTCACTCTTGTTGCCTAGGCCTGGAGTGCAATGGCGCAATCTCGGCTCACTGCAATCTCCGCCTTCCAGGTTCAAGTGATCCTCCTGCCTCAGCCTCCTGAGTAGCTGGAATTACAGGCATGTGCCACCACGCCTGGCTAATTTTTGTATTTTTAGTAGAGATGGGGTTTCTCCATATTGGTCAGGCTGGTCTTGAACTCCTGACCTCAGTTGATCCGCCTGCCTTGGCCTCCCAAAGTGCTGGGATTACAGGCGTGAGCCACTGCGCCTGGCCTGACATTATTTTCAATTGCTATATTTCTTGCAGTGAATTTTGATTTTCTTTTAAATTATTTCCCTATGGTTGACCAATTGCTTGCTTCCCATTTTTTACTATTTACATGGACTTCATAGGAAGGATATACTTCTAAAATTTAATAGTAATTTCTGGCTATAGTAGAAAAGTAATACTGGAAAAATTGATAGGGATCATGTTGTGGAAGGTTTTGAGTACCAGGGAAGTTACAGCAAAATGTAGTATAGTTACATTCTTGGAATCAGATAGATCATATACTTATTAGGTAACTGACATTGGAAAAAGTGTTAAACCTCTCTCAGGCTGTTTTCTCACCTGTCGAGTGGGGAGGCTATTATTACTTGTCTTACAGGGTAATTGTAGGGATTAAATAACATATATGCTACTTCCTTAAAAAATAGAAGATTTTATCTGTACATAATAAATAGAAGATTTCTCAAAACAATGGTTTCATGTCAAAGTTCATGGAAAAAATTTACTGGAGGATTTTTGAGTAGGACAGAGATGTAGATCAGACCTGATTTTAGGTGGCTTAATCCTGTAGAATTGTGCATGACGCATAAGAGTGAGGGAGAAAGGTTATAAGGAGGTAGATTTGATTCGACTTAATAAATATCTACTGAGTATGTTTGAAATGTAAAGCACTGTGCTAGGTGCCTTGGGATTATAAAGCAGAGTGAGACAGCTGCCACAGAGATTTTAATTTGGTGGGTAATGCATAGGGTGAAGCAAGAGCTATAAAACCAAGCAGAATCCATCCACCCTGATTCATTATTTACCATCCATCCACCCATCCATCCATTTACTCATCCACCCATCCACCCATGCATCTGTCCATCCATCCATCCATCCATCCATCCATCCAATGAATATTGATTTGCTCCTGTCCTATGTCAGTTACTGTTCTAGATGCTGAAGATATAGCATGAGCAAAACAGAATAAAATCCTTGCCTTCATGTAGCGTACATTCTAGTGGAAGAGGAGACAATATATAAATAAATGCATAATAAAATATCACATAGTATAATAATAAGTATCTTGAAGAAAAAAACAATGTAAAGGAATAAAGCCGTGTGGACAACTGGAGCCCTACCTCATATCATATCTTTTTTTTTTTTTTTTTGAGATGGAGTCTCGCTCTGTCACCCAGGCTAGAGTGCAGCGGTGTGATCTTGGCTCACTGCAAGCTCCGCCTCCCACGTTCACACCATTCTCCTGCCTCAGCCTCCTGAGTAGCTGGGACTACAGGCACCCACCACCACACCCGGCTAATTTTTTGTATTTTTTTTAGTAGAGACGGGGTTTCACTGTGTTAGCCAGGATGGTCTCGATCTCCTGACTTCATGATCTGCCCGTGTTGGCCTCTTAAAGTGCTGGGATTACAGGCATGAGCCACCGTGCCCGGCCCTCATATCATATTTTTAAAACTTAATTTCAGCTGGATTAATAACGTAAATGTGAAAGTAAAAGCCTTAAATTTGACCAGACGTGGTGGCTCATCCCTGTAATCCCAAAACTTTGGGAGGCCAAGGTGGGCAGTTTGCTTGAGCCTGGGAGGTTGAGGCTGCAAAACCGAGATGGCACCCTGCACTACAGCCTGGGCCACAGAGCAAGACCCTGTCTCAAACAAACAAACTTTATGATTTTGAGGAAACCTAGGATAATTATCTTTAAGACTTGGGAGTAGAGGATGATTAAAAAGTGTAAACTATGAGAGGTAAAAGATTGATAAATAAAAGTTCACATTAGGAACGTCTGCTCATCAAAGACACTATAAAGAGAGTGAAAAGACAAGATATGAGATGGAAAAAGTATTTTTTCTTTTTCTTTTCTTTTTGTTTTTTTTTGAGACAGGGTCTTGCTCTGTCACTCAGGCTGGAGTGCAGTGTTGCAGTCATAGCTCATCTCTACCTCCTGGTCTCAAGCAATTCTCCCATCTCAGCCTCTCGAGTAGCTGGGGACTACAGGGACCCACCACCATGCCTGGCTTATTTTTTTATTTTTTGTAGAGACGGGGTTTCGCCATGTTGCCCAGGCTGGTCTTGAACTTCCAAGCTCAAGGGATCTGCCCACCTCGGCCTCCCAAAGTGCTGGGATTACAGCCATTGTGCCCAACTGGAAAAAGTATTTTCAGCATACACACACACACGTGCGCACACACACACACTCTCTTTCTTTCTCTCTGTCTATCTTATTTCAAGGTATTGGCTTATATGATTGTGGGGACTGCCAAATCTGAAACCTGTAGGGCAGGCCAGCAGTTTGGAAACGCTCAGGCAGGAGCTGCTGCTGCTGTTTTGAGTCAGAATTTTTTCTTCTTCAGGGAAACCTCAGTTTTTCTCTTAAGGCCTTTCAGCTGGCTGGATAAGTCTCACCCATGCTATCAAGGATAAGATCCTTTACTTAAAGTAAATTATTGTACGTCTTTTTTTGTTTGTTTGTTTGTTTGAGACAGAGTTTTGCTCTTGTTGCCTAGGCTGGAGTGCAATGGCGCAATCTCAGCTCACCACACCGTCTGCCTCCCGGGGTTCAAGCGATTCTCCTGGCTCAGCCTCCTGAGTAGCTGGGATTACAGGCGCCCACCACCACACCCAGCTAATTTGTTTCGTATTTTTAGTAGAGACGGGGTTTCACCATGTTGACCAGGCTGGGCTTGAACTCCTGACCTCAGGTGATCCGCCCACCTTGGCCTCCCAAAGTGCTGGGATTACAGGCGTGAGGTACTGTACCTGGCCGATTGTAAGTCTTAACAATGTCTCCAAAATACTTTCACAGCAACATAAATAACATAAATAACTGGGTGCTCTAGCCTAGCTGAGTTGATACATAAACTCACCATCACAGTCACAAAACAAACAAGTTATGACACACATTTGTCAAATGTTGTAAAAGCTGGAGGCCAGAGAGAGAGGGTGCTTAAAAGAGTTCACAAAGAGCCTTCTCATACCCTAGGTGAGAATGTCAGTGACTTGACAACATATTCAGGATCCCCTTATCAGAGTGTGGATTGGCCTCAGTAAAAGCAGGGAATATTCCTTTAATGAGACCAAATTGTATCAAGCAGTCCCCGCTTATCAGTGGTTTTGCTTTCTGTGGTTTCAGTTACCCATAGTCAAGCATGATCTGAAAATATTAAATGGAAAATCCCAGAAATAAACAATTCATACATTTTAAATTGCACGCTCTTCAGAGTAGCATGATTAAATCTCATGCCGTCCCACTCCATCCTACCAGGGAGATGAATCATCCTTTTGTCTAGCCATCCATGCTGCACAGGAATACTTGGGAAATGTGGGTTCAGTTCGAGACCACTGCAACAACGTATCTCCATAAAGCGAGTCACACAAATTTTCTGGTTTCCCAGTTAGGTTTACATTATACTGTTATTTATTTATTTATTTATTTATTTATTTATTTATTTATTTATGAGACAGTCTCACTCTGTTGCCCAGGCTGGAGTGCAATGGTGCTATCTCAGCTCACTGCAACCTCCTCGCTCCGAGTTCAAGCGATTCTCCTGCCCAGCCTCCTGAGTAGCTGGGATTACAGGCACCTGCCACCTCACCTGGCTAATTTTTGTATTTTTAGTAGAGATGGGGTTTCACCATCTTGGTCAGGCTGGTCTTGAACTCCTGACCCCGTGATTCACCCACCTCAGCCTCCCAAAGTGCTGGGATTACAGGCATGAGCCACAGTGCCTGGCCTATACTATAGTTTATTAAATGTGCAATAGCATTACATCTTTAAAAAGTACATACCTTAATTAAAATATACTTTATTGCTAAAAAAGTAGCAGTACTAATAATGTTAACAATTATCTGAGCTGTCAGAGAATCATCATTTTTTTTTTTTTTTTTTTTTTTTTGCTGGTGGAGGGTCTTGCCTTGATGTTGATGGCTGCTGACTGATGAGAAGGGTGGTTGCTGAAGGTTGGGGGGCTGTGGCAATTTCTTTCTTTCTTTCCTTTTTTTTTTTTTTTTTTTTGAGACGGAGTTTCACTCCTGTCACCCAGGCTGGAGTGCAATGGCACAATCTTGGCTCACTGCAACCTCTGCCTCCCAGGTTCAAGCAATTCTCCTGCCTCAGGCTCCCGAGTAGCTGGGATTACAGGTGTGCACCACCACGCTCAGCTAATTTTTTTGTATTATTAGTAGAGACAGGGTTTCACCATGTTGGCCAGGCTGGTCTTCAACTCCTGACCTCAGGTGATCTGCCCACTTCGGCCTCCCAAAGTGCTAGGATTACAGGCGTGAGCCACCGTGCCAGGCCTGGCAATTTCTTTAAAAGAAAACAGTGAAGTTTGCCACCTCGATTGACTCTTTCAAAAAGATTTCTCTGTAGCATGCAATGCTGTTTGATCCACTTTTATCCATAGTAGAACTTTCAGAATTGGAGTCAGTCCTCTCAAACTTTGATACTGCTTTATGAATTAGCTTTATGGAATAATCCTTTGTTGTCATTTTTTGTTTGTTTGTTTTTTGAGTTGGAGTCTCGCTGTGTCTCCAAGGCTGGAGTGCGGTGGTGTGATCATGGTTCACTGCAACCTCCGCCTCTTGGGTTCAAGTGATTTTCCTGCCTCAGCCTCCTGAGTAGCTCAACTACAGGCATGTGCAACCATGCCCAGCTAAGTTTTGTATTTTTAGTAGAGACTGGGTTTCACCATATTGGCCAGGCTCGTCTCGAACTCCTGGTCTCAAGTGATATGCCTGCCTCAGCCTCCCAAAGTCCTGGGATTATATGTGTGAGCCACTGCGAGTAACCTTTTGTTGTCTGAAAATTTCAACGATGTTCACAGCCTCTTCACCAGGAGTAGAGTCCATCTCAAGAAACCACTTTCTTTGCTAGCTCATCAAGTAAAAAAATTCCTCACCTGTTCTTTTCTTTTTTTTTTTTTCTTTTTTTGAGTTGGAGTCTCGCTCTGTCACCAGGCTGGAGTGCAGTGGCGTGATCTTGGCTCACTGCAACCTCTGCCTCCCGGGTTCAAGCTATTCTCCTGCCTCAGCCTCCCGAGTAGCTGGGATTACAGGCGCTCACCGCAATGCCCAGCTACGTTTTGTATTTTTAGTAGAGGCGGGGTTTCACCATGTTGGCCCGGATGGTCTCGATCTCTTGACCTCGTGATCTGCCTGCCTAGGCATTGCAGAGTGCTGGGATTACAGGCGTGAGCCACTGTGCTCGGCCACCTGTACAAGTTTTATCAGGAGATTGTAGCAATCTAGTCACATCTTTGAGCTCTGCTTCTACTTCTAGTTCTCTTGCTATTTCTACCACATCTGTAATTACTTTCTCAACTGAAGTCTTGAACCCTTCGAAGTTGTCTGTGAGAGCTGGAATTAACCTCTTCCAAACTCCTGTTAATGTTGATATTTTTACTTCCTCCCATGATCACAAATGTTCTTAATGGCATTTAAGTGGTGATTCCTTTTCAGAGGTTTTCAATTTACTTTGTCTAGATTCGCCAGAGTAATCACTACCAATGGCAGCTATAGCCTTAAAAAATGTGTTTCTTTTCTTTTTTTTGAAATGGAGTTACTCTCTTGTTGCCCAGGCTGGAGTGCAATGGTGCAGTCTCAGCTCACTGCAACCTCTGCCTCCCGGGTTCAAGCGATTCTCCTGCTTCAGCCTCCTGAGTAGCTGGGATTACAGGCATGCAGCACCACGCCTGGCTAATTTTTTTTTTTTTCTTTTTTTTTTTTTTTGAGACAGAATTTCACTCTTGTTGCCCACGCTGGAGTGCAATGGGGCGATTTAGGCTCACGGCAACCTCTGCCTCCTGGGTTCAAGTGATTCTTCTGCCTCAGCCTCCCAAGTAGCTGGGATTACAAGTGCCAACCACCATACCTGGCTAATTTTGGTATTTTTAGTAGAGACGGGTTTTCACCATGTTGGCCAGGCTGGTCTCAAACTCCTGACCTCAGGTGATCTGCCCACCTCGGCCTCCCAAAGTGCTGGGATTATAGGCGTGAACCACGGTACCCGGCCTAATTTTGTATTTTTAGTAGAGAGAGTTTCACCATGTTGGCCAGGGTGGTCTCGATTTCCTGACCTCAGGGGCCACCCGCCTACGCCTCCCAAAGTGCTGGGATTACAGGTGTGAGCCACCATGCCCGGTCAAAAAGTGTGTTCCTTAAATAATAAGACTCAAGGCTGGGTGCAGTGGCTCATGCCTGTAATCCCAGCACTTCGGGAGGCTGAGACGGGCAGATCACCTGAGGTCAGGAGTTCAAGCCCAGCCTGGCCAACATGGCAAAACCCGTCTCTACTAAAAACATAAAAATTAGCTGGGTGTGGTGGCAGGCACCTGTGGTGGCAGGAACCCGGGAGGTGGAGGTTGCAGTGAGCTGAGATTGGACCATTGCACTCCAGCCTAGGCAACAAGAGTGAAACTCTATCTCAAAAATAAAATAAGGGCCGGGCGTGGTGGCTCATGCCTGTAATCCCAGCACTTTGGGAGGCCGAGACGGGCAGATCACCTGAGGTCGGGAGTTTGAGACCAGCCTGACCAACATGGAGAAAGCCTTTCTCTACTAAAAATACAAAATTAGCAGGGCATGGTGGCACATGCCTGTAATCCCAGCTACTTGGAAGGCTGAGGCAGGAGAATCGCTTGAACTTGGGAGGCAGAGGTTGCGGTGAGCCGAGATCATGCCGTTGCACTCCAGCCTGGGCAACAAGAGCGAAACTCTGTCTCAAAAAAAAAAAAAAGAAAAAAGAAAGAAAGAAAAAATAAGACTCGAAAGTCAAAATTACTCTTTGAGCCATAGGCTACAGAACGGATGTTGTGTTAGCAGGCATGAAAACAACTATTTTTTTTTTTTTTTTGGGACAGAGTTTCGCTCTTATTGTCCAGGCTGGAGCGCAATGGTGAAATCTCGGCTCACCGCAACCTCTGCCTCCCGGGTTCAAGCAATTCTCTTTCCTCAGTCTCCCAAGTAGCTGGGATTACAGGCAACCGCCACCACGCCCAGCAAATTCTTTTGTATTTTTAGTAGAGACGGGGTTTCTCCACGTTGGTCAGGCTGGTCTCAAACTCCCAACTTCAGGTGATCAACCTGCTGCGGCCTCCTAAAGTGCTGGGATTACAGGAAAACAACTTTTAATCTACTCATACATCTCCATCAGAGCTCTTGGATGATCTGATGCATTGTCAACGAGCAGTTATATATATATAACTTTTTTTTTTTTTGAGTTGGAGTTTTGCTCTTGTTGCCCAGGCTGGAATACAGTGGCGCAATCTCAGCTCACTGCAACCTCCGCCTCCCGGGTTCAAGCAATTCTCCTGCCTTAGCCTCCTGAGTAACTGGGATTACAGGCATGCGCCTCCATGCCCAGCTAATTTTCTATTTTTAGTAGAGACGGGGTTTCACCATATTGGTTAGGCTGGTCTGGAACTCCTAACCTAAGGTGATCCACCTGCCTCAGCCTCGCAAATTGCTGGGATTACAGGCATGAGCCACTGCGCCCGGCTCGAGTAGTAATATTTTGAAAGGAATGTTTTTTTTTCTGAGCGGTAGGTCTCAACAGTGGGCTTTAAATTATTCAGTAAACCATGCTGTAAACAGATGTGCTGTCATGCAGGCTTTGTTGTTCCATTTACAGAGCACAGGCAGAGTAGATTTAGCTTTTTTTTTTTTTTTTTTTTGAGACAGAGTTGCACTCTGTCACCCAGGCTTGAGTGAAGTGGTGCGATCTTGGCTCACTGTAACCTCCACCTTCCAGGTTCAAGTGATTCTTCTGCCTTAGCCTACAGAGTATCTGCGACTACAGGTGCATGCCGTCACACCCAGCTAATTTTTGTATTTTTAGTAAAGACAGGGTTTCGCCATGTAGGCGAGGCTGGATTTAGCATCATTTTTAAGAGCCCTAGAGTTTTTGGAATGGTAAATGAGCAATGGCTTCAACTTAAAGTCATCAGCTGCATTAGCCCGTAAGAAGAGAGTCAGCCTGTCCTTTGAAGCCAGACATTAATTTTTCTTTAGCTACGAAATTCCTAGATGGCCTCTTCTTCCAATATAAGGCTGTTTTGTCTACATTGAAAAATCTGTGGTCTGGTGTGGTGGTTCATGCCTGTAATCCCAGACTTTGGGAGGCTGAGGTGGGAGGCTCACTTAAGCCCAGGAGTTCAAGACCAGCCTGGACAACAAAACGAGATTCTGTCTCTACAAAAAATAAAAATTAAACAAAAAAGAAAATCTGTTGTTCAGTGTATCCACCTTCACCCATGATCTTAGCTAGATCTTCGGGATAACTTGCTGCAGCTCCTACATCAGCACTCGCTGGTTCACCTTGCACTTTTTTTGTTATGGAGGTGGCTTCTTTCCTTAAACTTCATGAACCAACCTCTGCTAGCTTCAGACTTTTCTTCCATTGCTTCCAGCACTCTCAGCCTTCATTGAATTGAAGAGAGTTAGAGTTAGGGTCTTGCTCTGGTTTAGGCTTTGGCTTATGAGAATGTTGTGGTTGGTTTGATCTATCCAGGCCACTTAGACATTCTCCATTTCAGCAATAAGGCTGTTTCACTGTCTTATTTGTGTGTTCACTGGAGTAGCACTTTTAATTTCCTTCAAGAACTTTTTCTGGCCAGGCACGATGGCTCACGCCTGTAATCCCAGCATTTTGGGAGGCTGAGGCAGGCGGATCACTTAAGGTCAGGAGTTCAAGATCAGCCTAGCCAACATAGTGAAACCCCGTCTCTACTTAAAATACAAAAATTAGCCAGGCATGGTGGTGGGCGCCTGTAATCCCAGCTGCTCAGGAGGTTGAGGCAGGAGAATTGCTTGAACCCAGGAGGCAGAGGTTGCAGTGAGCCGAGATTGAGTCACACTACACTCCAGCCTGGGCAATAGAGTGAGACTCCTGTCTCAAAAAAAAAAAAAAAAAAAAAAAAAAAAGAACTTTATCTTTGTATTCACAACTTCGTTGTTTGGTGCAAGAAGTGTAGCTTTTGGCCTCCCTCAGCTTTTGATATGCCTTCCTCAGTAAGTTTAATCATTTCTAGCTTTTGATTGAAAGTGAGAGACGGCTGGGCCCAGTGGCTCACGCTTGTAATCCGAGCACTTTGGGAGGCTGAGGTGGGAGGATCATGAGGTCAGGAGTTCGAGACCAGCCTGGCCAACACAGTGAAACCCCGTCTCTACTAAAAATACAAAAATTAGCTGGGTGTGGTGGTGGGCGCCTGTAATTCCAGCTATTTGGGAGGCTGAGGCAGGAGAATCACTTGAACCTGTGAAACGGAGTTTGCAGTGAACCAAAATTGTGCCACTGCACTCCAGCCTGGGCGACAGAGCTAGACTCTGTCTCAAAAAAAAAAAAAAAAAAAAAAAACAAACAAAGAAAGAGACATGTGGTGACTCTTCCTTTCACTTGAACACTTAGAGGCCATTGTAGGGTTATTAATTGACCTAATTTCAATCTTATTGTGTCTCACAGAAAAGGGAGGTCTGAGGTAAGGGAGAGAGAAGTGGGAATGGCTGCTTGGTGGAGCAGTCAGAACACACACAACATTTATGTATTAAGTTCGCCGTCGTATGTAGATGGGCATGGTTCATGACACCCCAAAACAATTACAATAGTTACATCAAAGATCAGTGATCACAGATCACCTAACAGATATAATAATAATGGAAAAGTTTGGGCCAGGCGCGGTAGCTTATGCCTGTAATCCCAGCACTTTGGGAGGCCGAGGTGGGTGGATCCCGAGGCCAGGAGTTCAAGACCAGCCTGGCCAACACGGGAAAACCCAAAACCCCGTCTCTACTAAAAATACAAAAATTAGCTGGGTGTGGTGGTGTGTGCCTGTAACGCCAGCTACTCAGGAGGCTGAGGCAGGAGAATCGCTTGAACCCGGGAGGCGGAGGTTGCAGTGAGCCGAGATCATGCCACTGCACTCCAGCCTGGGTGACAAGAGCAAGACTCCATCTCCAAAAAAAAAAAAAAAAAAAGGGAACGTTTGAAATATCTTAAGAATTACAAAAATGTGACACAGAGACATGAAGTAAGCACTGCTGGAAAAATGGCACGCATAGACTTGCTTGATTTAGGGTTACCACAAACCTTCAGTCTGTAAAATGCAGTATCTGAAGTACGGTGAAGTGAAGCACAATAAAACAGAGGTGTCCCTATCTCTGCTACTCACCTGTTAGTCACTTAGTAGTGTCTTGGTTACCGGATCGAAAAAGCACAGTAGATATAGGGTTTGGTACTATCCATTGTTTTAGGCATCCACTGGGGGGTCTCGGAATGTATCCCCTGAGGTAAGGGGAAAGTACTATATTACAGAACATCTGAGGTAAGTCATAGAAATTATGTAACCATGGCATTTTTATCACTGATAACTCAGTAGTGAGGCCAAGGGAGACTGTCAGAGGTAAAATGGAAAGACGGGAGACAGTGATTACTGGATGACAGGGAAAAGATGTAAAGGTTTACTGTGCATTTTTTTTTTTTTTTTGAGATGGAGTCTTGCTCTGTCGCCCAGGCTGGAGTGCAGTGCTACGATCTAGGCTCACTGCAAACTCTGTCTCCCGGGTTCAAGCAATTCTTCTGCCTCAGCCTCCCAAATAGCTGAGATTACAGGCGTGCACCACCATGCCTGGCTAATTTTTATATTTTTAGTAGAGATGAGGTGTCACCATGTTAGCCAGGCTGGTCTCCAACTGCTGACCTCAAGTGATCTGCCTGCCTTGGCTTCCCAAAGTGCTGCGATTACAGGCATGAGCCACTGCGCCCGGCCAACACTGTCTTTTTAATGTCCAAAACTAAAAGGAGACATGTCCGTGGAGAAAGGATATATCAAATTTGATAAGAGTTCATTAATGACCAAAAATTCCAAATCATAGCTGGGACTCCCTCAATTTATTTAACCTTTGCCCAGTTCCTCCACCCCACACTATTCTTCAGCAATTAACTGAATTACTTAAGTAATTAAAATAAGAAAATATCAGCATGAAACATGTATAAGAATGGAAAATAAGTAAATAAATTAAAAATGTGAAAGAAACAAGCAAAAAGTTAAAAAGAAAAACCATTACGCCTGTAATCCCAGCACTTTAGGAGGCCGAGGCAGGTGGATCACCTGAGGTCAGAAGTTCGAGACCGGCCTGGCCAACATGGTGAAACCCCATCTCTACTAAAAACACAAAAAATTAGCCGGGCATGGTGGCAGGTACCTATAATCCCAGCAACCTGGGAGGCTGAGGCAGGACAATCGCTTGAACCCGGGATGGGGAGGTTGCAGTGAGCCGAGATCGCGCCATTATACTCCAGCCTGGGCAACAAGAGCAAAACTCCCATCTCAAAAAAACAAAAAACAAAAAACAAAAAAAAAACCTAAGAAAAACAATCCAAGGAAACATGAAAAATTCCAACAACTCATTCTGTGTAGTCTCAAAAAAATCAGATATTATTATCTCTCTACTAAAATGTATCTGTGAAGAGAGGTAAGCATTTAAAGAGGACATTATGAAATAACCTAGGCTAGGTGTGATGGCGCATGCCTGCAATCCCAACTCTTGGGGAGGTTGAGTGGACAGATTGCTTGAGGTCAGGAGTTTGAGACCAGCCTGCCCAACATGGCAAAATCCCGTCTCTACTAAAAATACAAAATTAGCTGGGTGTGGTGGTGTGCACCTGTAATCCCAGCTACTTAGGAGGGTGAGGTGGGAGGATCTCTTGAGCCTGGGAGGCAGAGGTTGCAGTGAGCTGAGATTGCACCACTGCACTCCAGCCTAGGTGACAGTGAGACCCCCCATCTCAATAAAATAAAATAAAACAAAATAAAATAACCTAGAGAGTTTTAAAAGCAAGCTGGCAAGGCTTGCTTTTAAAGCAAGGCTGATCCATGTGTCAGAGGTCCTTCCTTTTTAAGGCAGAATAATATCCCATTGTATGTATTTATCACATTTTGTTTATTGATTCATTTATTGATTCATCTGTAATGGATACTTGGGTTGCTTCTACCTTTTGACTATTGTTAATAATGCTGCTATGAACATGGGTGTACAAATCTCTCTTGAGTCTCTGCTTTCAGTTCTTTTAAGTGTATATCCAGAATTACTGGATCATGTGTGGCAATTCTGTTTTTAATTTTTTGAAGAACTGCCATACTGTTTTCCACAGCAGCCGTACCATTTTACATTCCTGCCAGCAGCGCACAAGGATTCCGATTTTTCCGCATTCTTGACAATACTTGTTATTTTATTTTTTCTTTCTTTCTAATAGTAGCCATGCTGCTGGGTATAAGGTGGTACCTCATTGTGGCTTTGATTTGCATTTCCCTAGTGATTAGTGTTGTTGAGCATCTTTCATGTGCTTGTTGGCCATTTGTATGTCTTCTTTAGGAAAATGTTACTCAAATTCTTTGCCTGTTTTTTGATCTGGTTGGTCTTTTGGTTTTTTGTTTGTTTGTTTTTTGAGATGGAGTCTCACTTTGTCACCCAAACTGGAGTGCAGTGGGGCGATCTTGGTTCACTGCAACCTCTGCCTCCTGAGTTCAAGTGATTCTCCTGCCTCAGCCTCCTGACTAGCTGGGATTACAGGCACACGTGCTACCACGCCCAGCTAATTTTTATATTTTTAGCAGAGACAGGGTTTCACCATGTTGGCCAGCTTGGTCCTGAACTCCTGACCTCAAGTGATCTGCCTGTCTCGGCCTCCCAAAGTGCTGGGATTACAGGTGTGAGCCACTGCGCCCAGCCTGGTCTTTTGTTGTTGTTATTGAGTTTAGGAGTTCCTTATATAGTCTGAGTATTAACCGCTTATCAGAAACAAGATTCGCAAATGTTTTCTGTCATTCTGTAATTTTTCTTTTCCCTCTTTGATTGTGTCCTTTGATGCACAGTTTTTTATTTTGATGTAGTCTGTTTTATCTGTTATTACTTTTGCTGCCTGCGCTTTCGGTGTCATATTCAGAAATCATTCCCAAATCCAATGTCATGAACCCCTGGGTTTTAGTAAGTATGTTTTAACTGTTCATAACTTCTAACTAATCTGTAATTGCAGATTATATTTATTTTTTATATAGAAAAAATTAACTCATCAAGCAGATTTATTCTTTTAATAATTAATTTGTAGTTTTCTTATTTTAGGGTCAAAAACTATGGCTTAAGCTCTAGATTTCCATTCTTTAGAATTTGTTAAGATTTTCCTTGTGGTTTAGAACATTTCAATGTTTGTAAATATTCTTGGACTTTAGAAAAGAATGCATGTAGGCCGGGTGCAGTGGCTCATGCCTGTAATCCCAGCACCCTGGGAGGCCGAGGTGGGTGGATCACCTGAGGTCAGGAGTTCGAGACCAGTCTGGCCAACATGGTGAAACCCTGTCTCTACTGAAAATACAAAAAATTAGCTGGGCGTGGTGGTGGGTGCCTGTAATCCCAGCTACTTGGGAGGCTGAAGTAGAAGAATCGCTTGAACCTGTGAGGCAGAGGTTGCAGTGAGCCGAGATCATGCCATTGTACTCCAGCCTGGGCAACAAGAGTAAAACTCCATCCAAAAAAAAAAGAAAGAAAGAAAAGAATGCATGTACTATCTTTTTAGAGTTCAACGTTATCTATATGTATTACATGTGTTTTCTTGTTTGTTTGTTTGTTTGAGACAGAGTCTCACTCTGACACCAGGCTGGAGTGCAGTGGCGCGATATCCACTCACTGCAACCTCTGCCTCCCAGGTTCAAGCGATTCTCTTGCCTCAGCCTCCTGACATATGTGTTTTATTTTTCCAAATCCTCTCTGTTTATTTTTGGTCTATGCGATCTGTCAAATTCTTAAAGAAATGGGTTAAAAATTTTAAAATAAATTCTTTTATCCCCATTAGTTATTTATTTAAATATTTTGGTGTTATGAGCTTGCACTTTAGAATTAGCATATCAGGGTTTGAGTTCCATGTCCATCTATCACTGTGAACTATGAACATCATTTAATCTCTCTGATGTCTAGTCCTCATTTGCAAAATGAAAGAAAGCATTAACCACAGTCACTCCATGGAGTAGTAAAGATTATTTGAGATGTATTTAAAGCATTCTCACTACAGGTGTGTTCAAAAGATACTCACTATTCTTTTGTCTTGTCCTACTTAATGCTTATTTTTTGTATTCATTCATTCATTTTTTTTTTTTTTTTGAGATGGAGTCTTGCTCTGTCGCTCAGGCTGGAGTGCAGTGGCACAGCTCACTGCAACCTGTGCCTCCTGGGTTCAAGTGATTCTCCTGCCTCAGCCTCCTGAGTAGCTGGGATTACAGGTGTGCACCACCATGTCTGGCTAATTTTTGTATTTTTAGTAGAGACAGGGTTTCACCATGTTGGTCAGGCTGGTCTCAAACTCCTGACCTCATGATCCGCCCACCTCAGCCTCCCAAAGTGCTGGAATTACAGGCATGAGCCACCGCAGCTGGCCCATTCATTGATTCTTGAGATGGGGCAGGTGGCAGCAGGGGTGGGGTGGTGTTCTCGCTATGTTGCCCAGGCTGGTCTCAATCTCCTGGCCTCAAGAGATCCTTCCACCTGAGCCTCCTGAGTAGCTGAGATTACAGGCATGCACCACCATGCCTGGCAGTGCTTTTTTTTTTTTTTTTTTTGAGATAGAATCTTGCTCTGTCGCCAGGCGGGAGTGCAGTGGCGTAATCTTGGCTCACTGCAACCTCTGCCTCCTGGGTTCAAGTGATTCTCCTGCCTCAGCCTCCCGAGTAGCTGGGACTACATGTGCACACCACCACGCCCAGCTAATTTTTGTATTTTTAGTAAAGACAGCCTTTCACCATGTTGGCCAGGATGGTCTGGATCTCTTGACCTTGTGATCTGCCTGCCTTGGCCTCTCAAAGTGCTTGGATATACAGGCATGAGCCACCAGGCCCGGCCCATGCTTTCTTTTAAATCATCAATTTCACTTTGATTTTATATTGCTACTTTTGCTTCTTTTTGTCTTCACTTGTTTTACCTTTGTTGGCCATTCATTTAATTTCAATCTATGTTGTTTTAATTCAGATATTATTCATAAAGAGAATATAGCTGTATTTTCTTCTGTTTTTTCAGAGAGATTTTTGTCTTTCAATAGGGAAATTTAGCCCACTGAATTTGTTGTTATTGATGCTAAGAATGTATTCATACACCTTAAATTGTGTTTTCTCTTTTTTATGCTTTGTTTTTCCCTTTTCTTCCTGACTTTTGTGGTGTTGGTGAAGTGGTATTGGTTTTGGTTTCTTTGTATTTCTTTCTTCTCAAATTATTTGAAAGTTCTACAAGAAGTTGTGGTCAGTATCTTTAAAACAAAACAAAAAAAAAACCTGATATGTTTATAAATAACTGATATGCTTATAAAGAAAAAAAGGATGTATCTTTTCTCTTTTTAAGACAGGATCTCTGTCACCCAGACTGGAGTGCAGTGGCACCATAATGGATATTGTAGCCTTAACTTCCTGGCCTTAAGTGATTCTCCCACCTCAGCCTCCCAAGTAGCTGGGACAACAGGATCATGCCACCACACCCGACTAATTTGTTTATTTTTTATAGAGACAAGGTCTCACGATGTTGCCCAGGCTGGTCTCAAACTCCTGGGCTCAAGTGATCCTCCTGCTTTGGCCTCCCAAAATGCTGGGATTACAGGCGTGAACCACTGTGCCTGGTGGTATATATTTTCTTATTTCCCATTCTCTTCTCCAAACATAGTGAGACTTTTAACGGTTAAAATTCACTCCCCAAGGGCCCATACCACCCAAATTTATTGAAATAAACTGGGATTTTAATTACAGATTATTTTTAATATTTCAATTTTTGTTTTTTCTATGCTATATAGCATTTGTATTAGATTTTATAAAAACATTATCAATAATTTTTTAGATCCCACGGGGCTTTTACTCTCCAGTACTTTTTGTTTTCTCTATTTACCTCTTTATTGAGTTTTATTTAATTGCAAGAAGCATCAAATATTCTTTATATATATACATATATGTTCTTTATATATCTACATAATAGATATTTATATATCTCCATAATAGATATTTATCAGATAGATGATTTGCAAATATTTTCTCCCGTATTATGGGTTGTCTTTTCACTTTCTTGATTCTGTCCTTCGATATACAAAGGTTTTCAATTTTTATGAATCAATTTATCTAGCTTTTTCCTTTGTTGCTCGTACTTTTGGTGTCATATTAAGAAACCTAATCCAGTGTCAAATAACTCTATAGTTTTACAGTTTCAGCTCTTACATTTAGATCTGTGATCTATTTTAAGTTAATTTTTGTATCTGCTGTAAAGTAGATGTCAAATTCATTCTTTCTCATGTGGATATCCACCTGTCCCAGCACCATTTATTGAAAAGACTATTCTTTCCCAATGTATTGCATTATTTTGATATCCTTGTTGAAAACCAGTTGACCACAGATGCATGGGTTTAGTTCTGAACTTTTAATTCTATTCTGTTGATCTGTATGTACTTATATGAGCACCACATTGTCTCGATTACTATGGCTTTGTCATGAGGTTTGAAATTGGGAAGTGTAGTCCTCTGACTAGGTTCTTTTTTCTTAAGTTTATTTTGGCTATTTTTGATCCCTTGCATTTCCATATGAATTATAGGATCAGCTTATCAATTTCTACAAGACAGGCAAATGGAATTTGATAGAGATTATATTGCATCTGTAGATCAACCTGGAGATTACTGCCATCTTAACAATGTTAGGTCTTTAAATCCAGTAACACAGGATGTCTTTCCATTTACTTAGGTTTTCTTTCATTTCTTTTAATGATGTTTTGCAGTTATAGTGTATATCATGTGCTCCATTTTATTTTTCAAGCTTCCAACATATCAATAGTAGCTCCCCTGAATTTATTTTTTCTCTTTTATTTTTTCTTTCACAATTTCAATTTCTTCATCTTTTTGCTCTGTACTCTGGAAATATTGAGATGGTCTTATAATTTACTAATTCAGTTTTCAGCAGTATCCATTTTTTCTATTAACTGCTTAGTTTTTTCAACTTAAATAGTCATCTACTGTTTAATTTCCAACATCATTCTGGTTTTCAGATTGCTTCATTTTCACAACCTGCTTGTTACTCTTTAAATTTCACTAAGAACATGAACAAGATTTTTAAAAAAGTTTTGTCTTATTTCCTGCATTAACTCCATTTTAGTGGGTGATATTTGCTCTCATTTGGTCCTCTTCTTTCAAATGGTAGATTCTCTCCTTATGATTGGTGATATTTTTTATCTGCTCATATTTCTAAGTGAAGATCTAGATCATTCAGCATTGGTAACTGGCATCCGATCTGGAATTAGAGAGACCTTTGTTCGGTTCCCCACAGTGTATCTTCCCCTCTGACGAAGATGGTGGTAGGTTGGTTTTCCTTTCCAGTGAATTGGCTTTGAGTGGGAAAGTAGTAGCACCCTTTCTAGTAGAAGGTGAATTCTTTTTTTTTTTTTTTTGAGACGGAGTCTCACTCTGTCACCCAGGCTGGACTGCAGTGGCATGATCTCGGCTCACTGCAAGCTCTGCCCCCGAGTTCACGCCATTCTCCTGCCTCAGCCTCCTGAGCAGCTGGGACTACAGGCGCCCACCACCACGCCTGGCTAATTTTTTATATTTTTAGTAGAGACGGGGTTTCACCATGTTAGCCGGGATGGTCTCAATCTCCTGACGTTGTGATCGGCCCGCCTCGGCCTCCCAAAGTGCTGGGATTACAGGCGTGAGCTACCGCGCCCGGCCAGAAGGTGAATTCTTATAATGCATGCGTATGCTGAGCCACTAAGCCTCAGATCTTAAATTGAGAGAAAGGGAAACACAGTGAGGAAGCAAAGAAATAAAGTATTTGCAGCTTTGCCCAGGAAAGAACTTTGGGTATGATTACTGGTCCATGGAACTCATAGGAAGAGAATAGTCTACTAAGTGTCTAAGAAAACCGTAAGGTCAAATCAGCTATAAACCTGGCCTTTAAAATGCCTTACATGTAGGCCAGGAGTCGTGGCTTATGCCTATAATCCCAGCACTTAGGGAGGCAGAGACTGGAGGATGGCTTGAGCCCAGAAGTTTGAGACCTGCCTGGGCAACATAGCAAGACCTCGTTGTCCACAAAAAGGAAAAACAAACAAACAAAACCAAAAACAAAACAAAATCCTTAAGTATGAATGAGCCCTCAGGACTCCAAACTTATACCAGCAGGAAATGCGCTGTGAAAACTGTGAAGTCTCTGGAGGGCTTACTTCCTAGTTGCACTTCAGATATGGTCATGGAGAATAATGAACAAGGAAGAATATTCCAGAGTGTGGAGCCAAGGGCCACAGAAATAAATGCAAAGTGGTGTTCATCCTTGAGAGCAGAACCAGGATGTAATCATAGAACTTCCTCCACTGCCAAGGTGAAGGATCGTCACAGTAACTACCCAGAAGGATTCTGCCATTTATGTATGAACTCTGTTGTGAGTCTCATATTTTTCACTAAATTTAGGGTTTTAAGGCAGCGTATCTATGTAGAAACACTTGGGAATCACTGTTATGGGAGAGAGTGGAGGGATGCACAGGCAATGATCACAGTCAACATTTAATAGTGTTCCGGGCTGGGCATGGTGGCTCATACCTGTAATCCCAGCACTTTGGGAGGCTGAGGCGAGCAGATCACCAGAGGTCAGGAGTTTGAAACCAGCCTGCCAACATGGCGAAACCCCGTCTCTACTAAAAATACAAAAAATTAGCCAGGCGTGGTGGCGGGCACCTGTAATCCCAGCTACTCAGGAGGCTGAGGCAGGAGAATCGCTTGAACCTGGGAGGCAGAGGTTGCAGTGAACCGAGTTCATGCCACTACACTCCAGCCTGGGCAACAAGAGCAAAACTCTGTCTCAAAAAAAAAAAAAAAAAAAAAAAAAAAAAAAAAAGTGTTTCAGGCACTAATGCATCTTCTTTTTTTTTTTTTCTTTTTGAGACATAGTCTCACTCTGTCACCAGGCTGGAGTCAGGATTCAAAACTATGGGACCTTTTTTCAGAATGTTCACTCTGAACCCTATCATCTTTTATAATTATGGAGGTCTACTGGGCATGCTGAGGGACATAGAAATCCCAAAGGGAAGACAAGGCAGAAACACAAATTCAGGACACAGGAGTGTGAAATCTTTTTTTTTTTTTTTGAGTCGGAATTTTGTTCTTGTTGCCCAGGCTGGGGGTGCAATGGCGCAATTTGGCTCACTCCAACCTCCGCCTCCAGGATTCAAGCGATTCTCCTGCCTCAGCCTCCCAAGTAGCTGAGAATACAGGTGTGTGCCACCAACACCTAGCTAATTTTGCATTTTTAGTAGAGATGGGGTTTCACCATGTTGGTCAGGCTGGTCTCGAACTCCTGACCTCAAGTGTTCCACCTGCCTTGGCCTCCAAAGGGCTGGGATTACAGGCGTGAGACACTGTACCCGGCTGGGAGTTTGTTATCTAATGAAGATGGCATTGAACTCTTTTCAATCTACCAGGATATATAGATTACTCTCACTTTTACCCTTGTTAGGGACTTGCCTTGTTTACTGACAAATCACCACTACTACTGATATATTGTGCCGTCTAACTCACATTAGGTGCTCAATATCTGTTGAATGGATGAAGAATGAATACCAGAGTCCTGTAATATTAGACTATGGTCCTTGAGTGACTGCCAGATTTGCTTTCACATTTCTAGGGTCTAGTGTACCTGGCACTCAACAAATGGTCCTTGCACTAAGAGAGAAAACTGCACTGGTGGTTTTACTTTAAAGCGGCTCCTTGTTCAGTGTCCTTATCTTTAAATTGGAAGGTGTTTTGCTTCTGCCCAACCCCCACACACTCTACAGACCTTGTGATGGGTTGAGTTTTTCAAAAGATTCTCACCTGCTTTAACTTCTATGAGCTTAGTTTATATTCACCAGGTGAACTTAAAATTTCAGTTTCTACAGCACTGTCTTTTCCACGTGTATGGCCAGTTCTCATGATGAGTTTACTAAGTGACTTTGGATTCTTTTAGCTATTGCTAATCATCTGCACCTTTCTGTTGTAGTTATTTTAAAGCCCGCCCGCGCGCGCGCGCGCACACACACACACACACACACACACACACACACTCTTGAGTCAGGGTCTCTGTCACCCAGGCTAAAAGCGCTGGGACTACAGACATGAGCCACCGCGTGGGGCCAAAAACATACGGATTTTATTTACTAAACCTGTATTGTGTGCATGACCCAGAATTGTGGGAGTACAGCAATGACTGAGAAAGCCGTGTTTCCCACCTTCGTGGCACATAACAATGTTTCTATGGGTTTTTAAAGGCCCAACAACAGGGATTCAATTATAAAATAAAAATATTTCGGTACAAAACATGATTTAAAAAAAGACAACTATGTCTTCCGAGTGGAGGAGGGAAAGGACAATCAAACCTCGAACAAATCGTTTATCTTGCTAGTCACAGCTTAGCTATGCCTTGTTATTTTCCGGTGATTCCAAACTTCCAGTCCATTCCCTCTGCATGGATCAAAAGTGACAGGAAAGAAAAAAATGTATTTCGGATATGGCAAAAAAGAAAAATGCAAGACAAGCAAACAAAAGTACTGGGACATCGTATGAGAACTAGTTTAATTGACAATGTCTTTAAATGGTACCTATCACTTGACAATGATTCCAACCCACCCGGGCCTGGGCGCCGCGGCTGCCTCCCCACTCCCACGCACACGGGGAGCTCCCCCGGGCTGTACTGCACTAAAGGCACTCAAAATACATCAGCCTTTCCTTACCTCGATTCTTCCACCACATCCAGCATGGAGCTGCTGCTTCCAGAGATGTAGTCGCCTATCTGTGGCAACAATTAGTTTTAAAAATGGAGCCGCATCTCTAATAACAAAAGCCTCCAGCTGTGAAAAGTGGAGCTAAATCTCTCTACCGGGCCGCAGCATCTCTCAAGAACCTTTTCCCCGCAGCACCCGTCAAGGCCCAGGGCCAGCTGGACGCGGCTGCCCTGGGGTGGAGCCGTCCCCGTGGTCCCGGGAGGCTACCGACGAGCCGGGGCCCGGGGCCGGAGGGCGTGCTCCTCCGGGAGGTGCAAAAGTCGGCTTGGGCCCGGAGCTCCCGGGTTTGTTTGGTTTTGTCCGCGCCCTGCCCCCACCCTACCCCCTTCATGCAAAAGGCCAAGGGTTTCCGAGCCACCACTGCCCAGGCCGAGTTCACGCTTGGGGCTCTTCAGCCGCCGTCCAGTGAACAGAGAAAGCAATTGCGCAGAGGCGAGAGCAGGCTGAATGAACGCGGGCTCCAGGGGAAATAATTTTTCCTCCTGGCTTCGCGCGTCAGCACACTGGGGTGCAGCCCTCCCTCACAGAAGACCCCCCCCCCGCACGACCCCCTGTACACCCCCGCGGGGCTGCGCGTTCGTCTGTGCGGCGGGGTTTGGGAATGGAGGCGTGAGGACCGCGCATCGAGGGCTCCACAGGCTGGGCGGGGGGCGTCGTTGGAGGGGGGTAGGGGAGAAATGCGCGCCCACCACCCTCACAGAGGGCGAGGGACCCCCAAAAGCCACTCGCGGACGCCGAGGCAGCGGGAAGGCGCGAGGCGGGGCGGGGGGAGGGGGCGCGGGGGTCCCCGCTGCGGAGGCCAGGGCGGGCGGGAGGGGCAGCACCTGAGGAATCCGCCTCCGGCTGCGGCGGCCGCCGCCTCGCTCCGCCCCGGGGAACTGAGCGCGCGGACCGCGCGCCTGCCAGAGAGACGCCAGCCGCCGGCGGCGCTAGCACCTCGGAGTCGGGCGGCCGGAGCAGCGGAGCGCAGCGCGGCGCAGGGAACGGCACTGGGGGTGGGGAGACCAGCCCGGCCGAGCCGAGGGCCACCCCCTGGTCCTCTGCCCTCGCGCCCCGCTAGGGCCAGGTGAGCGGCCGCGGGGACTCCGGGGCGCGGGCAGGAGGTGAGAGGTCGCGAACCGGGCGCGGGAGCTCGCCTGTGACCGGCAGGAGCTGCCCTTTGGCGGGCTGGACGCCCTGGCCGCGCGGGGAAGCGCCGCAGCGGACTTTTCCGGAGGGATGGGAAGCTCAGCGGGGGTGTGAGCGGAGCGCGTGCGGGTGGCGAGGGAGCGCCAGTGCCAACCTGGGAGCCGTGCCTGCCTTCCCTGCCGCCTCGCGTCGCCCACCGAAGGGACCCGGCCGTGCTGTCCGCGCCCAGAGGCCGAAGGCCTGTCACCGGGCTCTACTCGCTGCCTTTGTGGCGGGAGCGAGACGGCCCGGGGGTGGGACGAGGGAGCTGCGGCGCGCCGAGTAGCGCGGGGTCCCCCGGCGGAGGCGGCGAGGGGGCACCTGGTTCGTCTCCCCGAGCCCAGGGGCAGTGAGGGGGTGCCGGGCAGGCGGGCGGGCGACAGGTAGGGCGCCGCGGAGGTGGCGGGGAGAGGATGGATGGAGTTCAGCCTGGGAAAGTTGAGAACGTCCAGAGGTGGCTGGGCGCTCGCTCGGCGTCTGTGGGTTTTTTTCCTCAACACCAAATGTCACTTCGTCACGAGCGGGCGCGCGTGTCTTCCGGCCAGCATGTCCATTTTTCTGTGCATGGCTGAGGACCACTCTTATTCCGAATGAGACACAAAGAGTTGTGTTGACAGCTGACCCTGACACAAGCAGACAGCGAGTGAGGTGCGCCCTGGCCGGGGAGGGTGAGGGAGACTCGTTAAAGGAAATCCATTCCCGCCGTCCCTCTTCCCAGCTCCATTAAGAGGAAACTCCATGTGGAGATTCAGTGCGTGGGGTTTCTCAGTTACATGAGTCCAAGGAACGTCCCCGAACGCGACTCGTTTGCCCGGAACTGCCGCTGCCTCTAACCGAGGCTGCGGGTCCTGGAGAAACTCCTCAGTCTTGCCCCTTTCTCCGGTGAACGTGACGGTTCCAAGGTCCTTATCCTCCCCACCCACTCCTCTGGCCCCGGCTGAGAGGATAGAAACCACATTTTAATTTCTGCTTTTCACACCGTAAGGTGTTTTTTTCCGCCTCCCCCCGCCTCGAGGCGGGAATCCCTGCTTAAATCACATTTTTAAACCTAGCCGTTTAAATACAGGGAAGAGCTTTCCCACAAAAGGTTTTTGAACTCAGTCCCCCTTAATAAAACCTCTCATTCATCTATATATGTTCTTAGACTTTAAATCCTGGAACTCTGCTTTGAGTGTTGTGACTGTGTTGTTTCTTCTCTTTGCTGAAATTTTCTAGGAGGTTTTGTGAATGATACTGAAAAATTATTTAAAAGAGAAAAAATTAAATTGTTGAAATATTTAGTAATACAGTTACATGCATATAGGTATGTATTTCAAGAGGAAAATGTTTAATGAATGAATATATAAGTAGGGTAAACATTTCAAACAACAGTGAAGAGTATACAGTGTAAATTAAGCCCTCTTTCCTCTCCTCCATACAAGCCTTCATCCTTCTCAGAGGCAGCCACTGTTGTATATTTTTTGTATATCTTTCCGTAAGTCTATTAAAATGGAATTACATTATAGATGATGAAAGGGATTGAATATAAGACTGAACTATATATTCGTGGTGATGACCATTAACTTGATACCCACTCATGATGACATGAGATTATTTAGCCAAATGTGGACAATTATTACCTTGAAGATCAGTTAGAGGGCTAAAAATCTTAGAACAGTATGCAGTGGAAAGCAAAACTATTAAACTAATATCTCCTCCTGCACACACACCAGTTTCCCTACACTGGTTTTTGCAATCTTTATTGAATTTTTCCTCCATTTTGGAATTCTTTATGAAGTAGAGAATGAGAACTGTAGTAGTTTACTTTGTCTACCGCAGTGTGTATCTGAAAACACTGAAAGGGCGTGTGTATACTCCCATTGACATGACATAATATAAAGATGTTAGTGGTAAAGGATAAATACGAAGGCCGAGTTTCAGATGTTTGGTTGCATCTCTTAATTCTAGGCCTGGATTTGCCACAAACCCGCCACACGACGTAACTTTTTTTTGGAAAACTTTGTTTCCCACTCAGTTAGATAAAGGAATTGAACTATGTGATTTTTAAGGGTCCTTCGAACTCCAGAGTTCTACGATTAAAATAGTTGTCCTAAAACTGGCTAAAGATAACCATTGGACTGTGGATGTTAGACAGTGGGGCGACAAAAAACATTCCTGAATGGTGGATTCATGAAGAGGAGGTTAGAGATGTTTAAACTATATCCCTGCTCTTACGAGTTTGATGTCATTGGAGAACAGCTACTCTCCTTACCCACAGAATGTGTGTTTATGTTGCTGATAGAGGCCAAACACCGGGCTGAGGGCCTCTCATGTCACCTTGTGTGGCTAAGGAGAGTGAATTCTCCTCGCAGCCCACAGTGTCATTTTTAGGAAAATTACTCTTACCAAACTCTTCTTTTTGGTAAAGTGGAAATTAACTTTACCTACTTGAAAGAGACTTGACATAATTTAATTTATACTTCTCTGAAGTGTTTAGATTATGAACATCCCTTATAGCTAAGATATTTTAGTTACTTGATAAATATTCACCTAGGGAGTATGTTCTTATTAGGAAACTTCTAATTTGTAAAGTACCTGCAGCCTTTGGGCTAATGATGGGGACAGGAGTTAAGGAGTGATTGTAAGGTTGTGAAAGTAAAAATTAGCTGATTTTAGTGACTGCGTATGGTCTAAATTAAGGGATTTCAAAGGTACACTGTAAGCGATGATTGCAAAAAGTGTTGATGTTAAGATAGAGATCTCATACTGAAAGCTAAAGCTTTCTAAAAGCACCGCTGATGAAACATATGTAATTATTTTGAATAAGTCTAATATAAATTATAAATTCGCTGTAGGAATTGTTTGGGATCCTAAGAATAAGAACTAGAAGAATATATTTGTAAGGGTACTTAGAGTAATATTGATTGATTAATGAAGCTGACAGAAACAAAAGAAAATTCAATACCAGTAGTGAAATTCTTCAAAATGGTAATGGTTTTTATTTTTTCCAGCTCCCTTCCCAATCTTGCCATATGAATGAATATTTTTACAAATGTTTTATATTGCAGATAATTTTCACCCTGTTTTTTATAAACATTTTTTCTATAGCTTACTTCCCATTATTTACAATAATTTTATAAAAGTTTATGCAATGGATGTTCATTATTAACTTAAGCCTTCCTGTTTTTGATTTTGCAGCATAAAAAATGTAATGCCTATTCTTTTTTTGTTTTGTTTTGTTTTGTTTTGTTTTGTTTTGTTTGAGACGAAGTCTTGCTTTGCCACCCAGGCTGGAGTGCAGTGGTGCGATCTCCACTCACTGCAAGCTCCGCCTTCCGGGTTCACGCCATTCTCCTGCCTCAGCCTCCCTAGCAGCTGTGACTACAGGCGCCTGCCACCACGCCTGGCTAATTTTTTGTATTTTTAGTAGAGATGGGGTTTCACTGTGTTGCAGGATGGTCTCGATCTCATCGATCTCGACCTCGTGATCTGCCCGCCTCAGCCTCCCAAAGTGCTGGGATTACAGGCGTGAGCCACCATGCCTGGCCTATAATGCCTATTCTTATACATGTAACTTTATTTCTTTTCTTTTCTTCTTTTTCCCTTAACTTCCTTAGGATCTTTTTTTTCTTGAGGGATAGTATAATGTAGTTGTAAATGGGTGGGTTCTAAAATTAGAGGTTGTGGGTTTAAACCTAGCTCTAGTACTCATTGGCAATATTGGACAAGTAATTTATTTTCTCAGAACTTTAGCTTACTAAGATGTAAAATGGGTTATATTAATAGTTCTTTAAAGTTAAGATAAAAAGCAATAACACATGAAACACATAAATGTTAGCTCTTATTTTTATTAGGAAATTTCTAGATTTACAGTAATTTCCACATTACTTTCTAAAAGGACTATATAAATTTATACTGTCATTAACAATCTATGTGTGTGCTTATGTTATCTTAAAACATATTATTGTTACTAATTTAATCAGTGTAACATTTTATACCTTTCTTTTGCTTTGCATTTCTTTAGTCTTATACAAAGTGAGGGATAGTTTTTTCCGCCATATTGCTATAGTTTTCCAAACTGAGTGATGGAAATTTCATTACCTCAGTCATTTTGAGCTGTACCATAAGCTAGACATATAGGGGTGGTCAGTTACACCACTAATGAATAGTGAACCAAATTTTCCAATAGACTTTTTTCAAACTAATTGTAGTTTTCTTGTATTTTCAGTCTATGGTAATATTTATTAGCTATTATTATTATTTAACTCTTAGAAAAGTAGCTGTTAACTAAGATATAAACGATATTTAAGTGAAAATGCAATCTTCCTTGAAGAGCTGATTTGTGGTTAGTATTGTGATCACAGTTTGCTGGAATTTTACTAGGAATGCTTCTCAAAACTTGAGGAAAAATCAGAGAGAAAATTTATGATCTCCAATCATGTTATCTTTTGGCTACAAATGGATAATGAAGTTATGCCCACTGACTTGAGTTCTTATATAGTCAAGGTAATTTAGACTACAAAAAGCATGCCCTTGTGAGTTCTGGAGTTCCAGCATCCCTGATATTTTTGGCAAATATACACCCAACATGGATAACAGCAGCTCTTTGTGCTGTTGAGCCCCAGGAGGGCTCCCTATTGTGTACACTTTCTTCCCTCCCATTCTTGACTGGTGACAGCAACTCCTTCAAGTCCAGATGTGGAGTCCCACAGTGACTCTTCTCTTCTACCCAACTCTGTATTTGCCCCTACCACCCCACCCTTCAGTGCAGTTGTTTTTGACCTGCCTATGATGTAGAGAATTCACTATCTTTTCAAGGTTGTGGTTTCAGATTTTATTTTTATTTTTCCCTATGCTTTATGAGTATCTTCAGCAGTCCCTACAGTAGGGACTGTAGCCATGTTAGCATAGATTAACACATAATCACTTGATAAATGTTTGTTGCTGTGAACTATATCTTGTATTGTCTTCTCTGTTCCTGGTCATAGTTCTGTTTTTATGGTGCCAGTCTGCAGAAGCAAGCACCAGTTGTGTCCTGTATTCCCGTGTTTGCCTATATTACCAAGGTTAGGAGTTAGGAGGAGACCTGCTTGTTACGGCTCTTCCAACTTTTTGTGTGCTTAGGAGACTTTCTTAACTCCTGTGCTTTACTTTTCTTCTGTAAAATGAGATTAACAATTACTGCTCTAATTACCAACCTTCTGGATAGGTTTATTTTGAAGATAAAATGAAATAATAAATGTAGACATATTTTAGAAAAAAGGATCTACAAATTCGTATTATGTTGTCAAAATTACATAATGTCACTACCCTTCTAGGAGTGTCCATATCTTTGAGAAAACCTCATCTTGATGTAGAGTTGCACTTAGAGCTTGAGGTTACATGCAGATTCTTGGGGTCCACTCTGACCTGTTGAATCAGAAATTCTGGGGATAAGGCCTACCAATCTGCATTTTAACAACCCTTCTGATACTGAAGCACTGTTCTAGGGAGTAAGAAACCTCAGCGCCCACTAAAAAAGTATTCTCCTAATAGTTAAATATTAGTTATAAAATAATCCAGAAATATCATAAATCATTTTTGCATGCTAACCATGGAATGAAAATTAGCTATTATTAGCTGCTATTTGTCTTTTAATCTCTCTAAATTTAATTCAGGTAGGAATTGTAAACTCAGATGTGTGGAGGGGCCAAGCAGTAAACCTGAGTTGTGAAGCAAGACACTTGTAAAGTAATAGAGGTGATGAGTTCTGGTGGACAAGAAAGTCTGAGGGTGGCAGAGTTTCTAAGGCTCCACTGATTGTTGCCTTTTGGGGTTGTGGGCCACTGTTGCTAGGCCATTTGATTTTTCAGGTGAAGCTAGAAATTCACATTTTTATGTGAATTTAAATGTTGGCAATACATTTTAAAGAAAACACATGGACCTAATAATCTGGAAGCCAGATAACTTCCAACCCCTGAGTTAAATAATATGGGTGAACATATTTGCATTTGAATGAGTGTGATGACAGAAGAAACAATCCCATTCAACATTATTAATAATCAAAGAAATGTATATTAAAATCACACAGACACTTTTTAACTTTCAGATTACAAAGATTCAATAGATTGATAAAATCTAATGTTGGCAATTGGATAAATAAATGGTTGTTCTTATACTAAGACTGATGGCAAATGATTACAACTTTTCTGGGGAGTAATTTGGCATTATGTTTCAAGACTTTAAATGTCTATACCTGCCTTGTCCAATATGGTAGCCTCTAGCCACATGTGGCTATTTAAATGTAAATTAGTTAACATTATATACAACCAAAGATTCAGTCTCTCAGTTATACTGGTTACATTTCAAGCACTCAATAGCTGCTCATGGCTGGTGGCTGCCATGTTGGACTGTGTAGATATAGAACATTTCCATCACTGGAGAAAGTTCTGTTGGACAGTGCTGGTCTAAACTCTTTGATTTGGAAATTTCCCTTTTTGGAATTTGTTAGAAAAAAACAATTAGACAAATGCACAAAGGCATATAGCAAAAATATCACTTGAAACATTATTTATAAAAGTAAAAACATTAGAAACCACCTAAACACCATGTTATTAAAAATCAAGTTGTAGTAAATATCTATGAAAATAGTGTTACATATGTCGTGAAACTATTTCTATTGTAGAATCTTTTTTTTTTTATTTAGGTAGATAACTTAGTTACAAGGGGTTTGGGGATCACTTTTTCTCTTGTCACAAACGCACATGAGTATGACAGAGCTTTCCCTTTTTAGCCTACAGCTCTTATAGTAGGATGGGTTGACTTTCACTAAAACATGAGCAGAGGCACTTGAGAACTCTCTAAATAACATCCGTATCAGCTGGATTCTTGTTAGATATTCAAAATCTCAGGCCCCATCCCGAGCTTACTGAATCAGAATCTCTGGCAGGACCCAGGAATCTTTATTAACAAACTGTCTGCTTACTAGTGGTATCTGCCTTCTATCACTGAATTGCTCAAGCTTCAGTTGTTTTATCTTGGCCAAGTTAAATCTGACCTCTGTCCAGGTACTGTTGTTAAGTGCTGGGGATGCTGCAGGGAAGAAAAGTGAGAGATATCTGGCCGGGTGTGGTGGCTCATGCCTGTAATCTCAGCACTTTGGGAGACCAAGGTCGGTGGATCACCTGAGGTCAGGAGTTTGAGACCAGCCTGGCCAACATGGTGAAACCCTGTCTCTACTAAAAAAAAAAATACAAAATTAGCCAGGCATCGTGGTGTATGCCTGTAATCCCAGCTACTTGGGAGGCTGAGGCAGGAGAATCATTTGAACTCCGGAGGCGGAAGTTGCGGTGAGCTGAGATTGCGCCATTGCACTCCAGCCTGGCAACAAGAGCAAAACTCTGTCTTTAAAAAAAAAAAAAAAAGTGACAAATATCTCTGTTCTCAGGAGAATCAAACAATGAACAAAAGAAATTGAGGAAAATATGATGTTTTTTAGGTAGTGAGAAGTGCCAGAGAGAAAAGTAGAGCAGAAAGGGGAATTAGAAAGTAAGCTGGAGGTTGCAATTTTCTACGGGTGTCATTGAGAAGTGACTTGAGTGAAGACACAAAGAGGTGAGGGACTGAGCCACTGGAAAGGTTAGGGGAAGAGGGTTTCAGCTTGTTGTTAGAGGGGCAACTAGGAGGCCTGGGAGCAGATGGGGAGAGGTAAGCGAGGGAGCGAGTGGGGGATTAGGTCAGAGAGGTAATCTAGATCTTTTTACTTCAAATTCTTTGTTCTCTCTAGTGCACCACACTCTCAGATTCTTTGGTTAATCAGTTTGTAAAGAGATCAAACATCCTGAAATTCACTGTTCTTTAGCGTGATCTGTCAATTCCTCCTGCCACATTTGCCTGGGGTGCTTGTTAAATACGGATTATTGATCACTAGACCCACTAATAAGAATTTCTAGGGTGGGACCCATGAATGTGCATTTAAAAAAAATGTTCTGCCATAGTCTGAGGATGAATGTGCATTTTAAGTGTCTTCCCAGGTGGTTTTTATGGACATAAGTCTTAGAACTACTACTCAAATGTATCATTCTGTAATTTTAGTTATTTTTAGAGCAGATGCACTTGAAGTTGTCACCTCTGCCTGTATAGGTTAGTGTGAAGAGAAGATGTAATTGGTATAATATCTCTCTGTATTTTTAAACCAATTTAAATGGACACTAATATAAGTTAACATGTATATCTGTTTGGGGTATTCAGGGAACTCTGAGTCTGTTACCATAACTTGTATCCACATCAGAGGGTGGGGGAACCTTTTCACTTGAGAGTTCTGCCTCTCACCCATACAGTCTGTTCTATTTTTTGGAAAGGGCACATTTATATCTCTTTGGTTTTTTTCTCATGTTTTCTTTCTTTTCCTCTTGTTTCCTTTCTTCTTCCTTTTCTCTCCTTGAAATCTAACCACGCTAAGTCAAACATCATCAACATTTTGGTAGCCATTCTTTTATGCATCTCCATGCATATTTATATATAATCAATATTAATAATCTTACATGAATAGGATCATATTATGCTTTTTAAAAAACTTGTAGGCCAGGCACAGTGGCTCATGTCTGTAATCCTAGTGCTTTGGGAGGCCAAAGTGGGAGGAAGAGCACTTGAAGCCAGGAGTTCGAGACTAGCCTGGGCAATGTAATGAGGCTCTATCTCTAAAAACAAACAAACAAACGAAAACTGTAGTTACTTCTTTTTTAAAAATTTGAGGGCTGTCTTTTCCCTTTCCCCTTTCTTTTCACTCCAACAATGTCACTCATCTATTTATGTTGTTACAACTTTTTCCATGATCATGTACCCTTATATATATTTTAGTACTGTATATGTGCTATCATATCTTTCTAATTTTCACCTAATATTCAATAAAACACAAGGAACATAACTCTAAGTTAACTGGTATAGCTTGTCTTTATTCTTTTAAATTATTATACAATATCCTATAAAAATAATCTATAGCATCTGTATTCCACAGTTAAACAACCATTACTTCATTGAAGGGCATTTATTTAAGCCAAACAAGAAACAAGAGGTATATATTAAAAGATAGACATATGATAACACAATTTAAAAACATTTTTGTAAAGCAAGAACCATAAATAAATGCCATAGACATATGATAGATTGGGGAAAAAAATCTGTACCATATGCAAATAAAAGATTATCATCTCGGCTGGGCACGGTGGCTCACACCTGCAATCTCAGCACTTTGGAAGGCCAAGGTGGGCAGATCACAAGGTCAGGAGTACAAGACTAGCCTGACCAACATGGTGAAACCCAGTCTGTACTAAAAATACAAAGATTAGCTGGGCATGGTGGCGCATGCCTGTAATCCCAGCTACTCAGGAGGCTGAGGCAGGAGAATCGCTTGAACCGAGGAGGCAGAGGTTGCAGTGAGCTGGGATTGTGCCAGTGCACTCTAGCCTGGGAGGCAGAGTGAGACTCCATCTCAAAAAAAAAAAAAAAAAAGGATTACCATCTCTAGTTTATAAGGAACTCTTATAAAATGGTAATAAAATATTTTATGAAACATAATTTTAAAGTATTTTGCAAACATTGTCACTAGCTATTCACAGAACCACTATTCCAAATGGTCAATAAGTATGAAAAATGCTTAGCCTTATTAGTTGTTTAGAAATGCAAGTTACAAATAATAGTAAACTATCACTTGATACCTACTTGATATTACTATAGAACTTTAATCAACATTAAAATTTCCAGAAGTAGTTTATTTGTTCTTTGAAAAATCTGTGCAGAAACATTTGTTTTGAAAGTTATATTAGTCCGGGTGCAGTGGCTTATGCCTGTAATCCCAGCACTTTGGGAGGCTGAGGTGGATGGATCACCTGAGGTCGGGAGTTCGAGACCAGCCTAACCAACATGGAGAAACCCCGTCTCCACTAAAAATACAAAACTAGCCTGGTATGGTGGCGCATGCCTGTAATCCCAGCTACTCGGGAGGCTGAGGCAACAAAATCGCTTGAACCAGGGAGGCGGAGGTTGCGGTGAGCCGAGATCGCACCATTGCACTCCAGCCTGGGCAACAAGAGTGAAACTCCATCTGAAAAAAAAAAAAAAAAAAAGTTAAAAGTGGCCGGGCACAGTGGCTCAAGCTTGTAATCCTAGCACTTTGGGAGGCCGAGGTGGGTGGATCACCTGAGATCAGGAGTTCAAAACCAGCCTGGCCAACATGGCAAAACCCTGTCTCTACTAAAAATACAAAAATTAGCTGGGCGTCATGGCGGGTGCCTGTAATCCCAGCTACTCAGGAGGCTGAGGCATGAGAATCGCTTGAACCCGGGAGGCGGAGGTTGCAGTGAGCACCACTGCACTCCAGCCTGGGTGACAGAGTGAGACTGTCCCTCCCCACCCCCCAAAAAAGAAAGTTTTATTAAAGCTATAAAACATAATTTCCCAGGGTTTCCTGTTTGCTCAGATAATTTGAGGGAGATTGACTTTTATTTTATTTCAGTCTTAGCTCATAAGCCAAATTATGAGAACAGAGCTTAGAAAATTTAATTTTGATATCAGTTGCCCATTTGTATTCAAAAGGGTTTCCTTCTGTTTTAAGACAGAGCTTTGTTGGATTTTAGAGCCATAGATCAATCTACCCTGAGAGGAAAACACTGCAGGGTTTACTTGACTTGCCCAAGATCACTAAACTAGTCCTGCATGTTTTCTGGTTTACCATATTGTTTCACAGTGCCTTCTTATACTTGTAATTGCAGCTAATATAGAGAAAACATATTTCAAGAATTTTTTTTTTTTTTTTTTTTTGAGATGGAGTCTTGCTCTGTCGCCCAGGCTGGAATGCAATGGCACGATCTCGGTTCACCGCAACCTCCACCTACCGGGTTCAAGTGATTCTAATCCCAGCCTCCTTAGTAGCTGGGATTACAGGCATGTGCCACCATGCCTGGCTAATTTTTGTATTTTTAGTAGAGTTGAGGTTTCACCGTGTTGGCCAGGCTGGCCTCGAACTCCTGACCTCAGGTGATCCACCCGCCTTGGCCTCCCAGAGTGCTGGAATTATAGGTGTGAGCCACCGTGCTCACTTATTTCAAGGATTTTTTCTCATTTTCAAAAACCGAATATACCACATTTAGAGAAATTAAATGTAATGTGTTTAGATTTTAAATAGAAATAGTAGCATGTGAGAATGATATTAACAAATCAGAAAAAGAAACATTACTTGTAATTCTACCGTCCTTACAAAGTGAACTGTTATTGCAGTTCTGCTTCAAGTATTTATCTCTATGCATTAATGATTTTACATACTGCTAATATGATTTCCCTAATATTTCCCAAATCTTTTGGTAACTTTGACTTCCAGGCTTTTTTTTTTTTTTTTTTTCCCCTTAGAGTTAGGATCTTTCTGTGTCACCTAGGCTGGAGTGCAGTGGCACAATCATAGCTCACTGCAGCCTCGAACTCCTGGGCTCAAAGGATCCTCCTGCCTCAGCCTTCAGAGTAGCTGGGACTACAGGTGTGTACCACTATGCCTGGTTAATTTCAAAAACTTTCTGTGGAGATAGGGTGTCACTTTGCTGTCCAGGCTTTCAGGCATATTTTTTTTTTTTTTTTTTTTTTTTTTGCTAGAGAGTCTCGCTCTGTCTCCCAGGCTGGAGTGCAGTGGTACGATCTTGACTCATTGCAGCTTCCACCTCCCGGGTTCAAGCGATTCTCCTGTCTCAGCCTCCCGAATAGCTGGGATTACAGGCACACTTCATCACACCCAGCTAATTTTTGTATTTTTAGTACAGACAGGGTTTCACCATGTTGGCCAGGCTGGTCTCGAACTCCTTTCCTCAGGTGATCAGCCCACCTGGGCCTCCCAAAATGCTGGATTACACACATGAGCCACCATGCCCAGCCGCTTTTGGGCTTTTTAAGCTGGTCTGCATGACTCTACTTTCTGTTTTTCACGCGTATCATTTTTAATCCTTGAACATTGTTTTGTATCATTCTACAAATGATCAAATGTCTTTTATAGGTACCAGTTGCCTCCCTTAGCGTTTCCCAAAGGGTGGGAAACGCTTAAACATTAACACCCCAGTCTTACACTGTCAGCTGCATGTAAAAAAAGCACAAAAAACTAAAGGTATTAAACAGTAATGAGTTGGTTATATCACCAACATTTCTCAGGGTGGCAGGAAGGGCACTGCAATTCTTGGGTTAATTTGGGTGCTTGACAATGTCCTCAAGAACCAAGATTCTTTTGGTCATTCTCCGCCATCCTCAGCTTGTTGGTGTTTGTCTTCCAGCTTGTCTTTTCACTATCCCAAGATATTTGCAGCACACACGACTCATACCCTCACACAGCTTTGACTGGAGTCAGAAAAAGGCTCTTTATGTTCAGGCTAAATGCTTTTAAAAGAATTTACCTACACACATTGATGTCCCAAATCTTAGTGAGACTTCACTGTATGGTCATGCGTCAGCCAGTCACTGACAAGGAAAATGGGATTACCATAACTGATGTAGAATATTCAAGATTTACTCCAGAGCCTGGGAAAGGGTCTATTTTTTGAGGTAAGCATGTACAAACTGTGGGGTTAATATTGAAAAAGATCAGGAAATGGCTTGATTAGGCAACCAGCAGTGTGTGCTATAAAATTGAATTTACTTAGTTCCCTTCAAGGCTCTTCATAATCTGACCCCATGATAATTTAATATAAAACCTCTATTCTAGACAAGCCAATCAGTTGTCTTTCCTGCCTATCTATCCTGCTCATGTGCATTCCTACCTGTACCTTGATATACATTATTTCACTTTCTTAGAAAGTTCTCCCTGTTTATTAGAGCTAATGTGGCTGTTTTAATTAAAATTTAAAATTTAATTCCTTAGGCACACAAGTCCCACTTCAGTAGCCCTGTGACTAAGCGGCTACTGTATTGGATAATGAAGGAACGGAACATTTCCATAATCACAGGAAGTTCTGACGGAAAGCACTGCTCTAGAAATTCTTACAAAGCATACCTATTATTTACACAGTGTTTGTCAAACTATGGACCACCTAGATGAGAATCAGCTGTTTGAGATGCTGTTTAAATGCAGATTCTGAGCCCTAGGAATAGGCCCTGAGCCACTTTCATGCCCAATAAAGATGAAGAACACTGCTTTGAGATCTAGTTTTGTTTCTTTTATGGAAATATACTGACCACTGGAGTTTTCATTAATTTTCTCCTTCTCTAGACTTCTATAGCATTCATAGTTTATATATAAAGTTTTAGAATTTCTTTACAATATTAATATTCTCTAATTGTCTCAGAAAGTATTCTTCCTGAATATTAGAGTATAAGCTTTTTAAGAGGAGGTACTATGGCATATTATCACTTGTATTTTCCAAAACATCGAATATAAAATAGGGTGCATAGTAAATATGAAGTATTGACTGCTTAATTACATTCTACAGAATTGTCAATCTATAGTATATTCACTTGGCAGTTCTTTGAAAATCATAATACTGTCTGCAATATTGAATATGGATGATAGAGTATTTCTGTAATTTTTTTTCTTAATTTTATTTGTTGGAAATAAACCTGAAAATCTTGGTTATATTTCTAACAAGTAGTATATGAGGATGTTCCCCATAATAAATTAGCATCATTTTAAAAAATGGCTATTTTAAAGTGCCCTGATCTTTTGATTCTCTTTGTGGAACATAAACTAGTCAAACTTCTGAAGCCATAGTTGACAAAGCAACTTTCTGTTGCAAATGAACTCCCCTCTTGAACCAGGGTTCTTCTCCAGATTAACTAGAGAATTCAGGTAGCTGTTCTGGCTGCTCTACTTTGATGATTTAATAATGGCCTGAAAATCGCTGGAGCAGGAGGTTAAGATCTTGGCAACATTAGAGAATAGTTAGGTGTACATTTTCACAAGTTGGAGCACAGTGAATGATCAAGGTGGAATAGTAATAGGGTAGTCATGACTAGCAGCAACTCACTTAGTTCTAAGGTGAGGAATATTTCTCTTTGTGCATAATTTCACAGACTGTATCATTCCCCAGGGTGATGTGAAAACAACTACATTCTCTGGTAGGCTCATTACCTTTTGGTACAAAAATCAATCTAATCTATTAAGAATAAAATCTCTATTGAACAAATAACTACCTTCCTGAGACTCTTGATATTTTTTACTCTGAGACAGTTGCCACATAATTTGATTCCAAAACAGGTCACATTTCTGAGATAATGAATCAATGCTGCCAAGCATGATGGCTGGTACAAAATAGACTCCCAGTCACGCCTGTAATCCCAGCACTTTGGGAGGCCGAGGCAGGCAGATCACTTGAGGTCAGGAGATCGAGACTAGCCTGGCTAACATGGTGAAACCCCATCTCTACAAAAATATAAAAATTAGCTGGGTTTGTTGGTACACGCCTATAATCCTAGCTACTCAAGAGGCTGAGGCAGGAGGATTGTTTGAACCCGGGAGGTGGCGGTTGCAGTGAGCCGAGATCATGCCACTGCACTCCAGCCTGGGTGACAGAGTGAGACTCCGTCTCAAAAAAAAAAAAAAAAAAAAAGACTCTCAGGAAATGTTAGTTATTTTTCCTCATTAGACTTGTTGAATTTGAATGACAAGTCTCAGACTTATTAGAGAGTAGCAATTAGTTGCTACTATGCCCGGCTAATTTTTTGTATTTTTAGTAGAGACGAGATTTCACCGTGTTAGCCAGGATGGTCTCGATCTCAACTGACCTGGTGATCCGCCCGCCTCGGCTTCCCAAAGTGCTGGGATTACAGGCATGAGCCACTGTGCCCAGCCGCAATTAAAACGCTTAGTTTTAAGCGTTTGCCTCTGAATTAAAAATGTTACTAGGTTCTTTTCTGGAAAAATTAGAACATGTAAAAATAACCTTTCCCCCCCTTGTTCATTTTAATGGAGCAATAAAATACTAACTGTGGTATTTTTTACAGTATTGTTGGTCAAAAATTGTATCAGAATTGTTTCATATCAGTAGGTATTAAATGGACCATTTGCATAATCTACTGAAGATCTTTTAGAGTCTGTAAATGTGTGTCTGGTTATGGTATTTCAGGTATTCTAAATATTTGAGGTTTTATGCCATCATAAAGACCTCTGAGCCAGTGGTATGCATTATCTCAACTTCTGCCTCCAGAGTAGGAACTGTGATGGAACAGTGTAACACATGGCATAGTTGCATATCTGGAATTTCAAAGGGAGCATATGTATGTCAGAGTATGTGTGTATGCACAAAACACAGCTTTTGATTTAAAAAACTGCCATAAAGGTCTTCTCTGCTTAGTCTTCTGCTGTTTATTGATTTAATTAATAGCAGAAATTAATAATTTAATTCAACAATATTATTAAAAATGTACCCCACCTCACACATTGTGCACATATCATTTCTAATCCTCACAACAGCCCTGTAAAGTAGGCATCATTATTCTCACCTTTACAGCTGAGATAACTAAGACTCAGATAAGGCTTAGGTAAATTTCACAAGAGCCTTCAGGTACTAAGTGTAAAGTCAGAATTCAAATCTCAGTCTGGCTGATTTAAAACTTTTGTTCCTGCCTCTGTGTCATACTCTTGGGTACCTGTTTTGTGATTCAACTAGATTATAAGATTGGGATGTCAGGAATTGCATCTTACAATGTGTTATATTACCCAGAAAGGTAACTTGTGGCAAATGTTGCTGTTCTTGCTGAAGGTGCTATAGGTAGCTGCCGAGGGACATTTTAGCCTTTGCACATACCACTAGGGGACCATTTAGTGCCATATTTTTGGGTAACAGGCTGTACAAGGCTCAATTTTGGTTGGCAAGGAATGGTGCCAGTGGGAGTCAGATCTTGTTTATTCACCAGACTGCAAGTGCTTTGTCCCTTTTGCTCACTGTTCTATCCCCAGCACCTAAGACCAAGCACATAGTTGCCCCCTCAATAAATATTTGTTAATGACAAATAATAGTAGCAGGTCTGTAGGAACTGTTAGCTTTCTTCCATGGCTATGTATTACATCCTTAACCTAGGCCAAACTTCCTTCTGATCTAAGCCACTGACTACACAGGAGTTGGGGCAAGGGAGGGTAATGGAACAACATAAGCTTATTACGTTGACTGGAAATACCAACACAAGACCCATGCCCTTTGGAAGCTAGTTCAGTAGCATTATCTTTTAAATAAAGGATGGTAATGAGGAAAAATAAATTCAAAACAATTCTGTGGCAGAGGTGAAGGGAGATACATTTCATTTCCCTTTTGTTTTTGAATTACACAAAATGATGATGTGTTTATAATCCTTCGTGCGTGTTCAATTGATCATCAAATTTACTTACTTACAAATGTACCTATATAATTTAAGTAATATGGGCTTTAAATTTGCCAACAAATATCCTAGTTAATAAAAAATAGTCTAAGCCGTGTATTTCCAGGATAATACTGCATAGTGGAATAGAGCCATGGAATTGATAGTCTGGAAAAAAGTGTTTTGAAAAATGTGACATTTCCTGTACAGTATAGATGTTACAATTCATATTGCTTATTAGATTTTAAATGGACAAGACGTCCAAAATCAAAACAGTGTGGGCTTATTTTAGATACTGTTGCATGGGAGATTACCAGACATCTGTATGGTGTTTACCCTTGGAAAGCTAAAGTTCACATATTGCAAACAGACACCATAATTCTATCCTAGATTAAGGTTTGTTTAACCTGTACTGATTTTTAAAAAGGATTTGAAGTAATAATTGGCAGCAATAATTATCAAACTGTCTCTCAGTTTTCATTTGGGTAAAAGGAATGATTTCATGAAATACATTTGTCACTTCTTTAAAAATAATTTTCTCATAATTTTTCTACTGTGCAAGAGGTGTTTATTCAGTGGGGATAATAGAATACACCAATGGGCAGGAAATTAACAATAAGTAAGCTAATAAGTCTTTTTTAAGCACCTATAATTGGAAGGGATGCTGTGGAGAGAGAGAGGAAAATGAAGAGCTGTCCCTGCCCTTGGGGAAACTGACAGTCTAGTTAAAACACAGTAATGTGACTTGTGGTTTTCTAGATTCAGATCTCATTTTATTCAAACCATGTTCCTCAAACCATTACTAATATAGGAAAATATTTATATAACATAATATGTAAAGGTGTTTTTTGTCCTGTTTCCCAATACCTAAATTACAAAAGAATTCAATTGAACTTATATCAAATGGAATTTTATGCCCATTTAATTTTTTAAAAACTAGAAGATGTTTTTAACTTGTTCATGAGGCATCGAACGTATTATAAAATTTGAAATGGTATTGGTGATGTTAAGAAAATCATGGTATGATCCTTAAGTTGTTAGTGACACTTCATGGATATTAAGGTACCTATAAATAATACTAAAACTGTGGCATTCCTTTTTTTTCATGGTGGGGGTATGAATTTGACCACTGTTCAACTCATATCCTTTTTTTTTGTCTTATTGAGCAGAAACTAACTTTAGTTAGTATACCGCTTTTGAGATGTTCTTTATATAGAAATTTAAGGCATGAGAAATTATCATTTAGAAAGAAAATGAATGAAAGCTCATTTGGACCTTCAGACTATGTTTAAAGCACATTGTACACGATTAATTAGTACATAACTATTCTACTGATGTAGATTATATTGAGAAATAAATATTTGAAACATAGATCTTAAAGCATTTTCTTATAAATTCACTTTTTAGAAATTTGGATTTTCAGCAATTTTATATCACTGAAAGCTGTGTGTACTCTAATTTGGTCCTTGATATATTTCTCATCATGAGCAGTATTAAAAAACAATAGACAAAATATTTACCATAAGTATGTTATTTTTAAATACATTTCCTTTTAATTGAATGAAATTAAATTTTCTACCTGATTTGTGGACCATCAGAGAAAAGAAGATACATATTAAGGAGGGAAAAAAAGGAAAGAGACTGAAAGATTAATTAGAACTTATTCCTTGTACAATAATATTTTAGCTTTAAACTGTTAGTCCTTTATATTAGGATCCACTAAAAATCTTAAGTTAGCCTGCTAAATTTTAGCTCCTCACAGTAGCTGGTTTTCCAGAGACTTAACATGCAAAGGACCATTTGTTCCGAGTTGACTTTTGTTAGTAGTAATTCTGTTTTGTCTTAGGTGTTTAGAAATACTTTTCCCTTAACTCTTATATTTAAAGCATTAACATATAAATCTAATTAAAAATAGTTGTATGACTGATTAAAAATAGTTGTATAGTCACAATTTTCTTTCTCCTAAGAATTAGAGATTTAAATCTCTGAAAACATTAATGTGTGTGGGGTGGTTATGATAGTCCAGCTGCCATTGTGTGTGTTTCATTTAAATGTAAATTTATCTTAGAGACTCTAAAGTTGAGCTCAGAAGGTAGAGAATTTTAATTTGAATAGTCATTTTCTTTTTTTCATGAATACTAAAATCGGTTTTATACTAAAGAAAGAAAACCTATTAAACAGCCAATACTCAATTACCTCGTTTTAAAGTTTCTAGTATGATACTGAGTATTATTTTTTAGTTCTATGTAAAGGAAAACAGTAGTGTTTTATAGAGAAATCAGGCTGTGGAAATACATTTCTAATAATTAAATCTGAGCTGTGAAAAAGCTTGCTAACATTAGCAGAAACACATTGACCTATGTATGACACACACATATCTATATACTATGTAAATATTTAGACTATATATATATTTTTCCAACACACAGTTGCTGGCTTGAATATATTCTTCACCACTGATTAAAATTTAGTCTTACACTTAGTCTGATACTGTAATTATAAATAAACTTCCAGGAGCAATTCTTGAGGACAAGTTTTTAAGGAAGCTTCTGCTTACCGCTATTCTCTTTAAAACAGGTCAAGATTTGAAGCTCTGTAATTTTGCTTTATTTCATAGTTGTTGTTGGGATTGTGTCAGCTACCATGAATGTTCTCTTAAGCAAGGTTACCTTCTGTTGCTTTTAGCAGCCTTTTCAACTTCCCTACAATAAAATAGGCCATTTGTGTGAGTTGCTGTTGATTGCATATTTTCAAGTCATTTTTGTCTTTAGTCATTTCATTACCAGCCTGTGATTATCTTGTGTTAAAAAAACAAACAAGTAGGCAGAAAACCTCCTTGATCTACCCTAACCTTTCTATATGTAAATTTTGGAAAAGCGACACTGTAGCATGCCAATAAAATTTACTCCTGCATTGACATTTCCAAAGTAATTATAAAAAGGATTATAAAATTTACTAAAGGAATTGCTATTTGTTGGTTGACAAAATTTACTTAAGCCACATAAATGTAAATATTTCTCAAGCAACCCCTATAGAGTCAAGGGTTGCCATCAAAGAAAAGACTTTTGTTTATTCTAAATACCTTTATTTTATTTTAATTTTTTATTTTCTAAATACCTTTATTTTATAAAGCTAGGAAAAGTAAAAGTGTTTTGAACATTTTGAGGTCTTAGATTTTTACTTATGCCATTCTTTAATATACATGTTTCCATGATTTAAGTATGACATAATTCTGTATGATTTGCTTTAAATTAATAGTTATTGGTTAGAATTTAAAATTGAGTTTTATAGTAACCAGTAAGGATGCAAATTGTGTATTTATAGCAGTATACTAATTTACAGATTCTATGACACACGGTCAGACACACTGGTTTTTATGAAAATCCACTAGCATTTTTCTCCTGTTTACTCCGTGATTCCAGAATAATATGTAGGGGTGATTTCCTTGAGAACAGGAGTTATTGGCATCATTCTTAGGGGTAGTAACTACCTCTCCTTTCAAACACAGATCTTTTTTTTTGCTCCTTCTCCAACTTCCTTGCCATTCCTCTTAACTTCTGAGGCTTGGAGAAAGTGAACTTTAAAAACTAGAATTCTTTCTCTGTTTTGAATGACAGACCTTATGGGGTTACTTATGTGGTTGGGCTTTTCCCATCCCAGATGGAGTATGTGAATACTTTATAAAATTTTTTATAAGATTACGTGCTTAGAGATACTTTTGCTCCGTTACACTTCTGCTTTCCCAAACAGTTGTTTCTGTTATTTCACACAGAAAGCAATGTTCTACCTCATTTGGATCAAAGCCCAGTTAGTTTAAGACAGATATTTTGTAACAAAAATTTTATGTTTCTTAACATGATTTGGAAGTTAGTATTAATCATTATTCTAATTACTTGTATTAGTAGTTTGTCATTGTAATTGTACAAAGTGTTTCTAGGTTACAAAACCTAGAAGTTCTTAGCAAGGCGGTGGGCCAGTGATATCAACCCATGGAAATGGCCATGATAAAGCAGTTTTCTCTGGGTTCATTTCTAGTTTGTGTCATGGTTTGAGAAAAACAGTAGATGAGAACAAGTTAGTATGAATATTTTTAATCATTTCGTCTGCTAAAACTTCATGCCATGCCTAAGAAACGATGGGCTTACAGGGGTATTTTCAAGAATTGCTTTATAGATCTTCCTCATTAAACATTTTATAAGGACATTCTGCTTTAACAAATTACATGGTGTTGAGGTGGGGAGTATATGTAATTGTAAAAGGTTTATACCCCACATGCAGATTATTACCTGGTGACTGAAAGTGCTGCCTGCATCTTTTTTTGCAGTGCCAGGGAAGGTGGGGGATGGGGAGAATGAAACTTGAATCAGTGGCCATCTGGCCCAGATTTGGCTGATTTCCTGTGCACTGCCCTTTGTTTCAGCCAGACAATGGATTGTTCCTTGAAAAGATAAGAACTCCATTGATGACTTTGTGCTGAATCAGCACGTTTGGTTTGGGATTGCAAGCACAGACTCATATTGAAGGGTTTTCACTTGTTGGTAGGTCACTATCCTTGTCTTCGTCCATTACAAAAATAGCCTTAAGGTTGTTTTCTGTAGTTTCTGTGCTGAGATTACAGAAAAATTGAATAAAATAATTGGACATGTAGTTTTCTAGTTGTGTATTACCTGTCTTAAACATTGAAATCTCCTTGTCTTTAGTTTCCAGAATTCATATCTCCCTGGTTGTGATTTTTGATAAATCTTTATATAGAATCTTTTCTTAAGTCTCAACTTGAATTTTCCATTTGAATTTTCAATGACTTAAGTTTAATGTTGTCCTAAATCTAAGTTAGACTTTTATGATATGGTTATGTAAATGGTAAATTTTCTGTGATATCTGTTGTCATATATCTGCAAATTACATTTTAGGGTGGTAGAGCTACTCCTTACTTTAAATGCTACCTACTCACTGTGACACTGTTTAATAAATGGTTATTGACTAGAGAAGTAGGGATCTCTGTCACCTAGCATTCTAAGTCAGTCAGTCATCAGTTTTTGTAGGTTATCTCAGAAGCAATAGAGATCAGAGAGTAGTTAAGTGTCATTTTTCATAAGACAAGAACAACCTTCACTGCTACCATTTTGTTGTATGACCAAGAAATACAAAAACAATCATTTTCACTTCTGAAGTTATAGGAAGATTGTTGGCAGATTTTGTCTACCTTTTAGTTTAATTCTCATCTCTTTACAGTTGAATTGCCTTGTGACTCCCCAGTGCAGAATTTTCTCTGAAACCACTGATAACTTCAAAATCAAGCATCTGATCAAAATAAACTGCTTTGAGATCTAACCTATAATTCATTTGTGTAGATAAAGGTATGTTGTTTAGGTAGAATCAAAGGGCCTGATCACAAGAAAAAAGCTTAATTGTTAGTTCCTTAGGGATCTAATTATGTAGCAGATGGGACCACACAGCACAGTTTGCTGTTATTTAGTGTAATTAATTTTAGATCTGCATCCAGAAAAAAAAAAAACGATGACAACAAATGACACAAAATCTTAGTTTGCATCCATATAGGGCACTATCCACTTATAATTGTTGTTCCTCTTCTCTTTTGGATCACTTTAATCTACTCCTTACTCTATTCGATGCTAATAAGGTCTCAGAATTGCTTATTTGCTTTAAATGCATGAGTAGTTTGGATACACTGATATTAAGGGTGTCATGGATGTTCATTGGAATAGAATACTCGGATTTAGAGGATTGGTTAATTAAACTGTAAAATAAGCCAGAGTTAAAAGCTACAACAACAACAAGACCAAGACAAGTTCTACTTTAGTTTCCCCCTGCTTTAATCCGAAACTAGTTCAGGGGACTAGTTCGAGGTAGAGGGGAAGGTCTTATCCTTTCTCCCCCTCCCCCCCTCCTGGTCACCCTTCACCCCCGCCCCACGCCCCCCAACCTCTGACTCTCCTTCAAATCTCACTGAGGAATTATAGTCTCTACAGAGGCTTGGTTGCAGATGCCTGGAAAGTTTACACTGCAGAGAGTTGTTTTGTTTGGCATAGCTAATCAGGAGCCAGGCTGGAATTGCTCATAGCTGTCATTCAGGTTTTGTTTCAAAGTCCAAGGACCTGCTGGGAAAAACAAAAAGCTAATGAAAGCTGACTGTATTTAGGCCTCAAATCTGTAGAAACTGAAATGATGTCCTGACAGTGTATTCTTATTCTTCCACATTCTTGCTGTTACTAAGGTAACAGATTTTTAGAGGCTTTCCATCTCATTGTCAAGTATTTGCTACACTTATTGTTGTTTTTCAGATTAGAGCAATTCAGATTATCTCCTTTTGAGATGAAGGAAAAAGAGAAAATAATGGAAATAAAATGTCTGAATCAAATACCCTGAATACTAGTAAGATCAGTTTTTTTTAATGCCTTAAAATTGTTAGATTCATAACACATTAAAATTTAGGACAAGTTCACTTTCCCAACTTTGTGATGCTGTGTGTACGAAATTCCCATTCTTGTAAGGTGAAATAGTACATATTCATATAATCAGTAAAGAATGTATCTTATAGGAAAAAGGTATATAGTGAACTATACTGTCTTTAAGATCTTCCTTCCTGAATGAAAAACCAAATTACATAAAAAACTGATGAGCTTGAATTCCTATCTGTAAATGGTAAAATCAAGTAGCATGAAAAAATGGACGGTGATGGGCATATTTATTGAAACCATTTTTTTTTATATTTGTTTTTACAGGATGATTTGTCTTGATAGATTAGCACTCACCTATATTGAAATGCTGTTGTTTTTACAGTCTATTTGGGGCACATATCAAACCTGTGGTTTGATGAGTGATAAGCAAAAGATTATTTTGTGGAGACAAGGTGTTCTTTGGGTTGGCTTTAGAACTGAGACTCTTCAGGGATGCTTCTCAATAGTGTTATAACCTTTATGAATCCTCTCGCCATGATGTTGACTCAATTGGAAGATGACACAGTTTTTCTTTTTTTTTATGGGCTTATCAAACATCTTCATTAAATACTCTTTTCCCTGTAGCAATGACTGTAATATTGAAATGACCTAATTTTAGTATTGATCAGATCATGTCACTAATTTGGCCCCAACACAGCAATACAGTAAAAGCCTATGTTCATGGAGATAAGATCTGGCTTAATTTTCTTCCAAGAAATAATTAAGAGACTAGGCAGCTGGCTGAATGGAAAAAAACCCATAAGGATCTGGAAGAAAAGTATTAAAAATGTATCAGGAGGCCCTTGTTTTAATTTCTGTATCTCTGTTCATGCTAGTTTCCCAGCCTGCAATTTTATCTTTTCTCATCTCTACCTATTAAATCCTATATGTCTCAAGGTCTGGCTCAGGTCCTTCTCCATTCACTAAGCCCTCTTCAGCTGCTGGTGTCCGGAAGATAGTCAAGAGAGGCTGTATCCTCAGCTGGTTACGGTATCAAAAGAATTGTGTTCAAATAGGGTTTCAACATTTTTAGGAGGAGAATGATTAGGATGGGGGAGATACAAAGGGAAAATAACATAGATGGAATAGATCATTTGAAATGGGCAAGTTTAATCTAGAAAAGATTTAAAGAGAGACAAGATATCTGTCTTCAAGGGCTGACATATGCAGCTGGAATTAGATTTACTCTAATTACCTTTAAGGCAGTGGTTTCAAATTGTGCTGTGCAGAGCTTCAGGGATTTTGTGGTGAGCCTTGGGCTGCAGGGAGGTAGAGAAGAGCCAGAGACAAGTGGACATGCTGAGGGCCCCCTGCAGCTGCCAACAGAAGAGTTCCACTTTTAACTGCTTTATATATTGTGTTCGTGCCTACTATTTCTTTTAAAAACACATTGCATGCTTTAAAAATTAAAGTTTTGAAAAACACTGCTGTATAGAATAATAAGTGAGAGAGTTTTGGTTCAAATTACAATAAAATGTTCTAGCAATAAGAGACTTTGAAAAATTAAATGAACTTCTTTGTGAGATGTGAGTTCCACATTAAAGCAGAACATTAATGACCCTGGCAAGGATGTTGGAAGATTTCTGCTTTTGAGGAAAGGTTGAGTTAGATGGCCTCCTGGATTTCCTACAGTTCTAAGATTGTGTGATTTATTTCTTCTCTTATTGTCAGTATCAGATAATCTGACATTTAGCTGTTTTTTTGTTTGTTTTTTCGTTTGTTTGGAGACAGAGTCTCACTTTGTTTCCCAGGCTGGAGTGCAATGGCATGGTCTTGGCTCACTGCAACCTCTACTTCCTGGGTTTAAGCGATTCTCCTACCTCAGTCTGCTGACTAGCTGGGACTACATGCGTGTGTCACCACACTGGGCTCATCTTTGTATGTTTAGTAGAGACAGGGTTTCACTATGTTGGCCAGGCTGGTCTCAAACTCCTGGCCTCGTGATCTGCCTGCCTCGGCCGCTTTTTTTTTTTTTTTTTTTTTGAGACGGAGCACCCAGGCTGGACTGCAGTGGCATGATCTTGGCTCACTGCAACCTCTGCCTCCCGGGTTCAAGCGATTCTCCTGCCTCAGCCTCCTGAGTAGCTGGGATTACAGGTGCATGCCACCACAGCCAGCTAATTTTTGTATTTTTAGTAGACACTGGGTTTCACCATATTGGCCAGGGTGGTCTCGAACTCCTGACCTCAGGTGATCTACCTGCCTCGGTCTCCCAAAGTGCTGGGATTACAGGCATGAGCCACTGTGCCCAGCCACATTTAGCTGTTCTTAATTGGGCTTTTTGAGAAACCCCACCTCCCCATTACATCATGAAGTTACAGAGAGTAGGAACAATGTCTTCATTGTTTTTGCTTTTGGATTCCTCAGATCCTAGCACAGATGTAGGGGCTCAGTAAATACCTGTTGATAGAGAAATGAGTGCAAGAAGCAGTTGCTTGATTGCCTTATGACCCCATCCAATCATAAATGATGATAAGGGAAGGTATTTGCAGGAATTTTTTTTTCTACTTTTGCTTTCTGCCCTTAAGAAATAGTAGAAGTGACAGAGAGTTGAGATAAGCCAGTCCCACCCCAAGCTTTTTTTTTTTTTTTGCCCAGGATGCCAGAATACTGCATTGTCTGAAAAAGTGATCATTGCTCCCAGAGAGCCTAATAGCTAAAAAATTTAACATGGAAATCAGGATTCTCCATACAAATAAGAAACTGAGGCACAGTAGAATGGTGAAGTGAGGAGATTTCCAGATATTCCAAGTGCAAATAGGGGAATATGTTGTAAGAGGATCACATTGGCAGCCTTGACTTCAGGGTCTTTTGCCCCCTGATTTCAGTTGGTTCTCATGATATTGAGAACTAGGACTAAAGGATATGAATTACAGGAAAGTTCTTCCAGATGCACTATTGGAATCTAGTAATGGTGGTAGACTTAATAGGGGTAGGCAGGTGCTTGATGAGCACAGCGGAATCAAAAGCAGCACTTTCATCCATAGAAGGCCTTTCATATTTCCTGCCTTTGTCTTGTGTGGGAAAGGGAGAAGTGTTTGTGCCAGCTTCTGGCACATTGCCGTGTGCCAAGTAGACACTAAAGAAGTACTTATGGAATCAAGCTGAATTTTATTAATGGTACTTTCAGAGGAATTACCAATTACAGTACACACCGTAGGTGGGAATCATAGTTCTTCTTGCTTGAAGTCCCCTGTTCCTCTACAAAGTCAGGCGAGTTTAGGAACAAGTTTCATGATGTCTATATATATGTGTGTGTGTGTATATATATACATATATATATGTATATATATATACACACACACACACACACACACACACACACACACACACATATATATATATATATATATATATATATATATACATGTATATATATATGTTTTTTCAGGCAGGGTTTCATTCTCTTGCCCAGGCTGGAGTGCAGTGGCACAATATTGGCTCACTGAAACTTCTGCCTCCTAGGCTCAAGTGATTCTCCCACTGCAGCCTCCTGAGTAGCTAGGACTACAGGTGCACCCACCACGCCTGGCTAATTTTTGTATTTTTTTGTAGAGATGGGGTTTTGCCGTGTTGCCCGGGCTGGTCTTGAACTCCTGGGCTCAAGTGATCTGCCAAAGTGCTGGGATTACAGGTGTGAGCCACTGTGCCCGGCCCTGGTGTCAGTCTCTTAGAGTTCAAATGAGGAGATTGGTCATATCTGAAAACACAAATAGGCTTGTGAAGATCTCCGTACAAGTTGTTCATTGTTGGTAAGTGACAAGAAGAATGTCTGGAGCCAGTAAATGATTCCAGCACTAAAGAAGCCTTGCCATACCCCAGGAAAAGGGTTACTTTTCATTAGGTGAGTAGTTATAAATGCTAATTATTAATACGTGTACTGTAATGCCTGGGTACTTTCTGGGATGAAGATGTCATAAACAGAAAACTAGAGTGCAAAGCGATCTCAAAATTAGTCTAATACTCATGTCTGTTTTACTGATGGAGAAGAAATTGGGGCCCCAGAGATACTTAAAGAGCCAGGATTAGAGCATAGGCTGTTTGATTCCCAGTATAATCACCTATTCATAATGGTAAAGGAGGATATCTTTATTCATTCCATAATTTTTTTTACAATATTTAGGAATGGCCTTTCTTCTCAAAGATGTTTTATAATTTGGGGATTATGCCCAATTCTGGGAATTCTTTATGTATCCTTAAAGCTACTGAACATGTCTTACGGCTTCATGCAATAAGAGGGCACTACAGGTGTCAAGAACATTGTAGAGCTGCTCATGTAGTATACAAGATAACAACTTAATGCCTTAGGCAACAAGTGCTTTCTGCCAGTAGGAATGAAAATACAAGGCCTATGGAAAAAATTAATTAAAACAAGACATGAGAGTCAGAAGAGGAAATAAACTAATGAAGACAACTGATTTGGAAATGGTGTAATAGTAAGAAAAAAAAGGATTGTTTAAGCATACTGGAACAAATTTTTAACTCACTTAAAAGAATATGTTATTAATACTTTCAGGGCTTTAGTAAAAACTCAGTTGTATATACATATTTATATGATTCTTAGCAACAGTTCATTAACATGTTTATCAATTAATTAGTCAGCATACTTGATTTATACCGGGCATCTCTAGAGATCAGAAATAGGTAGGATTAGGATAAAAATTTCACAGAGGAAGATAAAACATACAACAAGAAAGAACTTAAAACATATTTTACTTTACTGTTAAATATATTAAAGAGTCTAATAATGAAAATTAGGTTGCATTCTACACCTGTTTCCCAGTCACCCAAATCCCCTAACCAGAGATAACTCCATTTCTAGTATACCCTTCCTGAGATAATTCTGTGTATGTACATGCATTTAGGAAAATATATTGAACATATCGTTTGGTACTTTGGAGATTGATGAAAACCTGTCTATGAGCTAGTGCTCTTAACAGTGTAACATGCTATCTTGTGATGTATCTGAGAAGTGTCACTTGTTCAACAAAGTGAAAAAGGGGACATTTATGCTTAACTCTGAGAAACAAATAGTGTTTCACAGGCAGAGATGGGCTGATGGGTTTTTTAGGGAAGGGAGTTGCATGAGCAGAGATGTAGAGGCAGAAAAACATGGGCCTTAATCCTTGTTAGGGCAAATAATCATTTTGGAGAATCATGGGGAAGGTGGATGGAGTGGTAGGAGGGAAGCCTGGCTGCCTGCGCTGTTAGGATTATCATCTGTGGCTATTCCTTGGCTTTTATCTCTTTCTCATCATGTCTAGAGCCAGGCCCCAGATACTATAAGCCCAGGGTGTAAGAGTTCATAGGGATAGGAGAGGGCACACACCCACTCTTCGAGTGTCCTCTCTCATCCCGCCCTTGACTCTTAGTCACTGACTAATCTTTTACTTAAAACAACTAAGCTGTGATGTTGTTTTAACCCTGCCTAAAATCCAAGGAGTCCACAGGCTGCCAGGCAACCTTAATTATTCTTTAGTTTACTCATCAGTAGTCCCTGAACATAAAGTACACTTACACGCATAGTCAGCAAGGACTTTCTCAATGGGTTATTTCACTACTTGAAGCTCTCTGGTGACATTTGGAAGTAATAAAAATAACTGCTTGTATTTATTGAGCATTGTGTACTCAACCGAGTACATTGTATTGATTGTGTCATTTCATCCTTATCACCATCCTTAGACATATATGCTATGATTATCTCCATCTTAGTAATAAAAAAACAGGTAGAAGTCTAGTACACTACACTTGAGTTCACACAGTAAGTGCCAGAGCTGGGATTTGAATCCAGGCAGCCTGATTTCAAAGCCTGAACTATTAGCCAGTACATCATATTGATTTAAAGGAAACACATTAAGAAAGTATGAGAGACACATGTTCTGTATTCAATAGATGATGACAAACAATGAAGTGTGACTGTTATTTAACAGTATATAACAGACCTTTATATTTCAAATTTCATGAACTGAGTGGTTTTGGGCCCATTGAGGCCTTTGTTTTGTCATTTTAATATTTAAATAAAAATATCTTTGGATGTCTTTAGATGGGGCATGCACTCTTCTTTCATGCATGTCCCATATCACCCCACAAATTTATGGCATTAGTGTATTGTCATGTTAGTTCAGAATTAATTTATTGACTGGACATGGTGGCTCTCACCTGTAATCCCAGCGCGTTGAGAGGCCAAGGCAGGAGGACCACTTGAGGCCAGGAATTTGATACCACCCTAGGCAATACAGTGAGACTCTGTCTCTATAAAAAGCTAAAAAAAAAAAATAGCCAGGCTTGGTAGCATGCACCTGTAGTCCCAGGTACTTGGGAGGCTGAGGTGGGAGGATACCTTGGGCCCAGGAGTTTGAGGCTGCAGTGAGCTATAGTCTTGCCACTGCATTCTAGCCTGTGTGACAGCAAGACCCTGTCTCAAAAAAAAAAAAAAAAAAAAAGAATGCATTTATTATGTTAGTCCAGAATGTAGCCCCCACTCATGCAGGTTGCTGTTTAAGTTAAGTAGAGGGGAAAAAGGGATGATGCCAGCCATGCAGGTTTCTTTTATCAGGGAAGGAAAACCTTTCCCAGAAATCCCTGCGGTGGACTTTCCATTAGGTTTCTTAGCTAGAACTGGGCTGCATGACCATCCCTCACTACAGGGGAGGCTAAAAGCGTGGGGAACAGAATTCTCATGATGAGTTTAGACCAACCAAAATCTTCCCTTAAAGCTGTGCAAATTGGCACCCCAAACAAAACTGGAGTCCTGTTAGCAAAGAAGTGGGGGTAGATACTAAAAACAGGACTAAGAATATCTGTCATTCATTATGTTCTTTAAAATTATGATTGACTACACACTACCCTCACAATGGAATGATTCATTAGGATAAGCTAACTGCTGTAGCACACATCCTTAAAATTCCACTGGCTTAATTACTTGCTCATGCTGTAGTCTGACACGGTGAGACACTTCTCCTTGCCGTCACTCAGGGATCCAGGTCCTTTCATCTTGTTCCACTACTATCTTCCAATTCTAGACTTCAAGATTGCTGTGGAAGGAAGAGAGCATATAGGGAAGGCAAACAACTCTTAACTGTCTTGTCCTTCACATCAGCCACGTTCCATTGTCAGAGCTAGGAAATGTTCGACCTTGTCTCCAGGGAGAGGAAGTGGGTTTGCTGTGCATCTAGCCAGCCTCTGCCACACTGCAGTTGAGTGAAATCTAGTTGTCACTGAAGACAGCTGACAAAATGGATAAAGGTATTTTTTTACAAATGTAAAAAATGGCTTTCATAAGAAGTTATAAATGGACTTATAATTTTTTGATATTTCTTAAAGATATTTCACCTACTTTTCCTCTTTATCAACGGTTAAAATATGAGGCAGCCTCAAGCACGTTATTTCCAAAACACCTTCCTTGACCTCTCCAGACAATAAGCAGCTCACTGCATTTACTTCTGTGCTGGGCTACCCCTTAGCTGTAATAACTGGTTGGCATACATCTCACTTGGCTCAAAACTCAGAGGGTGAAGACTATGTACAGTTCATCTTTTAATCACCAGGGCCTAATGCCAAGAAGATAATAAAAAAAGATGTAATTGAATTAATGTCCAAATAGATAAATGCATGTATTGACAAGAGTAAAACTTCAGACTAAAAAGAGAAAAAGCTAGTTTTAAATTCATGAAAATTTTTATTTATATAATTTTTATAAAAATGTTTTTCTCTGGCAGGCTGGGCACAGTGGCTCATGCCTGTAATCCCAGTACTTTGGGAGGCTGAGGCGGGTGGATCACCTGAGGTCAGGAGTTTGAGACCAGCATGGCCAACATGGCGAAACCCCATCTTTACTAAAAATACAAAAATTAACTCGATGTGGTTGCGGGTGCCTGTAATCCCAGCTACTGGGGAGGCTGAGGCAGGGAGAATCGCTTGAACCCGGGAGGCGGAGGTTGCAGTGAGCTGAGATTGTGCCGCTGCACTCCAGCCTGGGTGACAGAATGAGACTCCATCTCAAAAAAAACAAAAAACAAAAGTTTGTAGCATAAATGATAATGATAATTTGAACTAGCTGCTCACAAATAATTAACATATGTAGTAATATTTTGTCACATCTAGTTCTATTCAAGTGATTATGAGGTGAAGATCTTAAATTTTTTTCATAAATATATTAAGTATGCTGTTCAGTTTGAGTGGCCTTATATTTCACATCTGTGAAGAATAAATGAGATTTTTATTTTATTAATAATATTTGTCATACTTAACTATTTTAATTGTCTATTCATTAATTCAACCAACATTCAGTGAGTTCCTACGCAAACAGAAGATAACTAATACACACACTAATCTGTAATTATATAATTAAATGATTTTATTCGTTGGGATGAGGGCTAGAAAAGGTTAGACTAACTGGGAGTTCATAATTTGTCTTGGAGATTTAAGAAAGTTTTTGAAGAGGTTTTCTGTGTTGAGATGAAGAGGAAGATTGAGACAAAGCACAATGGAGAGTAGGGGAGAGAGCACTTCAGAATGTTTGAAGGTGCTAAGAGGAAGTGCTTGACACACGGGAGGAACTGAGAAAGAAGGCTAGGGCCATCGGCTGGAGGGACAGGACAGGTGGAGATGTAAGCATGGGCCTCCAGACCATGGTAAGGCCACTGGATCTTTACTTTAATGCATTTGTGCATGTGATTAAAAAAAAATGAAAGAAAAACTTACTGTTTTAGATGACAATGTATAATAAACATTTTAGCCATCATAAAATATTTTAGAATAAGATATGTAAATACTGTCTTAGTGCATTTTGGTTGCTATAACAAAAATACCACAAACTGGTTGGCTTATCAACAACAAATATTTATTTCTTACAATTCTAGACGCTTGGAAGTCCAAGATCAAGGCACCAACAGATTTGGTATCTGCTAAGGGTCCATTTCTTGATTCACAGATGATGCCTTCTAGCTGTATCCTCACATGGTAGAGGGGGCAATGGAGCTCTCTGGGGTCTTTTTTATAAGGTCACTAATTTCATTCATGAGGGATATAACCTTATGACCTGATTACCTCCCAAAAACTTAACTCCTAAAACCATCACCTTGGGGGTTAGGATTTCAACATATGAATTTTGGAGTGACACAAACATTCAGATCATAGCAAATACCAAGTATATATATATATACACACACACAAACAACACAATTTTTATTTTTATTTTTTGAGACTGGGTCTCACTCTGTTGCCCAGGCTGGAGTCCCGTGGCATGATAACGGCTCACTGCAGTCTCCACTTCCCAGGCTCAGGTGATTCTCCCACCTCAGCCTCCTGAGTAGCTGTGACCACAGACATGTGCCACCATGCCCGGCAAATTTATTTAGTTTTTATTTTTCAATTAAAAATACCGGCTAGGCACAATGACACATGCCTGTAATCCTGGCACTTTGAGAGGCTGAGGTGGGCAGATCACTTGAGCTTAAGAGTTTGAGACCAGCCTGGGTGACATGGTGAAACCCTGTCTCTACAAGAAAACTAGGCAGGCCTGGTGGAGTGCACCCATAGTCCCAGCTGCTTGGGAGGCTGATGTGGGAGGATCGCTTAAGCCCAGGAATTCAAGGCTGCAGTGAACTATGAGTGCGCTACTGCACTCCAGCCTGGGCAACACAGCAAGACCCCATCTCTAAAAAAATAATAATAATTAATTTAAAAAATTTTAAAATACCACACTTGTAATAACAATGAAAAAAATAAAATAGTCTGGGCTTGGTGGCTCATGCCTGTAATCCAGCACTTTGAGAGGCCGAGGTGGGCCGATCACGAGGTCAGGAGATCGAGACCATCCTGGCTAACACGGTGAAACCCCATCTCTACTAAAAATACAAAAATTAGCTAGGCATGGTGGCACACGCCTGTAATCCCAGCTACTCAGGAGGCTGAGGCAGGAGAATAGCTTGAACCCAGGAGGTCGAGGTTGCAGTGAGCAAAGATTGCACCACTGCACTCCAGCCTGGTGACAGAGTGAGACTCTGTCTCTAAATAAATAAATAAAAATGTTGGTTATATTTCATAAAGGGAAGGAGAGAAACTAAACTAGTTGAGAGAAATGTAGGAAATAGGTTTAAATAAGTGGGGGAAAATATTTTTGTTACAAGTATGTTATTTTAAAATTTTTAATTATTTATTTTTTTAGAGCTGGGGTCTTCTTCTTTTGCCCAGGCTGAAGTGCAGTAGCAGTATATATAATAAACAAAAAGCCTGGCCAACATAGTGAAATCTCATCTCTACTAAAAATGCAAAATTAGCTGGGCGTGGTGGTGCTCGCCTGTAATCCCAGCTACTCGGGAGGCTGAGGCAGGGGAATCACTTGAACCTGGGAGGCAGAGGTTGCAGTGAGCTGAAATTGCACCACTGCACTCCAGCCTGGATGACAGCCTGGATGACAGGATTAAATAAAATAAAGTGTTAATATTCTCTACATATAAAACATTCTTCCAATCAATTTTAAAAGAACAAATACCTCAGAAGAAAGGGATCTAGGGCAGAAGTTGACAAACTCATCCTAGACCAAATCCAGTCCATGTCTTATTTTGAAAATAAAGTTTTATTGAAACATGGCCATGCTTGTTCACTTGCATATCGTCTCTGACTGCATTTGAGCTACAGTGACGGAGTTGAATGTGACGTCGTTGAATGTGACGTCAAAACCAGCGATGTTTAGTCTCAGTTTCCTGACCTCTTATATAAAGAAAAATCCACTGTTGGTGGTCTTGGAAGACAATGTAGAGTCTCTTCTCTTTGGGATGGTTTTTGGTGGTTCCGTTTAGCTTCAGGAGAATGGACCAGTTGGGCTCTTGAGGTTCCTTCCTCATTCTCATTCTGTTTTATCTTGAACTTGTCTTGGGTCAGGTTTTTACATGCGAATGCCTACATAAGACCTGTCCTCTCTTATGCATTTATTCCCATTGGATCAGTCCTCAATCGACCAGTCTTTCTACCCTGATGACCTTCTTCTGCGACACCACCTCTTCCGTGGTAAACCAGTCCCGGAGGCCTCGGTGTTTTTAAGACCCATTCTCTGACCTTCATCAATACCTAACTCTCCAACCATTTATTCTTCTTTGCTCTTGCACTCAGGTTGTTGAGTTTTATTGAAGAAATTCACACAACCTGGGAAATGGGTGGTTCATTCCCACCCGTTCTACATTCACGGTCTCTCCCCTGGGCTGGGAACGCTGCCCTGAAATCTTACATGATTCCAAATAAGCTCCTCTCCAGTTACCTCTAAAGGGTGGCCAGCCTAACCTTTCTTCTCTCACATCAGCATGCCTGTTCCACCATCCTTTCCAGCTCTCTGAAAATGAACTTGGCTTCTACTGCACAGAGAAAATGGAGGCCTTCATGTAGTAAGTCCTGGATCTTAACCTTGTCTCATTCCTCAGAGTGAGGAATCCACTTGTGACACCTTCCTTCTGCTTTATTGTAAGCATTTTATCTCTAAAATGTTTTCTTTAGCTTATAAATTAGTTCATTTCTAGTCTTTCTATTAAAAAAAGGAAGAAAGGGAAGAAGGAAGGAAAGAAGGAAGAGAGAGGGAGATGAGGTGGGGAGAAAGAAGGAAAGAAAGAAAAGGAAGAAAGGAAGCGTTTTTGATACTTCTTTGGATCCTCCATTTCTCACCAATTGTCCTACACAGCTCTCCTTCCCTTTACAGCCCAGCCCTTTTTTTTTTTTTTTTTTTTTTTTTACGGAATCTTGTTCTGTCGCCCAGGCTGGAGTGCAGTGGTGCGATCTTGGCTCGCTGTAAGCTCCGCCTCCTGGGTTCACGCCATTCTCCTGCCTCAGCCTCCCAAGTAGCTGGGACTGCAGGCACCCACCACCACGCCCAGCCAATTTTTTGTATTTTTAGTAGAGACGGGGTTTCATCGTGTTAGCCAGGATGGTCTCAATCTCCTGACCTTGTGATCCGCCTGCCTCGGCCTCCCAAAGCGCTGGGATTACAGGCGTGAGCCACCGTGCCCGGCCCAGCCCAGCCTTTTGAATACAGGCTGTCCACTTGTCACCAGTTCCTCACTATGTCATAAGATTTAGCCTCCTGTGAGGCTCGTGCAGGTGCCCTGGCCAGGTTGCCATGCTAGGGGTACCCTTTTCATCCTTGTCTTCTTGGATTCTTTGGCGCTTATGATAGAGTTGGCTTTTGCCTCATTCTTAAAATGTGCTTCATTTTCTTTGTTGATACTGTTCTCTTTTAGTTTCCCACTTTGGTTTTTCCTCAGCTGCTTTGCATGCTCTTACTCATTTTCCTGCCTCTTAAGTAGAATTTCAATCCTTAGCCCCTTTTGTCACCTTCTTCCTAGGCAATCCCATGACCTTTGTACTAATGATTTGTAAATCTCTAGTCCCAGCCTAGGCCTTTGTGTAAACTCCTCCATTAAGTGCCTACTAGGAGATCTGCATGCCTAGATGTTCTAATGTGATCTCAAACTGAACATAGTCAAAACTCAACTCCCTGTCACCCCTGTCATGCCATCCACACCATGCCGTGCTGCACCCTGTCATACCGCATGAGCCACCAGACCGTCATGCTCTGTGACTTGTCTGTCTGCCCAATTCTATTTTGAGCTTCTTGAGGGCAGGGATCTCATTTTTTATCTCTGTATCTTCAGTGTCCGGTACATTGAGTCTGCTCAATGAATGTGTGAGAGAATGGAAGTAAGGAAGAAGAGTGAAAGCAAGAAAGTGCCAAAAATGTTCTCCTTACTCTAGGGCCTGCTGATAAAACACAACAAAAACTCATGAGGCCTGTCGAAATGGGTATAGCCATGACAAGTGACTTTTTATTTAGTGTTGAAGCCATTTAGGCTTATAGATTGAAGGATATTAAAGTTACAACAAGGCTGGGCACAGTGGCTTATGCCTGTAGTCCCAGCACTTTGGGAGGCCGAGGCGGGTGGATCACCTGAAGTCAGGAGTTCGAGACCAGCCTGGCCAACATGGCGAAACCCCATCTCTACTAAAAATATAAAAATTAGCCAGGCGTGGTGGCAGGCGTCTGTAATCCCAGCTGCTTGGGAGGGTGAGGCAGGAGAATCGCTTGAACCTGGGAGGCAGAGGTTTCAGTGAGCCGAGATCGTGCCATTGCACTCCAGCCTGGGCAACAAGAGCAAGACTCCATCTCAAAAAAAAAAAATAAATAAATAAATAAATAAATAAATAAATAAATAAATAAAGTTACAACAGCATCCTCCTCAAAACATGAAGTTTAGTGGTAAATGTTGAGAATTTTACATTTAACATTTAGCACACTTTTGCTTCGTACCTGAATTTTTGGTACTTGGTGGTATTGAGAGCACTCAGTGTAAAGTGTTCTGGGTGTAAAATGTTCTGGTATCAACTGTTTCTCAGTACTTTGAAGTCAGAATACTAATCCTTGAGCAATTCATAACACCAACTAAAAGATATGCAACCAAAAAAACACCAGTCATGTGGTAGATGTGTAGAAAAATTATGATTTTCAGAGTCCAGATTTGAATAAAATATCAGTCAGAAATCATAAGGAAAAGATATGTATGCCAAACTCAGTGCAGAAACCAATTGATTATGTATTTTTAAAATTCAGATTGTCTTAATGTCAATGTTTCATTAAGAAAAACTCAAGACTTTTGGAAATTTGAAACTAATTAACATTAGAATAGTCTAATAGTTACATTAGAATAGCAATAGTTCCTATACATCTGAACACATGTCCTATGAAGTAGTGTTATTTACAGCTAACTCCATGTTTCTTAATTTTCCTGACAAATACCTTATTGTAAAAATAAGCATTCAATAAAGTAAAAAAATCATTAAGACATTACCAAATCTAATATTTATATTAAAATCATTCTAAAAATGCAGTTTGTCTCATCATTTCAAATCCCTTCCTTGTTTAAAGAAAAGATTACATTTTAGAAAATTTGAGAAATAGAGAAAAAGGGCATCTATAATCCCACCAACTTCTTATAGCTTTTTGCAGAAACGTTTATTTTCATAATTGTAATTATATATGTAATTTTATATTCTTATTTTAAAGTTAGTATTTCTCTCATGAATATTTTTCTGTGATGTTACTGAATAGTTATTATTATAATTTCTTATGGAAGCCTAATTCCATCTAATTATATGCCTAAATTTCTTTATCATTTACTGGATACTTTAAATGAGATCCAGTGTTTTACTCTGTACTTACGGATCCCTTCCCAGCATACTTTGTACTTTTTCCTTAGGGTAGATTTTTGGAAGTAAAGTATTCAGTTGAAAGTTATACTTTTAGATACATAATATCTTAATAATTTTCCAAAAGATTCTTCCAATTTTTAATTCCCCCGGAATGTAAGAGTACCAATTTCACTGCGAATTTAGCGGGTTTAAAATTTTTTTCTTAAAGAAATGGGGTCTTGCTGTGTTCATTTTAAGAGGTGGGGTCTTGCTATGTTGCCCAGGCTGGAGTGCAGTGGTTTTTCACAGGATCGATCATCACGCACCACACAAACTCCTGGGCTCAAGCAATCCTCCCACCCCAGCCATGAGAGTAGCTGGGACTACAGGTGCATGCCACCTGTGGCTGTCCTGATTTAGCAGGTTTTTAAAAAACAGTACTTTATTGGTTGTTTTTTGTTTTGTTTTTAGTTTGTAGACTATTTTAGAGCAGTGTTAGCTTTACAGAAAAATGAAGCAGAAAGTACAGAGGCTCCCAAATATACCGTTTTGAACCCCTCTGCCAGTTTCCTCTATTATTAGTATTTTGCATTACTGTAGTATATTTGTTACAGTTGATGAATGAATATTTACACATTATTAACTAAAATTCATAGTTTATATTAGGGTTCACTCTTTGTGTTGTACATTGTATGGGTTTTGACACATACATAGTTTCATCTGTTACTATTAGCATATCATGCAGGATAGTTTGATTGTGCTCTACCGTTGTACTAAAAATCCTTTGAGCTCCACCAGTTCATTCCTCTCTCCCTCCCTGTGAGTTCTGGGCAACCATAGGTCTTACTGCCTCTTGAATCTTGCCTGTTCCCAGAATGTCATATAGTTGGAATCAGATAGTAGGTAGGCTTTTCAGATTGGCTTCCTTCACTTAGCAATATACATTTAAGGTTCTACCATGTCTTTTTGTGGCTTAATATCTCCTTTCTTTCTTTTTTTTTTTTTTTACTGAATAATATTCCATGGTGTGGATGTACCACAGTTTACCTATTCACCTTTTGAAGAACATCTTGGTTGCCTCTAGTTTGGGCAATTATAAATAAAGCTGCTAAAAACACTTGTGTGCAGGTTTGTTTGTATAGATATAAGGTTTCAACTTGTGGGTAAAGTATATGTATTTATATCTACTTGTTATTGTTTAATACATATATTGTCTTCTCTTCCATCTCGAATGTATTAATGAAATAAGTGTTTAAACACTTTTTTTCTCCCTTCAGAGCCTGTTTTCTCCAGGTTGCTTTTTGTTTGCTTGTTTTGTTCTCTATTTTCCATGTCTGAGATGTTTCTCAGTTGTCTAATAATTCTGGTTGTCTGCTCTTATTTAAGAGTAGTGCCCCATAAAGCTGATAAGAAGCTGTAATCCATGCTTTCTCGCTCTTTCACTGAGAAATGCCTACTGTCAGTATGTTAAGCATTTCTCCTTGGACTGGTTAGATTCTACAGAGAGAAACCTAGCCTCCTGTCATGATGGTGTAGGACTGGTTACTATCTTTCTGGGAGCTGAGTTGGAAAAGAGGTCTGGAGGTAGGTGGACTCAGCTTTCAGTATATACAATGTTCACCTAATCCCCTTGTTTGCAGAATGGCACCCCCACCCACAACTCTGGCTGTCCAGCTTTCTGTAGAAAAGGGAAGGTATAGTTGCCTGCCTGGAAGTGAAGAAGGTATCTGGGGATTGATCTGACTTTGTAAAAGAGAATTTCAGTTAATTTCTCCTGTTAATAACCTCACCTTTGTCTCCATACCTGGAACCTAACCTGGTGCTGCCTTTGGGGAGGTGGTGTGGTTTATTGTGTAAAACTAGTTGTTTCTAAGCTTCCCTCATTGCTGAGTTGAGATTCAACTTCTCATTGCTGCAAGGTCAATTATTGCCTGTCCATTTGCTTTCAAGTTTATAAATGTTGTTGCTGTTTCATTTACTTCTGTCTTTTGTCCTTCTGATTTCATGCCTTTAAAAACCTCTTTACTATACTTTTAGTTGGGTTTTGGTAGGAAGAGAAAATAAATGCATTTGTACAATCTGCCATATTTATGTGGAATACTCATGTATCTTTTTGTTAAAGGGAAGGTTTAAAAACTCTATAGGTAATAGAAGCTAATTGGCTAAAAACGTCAGAAAAATATTTTTCAAAATGTTAATTAATATTTGCTATAAACAGACCCTTGCATAAAATTTTGGTACATGTCCATTCTGACTTTTCTGTATGAATACATAACATGATTTATTTTCATTTTTGTGTGTCTCAAAGATACAATTATTAGAGATAGAAAGCAGTTGAGAATTGGCTGTAAACAGGCATGAGGGATATTTTTGAGGTGACATCTTCAAACTGGATTGTGGTAATGGTTGCATAACTCTACAAATTTGTGGAAAACTTTTGAAATACATACCTACAATGGGTGTGTTTTATGGTATGTAAGTTATAACTGGATAAAGTTGTTTTAGAAATTTCCCACTAACCAGCCAAAGAAAACTCAAATCATTATAACATATATATTATAAATATCTGTTCACTTAAAAATTTATTGTGTGGCTAGGCACAGCAGCTCATGTCTGTAATCCCAGCACTTTGGGAGGCCAAGGCAGGAGGATCACTCGAGCCTAAGAATTTGAGACCAGCCTGAGTGACTTAGTGACACCCCACATTTACGAAAAATTTAAAAAAAAGAAGCCAGGGGTGGTGGCATGTGCCTGTAGCCCCAGCTACTCAAGACGCTGTCAGGAGGATCACTTAAGCCCAGGAGTTCAAGCCTGCAGTGAGCTGTGATGGAGCCACTGCATTCCAGCCTGGGCAACAGAGCAAGACCCCATCTCTTAAAAAAAAATTATGGTGAATACCTTTCATGTCGACAAATTAAATTTAGATCTATAAAGTATAAATGGTGTTTAATTAACACATTGTATTTCTCCCCTACTCTTTTCCCCTCACCTTACAAAATATATGAAATCCACTTTCATAATAAATTTTTGCTTACCTCTTTTCATTCTTGTTTATATGCTTACATACTGATGCATAGTTATAATTATTGTATGAAATTTAAATTGTGATGATAAAACAGCACGCTAACCATTTTTCCATATGCTACATAGTTATTGTTGACAGTTATTGGGTTGTTGCAAAAGTAACTGTGGGTTTTACCATTACTTTTTTTTTTTTTGAGACGGAGTCTTGCTCTGTCACCCAGGATGCAGTGCAGTGGCACAATCTCGGCTCATTGCAACCTCCGCCTCCTGGGTTCAAGTGATTCTCCTGCCTCAGCCTCCCAGGTAGCTGGGACTATAGGCGCCTGCCACCACACGCAGCTAATTTTTGTATTTTTAGTAGAGGCAGGGTTTCACCATATTGGCCAGGCTGGTCTCGAACCCCTGACCTTATGATCCTCCTGCCTTGGCCTCCCAAAGTGCTGGGATTACAGGCGTGAGCCACTGCACCCAGCCTTTGCCATTACTTTTAATGGCAACCTAATGCATAGTACTTCATAAGGTACATGTATTGTACGTTAATTACCTATTTTTCTATGAGCATTTTTGCTGTTTCAAAATTTCTACTGCCAAAAATGATGTAATGCATACTTTTATGCATTTAGCTTTTTCATCCTTTTTTGATTTTTTACTTAGAATAAATTCCTAGAAAGTCTCCACTTCACTTAAACTTAATCATGAATGACTTCAGAGCAAAACAAACTGGCTTTTACATAATTCCATTTTAATGTACCTCAGAAAATTCCATGCATAGGGAACCTATCAGTTATTTGTTGGTAATACCTGTTAAATTGTTCTACATTATGGGTTCTGATATTTTGCTGAACATATATTTTATCAGATATACTGATCCAAAAGAGTGAAGAAAGGCAGGAATTCTGTGGGAAAAAAAATCCTAGATATTATTTTGCTGAAAGGCAGCAGCAACATCACAGTGCTTTTGCTTTACTTAAAATTCCCAAATGAAGAGGTGAAGAACCCACTTTAGGTTAGGAAGCCTGAGGTTTCTAATGCCTGTTTATCCTAAATAATTGTCTGTGTTGGGGTATCTCATCATTGATTTGGAGCTGTGCTTTACTGGATACAAGCTGAGAGACTTTCTTTTAAACCAAAAACAAATTTTAAAAAGCTTTCATTTAGCACTAATAGATCACTACTTGGCCAAGTGGGGAAGTGACTGGGCATTCTGGAGAAGGCTCTGGAAGTTCTCAGCATCTAGGAAACACCTCTAGGAAACATCCTTTAACATGAGCAGGGTACTCAAGTCACTGGAGTCAACGAGTCTGAGAGTTTTGCTCTTCTGAAATGACTAGCTATTTGCAGTCTGTATTAACTGTCTTTAGGATATGAACATCTTGTTCAATGGACAAGTTAGATGGTAAGGGCAAGCCCAGGATCAACTTGGTTCCTAAGGAACAATGTGTGTTTTCCTATAATCTTCCCTACACTTTCCTCTGTGCTATAGCCAGGGCATGACAACCAAAGCCTTGTCACAAACATTTAAAAAGACAATTTTCAAAGGTTGTAAAACTTTTAAAGCCAGCTTCCTCCTTTGCAAATGCAACTCCTTCTCACCCCACTTCAGTACCTGGACAGCCAGGAAGCCCAATGTTAGGGGCACAAAATGCTCTGTCCCTGCCACCCCCTTTGTATGTGTTGTACCTGTCAGCCTGTCACACACCCCTACTTCATCCCCCAGTTGATTCAATGGTCTGTTAAAATAAAAAAAAAGCTCTATTGAGCTATAATTCACATAAAACTCACCCACTTAAAATGTACAATGCAGTGGTTTTTAGTATAATTACAGAGTTGCACAACCATGATCACGATTAATTTTAGAACGTTTTTATCACCCTCCAAAAGAAACCTGTACTCATTAGCAGTTACCTTCATTACTCCCCAAATCCCCTAGTCCTAGAGAATCACTGATGTATCTGTCTCTATAGATATGCCTATTCTAGAAATTTCATACAGATGGAATTATATAATTGGGGGGGCTTTTGTGACGGGCTTCTTTTACTGAACATAGTTTTCAGAGTTCATCCATGTACTAATACTTCATTTCTTTTTATTGCCAAATGCTACTCCATTGCATGATTATACCACATTTTGTTTATTCTTCATCAGTTGATAGACATTTGGGCTGTTTCCACTTTTTTGGACTATAATAAATAGTGCTTGCTGCTGCAGTGAACATCGTGTACAAATTTTTGTATGGATGTATGTTTTCATTTCTCTTGGACACGTACCTAGTCCTGGATTTGCTGGGTCATGTGGTAACTCTATGTTTAACATTTTAAGGAAACTGCCAAACTGTTTTTCAAAGTGGCTGTACCAGTTTATGTTCCCATTGCCAAGGTATGAGGTTTGTTCTCTCGCCATATCCTCACCAACACTAGCTACTGTCTGTTTTTTTTCTTTTAGCCATCCCAGTGGGTATGAAGTAGTATCCCATTGTGGGTTTGATTTGCATTTCTCTAATGGTTAATAATATTGAGCACCTTTTCATCTGCTTATTGGCCATTTATATGTCTTTTTTGGAGAAATACCTGTTTAAATCCTTTGCCCAGTTTTTGATCATATTTGCCTTTTTATTGTTGAGTTGTAAGAATTCTTTACATATTCTAGATACAAGGCTTTTATCAGATAAACGGCTTAAAAATGTTTTCTTTCATTCTGTGGCTTGTCCATTTTCTTTTTTTCTTCTTTTTTGTTACTTTTTAATTTTTATCATTTTAAAAATTTTCTGTTCATTTTCTTGATGTATGTATACTTTGAAGCACAAAAGTTTTTAATTTTGATGATGTTCAGTTTATCTTTTTATTTTGTCACTTATATTTTGTGATTTGTGTCTAAGAAACCGTTGCCTAATCCAAGGTCATGGAGATTTACACCTATGTTATGGTTTTCTTAGTGGAAAATATCCTTTTTGCCACATAGCTCAAATATTATTCTTATTTTCCTAAGTTTTATGGTACAAACATCTGTCAACATAGTTGAAAGCACATGAATTTTTGAGAATACAATAAATGCAGGTTTTCTTGGAGGCCAGGTCATATCTGGGAGAGTAGTGGAAAATGAGACCAATGCAGGAAGAACTTGGAGAGTCCATCTAGGTACAAAGATCCCTGGGAATATAATTGTTGTTAGAACAAATCAACCAGAACCTCCTCAAAATGTTCTTTGTGGTTCATGCCATAGGAGCACTTATTTAAATATTTTTGTCTGAAATTAATTTCTATCTAAAGCATCTTATTAAAATAGTGAATGAAAACCTGAAAGGTGCTTGGAAGGGGCCCCAAATGGACTAACCCTATATAGAATTTAATGCCATACTAAGTTGTTATCTAGCAAAATTCCAGTGGGAAAAATTACAGCTAACACATGTATGTAAATAGGTGACTATACTTGCTTGTGGGGTAGAGGTGGTTCTCTACAGCTTAGCATGGTCTTCAGTGTTCAGATTACCTGAGCTCACCCTTTTTAATAGACAGCATTTAATAGAGCAGGGTAGTATGTTAGAGCAGTGCTTCTCAAATGGTCTGTGATGAAGACCAGTTTATTTTCTTTTGAACTTGGAATAGGACAATAATTTTATAAAATGCAAGAAACATAAATAACTAGAAAAATTAAATTTTAAAAGACATACAACATACAACTCCCACATTTTCAATATTAGATTAAACAGGCATAAAGTAACTCTGTCAAATTGCTGTTCTGTACTTGTCCGAGGACCACACTTTCAGAAGCAGTGGTTTAGAGGGAGAACTATCCTGATAAGCTTATGCCAGGGCTTGGATTACCTGTATGTGAAGTTGATTAGGAGATCTCTTTGACTAGAATGTATACTCAGGGGTAACAGGAGATGATTATGTCTTCCAAGAGATGAGGCCAAAAATTTAGCTATTCTTCATTCTGTAGGGTAAAAAGATTCTAACAGGAAGGAGGAGGGTGTAATAAAATAGAAATGGCATCTCTAGAAATAATGTTCATGTTTAAGATTGATTATAGGGAGGAAAATGAAACACAATGAGCCTTTCAAAAAATAAGTCATGAGACTTTGGGCAAAAAACAAACAAATAAATATGTGGTCAAGTCTGAGGCTGTGGAAGTAAAAATGGAGCAACAGCAGAAGTATTCAGTGAGCCTCTCTTACATGCTGAATATGGTTCCCAGCACTTTACATATATAATCTCACTTAATCTTCACAACAATCCCATGTGGTATTATTATTATTATCATTTGGGACAGGCACTCACTTTGTCACCCAGGCTGGAGTGCAGTGACCTCAAGTGATCTGCCTGCCTTGGCCTCCCAAAGTGCTGGGATTGCAGGCATGAGCCACTGCACCTGGCCTATGGTTTTGATTTTATTTTGATTTTGTTTTTAGAGATAGGGTCTCACCATGTTGCTTAGGCTGGTCTCAAACTCCTGAATGCAAGCCACCCTCCCACCTCAGCCTCCCAAGGTGTTGGGGTTACAGGCGTGAGCCACTGCACTTGGTCAGATCTTAACATTTTGTAAGGGACCTTTTATACTCTACTTCTAGTCATGTAGCTTCTCCGAACTACATGCTTAGGTTTTTAAGGTCCTGTGTCTACCTTGAATATAATAAAGTATTTCACCTAGCCTGCTTTGAGTCCTGTTAGTGCCATGCCTTTTAAAATGAGCTAACCCTCTAGTAGAGCAATTATATAGGAATTTTTTTTTTTGCCTGAGTTTTTTGTTTGTTTCGAAAAACAGAAAAGAAATAGAATAGAGTATGTGATTAGTCATACATGCTATTTTTTCCCCACACCAAGACTTACACCAAGAACTTGCACTAATTGTTCTAAAGAATTGCATACTCCACACTATTGGCACTCTGTAGATGTCAAATAATAACTCCTTGGGGAGTAGGAGAGGTCTTTTGTTAAAATGGAGTGCAATGTTCATTGCCATTTGAGATATATGTTCCTTGATAAATGGCCCAGATATTTGCAGTTGTCTTTTATCAAGCATTCATAGCCCTGTCATCTGTATCTTCTTTCGAAAGAAGATCATCGGAAGAATTGTCTATTTTTCTTACATGTTACTAAAAATGAATTTTAATTTAAAACATAGCCAATATTTTTGTTCCCTGTAGGAGCCTAGTATTTTATGACTCACTCCTACTTTTAACAAGGGAAACATTGCCCTTGAATATATTTGTGTACCAAGCATGAGAGTTAATAGTTACCATCTTTTCATATGGGTAGAGTTGTTGCTCTAGGGAAGTGGAGGAAGAGTCTAATAGGTTTTCGCAGCCTGTGAGAGGAGGAAAAGAATATCAACATTAACTTAAACCTATCTGCATGAAATAAGTTTAAAATCTTTTTTTTTTTTTTTTTTGAGATGGAGTCTCGCTCTTGTTGCCCAGGCTGGAGAGCAGTGGCATGATCTCGGCTCACTGCAACCTCCGCCTCCCGGGTTCAAGTGATTCTCTTGCCTCAACCTCCCGGGTAGCTGGGATTACAGGCATACCCTGTAATCTACCACCATGCCCAGCTAATTTCTGTATTTTTAGTAGAGATGGGGTTTCATCATGTTGGCCAGGATGGTCTCTATCTCCTGACCTCATGATCTGCCCACCTTAGCCTCCCATAGTGTTGGGATTACAGGCGTGAGCCACAGCGCCTGGCTTAAAAATCATTTTTAACTTATTAAAAGTCAGTATAATATTATTACTTTTTCCCCCATTCTTTTTTTTAGTGGGGAGTATGATGCATAAGACATTTTGGGTTGTGTTAGCTAAAAATAGCCCCAAAAGCTTTTTTTCCCAGAACAAGAAGATTATCCAGAAAAAAAAAGAGCTGTGATCTTTCTTCCACCTGGGGGAAATGGGTGTGAATCTCTCTGTGGAGGGAGCTATGCTGGTCCCTCATTTCTGGTGTGAACACATTTGTGCCACTGCAGGGCTGTAGCCAGATTACTGCTTTTGGACCAAGGACCACTGTCTGGGCTGACCAGTCAGCACCAGTAATTAATGAATAGTGGTAAGCGCAGGTTCGAAAAAATACCAAGAGAGTTATTTCTTTCAACAGTAAATAAAAATGAAAAGGCTCCCATTTTATATTAATTGGATATTCTTTTTATAGTTTGTCCCCAATCATACATACAGATTTTTTGAAATAACTATTTCCCTTTTATGTAAGTCTAAGAACTTTTGTGCAGGTTTAATTTTGAGATAAATTCTGGGGGTATGTGGGAAGTTATGCTGTTTACAAAAAGCAGGGAATTGAAATAGATGGCATAGAACTTGTAAGGCTACCATCCTTTTTTTTTTTTTATTTTTGAGACAGAGTTTCACTCTTGTCGCCCAGGTTGGAATGCAATGGTGCGATTTCGGTGCACTGCAACCTCCACCTTCTGGTTTCAAGTGATTCTCCTGCCTCAGCCTCCTGAGCAGCTGGGATTACAGGCGCCCACCACCACGCCCAGCTAATTTTTGTATTTTTAGTAGAGACAGGGTTTCACCATGTTGGCCAGGCTGGTCTGTAACTCCTGACCTCATGATCCACTCGCCTCGGCCTCCCAAAGTGCTGGGATTACAGGCGTGAGCCACTGCACCTGGCCAGCTACCATGCTTTCTTTCTCTTTCTTGATCACCCTCCCAGTGACTGAGGACAAGAAAATGAAGACTGTGCATCATACTCTTCATTAGAGGCTGAGCTACCCTTCTGTACATTCAAGGAACTCTGACTTACTGAAAGGAAACTGCTAACAGCCACCTCTCTTTCCTTCTGTTTCCTAGACCTACAATGGTAAAAATTTACCAGAGAGGATCTTCTGTAAAGTATGCTTTTTAGGCCAGGTGTGGTAGCTCACGCCTGTAATCTCAATGCTTTGGGAGGCTGAGGCAGGAGGATTACTTGAGCCCGGGAGTTTGAGACCAGCCTGGGCAATGTAAGAGAGACCTCCTCTCTCCAAAAAAACATTTTTTTTAATTAGCACCCAAAGTACCAGCTACTTGGGAGGCTGAGGTGGGAGGATCACTTGAGCCCAGGAGCTTGAGGCTGCAGTCAGTGAGCTATAATCATGCCACTGCACTCCAGCCTGGGAGACACAGTGAGACCATCCCCCCCCGCAAAAAAAAGGCTTTCTGGTCTTATCCTTAACATATGTATCTATTTAAATAGAATGTAAATTATCATTTTACTGATACTGACTTAAATAATTATTTTGTATATTTTGTGATTCCAGTTTACTTTGCACCCTTGATTTAGCATAGGAAGGGAAACAATCCATGTTTATTTGGAGGACAAATGTACAGTCACTGTGATAATCTGGATTGTTTTCTGCTTTAGGCAATTAAATCAGAATTGTATATTTGTCCATGGGTGATTTTTGATGGTGATATGCCATTACTGTAACAACAGGCTACATTCTTGGTGGCTACTAATTGCCTCCAGAATTAAGAGGACATGGAGGGTTTTTTGTTGACAAGACACATAGTGTTTGTAGAACATGCAAAAAGGGTGCTGTCAGAGCTACTTTATTCAGAATCAGCAGCTCACTGACTGCAGTGACTGTAAAAGATGAGACTCCTGGGATTTACCAGTGACTTACTACTGCCTTGTCTCTGTGATTGCTGACAAATGCTATGCTGTTACTTGGCTTCTGGGAAATGGAAAAGGTAGAGTGGGCTTTGGCCTTGGAGTGCTTCTGTGGAAAATATAACAGTAGATAGAACACCTGCTTTCATATTCTACTTCTTCATTCAACTACCGAACGGATCATTTTAATCGCCCTCTAGATGTAGCAAAAACAAGAGAGTGAGGGGTTTCAATGCATGCTAATGGTAGTACCATATTCCTTTTAAGGATGAAATAAGTTTCTTAGCCTTTAATTTTCAGGCAGCCTTGCTGTATTTTGTATTAAATGGATGAGTCATCTTTTTATATGTAAATCACTGCTTTATTTTGAAATCACAATACTCTAATATAAATTCCCTTTAAAAACACAGCTTATATAAATGTTTATATAATCCTTAACTACTGGGCAGATGGTTCCATTTCACTTTTCTGAATCATGATTTGGGTTTTTCCCCCCAAAACAAATCCATTTAAGATAGACTATCTCACCAGGTGCAGTGGCTCATGCCTATAATCCCAGCATTTTGAGAGGCTGAGGCAGGTGGATCACCTGAGGTCAGGAGTTTGAGACCAGCCTGGCCAACATGGCGAAGGCCCGTCTCTACTAAAAAATACAAAAGTTGACTGGGTGTGGTGGCATGTGCCTGTAATCCTAGCTACTCAGGAAGCTGAGGCAGGAGAAATCGCTTGAACCTGGGAGGTGGAGGTTGCAGTGAGCCGAGGTGGAGCCACTGCACTCCAGCCTGGGCAACAGAGCAAGACTCTGTCTCAAAAAAAAAAAAAAAAAAAAAGATAGACCATCTCAAGTTTATGGTGAACTTTACTGTCGAGTCAAGTCATGTAACACTTAGCAGACCTGTGAGCTGACATTAGTAGCTGTTGTTTATATAACGAGACTTCCCCTTTTGAAATGCTTTATAATGAGCAACGCTTGTCCTATAGGATATTTGTCCAGCCAAGCAGTTTATTCTCTAAACATAGTTCTATATTTATTCTACTGATGTCATCAACTAAAAATTAATTTCTAGGCCAATATTCTATCATGTTCTTCAGCCAGGTGATCACACATCACAATCTGGCCCTGTTTCACCTCCTCTCCCACTCCCCCCAGGCAGTACCCTAGCTATACTGAGGACCTGACCCATTGTTCCTGAAACCCAAGCATTCTCACATCTCAGCAACTTTGTACACACCATTTCTTTGCTCACCTGGAGTGCTGTCCCGCCCTGACTCTCCCCAAACCTGTTTGCCTGATGACAGCCTGGCTCAGTTGAGCCCTAGGGTTACCTCTTTGTTAAAGCCTTCCCTGACTCGCTATCTACCCTTCACTCACTATCCACTCTTCATGTTAGAGACATGTGGGGCATTTCCATGTTGAGCTCACGTGTCTGCTTCACCACTGTAGAGTAAGTGCCTTTTCTCCTTTGTATTCTCAATACCTAGTGCAGTACTTGGTTGGCTGAATGAACAAAGAGGCAGCCTGTGTCATGTTTATCCTTTTTTATTCCTTTATACTATTAAAAGAGGGAGGAAGTGAAGAGCCCATGTTATTTGAAAATACTGTGAACACAATGGCTGTGTATTAAAAAGCATACTGAAATCATGAATCAGTGGCAACCTTCCACAATATTGTGAAGAAGGTGGTTCCCCAAGACTTCCTTATAAGGTTGAACTCATGCAGCTCATTGGGGACTAAAACCTTAAAGAGAAATGGAGGCTGGGCATGGTGGCTCACGCGTGGAACCATGAAAACGCCCCTGGCCGTACGTGCAGGGATCTCTACATAATGACACCAAAAGGCTGAAAGATTTGTTAAGAATAACAAAAACCACTGTAAAGAATTACTGGTCTACATAGTTTACTCTGAATATTTGTGTAACATGAACTGTAGAGGATACAGGATGGGCTTGGATGTTATTTTCAGTGGACTAGGGAAGCAATATTTCTACCTTGGTTTTAAGTATAGAACAACATTTGAAGAGTTAAATTATCTGCTGGGGCAGTTTTATAGTAAAATTTCAAAAGATACAGAACTGATGAGTTCTGTAAAAAATCGAAGTACCAGAATGAGGGGAAACAAATTAGGGATGAAGACAAGGTAGAAGGATTTACATGGGAAGCCTTGTTAGGTGCTACTGGCATCAATAAGTAACTGTCCAGCATAGCTTAATGAGATGCTTTAAGAGGCTGATCTTCCTTGATGCACTGTCTGGTGCTGTGTTAGGAGGATAAAGCTGGCTTTGATGCTTGTACCAAAAAACTGTACTCTAAGTCAAAGGCAGAAATTTGGTTCTTTTTAAAAATTGAGACATAATTCACGTACCATAAAAAACAGCCTTTTAAAGTATACTGTTTGGTGTTATTTGTATATTCAGAGGGTTGTACAACCATTACCACTATCTAATTCCAGGACATTTTCATCACCCCCAAAAGAAACCCCGTACTCGTTAGCTATCGCTTCTCACTCCTGCCTCCCTCAGTCTTTGGCAACCTCTAATATTTTCTGTGTTTGTGGGTTCACCTATTCTGAATGTTTCATTGGAATTATATCATGTGTCGCCCTTTGTGTCTGGCGTCTTTCACTTAGCCTGATGTTTTCAAGGTCCGTCCATGTAAGCATGTATCAGTACTTCACCTCTTTTCAAGGCTGAATTGAGAAATGCAGCTCTTGATCAAAAATCAGATGAGCAAAAGACATTTTGTTACTTCCTGCTATGGGAAATTTTATGGAGTGAAATGAATGCCATCGTAGACTAGGTTCTGAAGTTTGGTCACTGGGAAAGACTTCAGGAATGCTACTGTAGTTGTAGTTAGGTTTTTTAACTTGGAGAAGCAAGGAAGAGAGCACAGCAGGGGAACTGTGGGCATCTCAGAGGCATAAAGGTCTTTTTGTAAGGTTTAGATTTATGTTGAATGATTCTAAAGAAGGACCAGGAAGAGAGGATCAACATTGGATTGGGTGGCATCACGAAGCAGGGGCAGTTTAGTAACTGGATATCTTAACAATCTCTGTTCAGGATGGAGAAGGAACAAAGAGGGGCTGGGGAAGTCATTGGCAAGAAAGCAGTAATCACAAAATGAGTGATTTTGCAGCTCTGGTATGGCCTTGGCAGAAATATTTTCTGTTGGCTATGCCACTGGCCTTGTCTGTGCATGTAAGAGACTGCAGAACTGATTTGCACCCTCTCACATGAGAGGGATACACTCTGGTTCTACGATTAAGGAGCAAGTAGACTTGGCAAGGTGAGGCAAATAAAATACAGCCAAACTACTAAACAGAACTGACCATTCACCCATTGAAGGTGGTAACCCTTGACATAAAATCTCTTTAATGGGAACAATCATTTTATTTTATGTAATGAAGTGTTACCTGATTTAAAAAAATTATTTAATGGTCTTCTGGTACAATATGAATTATGAATTACCAGAAGAAGGCAAGGAGTTGGACTTCTTAACCAACTAATTAATTAAGCACCATTTATTGCCTGCTATGTGATGACCTTCGTGCTAGGTATTTTGTATATATTGTGTATATTTTCTCTTATGGGTTTAGATACTAATAATTAATCCCTTTTTATTCAGCCAAAACAGTATGTGTAAATATGCCTGTTTGCCAATATAGTCACTCATTTACAAAGTCACTATAGTTAGAGCTAGGCTCTAGGAATGAATAAGACATGGTCCCTATCCATTAGATTATAATAGTGCTGTTCAACAGAACTTTCTTTCTTTTTTTCTTTTTTGAGAGAGAGTCTTGCTCTCTTACCCAGGCTGGAGTGCAGTGGAGTGATCCCGGCTCACTGCAACTTCTGTCTCCCGGGTTCGAGTGATACTCATACCTCAGCCTCCCGAGCAGCTGGGATTATGGGTGTGTGCCACCATGCCTGGCTAATTTTTGTATTTTTTGTGTAGAAATTGGGTTTTGCCATGTTGGCTAGGCTGGTCTTGAACTCCTGGCCTCAAGTGATCTGCCCACCTCAGCCTTCCAAAGTGCTGGGATTGCAGGCATGAGCCACTGCACACAGAACTTTCTGTGACAATGGAAATGTCCTATTCTGCATGGTCCAGTATGGTAGTCACAGCCACATGTGGCTTTTGAGAAGTTGAAATGTGGCTCATGTGACTGAAGAACTGAACTTTAACTTTTATTTATTTTCAATTAATTTAAATATTCATAGTGGCATGTGAGGCTAGTGGCTATCATTAGATAGCACAGCTCTAGAAATTCACAGTCAAATGATAGAAAAACAGGTAATCACAATTCAGGGTGTGATGTATCCTCCAATACAGGTCCCTATAAAATGCCCTAGAAGCTCAAGAGATGCTTCTGGTGGTGGAAGTGACAAGAAAAACGCCCAGCAGAGAGGAGATAACATGGAAGTGAGACTTTGAAAACAAAATAATAATAATAATACAAAGGGTGGGGAGGGAGTGGAGGAGGTTCATTTCAGGCAGATTTGCAGAATCCTTGAGGCATTAGGAACATGTATGCAAGTTCCAGAAAAGCCATGTGGCTTGGTAGGGTCAATTGTTTAGTGGTTATTATAATATAATAATGTTGTATATAATATAATAGTTATATATAATATAATAATGACAAAAATGGCTTTTATGGTAAAGGGTAAAGATTAAAAACAATTTTAACACAGCATTTATTTTATGGTATACATTGTTAGAAGAACTGCCATATTTGTCATTTACAATAGTCATTAGCATTCTCATTTCACAGAGAGAAAATTGAGGCCTAGAAAGTTAAAGAAATTTGCCAGGGAAGACACAAGGACTGGAGAGTCAGGATTTGAATCCAGGCCTGTTTGACTTAGAGATCAATCTCTTCACAATATGTCTTTCAATTTAAATTTTTCTCAGTTTGGCATTGTGATGAATTTCCCTTGGTATGTGTCCCATGATTCATTTCTGGCCATTAGACATCTTCTATTAGTTTTTTGTCTCTAATTTCATATTTAAAATATTTTCTGGCTAAGAGATAGGTATTATAAGATGAGTCTATCCCATTAACAAAGAATTTCATGAACTCAGATTTTGGAAATTACTAAAAATGTCTCTTCTTTTTCTGTATAGTTATGGCACTAGGAGCCTTTTATATCCTAAAATGGGGTGGTTAGGGAATTCGTCAGTTAAATTGGAGGACCCAGTCCATTCATTCCCAAATTTGAATGGGCTCCTGTGACCATCAGGTCAGAGAACCTTGCTTCCTCATGGTGAGGAACGGCTTGTTATTCAAGCCTCTCCACATCTTAACCTAAAGGTCATGACCCTAACCTCTGACTTCTTTTTTTTCTTTTTACTCTTCCTAAGAGCAAATCTTAGTGACTGGACAGAGGCTTTGCTTTTCTTAGTGAAGAGGAACTGGATATCTGCACCTGTACGGCAGGCAGGGTCAAGTCCTGAAAATGTCCCTTCTGGCTGGAAAGTGTGCTTTGTGAGGACTTTTTTGTTTTGTTTTTTCTTTTCAGATGCGGAAGAACTCACTTAATGTTATTTGCTGAATTTCCCTAAAAATCCATGACAGAGTCATAGTAAGATTCATCTAACATTTGTACCTGCCAGGCCTTGAGCATATGCAGGAGTATAATAAACAACACCTGCTTCAAGGAGCGCCCTCCACTGCTAATGCAGGATGAGAGGACAGAAGCAGGCAAGTCCTCCTGGAGGTCTTTCAAGGAGGGCAGGACTTACCTGAGGAGAGAAAGGTCAGGCTATATGTGGAACACAGGTAGGGACAAAGGCACAGGGTAGAGGGAAAGAGTAGAATGGTTTGACTGAAGTAGAAAATTCAACTTTGGCTGCACATGAAAATCACCTGCGGAGCTTTAACAACACTTCTCTATTACTAAAAAGTCAAAAAACAATGGATGCTGGTGAGGCTGCAGAGCAAAGGAACACTTACACACTGTTAGTGGGAGTGTAAATTAATTCAGCCACTATGGAAAGCAGTTTGGAGATATCTCAAAGAACTTAAAATAGAACTACAATTTGACCTAGGAATCCCATTACTGAGTGTATACCCAAAGGAATATAGCTCATTATACAAAAAGACACATGCCCTCACATATTCGTTGCAGCACTATTCACAATAGCAAAGACATGGAATCAGCCTAGGTGTCTGCCAATCAGCAGTGGATTGGATAAAGAAAATGTGGTACATATACACCATGGAATACTACACAGCCATAAAAAAGCATGAAGTTATGTCCTTTGCAGCAACATGCATACAGCCAGAGGCCACTATCCTAAGTGAATTAATGTAAGAACAGAAAAACAAATATCACATGTTCTCATTTATAAATGGGAGGTGGACACTGGGTACACACAGACATAAAGATGGAACAGTAGACACTGGGGACTACTGGAGGGGATGGAGAGAGGGTGGCAAGGGTTGAGAAACTACTTATTGGGTACTACTTTCAGTTCCTGGGTGATGGGATCATCCATACTCCAAACCTCAGCATCACTCAGTTTACCCATATACCCCTTGAATCTAAGATAAAAGTGGAAATTATTTTTAAAAAATCACCAGTACATACACATAAATGAAAAAAATACAACAGCACCCCAATCATTCAGCTTTTCTTTGTTTTTTGTTTTTTTTTTTTTGAGACAGAGTCTCACTTGGTTGCCCAGGCTGGAGTGCAGTGGCGTGATCTCAGCTCATTGCAACCTGCACCTCATGGGTTCAAGCAGTTCTCCTGCCTCAGCCTCCTGATTATCTGGGACTATAGGCACATGCCACCACCCCTGGCTAATTTTTATATTTTTAGTAGAGACGGGGTTTCACCGTATTGGCTAGGCTGGTCTCGAACTCCTGACCTCAAGTGAGCCACCCTCCTCGGCCTCCCAGAGTGCTAGGATTACAGGCATGAGCCATCATTCTGCTTTAATTGATCTAAGGTATAGCTTGAGCATCAGGATTTTTGAGTTTTACACATGATTTTAGTGTACAGCCGAGGTGAGGGACCATTGCTAGAGTCTCTTTACGTAGAATGTGGTTCTCTGACCAGCAGAGCCGCCCCACCTGGAAGCTTTTTAGAAATGCAAAATGTCAGGCCCCATTCCCAGACCCAGGGAAACAGAATTTGCATTTTCACAAGATCCCAGGTAACCCCTATACACATTAAAGTTTGAGAAGCACTGCTGTAGAGAAAAGATGAGAAATATGGTTGCAGAGGGCCTGATTACCTAACCAGGTTTCCCAGCCCTTATACTGGGCTGGGCATGAATTACAGGTGTGCAGTGATAATACTGTCCCCTCAAGCCATTAGGAATGCTTGTACTTCTTGTCGGCAAGAAGTCTCCTCTGGTTATCTCTTTGTGCTCCTCGGATATTGCAAGTTCTTTGGGCGCCTTGAGGGAAAAGGGCAGGGGAGCACCAGCCACAGAGCACCTGTCAGGAGTGGGGATCCCCTGAAGATTTGTGATCAAAGGATGTTATGTGTGTCATGTTGTGATGGAAGAAGGTCTTGACAGAGACATATAGAATGGACTGTGTTGGGGGTGATCTGGGGTCTGGGAGGCATGTTAGGAGAAAGTTGCAATAATTCACACACAAGGTGAGAGAAGCCACAACTAAGGAGCATGGTCATGCTTAAGAATCGGGATAGCACTTATATACCATTCCCAAGTCTTCAGAGCAAAGCTTGGAAGGAATTTCAACAGATTCCCTTATGCCTTTCTGAAGACACCTTTTAACTTTGTTTTTGTTTTGGTTTATGCTTGTGTGGCATTATCTCTAAGGGTAGGGAGAATTCTGATGATTAAAATCTGCTTGGCATAAATAAGGTCATAAACATTCAGCACTCACTCTGCATGACCCCCTAGTTCTTGGTGGGTGGGATCATCTGACTTGAGGGTTATTAGTGGATTTCAAAGGAGAAAGGAAAACAATGATGGCCATCATTTGGTGACTGGGCAGTGAGGAGGAGTTTTAGGAAATGGGGAGGTTAAAAGTCCAAGTATGAAAGGCTTGCTTTTGTGGAATCAGGACTATATACTCCAGTAGGGACAGCCCTCAAAAGGGAACCCACACATTACAGGAGATTGTTTTATTTGGAAATAAATGTTGAAATTATTGGTATGTCAAACTGATTTATTCTTCAGGGCCAAGCTAGAATTGTACCTCTTCTGGGAATTCTTCCCTAGTTACCCCAGTTCACTGTGCGTCCACATTCACTCTCAGTCTCAGGCTCTATTTCTTGTTCTCCTTTTCTCTCTTTCTCTCTTTGTCTCTCTCACTTCCTAAAATTCTCTTTACTAGTTCAACAAGTATTTTTTTAGTTTCGATATTTGAAAAGTAACTGTGGTATCTACTTATTTTCTAATAACTCACTTAGAGTTTATTTCATTTTTCTGATTTATGATTATATCTTATCTCCAAAAATACATGGTAAGCACCTTGAGGACGTGGACCATATCTTATTCTTCGTTGTCTTCTTAGGGCTTTTTGCTAAGTATGTACAAATAATGATGATTTTCTAAGATGAGTCATTTCCTTGGGGGATTTGTGACTTTATAAAATAGCTATTTTCAAGGGTGCTCCTGACTGAATGTAACCAATTAAAAATACTTTGCCATATACATTTGTGTTTTTCAAGTTTGTAATATTTCCAATGAAAAAAATGAAGGCTGAGGCAGGAGAATCGCTTGAGCCCAGGAGTTTGAGACCAGCTTAGGCAACATAGTGAGACCTCGTCTCTATGCAAAATGTAAAAATTAGCTGGGTATGGTGGCGCATGCCTGTAGTCCCAGCTACTTGGGAGGCTGAGGTAGGGGGATCACTGGAGTCTGGGAGGTTGAGGCTGCATATGAGCTGTGATCATGCCACTGTACCCCAGCCTGAGCAACCAAGCGAGACCCTGTCTCTGGGGAGGGGGTTGAGGAGGAATTGAGGGTGTAGGAAGGAAAGGCTAAAGAATCTTCAAAAGGCTGGGCCTGGTGCCTTACGCCTGTAATCCCAGCACTTTGGGAGGCTGAGACGGGCAGATCACGTGAGGTCAGGAGTTCGAGACCAGCCTGGCCAACATGGTGAAATCCTGTCTCTACTAAAAATACAAAAATTAGCCAGGCATGGTGGCAGGTGCCTGTAATCCCAGCTACTCGGGAGGCTGAGGCAGGAGAATCACTTGAACCCTGGAGGCGGAGGTTGCAGTGAGCCTAGATTGTGCCTACTGCACTCCAGCCTGGGTGATAGAGCAAGACTCAGTCTCGAAAAAAAAAAAAAAAAAATCTTCAAAAATACAGTAAATATCCAGTATTCATTTTAAGCTACATGGTTTAAAATTAAGCCAGAAAATATTCGGATCTTTTTGTGCTTTCAATGACTCATTTCAAAACAAGTTTTTTAAAAATTATAAATATATAGACTCTTAGTAAATATCCCTGTTTTCCTCACCTTTTTATATGGTACTCATTTTCCTTAGTTGCTTTTCTCCTCCTACCATTTGGGTTTCTTTTTTTTTTTTTCTTTCTTTCTTTCTTTCCCCTCTGTTCGGAAGTGATACCATTTGTCGTAGGAAGGTAATCCCTGGCTGTGTTTGTCATCAAGAGTGTCACTAGCCATCTGGATGTGACCCACTAAGATGTTTAAACCGTTAGATTGTATTTTATGGGCAGTGTATTGAACTTAAATGCTTTAACAATTTCACTTAGTTTCAAATCTTGACATGCTATTTTCACGCCCTTTCTTGGAATTCTGAAACCTAGTTATTTGCCAAATTCAAAAGGCAGATATATTTTGAAACTTGGGACTACTGAAAATTGTCAGTGTCACCTAAATTTTGAAGGGGAAAATATTTTAATTGTAGTCTGTTATGATATTAGACATTATGATAAAATAAATGTATATTACATATAGAATACCAGCTAGAGCTTGACCAGAAAGAATGAAACTACTTTACTGAAATTAAATCAACGCTTTAAAAAAAAATCTAAACCTGGAGAAAATCTTTTTAAAGAATTCCTTAATGCATCGATCAGTAGTTTATATCCTTAAAGAATTCTTTATGGTATAATAACATTTATAAGAGAACAGAAATAAGCCATTTCCTAACATTAGCTTTTCTGCCTACGGAGGTCATAAAAATTGTTAATGCAGATGAGGTTGCCTTCTGTTGTGTGATGCTAATAGGAAATGGATCATTGCAGTTTATGGGGTACTTAGCCATTTTGGTTCATGATAAATGGCTGACTTCAAGTGACATTCCTTCACGGATTTCCCACTATTCATCACCTGAAAGAATGGAACCCAAACATGAAGTTGATTTTGAAGTTGTCAGGAGTTTCACTGTGGTGTAAATCCATCATAAGCCAATGTTTTCATTGATTTAGGAAGAAATTATACAAATAGAAACACTCTTAAATGTTTTATGCTTCTATTTTCTTTTGCTCCAAAGCCAGTTTTGTGACTCTCTTATCCTGCTCTAACTTCTGTTACCTCTTCCCTTTCCCATCCCCCTCTCTAAACATTCTCTTTTGAAAACGCCCCAGATTTTATCTTTGCAGAGATGCTTTGATGTAATTACGTTGTTTTAATCTATAAAATCAACCCAACATAAGCAGAAAGAATGGAACATATTTTCACCTAGTCTGTCCATCTGGGTGGCAGGTTTTATACTAGTATGGAGGACTTCTTCCACTGCTGTGTTCTTGCTGTTATCCTATTTTCTTTCCTTTTTCATCATCTTTTCTTGAAACACTCCCTCCTCACCCCTTCTTCCCCAACAGGACACACACACCATCCGTGTGTGAGGGGTGGTGGGGGGAGGGAGGCTGCCTATTTGAACAAGATCACATTATCTAGGATCTTGCTCTTAGAAAATTATTCCCTAGCTTACTTTCAGGGAGGCATTGTAAGACTTACTCAAGATCTAGTCATGCCTCACATGTGCCTAAAGGAAGTTTGAGTCTTTCCTGTGTTTTCTTGATGTCTGTGATGTTTATCTCTGAGGTAGAGCCTGTGTTTAATTCAGTAGCATGATGCTTTCTGTGCTACTGGCATTTGAGAGTGTTTGATATCTGGCAGGATGCTATTCGGAAAAGAGAATGTAAATATTCCTGCATGTTGTCTTAGAAGCATTTAATGTAACTGACTGAGATAATTTGCCATTTATTTCATGGCTTCTTAAAGGGATTTTGAGCCTCCTTATCTATGTGCATTGTTAGAGTGAAGCTGACAACAGGTTATTTTGTTTGCTTTGTAAAACTTAACAGGAGGAGGCCATCCTTGGCTTTCCTTGAGGTGCTGGTATCTTGGAAGGGAAGCTAGCCAAACTTTTCCTCCCAGAGGCTGTCTTTTGACACAGAACATTTTAGTTCCTACCAGATTTCTCTGAGAGGCTTTCATGGAGCCCAGTTACCCCTTCCCAGTTACCCCTTTTAGCAAATGATATTCATGAATACTGTGCTCACAAAGAAATTTAGGTCAATAAATGGAAAGCATTTGAGATATCTGGACTCTTTTCATGTTCTAGAACCCCAGATGCTAGGGAAATTTTGGGAGAAAGCCTAGAAGTGGTAGAATTTAAATATTAGTTAGGTTTCTTATGGCCATCTTTCCTAAGGAAACTCTAGAAATAGCTCATGGGATATAATTTAATTACATGGTCTTAGATAAATCCTCATCAGTCTTTTATAGCTGGTTATGATATTTGATGAGATAAAACAAACGAACTTTTTTTCAGATTTATTGAATAAGAATCACTAATCTTGAATATTTATTCAGCTCAGCTCAAACCAATTAGCAAACTTTAAAAATGGCCAGTTCTAATATGGTACAGGCCATTGAAGCATATTCATAACTTAATTTTTGGCCTGCGTTTGCATGATCTGGCCATTGCTGGCACGAGGAATTGGAAGGAGGTTGCTTAAGGGAGGAAGAATGGACTAAGGGAGAAAAAGGAGGAAACTCAGGAAGAGAGGCTGAGAACATAGATACCCTGGTAGACATACTTTTGACAGCATTTACCACATTTTAACTCTGGTATGTTGAAATGAACATTGATAGCCTTTTACTTTCTTCCTTCTCTGTTTTGTTTCTTCTTCTCCTCCTCCCCTCCCATGTATGGCTATAAATATGTTGAAACTAAGGAAAAGCCAACTAAGATCTAAGGTATGCAACTTTTTCTGGGATGGAGGGTGGAAGATTCAAAGAAAGACACCTTGTTACCCAAAGAGTGCCTTGGGAATGAATAGTAAGTAGTAGTATGCTTTTTTGGAGGAGGTGGGGGTTCCACATTCAGAGGATTTTAATTATTACTGTCAAAAGACAAAATTACAACAAATTTAGTTTTATATCTAATTGGCTTTTATTTGCAATTCATGAAAGAGGACAGCCTCCATTCTACAAAATAGAATGAGAGCTCCTACTAGGCAATGGCAGAATAGTGGGTTTTGTAAGGTGGAAAAAAAATAGAACAATAGAGAGGGAAAGCTGATTGGTTAATATCAGATTATTTCAGGTTACTGTTTTGTAAGGGTTAAAGCAGAAGGACTTCCTTACTGTACTGCCTCAGGCACACTGGGACATAGCGGCTTCCTTAAAGCCTCAGTTTGATGATGTGACATTTAACATGAGTGACTTCATTTTGGTTTGGTCTGGTCTGTTGGAGCTTAGTGCAGGAGTTCATTCCAAACAATGGCCTTCCATAATGTTTGTTTGTTTGTTTGTTTTGAGACGGAGTCTTGCTCTGTCGCCCAGGTTGGAGTGCAGTGGCGTGATCTCGGCTCACTGCAACCTCCCCCTCCCAGGTTCAAGCAATTCTCCTGCCTCAGCCTCACGAGTAGCTGGGACTACAGTCATGTGCCACCATGCCTGACTAATTTTTTGTATTTTTAGTAGAGACGGGGTTTCACCATGTTAGCCAGGATGGTCTTGATCTCCTGACCTCGTGATCCACCCGCCTCCGCCCCTGAAAGTGCTGGGATTACAGGCATGAACCACTGTGCCCGGCCTAATTTTTCTGTATTTAGCAGAGACAGGGTTTCACCATGTTGGCCAGGCTGGTCTCGAAATCCTGACCTCGGATGATCTGCCTACCTCTGTCTCCCAAAGTGCTGGGAGCCACCATGCCCAGCCCTATGTTTATTTAGCATTACTTTCACTCTACATTGGCAAGCCTTTTGAATGCAATGTGTTCTTGAAGTCTAGGTTTTCACATGGATACCTTTAAGGTGAACTTGAAGTTTTTATGCACTGTATTTTCACCCTCTGGGTGCAGTTACTGTCATCTGTTAGACTTGCACAGAAATCACCAACTAATCTCTTAGAATTAAACAAAAAATAGGGGGAGAAAAGTTCCCAAATGGAAAAATTCTTGTTCTTTTGTTTTTTAAAAAAATTCTGAAATATATTGGAAATAAATGTTTGGGAGAACTAAACTATTAAGCATAAATATAACATTTTTCCGGAGACTTTATAATTGATTTTGAAATTGTCACTAAAGAATTGGTTAGCTGTTAATGGTTTTCACTCTTCACTTACTGATTCAAAGGTGTGATGTTAGTTTTACCCTGTAGGCTGTTACTTTGCTTCTTTGCACTTCAAAAAGATCTAAGGTCATTCACTGATTATGACTTTGCCACTTCCGGCCCTATTGTCCTTACAAAGGGATTTCGTGAGTAACCTTACTGTAAAGAAGTCAGCCCAATGAAAAATTCTTGATATTTGCATGTCTATTAAATTTAACACGTTTGCTTTTTCATTTGAACCTTTAATTGAATATTTTTAATTGTATAATATAAGGTCATACTTATTGGGACTTGAGAGTTCGTCTTATGAGAGTTGAAATGCTTTTTGTTTACTTCCCTGGATTATGCAGTAAAGTAAACGAGGGTCAATCAGAAGCTGACACTGTGTTGGGGAACAGCCTAGTCAAGAGATGTTCACATTTCTGTGAAATTTTGTTGATCTACAACCAAAATAGCAAAAAGCATTAATGCATTCTTAACACCTTTTAGTCAGTTGCCCCCCCATAGAATTTACTCTTTTGATGTAGCAGTACTGATAAACCTTTCCTGCAATTGTCATGCCTCTTCTTAGATATCATCTGGGTGTGACCTATGTGTCAGGCTTAAACTATCAGAGCAATGCGTCTGGTTGTGAATCAGTAGAGTACTGCCTTGACTTACTTTCAAATCTTCACTAGTTAAGCCCATATTATTATTATTATTATTATTATTATTATTTCCTGATTGTGGTCATTCTCTGATATAAGTTATTGTCAGTCATACAGTCTTTGGTAGGGGAATAATTGAACAAAGTTGGCAAGAGCATTGAGCAAACAAAAGATGATATTTAAGTTTTTGTTTTTATGATTGCTACTTCACATCATTCTGTGTTTTTTCAGCACTTCACTATGTGAGGCACAACAGCCTATAGAGGACATTTAAAGACACAGTCCCCACCTTTCTCAAGTGTATGTTTTTACTATTTTTCATTTGGATTATTTAAAAAAAAAAGTACGTGTGACCTTTCCCTAGAACCCCAGATTTATGCATACAGCTGTCCAGTCTATATCTCCATTTGGATACAAATAGGTATCTGACATGTAAGATGTACAAAATGGGAAGAAGCAGACAGATTGGGAACCTATTCTGGAGATAGCCTTACTAGCAGATTGAATGGAGGATCTGTTTAGAGAAAGAAAAAATAAAAAATAACCCCTAGGTTTTTATAGCCTGAGCAGCTTGGTATTGTCAATAACTGAGAGGAGAGGGGGAATGGGAATGGAAAATGCTCATTCCCACCTAGGGGCTGTTATCTTAGCTGATCTTTGTCCTGGAATGCTCTTTCCCCAGATCTTCACATGGCTGACTTCTTCCTGTTGTTCAAGTCTTCCCTACAATGTCAACTATCAGAGAGGCCTTTCCTGAACATCTCATCTAAATTATATACCCCTCCCTCCTGTGTTAATCTTTTTTTTTTTTTTCCAGACAGAGTGTCGCTCTGTTGCCAGGCTGGAGTGCAGTGGCACGGTCTTGGCTCACTGTAACTTCCTCCTGGGTTCAAGCGATTCTCCTGCCTCAGCCTCCCGAGTAGCTGGGACTACAGGTGCCCACCACCATGCCCAGATAATTTCTGTATTTTTAGTAGAGACGGGGTTTCACCATGTTGGCCAGGATGGTCTCGATCTCTTGACCTCGTGATCCACCTGCCTTGGCCTCTCAAAGTGCTGGGATTACAGATGTGACCCACTGTACCCGGCCCCTATGTTAATCTTTATCCCATTACCTTATTTTATTTTATTCCTAGCAAAGATCACTATGTAAAGTTCTTATTGATTTACGTACCTGTTTGATTCCCTTACATAACTGTTCTATCTACCTCATTCTTGCTTGTCTCCATTTCAACCCCCTTTCAGTTATTGACAATATCTACCTGCTCTTTTTATTTTTTCTTTCTCTAAACAGATCCTTCATTCAATCTGCTAGTAAGCCTATCTCCAGAATGGGTTCCCAGCCTGTACGCTTCTTCCCATGTTCATATTCTCATTGTAGTTCCAGCCATCATTACCTGTTACTTGACTGACTACAATGGCCTTCTCTCCCCTGCAGTCTATTCTTCATGCAAAGCCAGAATGATTCTTTTAAAGCAGAAGTCAGATCCTCTCCAGCTGAAAACCCTATGGCAACTTCCCATCACTCTTGGAACAAAATCTAAATTCTTTGCCCTGTGAGACCCTGCTGGTCTGGTATCTAGCTACCTTTACTGTCTTATCTCCTATCACTTTCCTTTCACTTACTGGCCTTCTGACTATTCCCCAAGCCTGCCCAGCTCATTCCCAGCTAGGGGCTTTTATCTTAGCTGATCTTTGTCCTGGAATACTCTTTCCCCAGATCTTCACATGGCTGACTTCTTCCTGTTGTTCAAGTCTTTCCTAAGATGTCAACTCCTCAGAGAGGCCTTCCCTGAACATCTCATCTAAATTATATTCCTCCCTCCTGTGTTAATTTTTATCCCATTACCTTATTTTATTGTATTCCTAGCAAACATCACTATCTAAAATTCTCATTGATTTAGGTACCTGTTTATTGTAATTCGCCATCCCCACTAGAATTATGCACCATGAGGGTGGGGACCTTGTCTGTCTTGTTCACTGAGGTATCCCCAGTGCTTGTAACATTGCCTGGTATGTACAGTAGGTGTTCAATACATGTTTATGGTTGAATTAGTGAATGAGAATATTGAGGCCCATGAGGCATATAAACTGCTGAATCACTAAAGGTAAGTATAGGTTGTATTTTAGGGAGGATATTCCTGCCAATTTTTCATGATAATTAAGTGGTCTATGGGCAAGGGAATGAACCTTCTCTTCTGGTTATTCAATCAATTTGTGGCAAGGAAAAGAGACTAGCAATCATAGCTTTTTCTCTTGTAATGCCTGTGTATATAAACTGGTCATCATTTATCAGTTCTGCATACTTTTCTTTGCAACTTGATGTGTTATGTGCTTGAACAACAGTACGAAGTGTACTCCTTGCAGATAAGAGTCTGAAATCGTGGTAAGTACTCATTACAATGAGAACAGCTTGCACTGAACAGGCAGTAGCCATGCATACATCTCTCTTAAGAAAGAAAACATCAAATTGCAGACTCAGTGTGGTAAACAGCAGTTCATTTAACTGCAAAGCTTCTGAATATATAATGATTTTCCAGGAATTAATGAACATGTAGATAATGACAACTTACTATTTCTTTTGTGACTAAATCTTTACAAATGAAGCATAATAAATTGGGCATATGCCTATGCTTAAGGGAGAAGGGAGAAGAAAACAGAAAGATCTTTTTCTTTCCCTTGCTGCTCTTTGCTGATAAATATCAGTAGGTTATAGGGCACAGACTCACCAAAATTAAAAGATGGTGATATGTTTTATCTTTTTTATTTCTCAGACCACTCTAGGAATCTTCTTAGATTCTACTTTCCATTATTCCATTGTGTTATTTTCTGTCATGTGATTGATAATGTTTTCCTTTCTACATTCTTAGTAAAAGTAGCAGACTTCAAAGTTAAGAACTTTTCCCACTGACATTCACAAATTTCCCAGTCCCAACTGTCTTCTGTGTTCCACTGCACGGTAGCAATTTTTCCTTTAGGAGTTTTGAGCCCCTTTCCTTCCCCTGTTCCAATGGCAAGTACCCAAATCTGAGTTCTGCTACATTCTCTCACAATAAAAGCTTTAGTTACATGCAGCAGTTACCATTAATCCTTCGATCAGTTCCCCTGGTAGGAACTATGCAGGAATCTAGAGCTGGTGGATTTGGGGCTGACCGACTTGGCCTGGTAGAATTAAGGTTCACTGTTTCTCTGTTATTTGAATATAACTTTCTTCTTAATTGGGATCTGATTTTTGTCCTGGATGATATCCTGTTTTTAAATTAGAGAGGTGGTCCTAACACTGAGATTTTAATCAGCAATACAGAATAAGAGTTTAAAAGTGATTCTTTCTCATTGGATTATGGATAGATTGATCGTGAATTGGCACCTTGAAAATTTCTAAACATCACTGGTTCAGGGATGGTGATTACTGTGTTGAAGATATCTTCCTTTTACCCCTTCTGGTCACCTTTTCACCCTCCTCTACCCTAAGTCTCCCTACCCGGGAGGCTGTCTGTGAGGACCACAGTGAGGGTCTCCTGTGCCCTCTGACTTCTGCCAGTAGCAAAGCCCCAGCAGGAGACTCGGGGGCGGGGGGGAGGAGTGAGGTCAGGCTCATTATTCTCCTGCTCCCTCCTTGTGGGGTTGCCTTGGGCTGCCCGTGCCCCTCGACCTAAGGTCATGGTTCTTCCCTATAAGACTTTCTCCTTTGGGGTTCCTGTAATCAATCCTTCTCATCTCTTTTCCTCCAGGAGTGGTAACAGTTCTGCCGTTACTGTTGCCAAATTAGAGCAGTATCCCTTTTAGTACCCCGATACCATGTGCATATCTTTGCAAATAGTTGCTTTCAGATAAATTTCTACAAGTTATGCTAATTTGGATGTGCCATCTGTTTCCTGTTTGGATCCCATCTGATACAAATGACTTACTGTTTCTTGGAATTTTGACACTATCAACTATTTTTGACTAAGTACCTACTATATACATATCACCTTAATACAGTCTGTGGAGTAGGCACAAAATAGAAGAGTCACTGCCTTCTGGTCTGTCATGTGAGATAGACAGCTTCTCCTTTACCTTCTTTAGTATTCAGTCAACGTTTATGAAATAGCTACTGTAAACCAGACATGGAGTATGCATCTCAGGCAGATACAAAGCTGAACACTATTTGGTCCCTGCCATTATAAATTTTTATTTTAACTGTGTATTTACAGAACATTCTAGGTGTTCAGATAATTGTAATTCACAGTCCTGGACCAGACAGAGATGAAGTCCTTCCATCGCAGCCTCACACATTTGCCAAAACTAAACAATAGCTGAGAGTATCATCGCCACTATCACCGTCGTCATCATCGTCATTGGTCCATAGGGAGCTGATTGGGAGAACGTGGAGGGATGGGCTTTGCCCTAATTCATCTTTAGAATATTGGTACCACACAGTGCCTTGCTTCAGCCTGCCGGTGTCTCTCACTCTCACTCCGTGATTTATTTTGTTTTCTTGGGTCATACCACCAGTTTTGTAAACCTCTCTGATGCCCACTTCCTGAACCTTTGTCAGTGCTTTGTGGCCCTGGACTGAGGAGAGAGATGTCAGCCTGATTTCTGTGTCCCTACAGCTCATGGTGCTATTGACACTCATTAGTCCTCAGTAAATCTCCTGTCTTGGGAGCTTGATAAGCAGAAATCATCAGCTTGTTTAGTTGTGCCTGATGCCTGGGCCTGTCCTGTTCTATTCTAGCCTCCACCTCCTACTTCTATATGGTGACCTCTGTGATTCTCAAGCGTGACCATTTCCTGAGTTCATAACAGGACCTCTTTTGTGCCTTCGTCTCTTTGGGTGGGAATCTTGTAGAGTATCAAGGAAGCCCTTCTGGGCAGATGGAAGATTTCAGTTAAGCACAAGTCTTTTCTTTATGTTGGCATTGGGTAAAACATACTCAGTGGATATACTTCAGAAGAAGGAGCCTGTAGTTAAATAGACTGGGACATTGTCTTTAAAAAGTTTCTTCACTATAGGGCAACTCTTAAGGCTGTTGGCCACATTTTAGGAAAACCTGCTTTGTATAGTTGAGTTGTATCCACCAGAACCTTAGGCTGTAGACTTTTCCCTACATGGCTGTCAATGCCTGCTAACCCAGAAGAGCTGTTCAGTCAGAAGACACAGTATCAGGCATGTTAAAAAAGATCTGACACTCCCTATTCTGTCCGTGTGAGTGCCCCTGCCCAGTTGGGAAGGCCTCACGGTCATCTTTAGCATCATTATGTGAGAGTGTTTTGGCAGCCCTGCATGTCGTATTCTGAACAAGAGACATCATCACTCTGTACTACAGCCAGAATGCTACACTACAACTGGGGCACTGCACGATGCTGTTTGAGTGATCTAAGGGCCATGGGGGTAGCCAGAAGAAAATCTACTACTGCACCTTACGAAATGACTAGGACCTGTTATAAAAAAGTAAAAGTCATAATCAGCCTTTTACCCTCTGGCCTTTTTCCCTTACTTTGTCCCCTGTAACCTGCCCTAAATATATTTCTCCCATTTTCTCTCTCAATTCATCTTGCCCCTTCTCTGTGGGTGAGCAAAACATAACCCATAGCTGTATGGTTTCATCCAAATCACGGTCTAGCAATGTCTGGAGACATTTTTGGTTGTCACACTGAGGGAGTGCTACTGGAATTAGTGGGGAGAGGACAGGGATACTGCTAAAAACATCCTGCAATGCACAAAACAGCCCCCCATCCCCTCCCCACACACACTGTGAAGACTTATCTAGCCCCAAATCTCAATAGTTCTAAGGTTGAGAAACCCTAATCTAGACCTTAACCTGTCCAGTAGAACTTTCTGTGATGATAAAAATGTTCTATACAGTAGTCATTACTATAGGTAGCAGTTGAGCACTGGAAATGTGGCTAGGGCAACTGAGAAACTGAATTTTTAATTTAACTTTTATTTAAACAGCTGCACTCTAGCTAGAGGCAACCATACTAGACAGTGCAAATCTAGACCATGTATCCTGTCTAAATACCTTGGTTTACAAATGTTGGGCAGAAAAGGTTGGTAACTGAGAGAAGAGAGGACCGATGAAGGAGTTTAGAGGAAGCTGCAAGGTAAGTGTATCTTCAAGAAGCCATGAGACTCATCAAGTGCTGTAATCCCAGCACTTTGGGAGGCAGAGACAGGAGAATCACTTGAGCCCAAAAGCTCAAGGCTGCTGCATTTTTTTACATGAAAAATACCTATTTTCTAAAAGAAGAAATGTAATGACAAAGATATAATTGTTTTATATTTTTTGCAAGTCCTTTTCATGTCTGACTTACTAGAAAACAACTGGGTTCTCATATCTGCTTCTGCATTCAATGTAACATGTCATGTAGCCTCTGGAAAACTCTTCTGTATACTCATGAGAGAATGAGTGAAAAAGATAAATTCCATCTTAATGTTATGATTAAAACAGTTTTGACTTTACCGACACCCTGAAAGGATCTCAGATACCCCCACAGGTCCCTATATCATACTTTGAGAACTACTGCTAAACCGAAAAGTAGGCTGCAAAATTTTATTGATTTCATATTCTATTACTAAGAGTTTGACATTTCCATCATTAGTAATCATTCTCTCTGCTATACTGTTATGTTAAATACGTTGTTAAAAAAATAGAAAAAAATTTTAAGTTTGAAATTAGAAACATGAATAAGAGTTAAACATTTTTTCTTCCTGCACCTCAAGTGCTGTCTTGCACAACGCACACCTCCTTGGAGACCCATTATTGTAGAGGATGAAGTCTTTGAATGTAAGGCCTTTGGGTTTGGTGAGTAGAGGGCCTATATCACCAAACTTTGAGAAAACAATATCTATAAAATGGTGATTGTAGAAGTAATGTTTACAAGGAGTGACAGGAGTGATGGAGGGTGAGGAAGTTGAGATAAACTACTTTAACACTTGGTGAGGGACAGAGGACAATAGTTGATTTTCCAGGCAAGGACTAAGCCGAAGTTACACTTGAATCAAGACACTTTGAAAGAGCCAGTTATCAATGCAAGCATTAGTTATTTTGACTTCTCTCACAAGAGTAAAATAAACAAAACTGTAATGTCTTTGACAGTGGGGTGATAAATGCCTCAAAGCAAATTACACATAAAATTTGGAGATATTCTGACAGTGGTGTTTTTGTAACAGAGTCAGACAATATAAATAGTTAATAGGGGTATAGAGGTTTATTCTAAGTTGGTCAGAACAAGTTATTCCAATGGTTTTGGATTGGCATCACCAGGCAGGAGTGACCACTCCTTTAGCAGATGGGTGTTCCTCTTTGCAAATGAACATATTTCCACAAATGAGTCGTTGAAGATAATCCTCTGAAAAATGTTAAATTTTGCCCTAAGCGGCACCCGTCCATCTGCCTACTCAATGTATCTTTCCCTCCAGGTACATGTGCTGCTCAATATGGAAACATTATTCTAAAGATACTATGCGCTGCAGGATACCACCTAATTTCCAGAAACAGCTTGGTTATATTGGGTTGGTGCAATCGAATATAACCTGGCTATATTAGGTTTTGCCATTAAAAGTAATGGCAAAAATCTCAATTAATTATAGCATGCTGAGATGACAAGCATGTGGAAATGTATACATTTTTTCTGGCCACTCTCAATGGCAGAGAGGTTTTTTTTTAACTTTTATTTTAGGTTCAAGGGTACATGTGCAGGTATGTTATATAGGTAAACTCATGTCACGGGGGTTTGTTGTACGGATTATTTCATCGCCCAGGTACTAAGCCTAGTACCCAATAGATATTTTTCCTGATCCCATCCCCCTCCCACCTTCCACCCGCAAGTAGGCCCCAGTGTCTGTTGTTTCCCTCTTTGTGTCCATGAGTTCTCATCATTTAGCTCCCACTTATAAGTTAGAACACGTGGTATTTGGTTTACTGCATTACTCTGCTAAGGATGATGGCCTCCAGCTCCATCCATGTCCCTGCAAAGGACATGATCTCATGCTTTTTCATGGCTGCATGGTATTCCATGGTGTATGTTTAACACATTTTCTTTATCCAGTTCTACCATTGATGGGCATTTAGGTTGAGTCCATGTCTTTGCTATTGTGAATAGTGCTTCAGTGAACATTCACGTGCATGTGTCTCTATGATAGAATGATTTATATTCCTTTGGGTATATTCCCAGTAATGAAATTGCTGGGTCAAATGGCAGTTCTGTTTTTAGCTGTTTCAGGAATCGCCACACTGCTTTTCCACAGTGGTCGAAGTAATTCACACTCACACCAACAGTGCAAAGGCATTTTATTTTTTCTGCAACCTCACTAGCATCTGTTATTTTTGCCTTTTAGTAATAACCATTCTTTTTTTATTCTTTATTTTATTTATTTATTTATTTATTTATTTATTTATTTTTTGAGACAAAGTCTCGCCCTGTCGCCAGGCTGGAGTGCAGTGGCATGATCTCGGCTCACTGCAACCTCCGCCTCCCGGGTTCAAGTGATTCTCCTGCCTCAGCCTCCCGAGTAGCTGTGACTACAGGCGCATGCCACCATGCCCAACTAATTTTTGTATTTTCAATAGAGATGGGGTTTCACCATGTTGGCGAGGATGGTCTTGATCTCTTGAGTTTGTGATCCGCCCACCTTGGCCTCCCAAAATTCTGGGATTACAGGTGTGAGCCACTGCACCCGGTCCAGTAATAACCATTCTGACTGGTGTGAGATCATATCTCATTGTGGTTTTGATTTGCATTTTTCTAATGATCAGTGATACTGAGATTTTTTTCACATGCTTGTTGGCTGCATGTATGTCTTCTTTTCAAAAGTGTCTGTTCATGTCATTTGCCCACTTTTTAATTGTTAAAGTTACTTATAGATGCTGGATATTAGACCTTTGTCAGATGCATAGTTTGCAAAAATGGTCTCCCGTTCTGTAGGTTGTCTGTTTACTCTGTTAGTTTCTTTTGCTGTGCAGAAGCTAACAGAGAAGATTTTAATATTTTTTAAAATATTAAAAAATATTAAATATTTTTATTTAATATTGCTGGTAGTAGAATTTTGGTGACTAAGAAAGAAAAATAAGAGCCAGGAAGGTAATCGCCATACAAAATCATGTAGGCAACTATGTCTACTTCACCAACTCTGAAAAGTCCATTTTGGGTGCTTTAACATGTATTATACAATATGAAGACAATAGCAAGCAATATTTTATTGAGTACTTACTAAAAGCCAATTATTGTTATGAGCTAACTCCTGTTACCTCATTTAATCCTTAAGACAACCTGGCAAGGTCACTGGTATTGTCAGCATTTTGCAGAAGATGAGGCTCTGAGAGGTAAAGAAATGTAGACAAGGTTGCCCAGCTAATGAGGGGCAAAGGAGGAGTGCAAGTCCACAGATGCAGAATCTTCTCTTTCACCCCATGATGTAGGACAGCCATACCAGCAGTGACTTAAAACAACAGAGCATTTCAAGACATTTGTTTTTGGTTTGTAGTTTTTCTAATGTAATTTGATAACTAGCTAATCATACCAACACAAAAAAAGAAGGTATCTGGGTTTTAAATACTTTCTCCTCCCATTTGTCTTTCCGCTAAAACTCAAAAACAAAAAACAAAAACATCTTGTGTCAAACCACATTTCTTAGAATCTGCCAAAGTACTTGGCTCAGGTTTATGTTCTTTCCCAAAGCCAAATTACTCTGCTGTTTCCTCATCTTTACAAAGAATAAAAAACAACAGTGGTAGCTTCTTTTATTTCTCTTTACTCACTGTTTGTATGGGTTTTTTCCCTCCTAGACATGAATTTTAATTTTTTTAAGTAAACGAAATAACTGTTGACCAATCTCTTGCTTATCCTACTGTCAAAAAGTGGGCATTCTTTTCCCTGACTGGCTATAGCAAAAACAATAAGAGAATTTCTGCAGAAGTGATTACCTGGTACCTAGGAATTATTTGTCTTGCCTGTTCACCTGCTCTTCCTGTATCTGCTATTAGTGACTTTTCACCAAGGTGGCCTAAGTATTGTGGTTCAAACTCCAAGTTGCTATGGTGAGGATGCTTCTATTCTTTGCTACAGTTTCTTTATAATGCTTGCTCCTTACACATCCCATTCCTAGGATCTCAGATGTGATGGAAGATAGTTTAGGATATAGTTTAGATAGTTTAGGAAGACCCCATTGGTTTTGTGTGAAAGCGTGGAAACTTTCACAGTTTCCACACTTTCACACGAGGTCAAAAATGATTAACTACTGTTTCATAAGCCCACAGCACCTGAAACAAGGTCTGCTTGACACATAGTAGGCACTTGATAAGTGTCTGTTGAATAGGAAATGATGGTAGCTTGATTAAGATGTCAGCAGGAACATCAAAACAAGGCCAGGGCATCTGACTTGTGAAATGGGGAAGAAGAACTTATTACAGATTTATGACTTCGTATTTCCTAATTCCCTGTTTCATGGTTTGTATTTTGTGACAATTTTAGATCATGGATAGGCAAACTTTCTCTAAAGGGCCAGACAGTACATATTTTAGGCTTTGTAAGCCAATCATCTATGGTCCGTGTTGCAGTTACTTAACTCTGCAGTGTTAATGTGAAAGCAGCTCTAGACAATATGAAAATGAATGAGCATGGCTGTGCTCCAAAAATATTTTATTTACAAAAATAGCCTATAGGCTAGATTTGGTGGGAGAGCATGGTTTACCCATCCTTGATTTTAAGGGTGGAAATTTAATGGACCTCAGATCAAAAGATACTAGGTGAGTCAGCTTCCTGTCTTGAAACAAAATGAGCACATGTAAAAGTCTTTAGGCTTTGCCTTTGTAACCATTAATGTAGGTCAGTGGATTTGGCATGTAGGTAGAGGGTAGAGAGGTAAGGATTACATTCAGTAAGATCTGCTTATAATCTATTAGTTTAAGGTATTTATTTATTTATTTATTTTTATTTTTTGAAGATGAGGTCTTACTCTGTCACCCAGGCTGGAGTGTAGTGGCATGGTTATGGCTCACTTTAACGTCAAACTCCAGGGCTCAAGCAATCCTCCCACTTCAGTCTCCCAAGTAGCTGGGACTACAGGCACGCACCACCATGTGCAGCTAATTTTTAAATTATTTTGTAGAGATGGGGTTTCACTATGTTGCGCAGGCTGGTCTTGAATTCCTAGGCTCAAGTGATCCTCCCGCCTCAGCCTCTCAAAGTGCTGGGATCACAGGCATGAGCTACCACGCCCAGCTTAGTTTAAGACATTGATCATTAAGAATTTTTGCCCTTTGGCCCAGTAATTTTTCATCTCAGAGTATGTCATAAGAAATAATCAGCAATAAAGGCAAATATTTATGTACAGATGTTCAACACATATCATTTTAAATAAAAATTTAGGAATCATTTAAATGTTCAGCATTAGAGGAATGGTAAAGTCTATTATGATGTATTTACATAAAAATATGTATCTGTTACCAGCCTCCTCCCAGCATTTTTGTGGCCCAGGGCAAGAGGACACAGGGAGGCCTACTAATATATGTCTAAATATTTTAAAGTTATAAATCAAGCTAACAGACTGCTAAAGTACGTTTCATCCTTCTGCTTGGACAAATACGCCTTCTTAATGACCTGGAAGGCCAGGTTTAAATCCAGAATTCTCAGACTCTTTGGAATTCCCTGTTGGAATGTGGTGGCTTGAGGAGAGGCAGCCAGCCTGCTCCGCCTCCCAGCTCTGTTTCAGCCCCGCAGCAAGAGGAGCCTTACACAACCCGCACATCGAAGTCCATCAACACTCTGTGACCCGACCCTCCCCCCTGTGGGCCTGGGGTGCACACAGTGCTGTGCAGTCTGCCCTCGGGGATAGGCCTGAGGAAGGAGGCTAAGCAGCACCTTTTCATCGTGGCATTTCAGGACTCCAAGTACTGTGAGAATTGGTCTAGAAGGATGGCTCAGACTCTATGGAGATAACCTTTTTCTCTGTGTACCCGCCCATCACATGATGAGGAAAGGAGCCAGAGGAGGGCCACAGTGAGGCTGCTTTAAAACACAGGGTCCAGGGCAAGGGAGCATTTGCCTGGTTTTATTTTTTGTTTATTGTTTATTTTTTGATATAGGGTCTCATTCTGTCGCCAGGCTGGAGTACGTTGGCATTATTTATTGGCAAAAGTAGGGCATGAGCAATTTCCTTTTGTACCAATCTTTGTCTAAGTGGTAGAAGATAGATCTGGCTCAAATTATAAAAACTCAAAGAAGGTACAATGTTATATTAGAATACTCTTGAGGTTACAACTGAAATTTGTCTCCCAGATCTTTTTGTCTCTGCCAAATAGCAGTGACGCATTTCAAAGGCACCTGAAGAGATGAAGCTAGAATTAACAGGCAGAACATCAAGCACAGAGATGGTTATTCCTGTTTTATCCACATGCTTTTGTGCTCTTGGAACTTTCTGAGCTTGCCTTTTCCCATGTTACCTGGCTGTAAAAACCACTTCCTTGCTATTGGGCTGTTGCAAAAGATAATAGATAATAGTTTCAGAAGTTGTTTTAAGTTGTTGAAAATAAAGTATCTGTATAAATACAAAGTTGTATTGTCACCAGTGTTACCATGATTTATGACTATGTCTTTTTTTTTTTTTTTTTTTTTTGAGACGGAGTCTTGGTCTGTCGCCCAGGCTGGAGTGTGGCATGATCTTGGCTCACTGCAACCTCTGCCTCCCAGGTTCAAGCAATTCTCCCTGCCTCAGCCTCCGGAGTAGCTGGGATTACAGGCACGGGCCACCATGCCTGGCTAATTTTTGTATTTTTTAGTAGACACGGGGTTTCGTTGTGTTGGCCAGCTTGGTCACGAACTCCTGACCTCAGGTGATCCGCCTGCCTTGGCCTCCCAAAGTGCTGGGATTACAGGTGTAAGCCATCGCGTCTGGCCAGGAGTCTTCTTTTCTAATATATTTTTTTAAATCTCCTATCCAAGCGGGTGCCGTGTTACGTGCCTATAATCGCAGCTATGCAGGAGGATCCCTTCAGCCCGGAGGTTCAAGGCCAGCCTGGGCAACATAGTGAGACCTGTCTCTAAAAATCAATCAATGGATTAATCAATCAATTCAATCAAAAGATCCCCTATCTAAAGTTATACAATGTTAAAAAAAATTGCAAACTCATTATACAATAAGTTTGTGATTGTAGGCCTGGCGCAGTAGCTCACACATATAATCCCAGCACTTTGGGAGACAAAGGTGGGTAGATTACTTGAGCCCAGGAGTTCAAGACCAGCCTGGGCAACGTGGCGAAAATGTGCCTCTACAAAAAAAATACTAAAATTAGCCAGGCATGGTGGCATGCACCTGTAGTCCCAGCTACTCAGGAGGCTCAGGCAGGAGGATCACTTGAGCCCAGGAGGCAGAGGTTGTAGTGAGCCAAGATTGCACCACTGCACTCCAGCCTGGGCAACAGAGTGAGACCCTTTCTCAATCAATTAATCAATAAATGTGCAAGTATAAAAAAAATTTAGTTTATCAAGTATCTTTTATGTGACTAAGAAGTATGATCTGCTGCTCATTTTCCTCACAGCTATGAACTAAAAGCCAATGAGCTGACCTGCAGTCAGTTTCAGCTCTGCTGCTTACATCTGGGTAACCTCAGTCAAGTCCCCAATCCTGCTGATCTGTTTCCTCAGTTAGAAAATGAGGATAAATCTGCCAGGCACGGTGGCTCACACCTGTAATCCCAGCACTTTGGGAGGCCAAGGCGGGTGGATTGCCTGAGGTCAGGAGACCAGTCTGGCCAACATGGTGAAACCCCATCTCTGTTAAAAATACAAAAAAATTAGCCGGGTATGGTGGCATGTGCCTGTAATCCCAGCTACTCCGGAGGCTGAAGCAGGGGAATTGCTTGAACCAGGGAGGTGGAGGTTGCAGTGAGCTGAGATCATGCCACTGCACTCCAGCCTGGGCAACAGAGTGAGATTCCGTCAAAAAAAAAAAAAAAAAAAACAAAGAGAGAAAGAACAGAAAGAAAATGAGAATAGCCTCCTGGATTGGTGTAAGAGTTCAATGAGATGCTGCTGTGAAAATACCCATTTCAGAACTTGGTATGTAGAAAGTATTCAACAAATGTCTAGAGAATCTAAATCTGTTTGATCAGGCCACAGCAAAAGAAGGATGATAAGGATAAAAACAGCAAGTAATAGTAGACTAGTCCTTAAATTCAGATGAAAACCCCTGGTATCTTATAGGTTTTTCGGATTTTGTTTTTCTTTTCCTCCCAGGTGGGACCTTAAAGACTCTTCCTTATCCTTTCTTAATTCTTTTCATTATGTGCCTCTTAAAAATTGGTCTAGATTCTTCCAAGGATAATGCGATCTTCACAACAGGGCCCACATCTATGGGTCAAAACCCAGTCATAATTGGTCTGTACCTTCTAATATCTACAATTTTGAAAATTTTAAATAATGTAAATCCAGTGAGTATGAAACTCAGATACATTTTCATGCATATTCTATACTCTACCTTCCTAAAGAGGAAGTCACTGGTAAATATGCCAGTATAAGAAATGTATTCCAAAAACAATCTGTGAGATGTGTCAGACTCAGATTATAGTGACAGCTCTTTTAACCTTGTAGGAGTCACCAGGGCTCTCCTTCCCATATATAAAACATGCGTAACAGATGCCCACTGACCAAGAAGAGCTGGGAAAGTGAAGATCTGAAAGGAGGACTCAGAGGATCACAGGGTCGCTAACCAGTCATCCTGAAACACTGGTGTGAGTGAACAGTAGGAACTTTGTGGAAGCTGAGTGTGGCCTGCTCTGGAAGAAGGACTTCACCGCATGGAGAGGTCTATGGGGAGCTGCTTAGCCCCCGTGTAGCTGCCTCTGTGAATGCGCAGCCAGTAACTGGTGGTGGGCCTGGAGTCCCTCTTGGCCAACAGTCAGGAAGAAAACCTAGATGTGGAAGAGAGGAGAGCAAGAACAAGCAGATATCCATTCTGGCACCAGTGACCATTTGTCAGTTTTTAACTGAAGCAATATTCTAAGGGTAATGGCTGTTTCTTCACTTCCAGTTCCAAATCTCACGCCAACCTCTTCCATACCTACAAAGTCTAATTCAAAATCATACAGAGAAGGGGAAACATATTTCCTAGGTTAACCAAATTGACGAAGCCCAATCCTGCACATCCACTTTAACTCTTTCTTTCGGTTAACCAACCAATTGTAGATCCCAATCATGCCAAATTAAAAGGCTTTTCCTATTATTTATTCTCCTATCTACATTTCAAGTATGTTGATAAATGTTAGGAAATTATGCCGGAAGGCCCTATACTCTTATATTGTATTTTCAGAGTTAATAAACAAAAGTTAGAATGTTTTAGTTTTAGAATTAGTGTAATTAGCTGGATAGAATTTCCAATTTTAGTTACAGAGAAAAGTTAGTATGTTTTCCCTTTTTCTCAGAGATCTTAAAAAGGCAACTAGGAAAAAGAGAAACAGATGTTAAACCTCCAACTTAGACTTTGAAACATCTGAAACCCAAACTATAATGCATGAGCAGGCACTGCCAAATACAGTGAAAGTAAACCAGGGCATGGGTAGAGGCTTAGAGGGGAGAGCCCTGTGCTGAAGATCGGAGACAAAGCTGGCAGAACAGTTATGAAAGGAAAAGGAGCACCCTTAGAGGCAAAACCAATAATTTTTAGTTATGAACATTGAGAATAGGTGTGCAAACTAATGCAAGAGCTTCCCCAGAGCTGGTTTGGCCTAAAGAAAAAGCAAGGTGGTTGGAGCTAAATAAGGAATGCCCACAGAAATATCATTCGTATAAAGCAGTCTGTGGGTAAGGCATGGTAAAGGAAAGAGACTCAAATTTTTGAATAGGACTTTAACTTCCACTTCTCTTCTGATCAAGAAGTTAAAGCTAACACACACACAACATTGTGTCAAAGAGAGAATTCCTGCTAGCTCAAAATATGGTCCTAGTCTCAGTTCTACATGAATCTGCTATAAATTGCTGGTCCTAGAACTTGTCTCATTCAAGAATGAGTAATCAAAAAGGAAACTGCACAGAATATGTACAAAGTTACAACCAGAAAAAGGGAGAAAATTGGTAAATGAAGAATACTAACACCCACTAACAAGAAAAAAGGTTGCCTTAGAAGAGCATATAGAAATTGTCACCAAATAAGCCATACACTAAAATATATATATAAAATGTATGTATAAAATATTGTAATTACTGCTAAAAAACAAGAGCTTAAAGTGCAGATACAAGAGCTCAGGGACTATATGGCAAGTCAAATGAAAGATGAAATACAGTAAAGCTCAAGAAAACAGATTAGAAAAATAAAACTATTGGACCAGGCGTGATGGCTCACGCCTGTAATCCCAGCACTTTGGGAGGCCGAGATGGGTGGATCACGAGGTCAGGAGATTGAGACCATCCTGGCTAATACAGTGAAACCCCGTCTCTAGTAAAAATACAAAAAAAAATTAGCCGGGCGTAGTGGTGGGTGCATGTAGTCCCAGCTACTCAAGAGGCTGAGGCAGGAGAATGGCATGAACCCGGGAGGCGGAGCTTGCAGTGAGCTGAGATCGCGCCACTGCACTCCAGCCTGGGCAACAGAACGAGACTGTCTCAAAAAAAAAAAAAGAAAAAACTATTTTAGCAACAAAGGCCTTCCTAGAAGCAGCACAAAGGAAGAGAAACATTTTGAAACACAGTAAAGGACAGGAGGAGGATTGAAAAGAGAAAATGAAATGACAATGAAGAGTTCTTAAAAATTAGAGGAAAAATGATACATATGGAAAACAAGTCTGATATTTGCATAACTACTGTTCCTAAATAAGATGAAAAATATCAAAAATAATATTTAAAGATGTAACTTGGCCTGGTGCTCTGGCTAATGCCTGTAATTCCAGCACTTTGGGAGGCTGAGGCGGATGGATCACCTGAGGTCAGGAGGTCAAGCCCAGCCTGGCCAACATAGTGAAACCCTGTCTCTACTAAAAATACAAAAATTAGCCAGGCATGGTGGCATGCGCCTGTAATCCCAGCTACTCAGGAGGCCTGAGGCAGGAGAATCGCTTGAACCCGGGAGGTGGAGGTTTCAGTGAGCCAAGATCACATCACTATACTCCAGCCTGGGCGACAGAAGTCTCAAAAAATAAAATTAAATAAATAAAATAAAATCTTAAGAAACCTTATCAGAAACTAAAGAAATCTTCCATCAACAGATTGAAAATACTGTTTCCCAGTTTTTTAAAAAATGAAGGATAGGCCAGGCACGGTTGCTCACACCTGTAATCCCAGCACTTTGGGAGGCTGAGGCGGGTGAATCACCTCAGGTCAGGAGTTCAAGACCAGCCTCGCCAACATAGAGAAACCCCGTCTCTACTAAAAATACAAAAAAATTAGCTGGGCATGGTGGCGGGCACCTGTAATCCCAGCTACTTGGGAAGCTGAGGCAGGAGAATCACTTGAACCCGGGAGGCAGAGTTTGCAGTGAGCTGAGATTGCGCCATTGCACTCCAAGCCTGGGCGACACAGTGAGACTATGTCTCAAAAAAAACAAAAACAAAAAAAATGCTATGCCATTACTAAGTAGGGCTTCTGCTAGCAGTTCTAGAATTGTTCAAATAATTTGTGCATTAATGGAAAAAGCATGTCGTTATCTCCATAGATGTCAAAAGGGCACTTTATAAATTTAACATTTGTTCTTGGTTAAAATTTCCTTAAAAAAGTAACAAAAGATGGATGTTTCTTTTGCATGATACACAATATATCCAACCCCAAACCAGCGTCATGCTTAATGGGTAAATACTAGGAACATTCCACATAAGGATGTTCACTATTAGCAGCTTGATTTATCATCATTGTGGGCTATTGACAATAAAGTTCAAAAAAAATTAGAATAAGGAGGAGGTGAAATTATTATTTGCAGATGTGATTACCTCATAAACTCATGAAAATCGACTTTTGAAAAGCTATTATAAGCAGAATTCAGAAGGTGGCTGGATGTATAATTTAAATGTGAAAGTAAGTAGCGTATATGTATAAACAACTAACTAGAAGACAAACTAGAGGAAAATAAATCATTTAGATTAACAAGTAAAGGAAAAAAACAAAAAAGCTGGTATTAAATTTAAACAGAGGTATGCTTGATCTAGATTAGTGATTCTCAACTGGGGATGACTTTGCCACCCAGGGGACATCTAGCAATACCTAGAGACATTTTTTATTGTCTAATTTCAGTAGTGGTAGGTTGAGGAGCCTTGATCTAGGTAAAGAAAACTTTAAAATGCTACTTAGGACCACAAAAGAAGGCTAATCTGTGTTCTTGGATAAGAAGCTCCTAAATGGTAGAATACATAAAATTTTCCTAAATTGTTATATAAATACAATGAAATGTCAGTAAAAATAAAGTGAACCAGAAAAATTGATTCTCTAGTTCATATATAAAATTAAGCAAAAAATTCTAGAAAAATTCTGAATAAGAACAGTAGTAGTGTATAGAGAGTAATCCCTATCAGATGTTAAAACGTATCTAAAGCTATGATAAATATAACAGTGAACTAATTATAATAGACTCAAATACATACTAGAATTTAGGATATAATAGAGAAGACCTTTCAGACCAGAGGGGGAAAGATACATTATTTAGTAAACAGACTTAAGTTAATTGGATGCAATCTGGAAAAAAGTAAAATTAGGCCCATATTCCACATCTTAAACCAAAATAAATGAAAAATTAATTGAATATTTAAGTGTAAAACTTATGGTAGTAAACATGGGATTTTTTTTTTCTTAATCTTAGGACTTTTTAAGTTTGCATATAAAAGATTGTTAAGTTCAATACATAGAAATAAAAATTGTATTGGCTGGGCACAGTGGCTCACACCTGTAATCTCAGCACTTTGGGAGGCCAAGTCAGGCAGATTGCTTGAGCTCAGGAGTTCAAGACCAGCCTGGGCAACAAGGCAAGACCCCACCTCTACTAGAAATATTTTTTAAATAGCGGGATGTGGTGGTGTGTGCCTGTGGTCCCAGCCGCTTGGGAGGCTGAGGTGGGAGGATTGCTTGAGCCCGGGGTTAAGGAGGTTGCAGTGAGCCGAGATTGCACCATGTACCCCAGCCTGGGTGACAGAGTGAGACCCTGTCTCAAAAATGAAATAAAAAATCAAAATTGAATAATATAAGTTAAAGTCAGAAGACAAAAGAGTAACTGGAAAAATATTTGTAACTGATACTACAGACAAAGGGCTAATTATCCTGACTTTGTGAAGAGTCCTTCTATATCAACCAACAAAAAATGGAAAAATGAATAAAGAATATGAACAGACATTTCACAGAAAAGCTATAAATGGCTCTTAAACTTGAAAGCATGCTTAGCCTCACTCAAAATAAGAGGAATACAAATTAAAACTGCAGTGAGCTACTACTGGTTTTCTTCAATTAAATAATCAAACTTCTAAGATGGGCATAGTACCTGTGGCTACTCCAAACGTTGAGGTGGGAGGATCTTTTTGAGAGGCCAGAGTTCGAGGCTGTTGTGCACTATGATACCACCTATACATTGCCACTGCACTCCAGCCTGGGTATCATAGCAAGACCCCATCTCTAAAAATTTTTTTTTTAAATCAAAGTTCTGAAAGTTAGGATAACATTCCATGGGTGAAGGTGTGATGAAGAGGTGCTCTCACACATTGTTGGTGGGATTATAAATTAATATAATTTCTGTGGACAGTAATTTAGTAACTTCTATCAAACTTTTAGAGGCACAGAAGTAATTCAGGAATCAAAAACCAAATACAGCGTGTACTCACTTACAAGTGGAAACTAACCTATGGATACACAGAGGCATACAGAGTGGTATAATGGACATTGGAGATTCTGAAGGGAGAAGGATGGGAGGGGGATGAGGGATGGAAAATTACCTGTTGGGTATTTGATTACTTTTAGATACTGTTTCCAGTCACTGGGAATTCCAGTCAGTGACTCCCAGATAGAGAAGTTGTTACTATATTTGAATTGTTGGAAAATTTGGGCATGTACTTATGGTTCTTAACTAATAATATTTAATAAAATATGCTCAGCACATAGATGGCCAATTCACACTTACCGAATCTAACTGAAGCAGTACTGTATTGTCCTATTATCACAAATAAGGATAAAAGCTGTGTTCAAGAGCTTAGTTTGTGGGAGTTTGGGTGCAGATGTACTCCCTATTTCTATGGTATAATTTGGCTGTTGGGGAAAAGATAAATCTTGATTAAATATGAAAGGCATTTTTATATGAGAAAATAACAGATAAATGGAAATTCTAGGTAACTGGGAATTTTTGTCTCTGTCAAAATCAACCAGAAAACTTTTTTGTTTTAATCTTTATCATTAAAAAATGCTTCTGGCCGGGTGTGGTGGCTAATGCCTGTAATCCCAGCACTTTGGGAGGCTGAGGCAGGCAGATCACAGGTCAGGAGATCGAGAACATCCTGGCTAACACGGTGAAACCCCGTCTCTACTAAAAATACAAAAAATTAGCCAGGCATGGCGGCATGTGCCTGTAGTCCCAGCTGCTGGGGAGGCTGAGGCAGGAGAATGGCATGAACCCAGGAGGTGGAGCTTGCAGTAAGCCGAGATCGTGCCACTGCACTCCAGCCTGGGCGACAGAGCGAGACTCTGTCTCAAAAAACAAACAAACAAACAAAATGCTTCTAAGGAGAATTACTCTACTTTTCTGCTGTAGAAGGAAACCATATTTGTCATAAGTTAATTGCTGCATATGAGGACTCCTTCTGGTCCTGGAGTCACAGTCCTCAGAAGCAGTTCCGTATGGCATGGGTGTAGATTCTGGTAATTTAATACCCAGGATTGCCTTTTCATTGCTCTCAAGACACTTAACTGGAATTTCAGAAAGATTTTAAGTAAAACTACTGGTAGAAGTCTGTTTTATTGATCTTTTCCTTATTTTATGTCAAGTTTAGACACAATTTTAGTTTTTGAGCTTCCTAATGACACTGAAGTCTCTTTGGTAGAGAAATCCCAAGTCTTATCTAATTCTGTCCAGTTAGGCTAGGGAATTTGTCTTAGAGATTATGAAGAGAGCGTTTTTGTGGACATGAACCTTCTAGTCTGAAGCTTTTTGGTAAAATGTTAGTTATAATAAGTTGATCCAGATTAGCAGCATTATCTACAATTCTTCTCCACCTTTGGGAGACAAATAACCAAGTATCTGCTACATTTTTTCTTGTACATCTCTTCTATGCTCGAATCCAACAGAAATTGAACTGAATGAAATAATGGCCACACTGCTCAATACTATATGGCAGAGAATATGGTCATGCTGACTTGTTGTGAAGGTACAGGTATATATTTTTTTTATGTCATTTAGTAAATTATAATAAACTAGGGCCTGTTGCGGTAGCTCACATACGTAATCCCAGCGCTGTGGGAGGCTGAGGCAAGAGGATCACTTGGGCCCAGGAGTTTGAGACAAACCTGGGCAACAGAGGGAGACCCCATCTCTACAAAAAGTAAAAAATTAGCCGGGTGAGGTGGTGCATGCCTGTAGTCCCAGCTACTCAGAGAGCTGAGGTGGGAGGATCAGTTGAGCCTAGAGGTTGAGGCTGCAGTGAGCCGTGAATTATGCCACTGCCCTCCAGCCTGGGTGACAGAGCAAGACCTTGTCTCAAAAAAAAAAAAAAAAAAAAAAAAAAAAAGTCCCATGTCCCAGACTACGGGGTTCACATGCGCAAAAACATTCTCTTTATAATCTCTATGACAAATTCCCTAGCCTAATTGGACAGAAGTAGATAAGACTTGGGATTTTTCTACCAAAGAGATTGGTGTCATGAGGAAGCTCAAAAACTAAAATTGTGTCTAAACTTTACATAATGTATATAATAAATTAGGAAAGTCTAAATAAAACTATTTACCAAATGTCCCCAAGCAGGGAATTGGTTAATAAATGATGGTACTTTCATACTGTAGGATTCAAACAGTCTTCAAAGATTTGTTCATAGTTGTTTTTAGCATATGAAAATATCATAAATTGATACATGGAAAAAAGAACAGTGTGTATAATATGATACCCACGTTTTTGCGAGAAATTACACACACACATGCAAAAACAAAAAAAAAGTTCATATAGAAAAAAATGTTAAAAGGAGTTGATTTTGTTAGGATTAGGTTTGGCAATAAGTAACAAAGAGCTAAGAAATAGTAGATTAAATAAAATAGAATTTATTTCTCTCTTTTAGGAAGTCCCAAGGGAGGCAATCTAGGTCCAAGATGGTGTCAGGGACCCAGGCTTTTTCTGTCTTTAGATCCCCAACATTCCTACAGACACCGATAGCCGGTCGCTGGGGCTCCAGGCATCCTGTCTACAGTCCTCCCCGACTCTCAGCAGTAATTTTATATTCTTTTTATAAAAGTGAACCTGTTGGATGATCATGTCTTTTAGTGAATAAACCAAGTTGCTTTTCACTAAAGCATCATGTTAATTTTGTTTACATTTGTAACACTTTAGTTCATTGTTAATACAAATCATTTTTAATCTGATATAATAGATACATGTAAAACAATAACATGAGAATAAGACTGCTACTGCCTTCTGAAAAGTTCTCTTTGACCTGGATCTCTATTAAACTCATCGTTAAACAAGTTCTTCCCATTTAGAAACTTCCCGAGCTGTTAAATAGAAGTATTAACCAGCCTGTTGTTCCCTCCTCCTTTTTCCCTAAACTTGCTCTCATTTCCCATTTGGCACATGAAGCCTTTTGGTAGATGTCTGCTCTTCTTTTTTTGTTGTTGTTTTTTTTCACCTGGCTGTATCAGGCTTAAAGATTGGTCTAGCCACAAAATCCATTGAGACATTGAGTTTATGAAATAAATCATGAAACCTTGAATTTCTGGGGCAACTTAAAAATTACAATCAATAGTGTGTGTCATAGGATTCCTTCGGAAAAGAAGTAAAAGGATAGCTTACTACAAACAAATTTTAAAATGTTATTTTCCTAAGGTTCCAATCTGTTCTTGAATTCCCTCCTGGGGAGTCCAGGTGTTAGTAACACAAGGTAAACAGAAAGGCCCTCAGGCATGTCATGATGCAAATTCAACTCACACACATACAAAGGGCAACACTCCCATCCAAATTAATGGGATGACATTTGCTGAAGTCCTCAAACTAGAAACTTCCCAGTTATCCTAGGCTTCCCTCCCTTCCTCATGTCCCAGACCTGTTGGGTCACTAAACCCTGTCGACTCAGCATCCTACGTAAGCCTTAAATAAACGACATCTCAGCTCCACTCTCCTTGCCAGTCCCTCCTCATCTCTCATCTAGACCATTGTAGTCATCTCCCTACTGGGCTCCCTGCTTTTGGACTGTTCCTCTTCCTGTTCCCACTCTTCCATTTTTATCTTTGAATTATCTTTTTGAATTATCTCCTGTGAATTATCTTTTTGAAAAGCACATTTGATCACACCATTCTTTTGAGTACAGTCTTCAAGGACTCCCTTTTATCTGTTAAAAAAAAAAAAAGGAAGAAAGAAGAAGGCCCCAACCTTTCTTTTTTTTTCTTTTTTTTGGTGGGGTGGGGAGGTGGGGGGCACGGAGTCTCACTCTGTTACCCAGGCTGGAGTGCAGTGGCTGCGATCTCGGCTCACTGCAAGCTCTGCCTCCCGGGTTCACGCCATTCTCCTGCCTCAGCCTCCCGAGTAGCTGGGACTACAGGTGCCTACCACCATGCCCGGTTAATTTTTTTTGTATTTTTAATAGAGACGGGGTTTCACCATGTTGGCCAGAATGGTCTTGATCTCCTGACCTCGTGATCCGCCCGCCTCAGCCTCCCAAAGTGCTGGGATTACAGGCGTGAGCCACAGCGCCCGGCCAACCCCAGCCTTTCTTAACCTAGCTCCACTCTCTAGCCTAACTTCAGGACCCACATAAAGCTACACCTACTTCTGCCTGTTTCTTTATGAAGAATGTCTTCAGCTTCAACCTTTCTCTGTCATGAACTCCTGGTCATCTTTGAAGTCCTGATTCAGTGCCATTGCCCCCCCCCGTTCCCCAGGATGTTTAAGCACTGTGTGTGCTCCTCTATGAGAGCCCTAATCACACTGGATGGAATTGTCTGAGCTGTGAACTTCTGGATAGTGTAGTCTTGTTCATGTGTGTATCCTCAGCATCTGTCCCAATGCATTGAATCGAGTGAAATAAAAGCAAGTACAGGATATGCTTTGTGTATCCCAGTAAGACCCCAACCTGAAAATAGTGCCAAGACAACCAGGAAACTGACCAGTGGTCCAGCTGAGCTGCATGAAGCAGAATTAGGCACAGAAAGTCTGCAGTAGTTCAAATGGAGTCCTGAGAAATTGTGTCCAGCCCTCATGTCACCCTGGCCTGCCCTGATCTTCTTTGCTTGTTCTGCCTAACTTCTTCATTCTATTCTCTCACTTGCTCAGGGGGGTCTATTTGGCTTAATCTGTTGGACCTGCTCCTTTCTTAGCACTGAAGGCTGATGCATCTGATACGTGCATGTGTGTGTGTGTACGTGCATATGTGAATATGTGTGCATGTGTGTGTATGTGTCTCAAGATGAACTCCCAGACATAGAACTGGGTGTGTCCACTTAGGGGGTTGTATGAATCAGGGGGAAAGGGGAAAACAGGAAATGATAGTAATCAGTTATTATGTACTGTTTGCCAAATGTCAGGATTTGTATTTAATTGTTAAAACCACCTTGTGAATGGTAGTCACCATTATTATTATCCCCACTTTACAGATGAGTTAACTGAAGCAAAGAGAGACTGAGTCACACACACCCTTGAAATGTGGGGGAGCTGGGATCCAGTCAGCATATGTCTTAATCCAGAGTCACTGCTGTAAGCACAATTAGACTTAAAATATTGTAATGGAGGCCAGGCACAGTGGCTCACACCTTGTAATCCCAGCCCTTTGAGCGACCAAGGCAGGCAGATTGCTTGAGGCTGGGAGTTTGAGACCAGCCTGGCCAATATGGTGCCACCCCCATCTCTACTGAAAATACGAAAATTAGCCAGGCATAGTGGTGTGTCCCTGTAATCCCAACCAGTTGGGAGGCTGAGGCACGAGAATGGCTTAAGCCTGGGAGGTGGAGGTTGCAGTGATTAGAGATCAGGCCACTGCACTCCAGCCTGGGCGACAGAGTGAGACTCTGTCTAAAAAAAAAAAAAAAAAAAAAAATTGTAATGGACCATATTACAATTGACCCTTGTCTTACAAAGATCTCTGAAGGGCAAAATAATGAAATGTTTGCTTTTCCTTGAGTTTTTTTGTGAGCACTGGTATTTTTTTTTCTCATGAATGATTTAACTCCAAGGATAATTGTGGGCAAAAAGATACTCCTTTTGAACTTGGACTTAATCTCAAGGACTTGATTGCTTTTCCACCCAGAGTGTCCAAGGAAGACTTTCCAGACCTTTTCCTGGGTCTTACGCACCTGGCTTTGAGCAGCATTAGTAGCCTATTGCTCAAGTTTCATTCTAACCATTAGTAAATGTTTATTGGTCTCCTTGACGAGATGCCTTATGATGCAAAATAGGTAAACAAAAACAATGAGGATTGGTCCCCCTTCCCCAAAACAACCCTCACAATCCTGTTAATTTCTGGTCCTCTGCTGCTGAGGGAACACTTTAGAGTTCCCTCTGGGCTGCTGCATGCATTTCCCATCTAGCCCCCTCTCCTGTGTTACTTTCACTACCAACTCACTCTTTCTTGATTTCCAGATTCTCTGTATTCAAATTCTGGAGTATATCCTACATTCCAATTTCTTGGCACTCCTCTTTACCCACAATGGTTTTTTTTTTGGGGGGGGGGGGTCTTTATCTTGGATATAACTTTTTCCCTAGGTCTTCAAAGGGGTCATCAATCCTGCATTTAACTTTGTAACTGAAGAAAAACCATAATTAAGCCAGTTCTTATAGAACATGTGGGTCCTGGCTATGGGTCAGCTGTCAATTGCTCTGTTGGCTGGGCAGGCAGGTCAGCTGGAGAAGAAGCCCCAGAGTAGGGCCAGGCAGTGGCAGTCTGTCCTAACCATGCCAAGGGCAGCACCAACGAGCTGCAGCCCTGGCTCGTGAGGGCTGGCCTCATTATTTGGAAATTGGGAAGGATAAACAAATATTTTCACAGGGTGCGTCCAGAACTGAGTATTCAAGGTCACTGTGGTACAGACAGAATGCATGGTGTCAGTGTGTCCTAGTGTCTGGCCTTAAGTGGCCTCTCTTGGCAGCATCTGTAAAGAACACAGAGCATGCTGTAACCTCTGCTGTTGATACTGGGTGCGCTCTTACCACCACTTAGAAATCTCTAGATCCGTTTCCATTTCGTGTTGATTGCTTTGAATGTAGAGCCCAGCTTGCATTTTCTGTGGATTGGACCTTTGCCCTGCATGTTTTGCTCCTCCACTTGAAACTGACCTATACTGCTCTGACTCATTAGTCCCACCCATGGAAGTGGCAAGTACTCACAGGAAGTCTCAAATGGCCTTTGGTTTTCTTCCACTGAGGGGGGTAAGAACACACAGACATACCTAAGTCTCTCTTTGAAAAAACTTTACTAGAATGAGTCTGAAAAAAAAAATTTTAAGGGAGTGTCAGAAGCAAACTTGCTTCCTTGACATACCTAATTTTTTTTTGGATGATAACATATGCCATCCCAACTCCCCACTTCCTCCCGACCTAGATAGCATTAATGGAGGTAAAAAGCACTGAGTGACTGTTAGAATTTTTAAAAATCACAACATTATATAAGTATTGGCTTTTTCTTGCTCTTTAATGGAAATGTCCATCTGCATACAGTATAGGTTATAACACTTTCTAATATACATATACTGTTCCATAGTTTTGAGAATTTCTTTTTTATAAATCAACATCAGGCTATTTCATCTGCGGAGTTTTTTTCTGGCTTCAAAATCAGTGCCTTGTCATTAGCAAACTTCACTTACTAGTTTTAGTCAAGTCTGAGCTACACAATGGTTGAATTGGTGACTATTATATTTGTTTAACTGCTGTAAAGTAAGTTTGCAACAATAGATGCTTGCACTTAAATAGGCATGCAGAGCATTGGGGCCCTATCAATCATGCAGAGATTTCCCTCCTGCTGTCTCCTCTGATGGACAATTCTGCTGATGTGGATATTCAAAAAGAAGGGATCAGGAAGAACAGATGATGGATAAAGACAATCTTCTGTCTTGAGAGGAAATCGGAGAAATCCCTTTAAGGAATTTCTTTGTCATGGTGTCAGAAGATTAATTATGCTCGTGTGAGAACAGCTTTCTCATTGGGTAAAAAGAGACATTATCCTTCTGACTTGTGACAGAAGATTTTCAAAGAAAGAGAGTTAAAGATTTCAGCTGCTCTAAAATCTTCTTATTCTGTTGTCTTCTAAGAATTCTTGGAGACCCCTGGATTACATCCATGACATTCAAGGAGTAATGAATGAATCTGGAATTTCTGTTTCAAGAAATTCCTCCTCCTGTTCCTCATGCAGATCTTCAGAAACCTTAATACCTGAGTTTGTATATCAGCTTTAACAATGACATAATAATGTAGGTGATAACTTATTACAAACCAGGAACAGTTTCTTGTAGTGATATGGCAGAGGAGATACGGGCAGTACAACCAAAAATTGTACAGAAGATTAATAAACACAGTTTTTAACAAGGCAATGAATTCTATAATCTGAAAAGGTATCTTTAAAAAATTCACTTAATTGTATGATTTAATTTAGTTGTAAATAGTGATAATATTTAAGGTATTTACATTCTTCACAGTCACTCTGAACAAAACAAATTGGTATTCTGAAAAACCTTTGAAAGTTAGAGACTCAATATATTTCATGGAACATAAGAATAGTAAAGTTGTTCCAAGTAACTTTATTTTCCAGATAACTGAAACTTCAAAACTTAAACAACAACAACAAAAAAGATTTCAATGAAAAATCTTCCTAAAATTCATTAGTTAATACTCTGGCTTTTAAATAATGCACATTAACTGACCCAGGGTCATAAATATGAAGATCTGCTGTTGTACTACATTGAAATACATTGTCATCCTCAGGGACTGTTGAAGCATGGTGTAGGGTTATTTGCCTCTATGCTAAGTGGCCTGAGCAGCCGCATTTTTATTTCTACTGTCACTTTTTATACAAATGGAGTCTCTTTCTTTCAGGTAAGTTATGTTATCTCTTCTCCCTAGAATGTATTTATCATGTTGCTGGTAAATGGCTATTTTGCTTTATACCTGAGGGTAAGCCTGTACCTACAAAACAAACCAGTTCCGTTTATTTTCTTATTCCACTCTAAAAAAAAAAAAATTTTTTTTTCTTTTGAGATGGAGTCTGGCTCTGTTGCCCAGGCTATAGTGCAGTAGCACAATCTTGGCTCACTGCCATCTCCACTTCCTGGGTTTAAGCGATTCTCCAGTCTCAGCCTCTCAAGTAGCTGAGATTACAGGTGCCTATCACCATGCCCAGCTAATTTTTATATTTTTAGTAGAGGTGGGTTTTCACCATGTTGCCCAGGCTGATCTTGAACTCCTGACCTCAAGTGATCTACCTGCCTCACCCTCCCAAAGTGTTGAGATTACAGGCGTGAGCCACCACACCTGGCCTACCACTGTAAAAATTTATTTTTGGCCAGGTGAAGTGGCTCAACACCTGTAATCCCAGCACTTTGGAAGGCTGAGATGGTAGAATCACTTGAGCCCAGGAGTTCGAGACCAGCCTGGGCAACATAGTGAGACCCTGTCTCTACAAAAAGTTAGATAATTAGCTGGGTGTGATGACATATACCTGTAGTCCCACCTGCTTAGGTGGCTGAAGTAGGAGGATCACTTAAGCCCAGGAGGTTGAGGCTGACTGCAGTGAGCCATGATTACACCACTGCACTTCAGCCTGGGTGACAGAGACCCTATGTTAATACACACACACGCGCGCGCGCGCGCGCACATACGGTCTCTCTTATTTCTGGGTATCTAACTGGTTCTAGGCTAGGTAGTAGAGGTTTCCCAGAAGTCTGGTGCCTGGAAGGATGTATTACTATACATGCACATATACACACTCGCATGCACTGGGTTCATTTATTATAACTGGGTTCATTTATTAACTATTAATTGTATAGTGATAGTGATACAATATTTATGTTATGTATAATGTATTATCTTAGTTACTCTGTGATTATATCATCAGGGTAATAGTTTTATATCAGAGCCTTAAGAATAGATTTCTAAGGCCGGGCATGGTGGCTCATGCCTGTAATCTCAGCACTTTGGGAGGCCAAGGCAGACGGATCACCTGAGGTTGGGAGTTTGAGACCAGCCTGGCCAACATGGTGAAACCCTGTCTCTACTAAAAATACAAAAATTAGCTGGGTGTGGTGGCAGGTGCCTGTAATCCCAGCTACTTGGGAGGCTAAGGCAGGAGAATCGCTTGAACCCAGGAGGTGGAGGTTGTGGTGAGCCGAAATCATGCCATTGTACTCCAACCTGGGGGACAAGAGTAAAACTCTGTCTCAAAAAAAAAAAAAAAAGAATTCTAGTCTGGGTTTGGTGGCTCACCCCTGTAATCCCAACACTTTGGGAGGCTGAGGTGAGAGGATTGCTTGAGGCCAGGAGTTCAAAAGCAGCCTGGGCCACACAGCAAGACCCCATCTCTACAAAAAATTTAAAAATTAGCTCAAAGTAATGGCATGTACCTGTAGTCCCAGCTACTTGGGAGACTAAGGTGGGAGGATTGCTTGAGTCTGGGAGGTTGAGGCTGCAGTGAGTCATGGTTGTGCCATTGTACTCCAGCCTTGGTGACCGACTGACGAAGATCTTGCCTAAAAAAAAAAAAAAATTACATTTCTAGTGACTGTACCACTTTAGATACTTCTTCCCTACCTTTCCTAGGGCCCCAACATTGCTATTGTGAAATGGTAGTCAAACCTTGGTTTTAAATAAAAATGAACTATTACATTCCTCAAGACAAAATCATTAAAATGTGCGTTAAATATTAGCTAATGTTAGTAAGTTTTGCAGTAACTATAGTAATTGTAGGGTCCGATTCAGATTTTTGTAAGAGTTTGTAGCCATGACGAAGTGAGTGAGTCTTGTTTTAATTCCACTTGGTATCAGTACCTGGGTAAATAGATTTAGGTTCAAAATTTAGAAATTTTGAGTTTTGAGCAGGATCTAAACTTTATTATCAGTTCCATATCCAGTTTGAGTTTTTTGAAGATGATAAAACTAAAGTGATGATTCTCATGAAACATAGAAAGTGTTTAAGAAACAGTTCCAGGAAAATAAAAGTCCAAAAAAGTTTTCTTCTTCCTTTGTGAAGAGGGAATTGATGATTCTGTTACATTTTGTCTTGCTGGATAAAAAAATCACCCCATTATTGATCACGAGGTCAGGAGATCGAGACCATCCTGGCTAACACAGTGAAACCCCGTCTCTACTAAAACAAACAACAACAAAAAAAATTAGCCGGGCATAGTGGCACACGCCTGTACTCCCAGCTACTCAGGAGGCTGAGGCAGGAGAATCACTTGGACCCAGGAGGCGGAGGTTGCAGTAGGCTGAGATTGCGCCACTGCACTCCAGCCTGGTGACAGAGTATGACCCCATCTCAAAAAAAAAAAAAATTGCCCCATTATTATCCTTTTGTGCTCTCTTTTAGCAGGATGAATTAACCTTTGAGAGGCTTTAATTAAAACTGGAGGTAATTCATCTTGATGACTTAGAACATTTGAAGATAAAAGTTTACTAATTAATAAAAAATATAGCCAGTTACAGAAAATGTTTCTCTCTTTGTCTTTGTGAGCCTACCATTAAAAGAGAACAATCAATTTATCCCCCCACTAGCTGTATGAATTCAGTGGAAAAGAACTTTGGGTTTTCTCCTTCCTAAACCCTTGCTAAATTGTTCTGGCAGTACATAAAAGTGGGTCATTTGTACCTAACATATTTTACTGATGCTCCATTAATCTTAGTGACAGTGTTCTCTCTTTCCCCGTAATAAGCAGGACAGCAGGTTATTATGGGAAAAGAGGAGACGGTAAACGTTTTTTAAATGACTGTATAATAGGAAAAGGCCATTTAATACTTTGGAGCCTAGCCTTTTTGAGTATGGATACATGATCAAAATACCCATGATTGTTTTGTGTTATTTTTTGTATTATTTATTAATAGCATATCATACCTTTAGCATTAAGAATAATGTTAAAACAATTTGTGAAAAAGATCATGTGTGTCTTTGGATGTATATCAAGAAGGTCTTCATTCCAAAAACAAATGGTTTGTAAGACAAAATTAATCTGAGAAGTTAGATGAATCAAGGACAAAAGATTTTTTTGGAGGGCTATTTTGTTTTACATGTAAAAGCTCTATCACACTGCTTCTTATACACAATGATTAAAAGGCAAATTAACTTAAGACTTGAGAGTTTCTCAGCTGTTGAGCATTTAAACTAATCTTATGAAGGCCTTGATTATAGCTATAATGTGTTTTGCATTTCTTTTTTTCTTTTTTTTTTTTTTCGAGACAGAGTCTTGCTCTGTTGCCCAGGCTGGAGTGCAGTGGCTCAATCTCGGCTCACTGCAAGCTCCGCCTTCCGGGTTCATGCCATTCTCCTGCCTCAGCCTCCCGAGTGGCTGGGACTACAGGCGCCTGCTACCATGCCTGGCTAATTTTTTGTATTTTTAGTAGAGACGGGGATTCACCGTGTTAGCCAGGATGGTCTCGATCTCCTGACCTCGTGATCCACCTTCCTCAGCCTCCCAAAGTGCTGGGATTACAGGTGTGAGCCACTGCACCCGGCCGTGTTTTGCATTTCTTAAAATAATTTCATCATTAAAACATTCTTCATTCTTTCAGTGAGAGGATGCTAGATGAGCAAGGCTGCACTGACGTTCTATCTTGGTCTCCTCTGTTAGTGGCAGGTTTCAAAGGTTAAACTAGCTACAGGTGAAAGGTAATCACTAGTAGTTTGGTACCTTTCCAGATCCCACTGGAAACTGTAATAGCCAACTCTGTTCATTTGTAAAGAAAAAAAGAAAAGCCATTCCCTGAGTAGTATGGAATGGGAAGCAACCACCCTCTTCTTCCCTCTTACTTAAATAAACAAGCTAAATGGAAAAATAAACTTTACTTCTTCACATCTGGTAGAAAGCTTTCTCTTCTGTTGAAAGTTCACATGCTCCCTTTGCTGTGCTTGGCCATGTGAACCAGGTGTCTCCCTTCCTTCCGTGAAGTGACCTGCGTAGCTGCCATAGTGAGAGACCCTGATTGCTTTACCAGTAATCCAATAGCATTATTATATAGCAATAAGCAAAATAAATCCCTTAGCATTGGGAATTACATGGGATGACATTCACCCCAGCTGCCCGCATACCTATTAGTAGTAAAGCAACAGGACCTTATGACAGTAATGCTGCAAGGAAACTTTGAATAAGCACATAAATTCTGCTGGGTCCCCCTTATATGGAGTCAGATTATACTTATTCTTTTGCATGTGCTCTACTTAATGGGACTAATTTTCAGTTTATACAGTGATCTATTTCCCTTTCTGGCATACACTAACTTTAGCAAGCCAGAGCACGATGCTATAGGCAGCGGCACCATGATTTCTCAGGCACACTGGCATTTACTTACCACCAGCATACTGCTAGTGGTCAGAATTTATCTTTGCAGACTCCCTGTGCATCTTTCTATACCCTCCCTACCCCGCTCCAGCCTTTTTGCTTCTGGACCACTTTATCAGAACTCTTCTCCTTTCTGGTTTATCCTTCTCTAGTGAAATACTTCAGTAATTAGTATTCAATAATGTGATTTTATTGCTTAACTTTTCCATGAAATGAGGGTGTCAAGTATCATTTGCAGCCTCCTTAACCTCAAAATTCCACAGACTTGATATCTCTTATTACATAGTTGAACATTCCGCAGTGTTCTTTAGGAACACATACCCTTGATGTGATGCAGGATCCAGTGATGATTATTGAAAGCTTGGTTAAAAGCCATTTTAGAAGAAAAAGTAGAATATAAAACTTGGAGGAATCCCTTTTTCTTCAGATCCTAAGCATACTGTTGAATCTCAGTGATTTTGTGAGGTTTTATTTCTGATGAAGCTTTTGGGATTCTTTTGCTGTTTGTTTTTAGTGTTTTGATTTTTTTTTTATGTTTTATAATAAAGAGCCTAGTTGATAAACAGTGTTTAATTGTGTTTAGTATTCTTGTTCCAGGATAGTGCTAGCCTGAGAGGAAAAGGTAAAGGTCAAATGCTACAGGCATCCAAGAAGTAGTGGAGAGTGGACGTGATACTCATCCCAGGACCAGTTGCTGCTGTAATGGCAAAACGGCCTTTCAAAACTCTCTGGTGCTTGTAAGCACCCTTCTTGAGGAATTCTGAGCACTTTGTGAACAGAACCATAGAATGGCAAGGGGCTTAAGAGGCACCATAACTGATTTGTTTCCATTTTCTGAAGGAGGAGATAGAAGCACAGAGCAGTCAACTATCTAGTCCTAAAGTCAGACAGTGAGAGGTCTTTTTAAAAATTCTTTTTTTCACCGGGTGCAGTGGCTCACACCTGTAATCCCAGCACTTTGGGAGGCCGAGGCGGGTAGATCACGGGATCAGGAGATCGAGACCATTCTGGTTAACACAGTGAAACCCCGTCTCTACTAAAAAATACAAACAATTAGCTGGGCGTGGTGGTGGGCGCCTATAGTCCCAGCTACTCGGGAGGCTGAGGCAGGAGAATGGCGTGAACCTGGGAGGCGGAGCTTGCAGTGAGCCGAGATCGCACCACTGCACTGCAGCCTAGGCGACAGAGCAAGACTCCGTCTCAAAAAAAAAGAAAAAAAATTCTTTTTTTCTCCTTTCTTTTTAATATGTTTGGTTAATCCTTACAAATAAGCATCCCATTTAATAATTATACACAATTTTGATCTCTCTCTTAATCCAAATAAGTGGTTTTTCAAACTCTAATGTCATAGAATCAAGCTTAGGGCTGCCTATTTTCTTAATCCATCAACCCTTTCTGGGGTGTTCAAAATGCAAACTCCTGAGTCCTTTCCTAGACCCACTGACTCATGAATCTCTGAGAGGGAATAAGAGCTCTACATGGCAACAGTGTTCCTCAGGTGATGCTGATGCAGTCCTTGAGCTAGACTTTGTGAGAAACACTGATCTAAAATTCTGAATGTAAAGAGTGTTTCATTGGCCACACCAGTCACATCAGGGAAAATCAGTAGTAATTCCAAAGAGATTTTCTATTTTGTTATATTCAGATCAAATATAGCCCATGCTGTAGCCATTGCTGAAACAAATGGAAATATCTGTTCTATTCTTCCTTGCTACTCCAGTTTATCATTCAGCACTTTCTACCACCACCATCACTGTCAGACCAGCAAAATGACTTTCAGAGCCTATCTCTGGGCACCAGGCCTCAGGGCTGACCCACTCCACCTCACTTGTCTGTTGATTGTCTTCATCCACAGCTATGATCACTTGTTTCTCCATGCTGTTTCTTCCTAGGATTCTCCTGTGTTTCTTCACTTTTTACCCCAAAATAAAAATAAGTTGTTTTTCAACTTAAGCCACCAGCCTACATATCTCAACTCCTTTAGGAGGTTCCTTATATTTTACTTCTCAACAAAGACTTTCCCAAGGCAGATAACAGAATGAAAGGTTATAAAGGAGAGTGAGGATCATGTCCGTGGATCAAAAATTATCAGTCTGAGTTAGGTTTTAAACTTATCTTATTAGGCCGGGCACAGTGGCTTACGCCTGTAATCCTAGCACTTTGGGAGGCTGAGGTGGGCAGATTACCTGAGGTCAGGAGTTCAAGACCAGCCTGGCCAACATGGCAAAACCCCGTCTCTACTAAAAATACAAAAATTCCTGGCGTGGTGGCGGGCGCCTGTAATCCCAGCTACTCAGGAGGCTGAGGCAGGAGAATTGCTTGAACCCAGGAGGCTGAGGTTGCAGTGAGCCGAGATCGCACCTCTGCACTCCATCCTGGGTGACAGAGCCAGACTCCATCTCAAAAAAAAAAAAAAATTATCTTATTAGAAAAGTTGAAATTTAAAAGGCACATAGTGGAGTCAGAATGTATTTGATTGTATAGAATCATGTAAGAGTGGACTAGGAATCCCATATTGTTTCTTCTATTCTAAGGCAGTTTTAGGCTGTCAGTCTGACCTCAGATATTTCTAATCAGGAATTTTCACAAGCTGTGTAAGTAAAATCATGTTTAACCAACATAGCATTAGTTATTTCTCCCTTGAATTTTGATTAACAATTTGATTACAGTTTGGACCATTTTACATATTCTTTTCTGTGACTATGGAGAATTTAGTGTAGCTTAGCCTGAAAAGCATATGATAGATTTTAAAGGACCTAGGTTTGAATCTTAGCACTGCTAACTTTCTTGAACAAGTCACTCAACCTTTTAGAGTCTGTTTTCTCATGTAATGAATGAAAGGCTCTATCTCATAATGTCATTATAAGAATTAAGTGAAGCAAAGTGTTCAAAGCTTTCAATGCAGTTCTGAGATGTTGTTTATAAAATTTTGGTTAATTTAGACATTGGTTATGTCTAATGACAATTAGGAAACCTCTCTCAACCTTAGACTAAGATAACATTTTGTTGGGTCTATTGTGTTCATAAGATTTTTTTTGAGCAACCTAAAATAATAACATTCTTACAAAGATCTAGAACCTACAACAATACAATTATTTTCACTTTTATTCTGATTACCTTTTACAGTGGACACTTTATTGACAAAACCCAAGTCCACCTCACCTCTCTGGCAGCTACCTAAGTGGTATGGGTTTATTTGTGTCTCTATTTTTGCTTCATTTGTTTGCTTCTAAGATCCCTCCTGGCTCAGGCCATGCTCCTCGCCCCCACCCGCAGGATCTGATGCTACAGGAATATAATTGTGGTCCCACTACCACAACCCCTCATTGCAGCACAATAGAAAAACATTGGGGCCGGGTGTGGTGGCTCACGCCTGTAATCCCAGCACTTTGGGAGGCTGAGGCGGGCAGATCATAAGGTCAGGAGATCAAGACCATCTTGGCTAACATGGTAAAACCCTGTCTCTACTAAAAATATAAAAAAAAATTAGCCGGGCATGGTGGTGGGCACCTGTAGTCCCAGCTACTTGGGATGCTGAGGCAGGGGAATGGCGTGAACCCTGGAGGTGGAGCTTGCAGTGAGCTGAGATTGTGCCACTGCACTCCAGCCTGGGCAACAGAGCGAGACTCCGTCTCAAAAAACAAACAAACAAAAAAAACCACATTGGTTTGGAGTCAGAGGACATGCATTTGAGTGTCAGTATTTGGCTACTTATGAGTGTGGTAATTTTATAAAGATTAACCAAGATTTTTTCTTTCTTTTTTTTTTCTTTTTTTGAGACGGAGTCTTGCTCTGTCGCCCAGGCTGGAGTGCAATGGCACAATCTCAGCTCACTGCAACCTCTGCCTCCCAGGTTCAAGTGATTCTCCTGCCTCAGCCTCCTGAGTAGCTGGGATTACAGGCGCACGCCACCATGCCTGGCTAATTTTTTTGTATTTTTAGTAGAGACGGGGTTTCACCGTGTTGGCCCAGCTGGTCTTGAACTCCTGACCTCATGATCCACCCGCCTGGGCCTCCCAAAGTGCTGGGATTACAGGCGTTGAGCCACCGCACCCGGCCCTAACCAAGATGTTAATAATATACATGAAAGAATTCTATAAAGTAGAGAAGTGTGTTCTTCCCATGGTTAGGGATTTATATAAGGAGGAGTGTTAACATTTGTTGCATACCTAATACATGCAACGTACTTCACATACATTATCTTCTTTACTGTAACACTATGAAGTAGGAGATATATCCATTTTACAGATAACTAGCCTCAAGCTACATGATTATGAAGTAGTGAAGCATGATCACCACTGCCTGTCTTGGCTTTCAGAGCAGTAATGGTCAGGCCATTTTTGGTCCTGCCTTGGCTACCAAGAAGAGAGGAAAGGAGTAGATGAGAAAATGGAAGGAGACCCTGTGTGTTGCAGTCAGCAAATAAGGAGCTATCTGAGAATTTGTACTAGTCACTGACTTGATAGGATAGATACCTGCCACTTGTCTTTATGACAAAACTGGAAAGACAGGAGAGGCCACAGCATTGGCAAGGGTTCCTCCAGTTGAAAGTTTGTGGTGGGGAGCCGTGCCTCTCATCTGCAATCATCTTGAAATATGACTCAGCCACAAGCTTCTTGATTTCTGTACTTCCCTTGTCCTCTGTCAAACAAATGTGATTGCAAGTGCTCACTGCAGCCTGGGCACAAGGCATCTTTCCACCTCAGCTTCCAGGGTAGCTGGGACTATCGGCATACACCACCACACACAGATAATTTTTTAAATCTTTTGTAGAGACAGGTTCTTGCTGTGTTGCCCAGGCTGATCTCAAACTCCTGGCCTCAAGGGATCCTCCCACCTTAGCATCCCAAAGCACTGGGATTATAGGTGTGAGCCACCACACCTGGCTACTTATTATAATTTTTAAACCTAAAGGAGTGGTGAAGCCAAAAAGCATTTTGGAGTTCATACTGACTGAATTTTTCTAGTGTTTTTCTGCTTGAACACAAATGAAGTCAAAGCTTTCACCTGGCCTGAAAGCTTCAGGTGACAGCAGTGTATTAGGTGTAAGGTCTTTCCTTCCATGTCAGTGCAGCCTTGCTTATGACCCTATTAGGCTTTGACAAAACGATGGGAATACTTTTCAAAGGGAAAGTGGGAGCTGAACTGCTTTTGTTGGTGGTGAGGGGCCATTGTTATAATCAAACAAAACTGGGGAGATATGATGAGAAATTAATTTCCTGAAAATAGAAATTATAGGGAAAGATTTTCATTATTAAACCTCAATTTTGGCTTTAGGGTTTTAGGATTAGCATTTAAATTATTGGAACCATTTTTGCCTATGTGCTTATAGGGTCTCTAAATGCATTTGTAAAATTTCAGACTGATTGATGGCCTGAATTGATGTTCAGTCCATCATCATGGACTGAATGTTGAAATGATGTCCACAACAAATTTTAATGTCATTACAGACCTTTAAAATGTTAAGAAGATTAAAAGAGAAAAAGGCCACTGTGTCTGGTTGGTGAATTTTGGTCATGAACATGTTATATTCAAGAACCATCCTTAGGTCCTTGTTCTAGGCTTCACTGCCTCAAACAAAACTTAGATGGGATTTTTTTTTTCTGTAATAATTACACTTAAGCACCTGATGATCTAATGAAGACAATTTCTTAATGTGCCAAAATGAGTTCTTTGTATCTTATTTGAATCTTTTGTTGCTTTAAGCTAATCTGCTTTAGGGTTCTCAAATCCAAGCATTTTACAATGCAGGCTCTAGCAATGGCATTCATCTGGAATGCTGCCTTTTGTTTACTAGCTTTACCAGACGCTCACTGCTTCCTTTGGTCATCTGGTGTCTTAACTAATGTGATTTGTTCTCCTAGGCTCTGCAGGTAGCCATGAGCCTCTATAAGTGAGATTTACAATGGGACTCACCACCCTGGCTGCTAATGAAGGTAGCCACAGGGATTTCATTTTGTTTTTTCATCTGTCCCCCAAAAGAGTAGAGGAAATTGTGCTGTGGGTTTTCTAATTCTCCTTGTTTTCCATATAATTTTTACAATTGATTTACTAACCACCATGCAAAAATATAAATATTTTTGTTTAGGAGTCAGAATGTTTCCTCTGCCAGCCCCTCATGCTAATCACTAGAATTGTTTATTATTGAACCTGAAAAGAACAAAGTGAAGTCTCTGTTTAAATTTAACCAATTGGCATTTTACCTTCATCTGTTTTTGTCTTTGAGGAAGATTTTTGACCAATTTGGTTATTTAAAAAACAAAAACTGTGTGACTGGGCAACTTGGATTCTGGTTCCAGCCTTGCCATTTAGTACCTAAGTCATGGACACCTTTTGGTTTCTTATCTGGAAAAAAAAAAAAGGGAGTTAGTCAGCAAGGTACATATAAGAGCCAAGATGATGTTTTATATTCTTCTAGCTTTCTTTTCTACTATCATAGTGAACTAAAGTGCCCCGACTGGATTCATGGGTAAACCTACCATTGAAAAACAACCTTGTATCTGATAAAATGTCTTGCCTAGCTGTCAAAGCAATAAATATAAAATGTTAGTGTCTTCATTTTAGAAATGCTATGATCTCTAGATTATAACCCAATTTTATAGAGAGAGGGATTTGTCCATTTCCAGTAGGGAAACACAGAGCCCATGTATTATTGTGCTTCACAAGACAGTGGTTCTCAGGTATGGTTTAAAGGTCTCCCAAAGGTCATGGAATCTTTGGATTATACAACAAGAGAGGGCATAAGCAATTATTGGGTTCAGTCCACTCAGTTTTACTAATGAGGATCAAGAGACCCAGAAGTGCTTAGTAGTTTGTCCCTGGTCACAGAATTTATCGAGCTGCCAGTAGAGCCCAAACCCCAAAGACAAAATGGCCGCATACCAGGGTGGACATGTCCTCGCTACCTCTTAATGAAACACAGGGAGCAGAAGGTTGAGAAGAGAGATTTTTTTTTTTTTTTTTTTTTTTGAGACAGAGTCTCGCTCTGTCACCCAGGCTGGAGTGCAGTGGCACTGTCTTGGCTCAGTGCAACCTCTGCCTCCAGGATTCAAGTGATTCCCCCACCTCAGCCTTCCAAGTAGCTGAGACTACAGGCATGTCCCACCTCAGCTTCCCGAGTAGGTGGAACTACAAGTGTGTACCACCATGCCCGGCTAATTTTTGTATTTTTAGTAGAGACTGGTTTGACCGTGTTGGCCAGGCTGGTCTTGAACTCCTGACCTCAAGCAGTCCACCTGCCTTAGTCCCCCAAAGTGTTAGGATTACAGGCATGAGCCACCATGCCCAGCCTGGATTGTTAACTCCAAGTCTGAACACTTAAAAATCACTGCTTGAGGCTGGGTGCGGTGGCTCACGCCTGTAATGCCAGAACTTTGGGAGGCCAAGGCGGGCGGATCACGAGGTCAGGATATCGAGACCATCCTGGCTAACATGGTGAAACCCCGTCTCTATGAAAAATACCAAAAATTAGCCAGGCTTGGTGGCAGGCGCCTGTAGTCCCAGCTATTCGTGAGGCTGAGGCAGGAGAATCGCTTGAACTCGGGAGGTGGAGGTTGCAGTAAGCCGAGATTGTGTCACTGCACTCCAGCCTGGGCGACAGAGCAAAACTCTGTCTCAAAAACAACAACAACAACAACAACAACAACAACAACTGCTTGATAGTGTTAGACATTTGGCTTGTTTCTCCATTGCAACTGACAGTGTAAAGTCAATCTGATCTCACAGATGTTGTACTGAGGTGATGCTCCTGCAAAGGTGTTGAAACTATAGTTCCTCCCCTCTGGGAATTTACAGTCTAATCTGGGAATAAAACAAGTATACAAGTAGTACTGTGTGAGTTAGTGGGAATAAAAATGAATAAAACACAAACTGTGACTCTAAAGATTTCAAAATCTAAAGGAAAGATGGATTTTAATACAACTTCGTAGGCCAGGTGTTTAATAGCTGGTCAAAGGTAAATTCAGGGTCATCTGGGAACTCATAGGCAGTCTTAAATAAGACTGTAAGAAATGAAAGAAACTTACAGTAAAATGCTGGCCAGTGTTCCTACTCTTGAGTTGGTGATCGCTACTGGAGAAAATCTCTCATCATTGCAGACTGAGATCACTCTAAATTCATTGTCCCTATCCCTAAATGTGACCTAATTATATCTTTGACTGCCTTTGGCTGAGTTCCTTTCCTTTTTATCTAATCAATTATTCCAAATCTATTCCACTCTCTTCAAGCCTGTACCCACCTGCCCCTTTCTCAGCAGGCTGCTCCTCTCACTTCTAGGAATCCCTGAAGAGTCCCATTAATTGCCTTGACTTTAGCTGACCCTAAGTACTAGTGAAGCCAAGTTCTTTATCTCCAACCCTGGGTTCCCTTGCACTTCAGACCCTATTAGATTACTGCTGGATATTTCCATTTGGTTGTTTCACAGCCATTTCGAAAACCATATGTCTAAGAACTGAATGGATCACCTTCTGTCCAGAAATCTCACCTTCTTTCTCAGGGTTCCCTGAATCAGAAAAGGTACCATCATCCACCCCAGTTTGCCTGAAAAAAGAACTACTCTGGCTGGAACATGCCATGTCCAGGTAGGAGGCTGCAGTAATCCTTGTCGTGGTCTTTAACACGTTGTGTATAATTGCATGAGAAATAGCATTGTCAAGTGATTAAAAACATGGCTTTGAAGTATGATGGATCTGTGTTTGATTCCTGGCACCATCACTTGTCAGTCAGCTGTGTGACCTTGAGCCAACTATTAAACTTTCTAAGACTGGGTTACCTTTTCTGAAAGATGGAGACCATAATAGTACTTACAGGCCAGGTGCGGTGGCTCACACCTGTAATCCCAGCACTTTGGGAGGCCGAGGTGGGTGGATCACTTGAGGTCAGGAGTTCAAGACCAGCCTGGCCAACATGGTGAAACCCATCTCTACTAAAAATACGAAAATGAGCCAAGCATGGTGGCATGTGCCTGTAATCCCAGCTACTCAGGAAGCTGAGGCAGGAGAATCACTTGAAACTGGGAGCTGGAGGTTGCAGTGAGCTGAGATCATGCCATTGCACTCCAGCCTTGGGGACAGAGTGAGACTCCATCTCAAAAAAAAAAAAAAAAAAGTACTTACAGGGTATTCTGAGGATTAAATGAGTTCTCACATATGAAGCATTCATCATAGGTATCCCTAAGACCGAATAGAGCAGAGATCATTTAGATCATTTCTGACTCACTCACTTCTGTATCTGCCAGTCCTGACACAAAGAAGGCACTCAGTAAATACTCGTTGAATGAGAAAATGAGGTAGCGGCATGCCTAGATTAAGCTACTGACAATAGGGGTGGAGAAAAGAAGCAATGCAAGGCAGAAACCTCGACGTCCTCCTGAATTACTTCGCCGTGTCATCAATCACTAATTCCCACTGATTTCATTCCTAAATATTTCCCAGGCTCATCCCACCCTCTGTAACCCTCCCATAACTGCACCCACACAGGCTATCATGACCACTCACTAGGACTATAGTAGGAGTTTCTAAACACTCTCCCTGCATCCTGTTTTACTTCCTCACAAGCCCCTACCAGACTGCCACCGGGGAAATCCGTTCAAAGCTAAAATGTGAACATGTCATTTCTTTGCTTAACACTCATTCACGGCTATCTTTTATCTATAGGATCTAGTTGCAGCAATTGAGACCTGGGCTATATTTCCATCTTTCTTTCCTAACATGCCCTCTCTCACACTTGGGAGTCTAGACCAAGATTACTTGGTCTTGGTCTTATCTTCTGGACATACTGTGCTATTTCATGTCTTCATGCTTTTAAGAGGTTTCTGGTTATTCTTGTTCTTTCCACAGCCCTTTCTCCTGTCCTAATTAGGTTTACATTTGTCTGCAAATGACAGGAAACCTGAAACAGCAAGTTAGAAGTTTCTTTCTTCTTGGCATAACATTTGGAGGTAACAGTCCAAGACTGATAAAGCATCTCTGCTATCATCAGGGAGCCTCGGTCCTGTCTCGTGCTTCTGCCATCAATGTGTGGCTTCCATCCTTGTTCTCTCTCTCTTCTCTGCCCCCTCTAGAACCTTATTCCATTAGTCATCAACTCTTCCTTTTCTTTAAGGAAAGAACCTCATCCTGCAAGCATCCCTCCTTCTAATTATTTCTTCCTGCCATTGTACCTTTCTGACAATTACCAACCTATTTCCACCCTTGTTCACCACACTTGCTTCTTGAAAGGCTAATCGCATGCCATGGGACATTTTCATTCCTGATCCTATTTGACTTCTCCTACCTTTTAAAACTGTCTACCACCGATCAGCCTGACCAATATGGTGAAACCCCGTCTCTACTAAAAATATAAAAATTAGCTGGGCGTGGTGGTGGGTGCCTGTAGTCCCAGCTACTAGGGAGGCTGAGACAGGAGAATTGCTTGAACCCAGGAGGCAGTGGTTGCAGTGAGCCTGAGATTGCACCACTGCACTCCAGCCTGAGCAACAGAGCAAGACTCCGTCTCAAAAAAAAAAAACAAACAAAAACAAAAAAACCAACAACAACTGTAACTGTCTACCACCTTCCATTTCTCCAGATTGTCTTGTCCCTCAGCTTTCACCACACTGTTCTGCTCCTGGCTCCCTTCCTGCTTCTGCTGCTCCTTCTCCATCTTCTTTGCTGGTTTTACTCTTCCTTTGCTTCACTCTTTTTTTTTTTTGAGACAGAATCTTGCTTTGTCGCTCAGGCTGGAGTGTAATGGTGAGATCTCAGCTCACTGCAGCCTCCACCTCCTAGATTCAAACAATTCTCCTGCCTCAGCCTCCCAAGTAACTGGGATTACAGGAGCTTGCCACCATGCCTGGTTAATTTTTTGTATTTTTAGTAGAGACGGGGTTTTGCCATGTTGCCCAGACTAGTCTCGAACTCCTGACCTCAGGTGATCCACCCATCTCTGCCTCCCAAAGTGCTAGGATTAGGCGTGAGCCACCATGCCCAGCCCCCCGACCTTTTTTTTTTTTTTTTTTTTTTAAGACAGGGTGTTGCTCTGTCGCCCAGGCTGGAGTGCAGTGGCACAATCTCGGCTCACTGCAATCCCCGCCTCCCAGGTTCAAGTGATTCTCCTGCCTCAGCCTCCCGAGTAGCTGGGACTACAAGCACGTGCCACCACACTCGGCTAATTTTTTTTTTTTTTTTTTTTTTTTTTTTTGAGACAGAGTCTTGCTCTGTCGCCCAGCCTGGAATGCAGTGGCACGATCTTGGCTCACTGCAAACTCCGCCTCCCGGGTTCACGCCATTCTCCTGCCTCAGCCTCCCGAGTAGCTGGGACTACAGGCACCCACCACCATGCCCGGCTAATTTTTTTGTATTTTTATTAGAGACGGGGTTTCACCGTGTTAACCAGGATGGTCTCAATCTCCTGACCTCGTGTTCCGCCCGCCTGAGCCTCCGAACGTGCTGGGATTACAGGCGTGAGCCACCGCGCCTGGCTTGCTTGACTCTTAAATGACAGTGTTTCTCATGGTTTCCTCCTGGACCCTCTCTCATTCCACATACTTCTCCCACCTAGGCAGTCACCAGGTAATCTCACCAGTACCCATAGCAGCTGGGCATGGTAACTCATGCCAGTAATCCCAGCACTCTAGGAGGTTTAGGTGGGAGAATCACTTGATCCCAGGAGTCTGAGACCAGCCTGGGTAACATAGTGAGACCCCATCTCTACAAAAAATTTAAAAATTAGGCCAGGCACAGTGGCTCATGTCTGTAATCTCAGCACTTTGGGAGGCTGAGGCAGGTGGATCACTTGAGGTCAGGAGTTCGAGACCAGCCTGGCCAACATGGTGAAACCCTGTCTCTACTAAAAATACAAAAATTAGCCAGGCGTAGTGGCAGGTGACTGTAATCCCAGCTACCCGGGAGGCTGAGGCAGGAGAATCGCTTGAACCCGGGAGGCAGAGGTTGCAGTGAGCTGAGATCGCACCATTGCACTCCAGCCTGGGCAACAGAGCCAGACTCCATCTCGAAGAAAAAAAAAATTAAAAATCAGCCAGCCATGGTGGCATGCACCTGTAGTCCCAGCTACTCGGGAAGCTGAGTTGGGACAATTACTTAAGCCAAGGAGGTGGAAGTGGCAGTGAGCCATGATTGCACCACTGCACTCCAGCCTGGGTGACAGAGTGAGACCCTGTCTTAAAACAAGAACAACAACAAAAAACCCAGTGTCCATAGCGGCCATCTGTGTGGCTGCCCTCTGTCTCCAGGGACTGCTTGTTCAGTCCTCACATCCTGAAGTCAAGTCCTGAATTTCTCAGTGCACAATGAAAGGGCTTCTCTTCTCTGTTCCTTCCACCCCTGATTATGTGCAAGCTCCATCACCTCTTCCTAGACTCCTGCAGAAACTTTTTATCTGGTCTCTAATCACGCTTTCACACTTCCAAAGTTACCTTTTATGTTTTAAAACATCTAATTATGTTATTTTTTTTTTGAAAACTTCCATTGGCTTTTTCCTGCTTCTAGAATTATATTCAAATCCCTAATTTAGTGTATAAGTCTCCTTACAGAGACTGGCCCCAACTTACTTTTTAAATTTTTTTTCTCTTGCCACTCAATCTCCATCCCCCAAATCATGCACCCAACAATTAACTTTAGTATTTCTAAAATACACTATGCCTTTGATAGTCTGTTCTGTTGACCTGTGAGGTCCTCCTAATTTGATGAATTCCTACTTTGTCCTTTAAAGCAAGGATCCCCAGTCCCCTGGCCACGTGGCCTGTTAGGAACTGGGCCGGCACAACAGGTTGTGAGCCGTGGGCAAGCGAGCATTACCACCTGAGTGCCACCTCCTGTCAGATCAGTGGCGGCATTAGATTCTCGTAGGCTCCCAAAACCTATCATGAACTGTGTGTGTGAGGGATCTAGGTCGCATGCTCCTTATGAGAATCTAATGCCTGATGATCTGTCACTGTCTTCCATCACCACCAGATGGGATCATCTAGTTGCAGAAAAACAAGTTCAGGGCTCTCACTGATTCTATATTATGGTGCATTGTATAATTATTTTATTATATATTCCAATGCAATAATAATAGAAATAAAGTGCACAATAAATGTAATGGGCTTCAGTCATCCTGAAACCATACCCCAACCCTTGGCTGTGGAAAAATTGTCTTCCACGAAACCAGTGCCTGGTGCCAAAAAGGTTGGGGACTGCTGCTTTAAAACCACCCAAAATATCACCTCTTGTGTGATGTTGTTTCTGTTTCTTCAGAGTTGCTACATCCTATGAGCTTTTATAGTACTTTTTTCCTACTTCTAATGAACATTTATACATTCACAGGTCTGTCTGCATGTCTAGATTGGACTCTCTTTGAGATTAGGGACTGCCTTTATCATCATTCCTAGCACAGTTCTCAGTAGTTTCTAGGTGAATACATGAATAAAATAATAAAATCAGGGAAAGGGAATAGATTTTTCTTTTCTTTCTTTCTTTTTTTTTTTTTTTTTGAGGCAGAGTCTTACACTGTTGCCCAGGCCGGAGTGCAATGGCGTGATCTCAGCTCACTGCAACCTCCGCCTCCTGGGTTCAAGTGAGTCTCCTGCCTCAGCCTCCCGAGTAGCTGAGATTACAGGCACACATCAACACACCCGGCTAATTTTTTGTATTTTTAGTAGACATGGGGTTTCACCATGTTGGCCAGGCGTGTCTTGAACTCCTGACCTCAGGTGATCCACCCGCCTCACCCTCCCAAAGTGCTGAGATTACAGATGTGAGCCGCTGCGCCCAGCTAGATTTTGCTTTAATAATAATTTATGTTTTACATATTTTGAACATGTTGAGTTGGCATATTGAGTTTGACAGGATGGCATAACACAAAAATGATGTTTCCTAGATTTTTCTAGCTTGGGAGCAGCAACTCAGAAAAGACTTCATGGGCAATGATGTAGATGGAGGAGTCACCAGCACAGACGATAGGAAACAACTGATTGGATCCCATGTTTTTCAGGAATGAACTAAAGAAAGTTAGAACATCTATAAGAAGTGGGGAAAAGATTGTAGTGGGAATTTGGGGTATGCAGGGAGAAAATCCGTAAAAAACCTTGCTGGAAAAAAACTGTTTGACACTTTTATCTGAGATCCTCTCCCTTCATACCCCATACCCCATATTCCTGGCTGGCTACTTCAACCTCATCTTATTTATTCTCATTCTTCTTCTCTGTTTTTTGGAGGTGGTGGTGGTGGGGGAGTTTGAGTTTCTGCCCCTTTCGTAATAGCAAGAGAGAATGGGTAAGATGGAAATATATATATTTTGTTCCCCTTACAAAATAATCAATACACTGAAAAAGTTTAATTTATTTTTAAGTGAAATGTAACATTTATTCAAATAGGTTTTTTTCCTTCTTGTCTCTTTCTCCCTCTATTCTACTGTTTTGCTTTCTTAGAGCCTCTAGGAAATATAATACTGCTTTATGTAGATGTTTCTACACAACTGCTTAACATTTTGAAAACTGGTTAATTCAATTATTTAAAAATTAAAACTGTTGGCCAGGAGTGATGGTTCACACCTGTAATCCCAGCACTTTGGGAGGCTGAGCCAGGTGAATCACAAGGTCAGGAGTTTGAGACCAGCCTGGCCAACATAGTGAAACCCCGTCTCTACTAGAAATACAAAAATTAGCAGGGCATGGTGGCGCATGCCTGTAGTTCCAGCTCTTCGGGAGGCTGAGGCAGGAGAATCACTTGAATCCAGGAGGTGGAGGTTGCAGTGAGCCGAGATCGTGCCACTGCACTCCAGCTTGGGGAACAGAGTGAGACTTTGTCTTAAAAAAAAAAAAAAGGCACAGAGATGGATATGGGCTTGTTATTGTTGGGGATGGCAATAAAATCAAATGGAAAGGAATAGATATTACATTCTGGGGTATGATAGGTGATAAGTTTCAATAGGCACAGAAAGGTAAGATAACGAAAGTTTTCAAACACTAGGTTGTGAAACTTGTGTTTCATCCTGCAGGTTATCAGTTTCAGACTACTTCCTGTATGGTCATGGAAAGTTTTGCAAAGCTTCACCTATGCAAGCTATTTTATTTTATTTTATTTTATTTATTTATTTTTTTCTGAGACAGAGTCTCAATCTGTCGCCCAGGCTGGAGTGCAGTGGCACAATCTTGGCTCACTGCAAGCTCCGCCTCCCGGATTCAAGCAATTCTTCTGCCTAAGCCTCCTGAGTAGTTGGGATTACAGGCACGCGCCACCACGCCCGGCTAATTTTTGTATTTTTAGTAGAGACAGGGTTTCACCATGTTGGCCAGGCTGGTCTCAAACTCCTGACCTCGTGATCCACCTGCCTCTGCCTCCCAAAGTGCTGGGATTACAGGCGTGAGCCACCACGCCCAGCCATGCAAGCTATTTTAAATAAATTTATCAAATTCATTGGCTTATGATAAAAATAATATATGAATGGGGTATTAAAAACAAGTTATATTTGTAGTCTTTACTATGCAAACATCCATAAACTGTACTTGTCACAGTACATTTATCTACAATAAACCTACTGATGTGAAAAGGTATTACTTGTCATGAAAACGTCAATGTTTTGCAATAGCAAATGTCCAAAGTCAATAATGGTATTAGCAATAATAATAATAAATACAGGGCTTAATTAAGTTTGCAGTGTGCTTTTATATATATATAAATATATATATATGTTTTTTATGCACTCTGTTGCCCAGGCTGGAGTGCGATGGTGAGATCTCGGCTCACTGTAACCTCCGCTTCCCGGGTTCAAGCAATTCCCATGCCTCAGCCACCTGAATAGCTGTGATTGCAGGTGCATGCCACCATGCTTGGCTAATTTTTATATTTTTAGTAGAGACAGGGTTTCTCCATGTTGCCCAGCCTGGACTTGAACTCCTGAGCTCAAACAATCCACCCGCCTCAGCCTCCGAAAGTGCTGGGATTACAGGCATGAGCCACTGCACCCGGCTTTTATATTTTTAAAGTAACAATTTCATTGTAGAAAATTGGAAAATAATGAGCATAAAGGGAAAAATTTATATTCTATAATCACATCACCCACATAATGTGATTATATCACTGTATGAATTTATATCTTATTAAATTATTTTTTCCTTATAGAAATGGGACCATATAGTCTGAGCACGATGGCTCACGCCTGTAATCCCAGCACTTTGGGAGGCCGAGGTGGGCGGATCATGAGGTCAGGAGATTGAGACCATCCTGGCTAACACGGTGAAACCCCGTCTCTACTGAAAATACAAAAAAGTTAGCCGGGCATGGTGGCGGGCGCCTGTAGTCCCAGCTATTCAGGAGGCTGAGGCAAGAGAATGGTGTGAACCTGGGAAGCGGAACTTGCAGTGAGCAGAGATCGCATCACTGCACTCCAGCCTAGGTGACAAAGTGAGACTCTGTCTCAAAAAAAAAAAAAGAAGAAAGAAATGGGACCATATTGCTTTTATAACATATTTTCCATTTAATGTATTGTAAATACATATCTATGTCAAAAATATAGTATGATAGTGTTTCACTTACGGATGGATTTGTAAGTATTAACCGAGACAGGGTATGCAAGGTACATGGCAGGTACTCAATAGTAGCAGCTATTACTGTTACTAGAATATGCTTAACCATTTCTCTATTGATGGAATATTTGTTCTCAAGGGTGGGGGTACTAATGTTTTACTTTATTATATATATAATAGACATTAGCTCCTCAGGAACATTTTTCTTAGCTGATTCTTTTTTCATTTTATTTGTTTTAGGTGTGTAATATACAGATGTTTTATATTTTCACTAGTCAACTATGTCAGCCTTTGTGATTTCTAGGTTAAGAAAGCTAAACTTTCACTATAACATAATAAATGCTGGTAATATATGTGATATATATCTGTAATAAATACTTCTGTTTCCTCTTAGTTTTTATATGGTTTGATATGAATGGGCATGTAAATGCATTTATGTATAGACATTTAAATTTAATCTTTTATTCTTTCAAATTTATTTTTAGTGTCTCATATAAGTTCTTTCTTTTCTTTTTGAGGCAGAGTCTCTCTCTGTCACCCAGGCTGAAGTGCAGTGGTGCAATCTCGGCTCACTGCAACCTCTGCCTCCTGGGTTCAAGTGATTCTCATGCCTCAGCCTCCCGAGTAGCTGGGATTACAGGTGCATACCACCACACTCAGATAATTTTTTTGTATTTTTTGGTATAGACAGGGTTTTACCGTGTTGGCCAGGCTGGTCTTGAACTCCTGACCTCAAGTGATCCACCCACCTCAGCCTTTCAAAGTGCTGGGATTACAGGTGTGAGCCACTGTACCCAGCCTATAAATTAATTCTTTCGTAATTGTTATTCTTAAAATTGTTGATCATTATTTTAGGATCATTAAATGAGTAATTTGTCCTTCCCTTTATTATTTTATAATGCCTCAATTGTCACATAAGAATTCTTATAAATAATAAAGTTTTTCAGACTGTCACCATTGAGCTTTTCATTTTTGTGCCAATCTGATACGTTAGATTATTATTCAAAAAATAGTTTTGCCCAGGTATGGTAGCTCATGCCTGCAGTCCCAACACTTAGGGAGGCAGAGGTGGGAGGATAGCGTGAGCCCAGTTATTAGAGACCAGCCTGGGCAACATATTGAGACCCAGTTTTCAACAACAACAAGAAGTTTAAAAAAATAGTTTGAGTGCCTCTTATGTTGGTGGGTACTACAGTAGGTGCTGTGATTTCAGAATAGGCAAAAACAGAAAAACATAATTTTTGCTTTCATGGAGTTTAGAATATAATAGGGAAGATAAACATTAATCATACAGATTATCATGCAGCTTAAAAGTGAGTTAATTGTTAGGAGGGAGATGAACAAGGTTCTATGAGAGCTTTTAGCAAAGGACGGAGGGAGTCAAAGATGGCTTCCATTAGGAGCCATGCTTGAGTTGAAATCTAAAGGGCAAAAGAAGTTTAAATAGACAAAAGTAAAAGATGGGGTGGGTGGTATTTCAGGCAGAGGGAATGTAAGCATTTAAAGGTTGATCAGTGTTGCTGGAACACAGCATTTAGGAAGAGAACATTGCAAGATAAGGCTGGAGAGATGTGCAGGGATACTTAGGATGTTGATTTTTTTCCTGAGAGAAATGTAAAATCTCGAAGGCTTTTAGCAAAGGGTTAGCATGATTGCATTTGCATTGTAATGCAGAGAAGTGATTGGAAGGTGCTAGAGAGGAGGCAAGGAGGACAATTAGACAAGTTGATACCAGCTCTTGGGAAGAGGCCTCAGTTCCAACCCATGAAGGTCTCTCCACAGAGCTGCTTTAGTGTCCTTAGAGCATGGTGACTGCCTTCCCTCAGAGAAAGTGATCCAAGAGATCAAGTCAGAAGCTGCAGTATCCTCTATGACCTTTGGAATCACATGCTGTCTTTTGTTAAATTTTTTTTTTTTTTTTTTGAGATGGAGGCTTGCTCTGAAGCCTAGGTTGGAGTGCAGTGGTGCAATCTCGGCTCACTGTAACCTCCACCTCCCAAGTTCAAGCAATTCTTCTGCCTTAGCCTCCCAAGTAGCTGGGACTACAGGCACACGCCTCCATGCCTGGCTAATTTTTGTATTTTAAGTAGAGATGGGGTTTCACTATGTTTGCCAGGCTGGTCTGAAACTCCTGACCTCGTGATCCACCTGCCTCGGCCTCCCAAAGTGCTGGGATTACAGGCGTGAGCCACCACACCTGGCCTTCTTGTTCAATATTTTATTGATCACACAAGTCAGCCTTGATTCACAGGAAGTAAGAATCACTGGAGTCCACCTTGGAAGATAGCTACCACAGACTAAACCCTGTGGAACACTAACATTTAGGAAATTGAGAAGCAGCCTATGGATACAGGAAAACCAGAAAAGCAATGAGATGAAATCCAGCAGAAGGGAAGGAAGTTTCAGAAATCTACTCAAAGGCATGTTAGATGAGAACTGAAAAATGTTCACTGGATTTAGTGACACGGATTTATTGACCCAGAGTTCTTTCTTTATGACATGGTTTAATGTGGTTCTTACTCACCTCCCCTTATAATCTTCTTGAAAAGATTTTTTTCTTGTCTTAAATTATCTTCCTTGTGAACTTATAAATGTTTTTGTAAAGTTCCATGAAAATTCTACTGAGATTTAATTAGAATTGTGTTGTTTCTAATTTTGTATGAGAAATACTTATTTTTAAAATAATTAGGCTTCTTTTTTTTTTTTTTTTTTTTTTGAGATGGCGTCTCACTCTGTCGCCCAGGCTGGAGTGCAGTGGTGCAATCTCGGCTCACTGCAAGCTCCACCTCCCGGGTTCACGCCATTCTCCTGAGTAGCTGGGATTACAGGCATGTGCCACCACACCCAACTAATTTTTTTTTTTTTTGTATTTTTAGTAGAGATGGGGTTTCACCATGTTGGCCAGGCTGGTCTCGAACTCCTGACCTCAGGTGAGCTGCCCACCTCAGCCTCCCAAAGTGCAGGGATTACAGGCATTAGCCACAGCACCCAGCCTATTCCTTCTAACTGAAATTTTGTGTGTTTTGACCAACATCTCAACCTATTCCCAGTCCAGCCCCTGATAACTGTCATTTGACTTTCTGCTTCAATGAGTTTGACTTTTTAAGATTCCATATATAATTGAGATTATACAGTATTTGTCTTTCTGTGCCTGGTTATTTCACTTAATATAATATCCTTCAGGTTCATCAATGTTGTTCCAAATAACAGGATTTCATTCTTTTTAAAGACTGAATAGTATTCCATTGTGTATATATACCACATTTTCCTTGTACATACATCTGTTGATGGACACTTAAGTTGATTTCATAACTTCGCTATTATGAATAATGCTGTAGTGACCAGGGGGGTGCACATATTTATTCAGGATCCCAGTATCATTTCTTTTGGATACATACCCAGTAGTGGAATTGCTGGACCATATGGTAGTTCTGGTTTTAATTTTTTGAGAAACCTCCATACTGTTTTCTGTAATGGCTGTACCAATTTACATTCTCACCAACATGGTGCAAGAGTTTCCTTTTTTCTACATCCTCTCCAACACCTGTTATCTTTCATCTTTTTTATAATAGCCATTCTAACAGATATGAGGTGATACCTCATTGTGATTTTAATTTATGTTTCCCTGATGATCAGTGAAGTTGAGCATTTTTTCATATACTGTTGGCGATTTGTATGTCTTTTTTTGAGAAATGTCTATTCAAGTCCTTTGCCCATTTTAAAATTAGGGTTATTTGTTCTCCTACTGTTAAATCACTTGAGTTATTTATTTATTTATTTATTTGAGATGGAGTCTCACTCTGTTGCCCAGGCTGGAGTGCAGTGGCACAATCTCGGCTCACTGCAACGTCTGCCTCCTGGGTTCAAGCAATTCTTCTGCCTCCGCCTCCTGAGTAGCTGGGACTACAGGTGCATACCACGACGTCTGGTTATTTTTGTATTTTTAGTAGAGACAGGGTTTCACCATGTTAGCCAGGATGGTCTCTATCTCCTGACCTCGTGATCCGCCCGCCTCAGCCTCCCAAAGTGTTGGGATTACAGGCGTGAGCCTCTGCGCCCAGCCTACTTGAGTTATTTATAGTTTGGATTTTAACCCCTAATTAGATGTATGGTTTGCAAGCATTTTCTCCTATCCTGTATGTTGGCTCTTCGCCCTGTTGATTGTTTCCTTGGCTGTGCAGAAGCTGTTTAATTTGATGCAATCTCATTTGTCTGTTTTTGCTTTTACTGCCTGTGCTTTTGGAGTCATAGTCAAAAAAATCATTGTCCAGACCAATGTCATGAGCTTTTCCCATGTTTTCGTCTAGTAGTTTTATAGCTTCAGGTCTTATATTTAAGTCTATTTTGAGTTGATTTTTCTATATGATGTAAGGATCTAATTTCATTGTTTTGCACCTGAATATTCAGTTTTCCAAGCATCAGTTATTGAAGAGACTGTTCTTCCCCATTGTGTGTTCTTGGCCTCTTTCTTGACAATCAGTTGACCATAAATGCGTGGATTAATTTTGGGGGCTTTCTGTTCTGTTCCATTGGTCTATTTTTATGCCAGTACCATGCTTTTTTGATTATTATAGCTTTGTAGTAAATAATTGAAATCAGGTAGTATGATGCCTCCAGCTTTGTTCTTTTTGCTCAAGATTGCTTTGGCTATTTGGGGTCTTTTGTTGTTCCATATAAATTTTACGATTATTTTTTCTATTTCTGAGAAAAATGTGTTGGAATTTTGATAGGAATTGCATTGAATCTGAAGACTGCTTTGGGTAATATGGGCATTTAAACAATATTCATTTTTTAAATCCATAAACACAAGATATCTTTCCATTTATTTGTGTCTTCAATTAATGTTTTATAGTTTTCAGTGTACAGACCTTTCACCTCCTTGGTTAAATGTATTCCTAAATTTTTTTTTTATTTTGTAGCTATTATAAATAAGATTTTTTTCCATTTCTTTTTTGGATAATTTGTGGTTAGCATATAGAAATGCTGATTTTTGAGGAAAAACAGTTATTGTATGTTCTCTTTATTTATTTATGTAGAGACGGAGTCTTGCTCTATCACCCAGGCTAGAGTGGAGTGGAGTGCAGTCGTGAGATCTCAGCTCGCTGCAAGCTCCGCCTCCTGGGTTCAAGCGATTCTCCTGCCTCAGCCTCCTGAGTAGCTGGGACTACAGGCGCCTGCCACCACACCCGGCTAATTTTTTGTATTTTTAGTGGAGATGGGGTTTCACTGTGTTAGCCAGTATGGTCTTGATCTCCTGACCTCGTGATCCGCCCACCTCGGCCTCCCAAAGTGCTGGGATTACAGGCATGAGCCACCGCGCCCAGCCTGTTCTCACTTATAAGTGTCAGCTAAGCTGTGAGGACACAAAGGTGTAAGAATAATATAATGGACTTTGGGGGAAAGGTTGGGAGTGGGGGTGAAAGATAAAAGACTACACATTGGGTAGCGTGTACACTGCTCAGGTGACGGGTGCACCGAAATCGCAGAAATCACCACTAAAGAACTTATTTATGTAACCAGAAACTACCTGCTCACTAAAAACTGTTGAAATAAAATGAAAAGATAATAACTTCACAGAATAAAAGAAAAAGAAGAAATGCTGATTTTGTATGTTGATTTTGTATCAACTTTACTGAATTCGTTTATTAGTTCTAACAATTGTTTGGTGGAATCTTAAGGTTTTCTATGTACAAGATCATGTCATCTGCAGAGACCACCATAAATGTTTTCAATCTAGAAGTGTATTACTTTTATCTTCATTTTATGGATAAGGAAATGGCGGCCCAGGGAAGATAGGTGTCTTGGCCATGGTTACTCGGGCAGATTTGGGAACTGCACAACTTGAGTATCCAAATATTTTCATGCTACATTAATAAGAAATCAGGGGCTGGGCACAATGGCTCACGCCTGTAATCCCAGCACTTTGGGAGGCCAAGGCGGATTATGAGGTCAGGAGTTCGAGACCAGCCTGGCCAACATGGTGAAATCCCGTTTCTACTAAAAATACAAAAATTAGCTGGGCGTGGTGGCAGGCGCCTGTAATCCCAGCTACTTGGGAGGCTGAGGCAGGAGAATCATTTGAACCCAGGAGGTGGAGGTTGCAGTGAGCCGAGATTGTGCCATTGCACTCCAGGCTGGGTGACAGGATGAGACTCCATCTCAAAAAAAAATAAATAAATAAAATCAAGAACTACTCAGTCAAGTCTTATTCAAGTTAGTATTCCCTTAGGTATCACTTTCTTTGGTATTAGACTTCAAAGTGATAATATACATTTTATAGCACATTTCCAGTTTTTAGCATTGTCATTTTGAAGTATAGTGTCACGACTTGAGGAACTGCGTCTCATCTCCATTCAGTTCTCCTAAGACTTGATTCCTACCAGACAGGAACTGCTTCTTCTTTGAGGTCTAAATAGCACTTAACAGTCTATTGCACTGAATAAATACTTAATGAAGATTGGATATTTCCTCTGTGGTACATCAATTACTCTTGTTGACTGTTGAGGAAAGCTTCTTTTTGTTATGGTTGTTTTCATGAAGTAGGTTAAGAAATTTGTTTTCTTGAATATTGTTACTAATGCCAGTTTAGATATTTGTGTCATCTCAAATATATCATCTCAAATGTGTCATCTGAGAGTCACTGATCTGGTTGCATGCAATAAAGTAATTTGGTAGGAGGGTTGTTTTTTCTGGAATTTGTGGTATTTAGGGCTCTGAAAATGAAAAACATTTGCTAATGTGGTATAAGGATGTTTGTGGTGTATTTTTTAATGGAAGAAATATAACTTTTATTGATAAATACTTCCAAAATTGTGAATAATTCTTTCAGTTGACAGTTATATTTCTTGTATTTTAAACTATCAGTCATATATTTATTTTTCTTATTTTTAAGCTTTCTTAACTTAAAACAAAGGGTTTTTGTTTTTGTTTTATTATTATTATTTCTTTGAGACGAAGTCTCGCTCTGTCATCCAGGCTGGAGTGCAGTGACACGATCTCGGCTCCCTGCAACCTCCGCCTCCCGGGTTCAAGCAATTCTCCTGCCTCAGCCTCCTAAGTAGCTGGGAGTACAGGTGCTTGCCACCACACCTAGCTAATTTTTTTTTTTTGTATTTTTAGTAGAGATGGCGTTTCGCCATGTTGGCCAGCCTGGTCTCAAACTCCTCACCTTAGGTGATCCACTCGCCTCGGCCTCCCAAAGTGCTGGGATTACAGGCACGAGCCACTGCACCCGGTGACTGATATTAGGATTAAATGAAATACATATATCTTTGCCTATGGAGTCTCTAAACTTATGAATTTAGTGAAATAGCTTGAACATTTTCAACTGGTAAAATTAGATCACTATAGTTGAATCATTTGGTGCAAAGTGTTAATGTGACATTGAGATAGAATTTATCAGACTCAATTAGAAAAACTCCTCTCATTTAAATAAAACAAAAAATTGAATACGTAGAGAAAAGGTTATACATGCTTTTTATTCTCTTTCCATTTTAGAAAGCAAATGAACATAATTATGAAATAGGTAAGTCATGCCTAATGATAAAATATCCTCCATTTTTAAGGAATAATTTCACTGTGTTTCACATTTGGTGACTTCTGGGATCTATATTTCCATTTAAATAACTGTTGACATTGTTGGAAAATTGGTGAGTGTATGTGATGACAGTTACAGTACATATTGGATAACAAGGGTAGAATAAATCAGTTAAGTCGTGGTGGTCTGTTATCTATTTTTAGGTCTTTTTGACCCAGGAGTCTGTGACCTATGAAATCTCCACTTTTTTGGATTTGTTAAGGTATTTTACAATGCAAAGATTTAAATTTAGATGAGTACCACACTGAAGGATACTGGCTAATGTGGTCCAAAACATAAAGGATATCAAAGTATACACTGGGAAAAGCTTGTGAAGTTCCGATAACGTATGTGAGAAGAGAGAGGCTACAGTTAAGGAAGTTTCTTTTCTGCTCTAACTTATAACAAAGAGAATCTGAAATTTAAGCTGGTATTTGCCATGCTCTGAGTACTCAGCAGCATGCCATTTTGTGAAATTATTGCTGAGAAAATGTACCCAAATCTTGAGTACAGAGTGTTCCTGCATCTGATTGGAAGGGGCACATGAATTGTTTCTAAGGTATTGCAGACCCAAGGCTGCACAAATTAAGGTGGAGACTTGGGGGAGGGATCCAGTCAGGGAAGGGAAGCTTCCTAGACATTACAGCTCTGTCCAGAGGCCAAATGGGAGATAAATCACCACTGGCCACCTCTCTTATTATTGAAATGGTACAGCCCTGGGGTTTAACTGAAGGACTGACAGGGTTTTGAAGTGCAAATAGAATGGTGAAGAGTAAACCCTTTTAGGGTTTCATTTTGATGGATTTTTTTTTCCTGTGTGGATTTCTGGTACAGACTGTGATCTGGAAGGGGCCCTTAAAAAAAAAAAAGTTTTGTTTTTGATCAGTCAGACAATAAGAACTTTCCACAGGGATGTACTTTTCTAGCATGCATATTGATTCTATTGTGTTTTAAAGTAGATCATTTAATTGGATCTTTTTTTGAGCCTTCTGCAGTGGAGCTGTCATTTCAAGGTCACTTCTCTTTCTTGTTATTAATGCCAGAGTTTGAAAGTGTTGAATGATGTGGTAGTTTTGGATTAATAGATTGTGGGAGATTACTTAGGGCCAGTGTGTATAAGGCTTTGTTTATAAAGTCTCCTAGTTAAAGATCCAGTCCATATTAGAACAAGTATTTTATATAAGTGTTCTATAATTATTTAATCTTTTTTCTATTGTGATATGATTTTACATACTCATTTTATTATTTTGTATGTATTCTACTTTGCCAGCCTTAAAAAAAACCCAGAAAATTCTGAGATTATGAAATATTATACTGTTATTTATGAAAGATACATTGAAGTGTTTGAGGAAATAAGAGAGACATAAAAATGTTTAAGTAACTGATATGTTGATTTATATAAGTTGAAATTTTTTTAACCTCCTCCCCACAAGTAATTCAATCACAGGAGACAAAATATATTTTAAAATTTGTGTTTTTTTTGGAAAGTGGGGAGGAGAGGAGTCATTAGTAACCCCAAAGAAAAATGATTGTAGCATAACTTAAAGACTTTGTGTGCAAACATTTTAGAGAAAAAAATATTTTTATTAAAGAAATGCCATTATAAGTATTTAGATTTCTTCTTAGAAATATTGTCAATGGAAATTTTCTTAAGCATTTTGGCTCTTTTCTTTAGATGTAACATAAATATTTGTATCATTTGCCCTTTTTGAGAAGAATAATGTATTTAGCTCCAACAGAGGTTTTCCTGTGTTGCTCGATATCTATTCTAAAAACGGGTTGTTAATCTCCATAATTGGCATTGACCACATGATGTTCTTAATTGACCTCCAGGTTAGTTTTTGTTTTTATGTTCTTCGAAATTTCCCCTTCACTGTATTTGTCTGAATGTTAGAGTTATATTTACTTCCTATTCTGTCTGATAGTTTTAAATAAGATGTTTTAAACAACAGTCACAACGAAAGTCCTAGAACCTAGATGGCATCAAGCAGAGTCTCCTGCATCTACAGCTTCCCTGTCATTAGTTTGTTGCTGGGAGATGTTAATATGACCTTTCCTTTGTTAGAAAAGAGCTGTGCAGCCCTTCCCAGAATCCTCTTGTAAAATGTCTTTTTAACCCAAGTTGGAGGTTGTCTGATGAATGGTTGGCTTTTTCAAATGTGCTGCACATATTGTTGACATTGTCACAGGTTGCTTTTTAATTTCTAATGTGTTTTTAATTTGCAAAGCATGCATGTGCCTTTCACCGCAGTAGAATTGAGTCAGCATTTCTGAGTCCAGATATTAAGAGTCAGGCTTAAGAATGCTGTATGGTAGACTTAGATTTCCTGAAACACTTGTGAATGAATTTCACTTTGAATATTGATGAATAAAAGAAGATACTTGAGAAAGGCTCCCCCTGCCCCCACTCCGCCTCCCCCCCGCCCCCCCCCCCCCACACACACAAGAACTCCTCCTGCCTATTGGTGAGTGAATTGCCCCGATATAAAAGCATTGGGTGGGGAAAAGTGAGTTACAGAGTGAAAAGGCAATCCACAAATAATCACTCTTTTCTGCCTTTGATTGTGTCAGATTTTTTTTGTGTGTGTGGCAATTGTTTTCTTTTTTGCTTAGAAGAGGTTTATGGTCCAATGTCTGTCAAGTCAGCCCCTGTCTTAAGCTTGCAGTTGTATTTCTCTCTGGAGTTCCTGGAGGTGATGTTATCTTTTGTTCACTCAGCAGTGTGGTCGTTTCTGAGAGCATCTGTCACTTTAGGCATTACAAGATGGATGGGTCTCCAGTGAACTGCTGGTTGAAGCAAATGGTGAAAATAAGAAAATCAAGGGGTTTCAGGGTCTGCAGAGGGGACAGACAACAAGGAAACACTGTTAGAAATCAAGAGTAAGCTGAGCAATAGAGGAAGAGAGCAAAGATGGATCAGATGTCATTTTATAAACATCTTGGAAATCAGAATCTTTTGGTGGCTTTCGTGATCTGAGGGAGACATCTGCATCATGGTAAACAATTCCATGCTTTGGATTTGCAAAATGTGTTTGAATATATATTTTTTAATCTTGATAAAGTATTGGGAAATAATCATAATGATACAGAATATATTATGTGAGGATTTTGCTGTTTGGAGAATTAGTAGTCTTTTAAATGTTTTAAAGATTAAATTAGAAATCTAACCTTAAAATTTTTGTTTTTTCTTTTTTTCTTTCCTTCCTCTTTTTTTCTAAATTTTCTTTTTGTAAACAAGTGAGCAAGCATAGACATTAAAATGAAAAGTTTTGGCCACATAACTAATATTCTTATTGTTTACTAAATGCTTTTTGGCACTTTTGTAGAGGAATTCTGAAAATTCAGTGCTCAGGCTTTTGGGAGGCTGGGGACAGATTTTAAGTTATTTTCAGTAACCTTCAACTTAAGGGGCTCTTTGGTCAAAAAAAGAAATATAATTGTTATTGATCTGTCAGAACAAGTTGGAGATTTGTATTGTATTTAGAAATTTATTTTGTTGGTGAAGGTCAAAATTTATAAATCCTGGCTAATACAAAGTCCCTCCTGTGAAAGACAAGGAACAGGAAGGAGGTTGGCCAGGGAGTAAGAAAGGAGAAGAGGGGGCAATATGATTGCAAAAAAAAAAAATGATTTTGTCAAACTTCTTGGCATTTGTCTATTAAAAAGACCATAGGTTGAAAGGCAAAGAAATTAAGATGATTAGAAGCTTTAAGCTATACAAATGGTTGAGTATCTTCCTTCTCTATGGATGTAAATAATAGATGAAAGAGTAAGAGTGACAACAAAGGATCAGGTCGTTTAAGAGAATGTGTGCAGCCTGAATAGGGGTCTGTGGCCCAGGGCCAAAGGTCTTAGCTTTGAGTGTAATTAGAAGAAAATACAAAAATGTCATTACTAACAGGTGAAGTGTGCAGCACGTGGCCAAAAATTAGCAATTTTAGACTCTGAAGCTATTGGAATTAGATTACTGACTTTTTTTTTTTTTTTAATCATTAGGGTCCTTGTGGAGTAATATAGTTTCATTGGCAGTAATGCAGTTTGACCTTGTTGACCATATGGGGTAATCTTGGGTTTGGATGTAGGTAGCAAGGCTCCTGCTGACTTAGGAAAAGATGTCTATTTATGTGTGGGCGGGTGGGATATATGTGAGTTTGAAAACCTAGACCTTCCATTTTTAATTATTATTTTGCCTGAAGACATTCTTCTGACAGTAAGAGGTAAGATAAATATTTTTATTCGAAAAATCTAAAATTTTTTTTCTTTCAAGTCGGCATAAGAGAAAAGTAAAATGAAAAAAACCATTTTTAGACAACATAAATTAATTTTACTTCAAATATTTTAGTTATATAGATATTTATATTGAAGTTAGTTTCTTAGGAAAATCCTCTTTTGTTTTCTTTTTAAACAAAGTAACAAAGGACTAGAAATGCTTCTATGTTATCTATAAAAATCAATGACAAGTAGTTTTCATTTCACTTTATGTTTTACAACTATATTTCCTATTTTCCCATGCAGTAGTTTATATTGACCATAATCTATTTAGAGGAGAGATGAACATGCATACTATACTTTTCAACCAATTATATGCAATTATAATTATTTAGTTTAATATCTTCTAGGAATACATTACTCAGAAGGGTAAGAAACAATAGCTCTTGTTCTTTTTGCAGGCTTTCTTACTGGAAAATTTTCAATCAATAGTAATTATGTTTTACGTTTTTGATAGTTCTTTGAGTAGATAAATTTGGGCCGGGTATCAGGGATTATTACTCCTAAATTCCTTAGATAAGAAAATTACCTTCCACTAATTTCATTCCTAAAAGTAGTCTGTTGGCTTTTGATATTATGGTAACATCTGCCATAAATGCAGACTTGACAGACTTATTCAACTTACTTTTAGTGGGGGAAATCATAAGAACAACAGAAATTATCTTTGAGTATATATAATTAGGAGTAATTATTTTGAGACTATTGAGAAAAGTGGAGTATCTGTATATTTGCTCATTATAATGTATATGGAGTTGGAAAGTGTGAGACTTTGATAATTTCTAACTGTGATTTTCATGGAATTATAAATATTTAGATTATTATATTATAGAATATGTATTTGGAAATTAACTCATGTCTTTATGTATATATTTTTATTTTTTATGTTTTTGCAGGTGCACAAAAAGCTTTAAACAAGTTAAAATCTAGGCAACAGACTCCCTGAAGTGTTGACTGCCCAACTTAATCATGACTGTGATTCAAAAATGTTAATAAATAAACCAAGGTATTGTACAATTATATATGACCCTCCCCAATTTTTCAAGATCAAATTTGTTTTAGGAAGTTGTATTTAGAATTCAAATAAAACTACTATGTTTGCTTCTTAAAGTGAATAAGATACTTCCATGAGCTCCTCTCCTTCCCTGCTTTCCTCTCCCCTCCCCCATCCCCTTACCCCATACCAGAAAGCTTCTGCAGAGTTCTTTCTCTACAACAACCCCTGTATTTCCTATATACCTAAATTAAGAAAATAAGAATTCAGTTCTTTATTCCCTTTTGTTGATTATGATTTTATGCTTCAAATTGTCTAATAAATGAGACTTCTAGATTATAGGCTTCTGCATAAATACCCAGATTATCCCTATTGACTGCATATATTTGTCTCATATAACACTATCCTGAGATATATGTTCTAAAGATTTTATAAAAGTTTTTTTTTCTATTTTAGGAGGCTTTTAATTTAGAAAAGGAAAAAGGTGATGCTCCCCACCCCCCACCCCCATCAAAGAAAATCAGATGCTTGCTTAGAATTGAGAATTTAAGGCTACTGTTTAGGTAACTCCTGTCTGTCAGAAGGGGCATATCCCAAGACTGTTTCTCTCCTTTTGGAAGTTACAATGTGCTTAAATAGCCTGGCATTTCCAAGAGAGGCCAAAGATCTTTTCCTCTTTTATAACACGTTGTATCCTTTTGAGGCCAAAAAGAACAAGAGGGTCATTGCCACTTCAGCCTGGTCCCTGTTTGTTCCTTCATGGTGACCACGCAGATACTGAAACCCAGGATGGGCTTAACATTTGGGCCTGGAACATCTGGAAAATGGTCAGAGAGGGAGCGGAGGAGGCAGAAGAAAGAGAACTGTTGCATTTTGTTTCACCAGGTGCTAGGAGGAAGCAACATTAGCCTTTTTGATATGGGAGGCACATTCTGTGGACCCTGGAGTTAGGCTGCAACAATTGAGGAGGTCAAAGGACAGCTGAGTGGGGTCAGTGAGACACCATGGGGTGTATTTTGTTACTTAGTAAAAGGAGCAGCCTCCTAAACCTTAAAGGATTCTCTTGAAAATCTGTGTTGTGAAAAGGTTTTATGAGTCTTATGGCAAAAACTCCTGATTTATCTAAGGAATGCTCGCTTTTGTCTAATGGAAGGATAATCCTTACCAAATGTTGGCAACGTCTATAAGAGTCAATATAGGTCTGAAAGAACAGTTGGAGTTTGAAGTGTACTTTGCTTTTCAAAATGTTTATCATTTTAGTGTTTCTCTCTCAGGAAGAATTTTGCACTGTTGAAATATCACCTTTTTCTTTCCTTGGAGCAGAAAGCGGTAGCGGGTGGGGAGTGAGGGAGGGTGGACGGGGAGAGGTAAGCCGGGAACTTACATTAATTTAAAAATCATTCTACAAGCTTTTGGCCTAATCTGCAAACAAGGTATTATTATTAAACCTTTAAAAACACCAAAACTTGTTAACTCTAAAAAGTAATATTTGAATTTATTTTAACTTACGAGGAAAATGGGTGGTACATGAAGTGTCATGTTTCTGGAATACAGATTTTTTTATTTAGTTGTTGATAGAAAGGGCTGTCAGTTGACAAACAACCTTAAATCTTGTGTTTCTTCCTGAATGTGGTCAAGAAGAAAATCAGTGTCAGAGTCAAGAATAGAGAATAAGAAAAGCAATACAGTAAGGAGTTTTCTCTTTGAAGGGAAATGGAGAAGGGAAAAATCTGCATATTGTAAAAGCTCTCTTTACCACAACCCATGACCTCAAGAGACCGCTTATATGATTGTGGATACCTTTGAAAGGTATTAGCCACCTGACAGGTTATGAAAGGAGACTGTTAGAGGAATTTGGCAGTATTTTGATATTCCAGTTTATATACTATCATTTATATTTCAATCTATACACATATATAGAGAGAAAGCATATATTACAATGTATATAGTAAGGGAAGAAAGATAAAATGATAAGGCCTATAATAGGCCTTGTTAATTTATAAATTTACAATATCTACTACTTGTGTGTGATTTGTTTTGAATTTTTGATAATCACTCGTGTTAAAGGAACATACACATAAATGTAAGGCTTAGCATGTAGTCTGCTCATTTTCTATTTTCTCAAGGTTAAAGCACCTTTCAACAACTAATTTAGAAACCTAAGTATAGTGACTGATAATTGCCTAGAGCAAACCCACAGCTGTTTAAGAGGCCTTAAAATTGTGGCAAAACTGACAAATACGATTAGCAATGTTAATAAGCTAAGAAGATGGAAAGACAGGAGCAGATGACAGAGTGGAAAGATGGAGGTAGCAAGAAATCATAAAAGAATAGAATGTTTAAGAAAAAAAACAGTGTTCACGGTTGCTTTGAATTTATAGTGCTTTTTCTTTCAAGCAAAGTCTCCTTCTTTTATTACTTACTCTCTGAATTACCAGTGGAATGTGTGCTTTGCAGGTTAAATAATTCAAATATATTTGTTCAGCCCCTAATTCACATCTGATTTTGAAAGAAGACAGCTATTTGGCAATAGTATTTAAGAAAAACAATCAAGTTTTGCTGATTCTAAGGCACAATTTGATTTGCGGTACTTTTTAGAAGTCAGTTTTAAATGTACTTCTGTTTTACTGTAATTACTTTGGGAATTTATTTACCCCTCTTTGTGCCCTTGTAATGCTTAGTCACTCAAATATATTACACAGGAGACCTTGTTTCTGGGTTTAGTGACCCACCATTATCAAAAACAAAACAAAGCCAAAAAAAACCTGTAGAAGTATTTAATGTGTTATTATTACTAATTATCTGGTTAATGTTCATAGCCAACTTTGCAAACAACTTTTTTGGGAAAATTAAATGGGGCTAGGTAAATAAGAGAAATCAGTTGAGTGTTAGGTGGAAAATATTTAGTTATCTATGCCTTTCTCACTATACTTTTTAAAGCATCAGATGAAATTTGGAAAATTATTATAGTATCTTTTGAAATTCTACTCTGCATTTGGGAAATTGGCGAATTGTTTTTTGCCTCTGGTGTTTTATGCAGATTTTAATGATTGTTGTGATAAATCCCCAGAAGTTTGTTTTCGGAAACCATAGAGACTCTGAACTCTGAATGTGACAGCGTTGAAAGATGTGGTGAGCCACACTTTGGAAGCATTTCTGGTTATTTAATGTTTTCTGTTCTGGATTATTGACTGTTCTCCCTGTTGAAAAATTGGTCTCTGGTGACATGGTAGAGGTCACACGTTGCCTATTATTGTTTTGCTTCTTTGATCTTACACAAGGATTGCCTCTGGTAATTATACTAGTTCCAGAGAGTCTTGACAAGAGGTGTTTATTTTACAGAAGAATTTCTGGCATTTCAAGGAAAAGTAAAGATTTCCAGTGGTAACGTGTACTTCTTTGTTACAAAGGAAAAACAGCATTGTAGTCATGATAGTTTTTAGTCATTATTATGAAATTAGTTAGCATAGTACAATAATTATTTCTAAAAAAATTTAATATATATTGCATATCTGTAAGTATATTGCTAAGAAGGGTAAATTTTAGGATTAAGTTAATAGGGTTGGGTTTTTATTTGAATACCTAAAATACTTTTGGCTTTACAAACTATAAAAATAAATTTGTCCAGCCTGGCCAACATGGTGAAACCCTGTCTCTACTAAATAAATACAAAAATTAGCCAAGCGTGGTGGCACGCGCCTGTAATCTCAGCTACTCAGGAGGCTGAGGCAGGAGAATCGCTTGAACCCAGGAGGCGGAGGTTACAGTGAGCCACAATCGCACCACCACACTCCAGTCTGGGCAGCAGAGCGAGACTCCATCTCAAAAAAAAAAAAAAAGAAAAGAAAAGAAAAAAGAAATTCATCCAAATTTCCAAATTTAAATGTACAAAACTATTAAAGGAGTTTAAAATTTTTGTCTTTTAATCTGTTTGCACTTTCTAAACATTCTCAGCAAAAGGATGAATAAAAATGAAATAAAGCACTTCTGTTTTGAATGCATGGTTAGCTTTGTGCTTTTATGGAATGTGCTTGGGAAGAGATATCTCTTCAGACCTGTTTAATATATAATTGGATAAGACACAAAAGCTCAATTTATTCATTTTTTTTTACTCAGTTCCAGCTTTAAACAAATTATATGTCCCCCAAAACTCACAATCTATTGGGGGAAGTTAGACAGATACTAGACCCAACTAACTATAATTGAGAATGACAAATATCAATTTAAAAGAATAAATGAAATGCTCAGAGAGCACAAAAGAGAAAGAACAAAAATATGTAATAGTTTAATATTTTGGATTTGAGACTGAAAACTTACAGGAAGTGTGTTTGGTTTATTTGTCTGAGAGTCATACATTATTCACTCTCATCAGGGAATGTTTTTAATAGAGAAAGAGCATATAAGCAGAAATACAGTAACAAATAATTTTGTTATACAAAGAGTTTTATCACTGTAAGGGACAGTCATAATCTATCCTATAGAATTATTCTACAGATGAAGAAACTGAGCTTGAGATAGGTTAGGGGACTTGTTCAAGATCACATTAGTAGGGACACAGCCAAGCCTCTTAGAACTTAAGAAATCTTTTATCTCTCAATCATTGTACATACTCTAGAGTTGTACTGTTCAGTATGACAGCTACTAGTCACATGTAGCTATTTAAATTAATTACTGCTGGGCGCAGTGGCTCACGCCTATAATTCCACACTTTGAGAGCCTGAGGCAGGTGGATTGCTTGAGGCCAGGGGTTCGAGACCAGCCTTGCCTGCATGGTAAAATCCCGTCTCTACAAAAAAAATACAGAAAATAGACGGGCAGGTGGCACATGCCTCTAGTCTCAGGTACTTGGGAGGCTGAGGCATGATGCAGGAGAATTGCTTGAGCCCACGAGGTGGAGGTTGCAGTGAGCTGAGATCACACCACTGCACTCCAATCTGGTCAACAGAGTAAGACTCTGTGTCAAAAAAAAAAATTAATTACAATTAAATAAAATTGAAATTTTAGTTCCCCAGTCACACTGGCCACGTTTTAAGTGTTCAGCTGCCACATGTGGCTAGTGGCTACCATATTGGACAGTCCAGAATATGAACGTTTTCATTATCTTAGAAAATTCTTTTGGGCAGTGCTGTTCTTGGTGTCAAAGGTCATCTCATGATTTGTATATATGATTGTACAATTTCTTAATAAATAAATTGTATATAGTGCCAAATAGCAGCCTTTGGAACTTTTACATTATTTTTCCTAGAAACAAGGCTCCAGAATCTACTGTAGTGCCCAACTTTTATAAAGGAAAGAATGCATCTTACTTTTCTTCATATCCTCAACGTGGCACAATGATACAATTTTTTTTTTTTTTTTTTAAAGTAAAAATGGTTGCTACTGGCCAGGTGCGGTGGCTCATGCCTGTAATCCCAGCACTTTGGGAGGCTGAGGTGGGCGGATCATGAGATCAGGAGATCGAGACCATCCTGGCTTACATGGTGAAACCCTGTCTCTACCAAAAATACAACAAATTAGCCGGGCGTGGCGGGCGCCTGTAGTCGCAGCTACTCGGGAGGCTGAGGCAGGAGAATGGCATGAACCTGGGAGGCGGAGCTTGCAGTGAGCCGAGATCACAGCACTGCACTCCAGCCTAGGAGACAGTTTGAGACTTCATCTCAAAAAAAAAAAAAAAAAGGTGCTACTATGACTACCAACATTTTCTGCACTTTTTTTCTGTGCCAGGCACTATTCTAAAAACTTATTACTGTATGTAAAATCTCATGTGTTTTCACAAAAATCTATGAAATTGAAAGTACTGTCTCCATTTTACAGATGAAAGATTGAACAATTTGCCCAATATCATACTAGGAGTAGGTGGGTACAGGATTTGAATTAAGGTCATTGGACTCCTGAGTCAATGTAATTAATCCCTATGACAGTAGTATTTCTATAAATGCTGAGTGATTAATTGTTAAAGTTTAGAAAGTGACATCTGTAAAGAAAAAGGTAATAGAAAACTACGAAGTTATACAAATTTGTCTCTCTTTTTTTTTTTTTTTTGAGACAGAGTCTCGCTCTGTTGCCCAGGCTGGAGTTCAATGGCATGATCTCGGCTCACTGCAACCTCCGCCTCCCGAGTTCAAGCAGTTATCTGCCTCAGTCTCCCAAGTAGCTGGGATTACAGGCACCCGCCACCCCGCCAGGCCAATTTTTGTATTTTTAGTAGAGACAGGGTTTCACCATCTTGGCCAGGCTGGTCTTGAACTCCTGACCTTGTGATCCACCTGCCTCAGCCTCCCAAAGTGCTAGGATTACAGGCATAAGCCACCGTGCCCGGCCCCAAATTTGTCTTTTTAGTATTATACCTGACACGAGAGATTTTTTTTGCAATTTTTTTTGTTTTGTTTTTTAGCTCATCAGCTGTCGATAGTGTATTTTATGTGTGGCTCAGAACAATTCTTCCAGTGTGGCCGAAGATGGCTTTGAATGTGACCCAACACAAATTTGTAAACTTTCTTAAAATATGAGATTTTTGCCGGGTGCGGTGGCTCATGCCTATAATCCCAGCACTTCGGGAGGCCGAGGCGGGTGGATCACCTGAGGTCAGGAATTCAAGATCAGCCTGACCAATATGGAGAAACCCCATCTCTACTAAAAATACAAAATTAGCTGGGCATGATGGCGGGCGCCTGTAATCCCAGCTAGTTGGGAGGCTGAGGCAGGAGAATCGCTTGAACCTGGGAGGTGGAGGTGGCGGTGAGCCGAGATCATGCCAAAACAACAACAAAAAATTATGAGATTTTTTTTGCAATTTTTCCTTTTTCTTTTCTTTTCTTTTTTTTTGCTCATCAGCTATTGTTAGTGTTCATGTATTTTATGTTTGGCCCAAGACATTTCTTCTTCTTCCAGTGTGGTCCAGGGAAGGCAAAAGATTGGACACCCCTGTTCTAGAGGGATGACTAAATTCATGATACCCTTTGGCAGGAATGCTTCCTAGGTGGTGAGTGTGCTTCATATCGTCTCCACTGAGAAGGCACGCATCATCTCACTGCCTCACTTTTAGTGATGCTAAGCTCAACCAGTGGGTTCAGGAGGTGACAGCGGGATCTCTCCATTATAAAGTTCCCTATCAACCTTCTGTCTCATGGTTTCACTTATTACCATTGCCTGCATGAATTTTTCATTAGGGGTTACAAAGTGATAATTTTATAATTCTGTCATTCTTTGCCCCCTGCCTCCTTTTTTTTCGAGACAGAGTTTTTTGTCACCCACGCTGGAGTGCAATGGTGCTATCTCAGCTCACTGCAACCTCCGCGTCCCAGGTTCATGCGATTCTCCTGCCTCAGTCTCCCGAGTAGCTGGGATTATAGGCACCTACCACCGTGCCCAGCTAATTTTTGTATTTTCAGTAGAGATAGAGTTTCACTATGTTGACCAAGCTGGTCTCAAACTCCTGACCTCAGGTGATCCACCCGCCTTGGCCTCCCAAAGTGCTGGGATTCCAGGCCGTGAGCCACTGTGCCTGGCCCTCTTTTTGAACATTTTTTAGCTGGAATTCTTCTTTTAAAAAAATTCAAACTCTCAATAATCAGGACTATTTGGTTACTTGGAAGTACAGAAAGAGCAGAATAAATGCTTTGTTCTTTTCTTTTTGAAGTACAGAAAGAGTAGAATAAATGCTTTGCTCTTTTCTTTTCCTGCTTGTAGTGCTTTGTTTTTGTCTTTCCAAAGGAGCTCTTGCTTTTTCTCCTGTAGTAGCAAAATTAATTTGTGAATTTTTATATTTTAAATTGCTTTGGTCAGTTGGATTTATTCTCTTTTATGTTTGGTTTCTCTAATCTTTAGCCTATGGGAGCTCTTCAGGTAGTCTCGTATGTCTTCTAACATGCTTCATTAGTTCTTTTTTTTTTCTTCAGGCCAGGTTTCACTCTGTCACCCAGGCTGGAGTGCAGTGGCACAACCACACTTCACTGCAGCCTCCACCTCTCAGGCTCAAACAATTCTCATGCCTCAGCCTCCTGAGTAGCTGGGACCGCAGGCACACACCACCACATGCCCAGTTAATTTTTGTATTTTTTGTAGAGACAGGGTTTCGTCATGTTGCCCAGGCTGGTCTCAAACTCCTGGACTCAAGTCATCTGCCTGCCTTGGCCTCCCAAATTGCTGGGATTACAGGTGTGAGCCACTGCACCCAGCCTTATTAGTTCTTGATAACCTTTGCTTTCTTGTTCAGATGTTCGAGGCTCATCTGGAGTATTCCCTGCCCCAGACTTGGAACTGGTCATACCTTGAAAAAATCTTGATTCCTTTCAGTGTGGAAGGCATTAGGCCACTACAATCAGAGTATAGGAAGTGCTTATTAATAGTAATTGAATGGTATTGCTTCTCAGATTTTTCAGTAGACAAAGCTTAGAAATACATATTTTAAAACTTCAAATGAGTTATTACTTAGAATATGTACATCCCCATCTACCTGTACCACAGCTTACTTTGCTGTTAAAATCACACAACCCCAAATTAGTGTTTTAGATTCAGTTCTTTTTCTTTTAGCTTGTACATGATCTTTTTAAAAATCAGTGTTTTTCTTGTTCTTCCTTGTCATTTCCTTTTTAAAAATACTTTTAAAAATTAATGTTTATTTGTTCCAGATAGTTGGTATTAAAAGAAACTTTTATTAAAACCCCAAGTGCAGTACTTGAAAATATATTTATACTTAATCAAAAGGGGAACTTTTTTCCTTTTCCTTTTTTTTTTTTTTTTTTTCCACACAGGGTCTCATTCTGTCAGCCAGGCTGGAGTGCAGTGGCATGATCATGACTCACTGCAGCCTCAACTTCTGGGCTCAAGCAGTTCTCCCACCTCAGCCTCCCAAGTAGCTGAGACTACAGGCACCTGCCACCAATCTTGGCTAATTTTTGATGTGAGGAGGTTTTTTGTTTTGTTTTGTTTTGTTTTTTGTTTTTGTTTTTTTTTTTGAGATGGAGTCTCACTCTGTTGCCCTGGCTGGAATGCAGTGGCACGAACTTGGCTCACTGCAAACCTCCGCCTCCTGGGTTCAAGCGATTCTTCTGCCTCAGCCTCCCGAGTAGCTGGGACTATAGGCACGCACCACCACGCCCGGCTAATTTTTGTATTTTTAGTAGAGACGGGTTTCACCATCTTGGCCAGGCTGGTCTCGAACTTCTGACCTCGTGATTCATCCACCTCAGCCTCCCAAAGTGCTGGGATTACAGGCGTGAGCCACCGCACCTGGCCCTGATGTGAGGAGTTTTTTATTAGAGCGGTACGGTTATTTTGTTGTGATTTTTAAAATTGTTATTTGGCTTTGTGACTCTTAGGCTCATATCTTAAGTTAAAATTTCCTTTTCAGCCTGTCTTGCAACTGTGATAAATAGAGATGAGGCCACATCAGCAAACAAACATTTTCTTTTCTGATTTTTTTCTTTGGAGGTCAGCAGTTTTATAGTACATTACCAAGCATTCATTTACCCAATTGGGCCATCTTGGTCAGTGGGTTAGTAGCTTAATGGTCTGAGTGATAAAGATAGCACCTAAGAGAGCTGCTTCTGAGCCAAACTGATTTGGTTCTACCCTGTTTACCTGTTTCCTTGTAGGGTGATCTTAGGCAAGTTCCTTAACTTCTCTAAGCCTCAGTTATCTTGAAAATGTGAGTAATAATAGTGCTTGCTCGGCACTTAGTAAGCTCTCCATGCTACTCTTGCAATCACTGAAGGGATGCTTTCTTTCACATTTTTTGACAATAACTACCACCACCACCACCATCACCACCACCACCACCACCATCACTACTGCTAGTAATAATAACAACAGCTACTATTATATTAACTGCCAGTAATGCCTGCCATTGTAACATGTGCTTCACATACAACTTTAACTACAAGTATGACTGTATATTCTGAAATCAATGCTTTAATTCTAAAAAGTCTTTGAGAGTTAAGGGAAAATTTTATCACTGAGGAGGGCATTTCTCTCTCTCTCTCTCTGCTGTATACTTTTTTAAAATTTTTTTGAGATGGAGTTTTGCTCTTGTTGCCCAGGCTGGAGTGCAATGGCGTGATCTCGGCTCACTGCAACCTCCACTCCAGGGTTCAAGTGATTCTCCTGCCTCAGCCTCCCAAGTAGCTGGGATTACAGGCGCCTGCCACCATGCCTGGCTATTTTTTGTGTTTTTAGTAGAGACGGGGTTTTGCAATGTTGGCCAGGCTGGTCTCAAACTCCTGACCTCAGGTGATCCACCCACCACCTCAGCTTCCCAAAGTGCTGGGATTACAGGAATGAGCCACCTGGCCTATTTTTAAGAAAAAAAAAAAAAAAGCAAAAACAAAGAACTGAGGGGCCCAAAAATCTCACGTCACTTCTGTAGATTCTAAGACATAATTATGAAAAAATAGACAGGGCCGGGCGCAGTGGCTCATGCCTGTAATCCCAGCACTTTGGGAGGCCAAGGTGGGCGGATCACGAGGTCCGGAGATGGAGACCATCCTGGCTAACACGGTGAAACCCCATCTCTACTAAAAACACAAAAAAATTAGCCGGGCATGGTGGCAGGCGCCTCTAGTCCCAGCTACTTGGGAGGCTGAGGCAGGAGAGTGGTGTGAATCCGGGAGGCGTAGCTTGCAGTGAGCCGAGATCACACCACTGCACTCCAGCCTGGGCAACAGAGCGAGACTCTGAGAGTCCGTCTCAAAAAAAAAAAAAAAAAAAAAGAAAGCCAACTTGTAATTTCCAGTATATACTTATGTATTGTATGTATCTGGCTGACATCAAGTTTATAAGACTCCATTACATTGCTTTTCCATAATTTTTATTGTAAAATTACAAAAGGACAAACTATATTAAATATTTTGTCATAGCACTACAGACCTCTGAGATATTAACAAGCACTTCTGTGACTTTGAGAAAATGTCAAAGAAAAGGACAGTAAAAAATATGAGCAAATCTTTCTGCACCCCTAATTAATTGCTCCAAATGCAGACTGGATCAACTACAAACCACCACAACATTGTGGTTTGCAGCCTTTCTGCTCTATCCTTTTCCCTTTTTCCACAGAAAGAAAAATTGCAGAATGGTGATGTGGGTAAAACAGGCAGCCTCTATCCCCGGTGACTTTAGAAAGTGGGGCTAGAGAGGTTGGAAGGAAAAAAAAAAAGAGTAGCTTGGGAAATAGGTGCCTGCTAATGCTTCCACGCCTCTCCTCAATTCTCCTTTTCCTTTTGAAAATGGAAAAAAGTAGTAATGCACTCTGAGGGACAGTACTCCTTAACCTGTATGTTTTCATTTCCTTTTTGTGAAAGGTTTCTTAGTTAATAATTACTCTTATTATTAAAACTGTACTTCTATAGTATTTATTAAGTACATAGCAGAGAGGTCGGGTACAGTGGCTCAGACCTGTAATCCCAGTACTCTGGGAGGCCGAGGCGAGCAGACCACCTGAGGTCAGGAGCTTGAGACCAGCCTGGCCACTTGGGAGGCTGAGGAGAGTTGCTTGAACCTGGGAGGCGGAGGTTGCAGTGAGCCAAGATTGTGCCACTGCACTCCAGCCTGGGTAACAGAGTAAGTGAGACTGTGTCTCAAAAAATTTTTTTAAAAAATAGTTTTGACTTCATGGACCATCTCTACTAAAAATACAAACATTAGCCAGGTGTGGTGGGGGGCACCTGTAATCCCAGCTACTCGGGAGCCTGAGGCAGGAGAGTCACTTGAACCCAGGAGCGGGAGGTTGCAGTGAGCCGGGGTAGCGCTATTGCACTCCAGCCTGGGCAACAAGAGTATAACTCTGTCTCAAAAAAAACAGAGACAAGGTATCATTATGTTGCTGGTCTCAAACTCCTGGCCTCAAGCAATCCTACCTCAGCCCCCAAAGTGATGAGATTACAGGTACAAGCCACCATGCCTGTCCAGAAGTTGCCTTTCTTTTTGCATTTGATGTAATGACTAGTTTTGAAAAGTATCTTTCCATCTTCTGCCTGAAGTCAAATTTATTCACATTGACTTCCAGTCAGGTGTTACACCATCTCAGGCATGGGGGCTCTTTGAGATTTAGAGGAAACGGAGGCTGGTGGATAATGCCAACAATTTCAGTGACCCTGAATACCATGGCATATGACATTTAGAATATATTACACAGACGTCCTTTGAACTCCACCCTTCTTCTTTGGGTAGCATTGGGATATCAAGGGCAGAACTCCATAGTCAGCACTAAATTAAGTCTGGGGTCAGTTACGTAATTCTTTACATTACCATTATTTATTTTTATTTTTTATTTTATTTTATTTTTTGAGACAGAGTCTTGCTGTGTTGCCCAGGCTGGAGTGCAGCAGCGCCATCTTGGCTCACTGCGACCTCAGGAGATTCTCCTGCCTCAGCCTTCAGAATAGCTGGGACTACAGGAGCACACCACCATGCCTGGTTAATTTTTTGTATTTTTAGTAGAGGCAGGGTTTTGCCATGTTGGCCAGGCTGGTCTCAAACTCCTGACCTCAGGTGATCTGCCTGCCTTGGCCTCCCAAAGTGCTGGGATTACAGGCGTGAGCCACCGCACCTAGCCACCATTATCATTTTTTAAATGCCCTGTTATGTTTTTATTTGGAATAGAGTCAGCTAATTCCTTTTATTCTACCAAGTCTCAGCAGGGAATAGATACTTCCCATTGACTTCATCTGAATATTGCTAATGCTTTTGTAGGATTCTGTATGTCTTCTGTAATGGTGAAACTCCATTGCCCATTTTTAAATTAATTTAGTGTTTTTTTTTTCGGGGGGGGACAGGATCTTGCTCTGTCACCCAGGCTGGAATGCTATGGCACAATCATAGCTCACTGCAACCTCCAACTCCTGAGCTCAAGTGATCCTCCCTCCTCAGTCTTCCAAAGTGCTGGGATTCCAGGCATGAGCCACCAGGCCCAGCCTGATTTAATATTTTTATTCAGCATGATATTTATCTGTTGTTTATATATGTTCTGTCGTATTACTCCTTAAACTCTAAGTTGAAGAGATTGAGATTATGTGATCCTCCATGTATAACTGGGTACTTTTTAAAAATTAAACTAAAAAGACCTGTTGGAGAATGTAGCTTTTCAAGATTTTCTTTTTTATTTTGAAAGGAGTTTCGCTCTTGTTGCCCAGGCTGGAGTGCAATGGCATGATCTTGGCTCACCACAACCTCCGCCTCCCGGGTTCAAGCGATTCTCCTGCCTCAGCCTCCCGAGTAGCTGGGATTACAGGCAGGTGCCACCATGCCCAGCTAAGTTTGTATTTTTAGTAGAAAGCGGGTTTCTCCATGTTGGTCAGGCTGGTCTCAAACTCCTGACCTCAGGTGATCTGCCCGCCTTGGCCTCTCAAGTGCTGAGATTACTGATGTGAGCCACCACGCCAGGAGGTTTTCAAGATTTTCAATGATGAAAGGAAGATAACTTGTTGGAGTGGTAATAGATTAAGAGGCAGCAATATTTCCAGACATTGGTGCTCTGGAAAAAGGCTGAAAGTTCACTTTTGATGTTATTTCATTGTTCACAGATAAGCAATCCTATGGTTAACTCTGTGCTAGTTCCTGGTCCTTTTCTCTCTTTAGCAAGGAAGGTGAAATGGTTGTTGGATTTTGGTTTAGACGCATAAACTAGTGGCACAGCCTATTTCTCCTCCAACCTTCCCCCTGTTTTGATCACGTGTGGTGCTGCTGAAAAGTAAATTACTTCTGAGCTTTAAAAATTTTTAATGTTTGTATTGTACTGGTGGGGAGTCTTAGGAGCCTGGCCAAAAACTTGGTGTTTCAGGAACATTTCAGTTGACAGACTTTGTTGATTTTCTTCTATTTCTTCATCTTTTAATTGGGTATTTTATATACATATGCAACTTGTAATTGGGTATTGTACATTTTGAGTATAAACTTTTTGTAAAAAAGAAACCTAACAATTTAAATTCATGGCATTTTGTTTTTATTACTTATATCAGAAAAGTTGCCAAAATAGGACCCTGGCTTTTTCTTCAAATCATAGGAATCTCTAATAAAGCTTTGACAAACCCAGCCACTCTGATGGAAATCATCGCATACTACGCACTGCCACCAGGAATCACATCAGAAGTCTTCTTTGCTGTGTAAAAGTAGCTCAGGGGCACCAAAATCTTCTGCAGAGCTTTAGTGTGTGTCTGGGAAACTTGAGATAGAGTTGTGGATTCCCATGCATCATCTCCTCCCTGCTCATGAGTGGGCACGCTGGGTGTTGGCGCCCTTTCCTGATGAACACTGATGCATCCTCAGGGTTCTTCTCAACCAGTCCTCCAGGGACTCTCTCCAGGGAGTTAATCAGAGTTGGCATTCCAGATAAATTTTAAATTCGATCCCTCTCTTTGATAGAAGGGGGGCCTAAGATATTCTCAAAATTACCTGTCTTGAAATGAGATTTATCCAAGGTGAGGCTGTACAGTAAGAGTGCGGGCTTTGTCATCACATGACTAGATACTGAGTCCTGGCTCTATCCCTTAATAGTTGAATGGTAGTGAACTGGTCACTTCGTTTCTTCAAGTTTTGGTTTTTTGTTTTGTTTTTTAATCTGTGAAATGGAAAGAGGTCATACCTTTTTCAGAATACTGAGGATTAAATACAACAATTTTTGTAAAGTGCTTAGTAGACTATCTAGCCCAATAGTTCTCAGATTGTTAGTATTAGAACCCATTTATACTGTTAAAGATTATTGGCCAGGCGCAATGGCTCACACCTGTAATCCCAGCACTTTGGGAGGCTGAGGCGGGTGGATCACGAGGTCAGGAGTTCAAGACGAGCCTGGCCAAGATGGTGAAACCCCGTCTCTACTAAAAATACAATAATTAGCCAGGCACGCCGGGCGCGGTGGCTCACACCTGTAATCCCAGCACTTTGGAAGGCCGAGGTGGGCGGATCACAAGGTCAGGTGATCGAGACCATCCTGGCTAACACAGTGAAACACCGTCTCTACTAAAAATACAAAAAATTAGCCAGGTGCAGTGGCGGGCGCCTGTAGCCGCAGCTACTCGGGAGGCTGAGGCAGGAGAATGGCGTGAACCTGGGAGGCAGAGCTTGCAGTGAGCCGAGATAGTGCCACTGAACTCCAGCCTGGACGACAGAGCGAGACTCCGTCTCAAAAATAATAATAATAATTAGCCGGGCACAGTGGCAGGCGCCTGTAATCCCAGCTACTCGGGAGGCTGAGGCAGGAGAATTGCTTGAACCCAGGTGGCAGAGATTGCAGTGAGCCGAGATTGCGCCACTGCACTCCAGCCTGGGCGACAGAGTGAGACTGCATCTCAAAAAAAGAAAAAAAAAAAAAAGATTATTGAGGACCCCATAGCATTTTTGTTTATTAAAAATTAAAACTGAAAAATTTTATGAATATGTATTACTTTTAGAAATTATAATAAAACCCCACTGTATATGAACATAGATAGCATATTTTATGAAAAATAATTGTATTTTCCAAAGACAAGTTAGTGAGTAGCTTATGTGCTTCTGCATTCAACCTGTTGCAATATCACACATCCTGCAGATTCTGGAAAATTCCATGTACACATATGAGTGAATCAGAGTCAAAAAGACAAATAATATCCTAGTAGTAGTTTGATGATGTGCCCAGGAATGGACAGCTGACCCATTTCTAGCCAGAGATTCAAGGAAAAGTTTGCTGGGAAGAGGCATTCCGTTCCAAATAAAGAGACCAAGGTTTCTAAAAAGAAGGTCTTTTGCCCTTTTGATTATTTGGAATGTAGACATGATGCTTTGGTTTGTCACAGCTGTTTGGGGACAAGATCGAGAGTAAAAGTCAACACATTCAGGGTGATGGAGCAGAATGACAGGAAGAGCTCTGTTCTTGAGAGCACTGTTGAACAGCTGAACCAGCTCCTACAAGCCTTACCTACCAGCTTTGAACAAAAAAAAATTTTGTTTAAATAGTTTCAGATAGTTTTGGCTGAGTGTGGTGGCTCATGCCTATAATCCCAGCACTTTGGGAAGCCCAGGCAGGTGGATCACTTGAGGTCAGGAGTTTGAGACCAGCCTGGCCAACATGGGGAAACTGCGTCTCTACTAAAAATACGAAAATTAGCCTGGTATGGTGCTGTGTGCCTGTAGTCCCAGCTACTTGGGAGGCTGAGGAGAGTTGCTTGAACCTGGGAGGCGGAGGTTGCACTGAGCCAAGATTGTGCCACTGCACTCCAGCCTGGGTAACAGAGTAAGTGAGACTGTGTCTCAAAAAAATTTTTAAAAAAATAGTTTTGACTTTGTGGACCATCAGAAGGGTAGGGTCTTGGCCCCACCTCCACCCCCAAGACCCTTTGAGTATCATTAGCCATTAATTAGCACCCAATAAATTGTAGTTATTATTGTTATACATGGAATTTTTTTTTTTTTTTTTGAGACAGAGTTTTGCTCTTGTCGCCCAGGCTGGAGTGCAGTGGCGCAATCTCGGCTTACTGCAACCTCCGCCTCCCGGATTCAAGTGATTCTCCTGCCTCAGCCTCCTGAGTAGCTGGGACTACAGGCACATGCCACCATGCCTGGCTAATTTTTGTATTTTAGTAGAGACGGGGTTTCACCATGTTAGCCAGGCTGGTCGCAATCTCCTGACCTCATGTCACCTGCCCCAGCCTCCCAAAGTGCCGGGTTTACAGGCATGAGCCACTATGCCCACCCTATACATGGAAATTTTTATAACCAGCAAGTACTATAGTACTATATAAATATTAGTGATGAGAAGTAAAGGTCATGACTTCAAAGTTTTTTGCCATATACTTAATTGAAGGGTCCCAAATAAGATTGTACTTCAGATGAAGCAAAAGAAATAACAGTGTTTTTCAAATACTAGTAATACATAAATGAATTATTCAAGTTGAAAACGCTCGTCTTGCTTTCAGAAATTTAATTAAATATATAACCATAAAACTTTCATTTTTTTTCCAGAAGAGAGCCTTTTTCCCCCATCTAGAGTAATAGATCTTTGTAAAGAGAAAATTCATTACTTACTCTGAAACCACTGATAGAGTTTCTAGGGAGTTATAGTAGCCTCCTATAAAGGTGATATGGCCACATTGTTAACCAGGTTGGGATTCATGACTGACAGGTCAGTCTTGATTTACTGGTTGGAGAGCCTTGACTTAAGCATTTATTACTGTTATAGATACAAAATCCCTCAAAGGGGCTTTTTGAGTTGGGTTTGGGCTGTGAAGACAAAAAGCACACGTGACATGATAACAAGTAACTTACACAAGCTGTCTTAAGATCTCTGGGTAGTTCATATATTTCACATCTTAACAAGATATATGGACATAGTTTAAATTAGCTCTACCTGTACTTTGAGACATAGAACCTCTAATTATATCAATTTTATCCTTTCTTCTTTTTCTTGGGGATGGGTAGGTGTAGATCATGGGGAATTCATATGCTGGGCAACTGAAATCTGCTCGATTTGAGGAAGCTCTCCACAACTCCATAGAAGCCTCCCTCAGATGTAGTAGTGTGGTACCACGGCCAATTTTTTCCCAGCTATACCTGGACCCTGACCAGCATCCTTTCTCATCTGCAGGTAAGTTTCTCAATCACACACATTTCTGGATTCTTTTTTTTTGTTTTGTTTTTTTGAGATGGAGTCTCCGTCTGTTGCCCAGGCTGGAGTGCAGTGGCGTGATCTCGGCTCACTGCAACGTCTGCCTCCTGGGTTCAAGCAATTCTCCTGCCTCAGCCTCCTGAGTAGCTGGGATTACAGGTGCACGCCACCACTCCTGGCTAATTTTTTTTGTATTTTTATTAAAGACAGGATTTCACCATGTTGGTCAGGCTGGTCTTGAACTCCTGACCTCGTGATCCGCCCGCCTCCGCCTCCCAAAGTGCTGGGATTACAGGCATGAGCCACTGCACCCGGCCACTGGACTCCTTTTTTAAAAAGTGGGATTCTTGTTTTAGAAGTGGGGATTCCAAATCTTGGGACCTCTGAGATAAATTGGCTAAATGTTAGAAAATGCTAGACCTTTTTTCTTCAATTATGTCTTTCAGAACTGTGCATTTTTCCATAAGCATCTTTTTATTAAATCTGCTGTGATTTATTTGCTTACCCAGATGTCAAACCCAAGGTGGAGGATCTGGACAAAGATTTGGTAAACCGCTACACTCAAAATGGAAGTCTGGATTTTTCTAACAATCTAACAGTTAATGAAATGGAAGATGATGAAGACGATGAAGAAATGTCTGATTCAAACAGCCCACCAATTCCCTATTCACAAAAACCTGCCCCAGAAGGATCTTGCACTACAGATGGTGGGTTTCAGTTGTGTTTTCTTTTTGCTATTTTGTCTCTAATATTGTCTGACATATTTCTAATTATTACATGAGGTGCTCAAGGCTGGAAACTAGTAATTATCGTATGGAGAGGAATGAGAAATGATTATGCTCTCATTCACATTATCTCCTGTGACTTCACAACAGATGTCTGTAAGAAAGACAAGTATTATCATCCCATCTTAACAGATAAAGAGACTGAAATTCACAGTTGTTGACTTCCCTGAGATGGTCTGTTTAGAATTGCAGAGGCAATTCTAAACCCAGGTCAAGGCTTTTCCAGTATTCCAAGTACTTTCTGCAAGAATGCTACTATTTTAGGACTTTTTTAGTATTCCCTCTTCGTACTTCTTTCTATTCCCCCCCGCCCCCGGCCCTGCAAACAATCAGAGAGATATTAGAGATTTCATATTTACCGTTTACATTTATTTTGAACACTCATCCGATATAGAGGATTAAAATATTTTATACATATTATAAATGTAAAAATTTATAGAGGATTAAAATGTGTATATTTTGTTAATCCCTTTTTATTTATTAGGGTCAACCTCCTCTTCCACCAAGGCTTCACACTTTACAAGAAAATCCTAGTATAAAGCATTTCCAGTATTTCATGGTTTTGGTGATATCATAACTTAAATTACACTCTCTTCCCTCCATTTAATAGTTTACTGTGCTATTTTCTGACCATCCCAGCCTAATTAGTTCATGAATAATACTTTGTCCCGATTAGCCAGAGTATTGTTCTTATACCCAGAATGACTTGGACCTAGGATGATTTCAGTGCATGAAAATTTTGGAGTGGGGGAAATGGGAGAAGAAGAAAAGGGATATAATTTCAGAACATTCCTCTTACAAAGCTTAAAGTGCAAAGAATTAGAGAAAAACTAGAGGTTCAAATATGGAAAGTCAGAAAGCCCTGCTTGGGAGTTTTATTTTCTCTTGACTTTTTTTTTTTTTTGGACAATGTGATAAACCGTAAAGGAGTCAAAATCCCCTACCTAGGAGATGAGGAAACCTGAATAATTCTGGTAGCTTCTTAAGTGCCCAATTCACTAAAGGTGGCCTCTAGCAATTAGTACTACTGCTCTTTGATTCGGCCCTGCCTGTAGCGCATTATTCCTTATGAATTTGTTTATGATTGCTCAAACTTAATATAATATATATGGATTTATTCATTATTGACATAATACAGGCCTTTAAGCCTGTGGAGGTGTAGGAGGTGACTAGCATTATGTTTCTTCTTACTTGCTTTACGTCCATCTTCATGCCTTTTATTTAATTGAGCTGTCAACTCATTTATCAGGTAACAAAATGGAAGGTGAAATAGTGCTTAAAACGTTGTTGGATTCCCATTGAGAATCTTGTTATGTGTGAGAGTTACATAGAGTAAAAGCTTTAGAGGATAATTTTCAAATATCTAATTTTATACCAAAACATGGGAGAGAGGTTTCCATTCTTCCTGTGCCCTAGGTATGTTTTTAGTTTGCCTTACAGGGTATCTGACACTGGTGTTTTTTATAAGCAGGTATGGAGAGCTGTTTAGTACCCACCAAGGTATAATAAACTTAGTGATCTAGAGATAGCCAGTATTTCTTAAACTTTAAAACATGAGAATATGAGAGTGTATGGGAAGGGTAATATCATTTTAAAGATAAAGGAGGTGCAGTTTTTTTAACTGTCTCACTCAAGTTCAAGATTTATATTCCAAAACAATTCAAAAACACTAGTCCTACACTTAGATTCCTGTATCAGCTACTTTTGGTTCTTATAATTAATGTCCATTTTTTTCCCGTTTTAATTCACCTTGGGGGAAGGCATTTAAAACACAAAGTTTATAATTAATTTGGTAGTTTATAGTTTGTAGATACCTTTTTTTTTATTTGAGACGGAGTCTCACTGTGTTGCCCAGGCTGGAGTGCAGTGGCGCGACCTCAGCTCACTGCAGCCTCCACCTCCCGGGTTCAAGCAGTTCTCTGCCTCAGCCTCACAAGTAGCTGGGATAACAGGTGCCCGCCACCACGCCTGGCTAATTTTTGTATTTTTAGTAGAGATGGGGTTTCACCATCTTGACCAGGCTGGTCTTGAACTCCTGACCTCATGATCCACCCTCCTCGGCTCCCAAAGTGCTGGGATTATAGGCGTGAGCCACTGTGCCTGGCCAGTAGCTTTTTTTTTTTTTTTTTTTGAGTCCTCAGCCTCCTGAGTAGCTGGGACTACAGGCGCCCGCTAACATGCCTGGCTTCTTTTTTATGTATTTTTAGTAGAGACAGGATTCCACCGTGTTAGCCAGGATGGTCTAGATCTCCTGACTTCGTGATCCGCCTGCCTCGGCCTCCCAAAGTGCTAGGATTACAGGCGTGAGCCACCACGCCCAGCCAGTAGCTCTTTCAATTGAACTCATTCTAAGATAGTTTTAAGAGCCTTCTTACTCAAAGGGAGAACAGTTCTGAAATTTTCCTTATGAAAATGGCAGTGAAATAGGGCAATATACTGCCTGAACCTAAATAAGCATACCACCTTCCCTTCATGGGAAATCCTCTATTTACTTAAGGCTCAAAGAAAGGTAAAGCTATTTTTAGAGGCAATTTAGATAAGCAAATACTTAACACCTGATGGGCTGCTGGGGTTTACCATTCAGATGTAAATTTTGGTTGCTAATTTCTTATGTAAATTATCGGAGTAGTGTAGGTTCCTACCCTGCTGGGAGGCAGTTGATTGTCCAGAGGGGTAAAGGACAACCAAATTTTAGGCCTCCAAATACTGCTTTGATTACTCTAGTTTGTGTTTATAGCTGGTTCTGTAAAGTTTTCCCTGCCCTCTTTTAGTTTACTCTGTAACCTTCAAGTTGGAGATAATTGGAGAATGCTAATCTGTTTCTGTGAAGTGAAATCTTTGGCTGTTTTCTTAAGGAAATGCAGATGAAGTTTATAAAGAAGACCTGTCTACTATTATTCCTTTTTAAAAAAATTAAAATCATTTGCTCTGGTTTTAGAGCAACATTTCAGTGTTATCTTCAGAAAATGAAATTATTTCAGGGGCAGATTTGTCAAAAAAATTATTTGTATGCCTGTTATCACTAACTTACGTTTCTTTGCTTGTAGAGTATGAACAGGCTTAGATCCTCCCTTAGGATACTCTTAACCAGATCTTCTCGTAGCCTCTAAAAGAAAGATCACATCAGTCCTTCAGAATTATTTAGATGTAATTCAGAATTACCCTGTTGGGGAGTCCTAAGGTTTTGTTTTGTTTTTTCATTTAGTTCAAGGTTTTAACTGAGATTTAATATTTGATGTTTATTAGACTATTAATCAGACATATTTCTAGTAGTGGGAAAATAGAACTACCTATCACACTGGATATTGGGATCCTATGTCTTGAGATAGAATGTTTCATAGATTTTGTTTTTAGCTATCCACTCTTTTTTACAGACATACACAGCTTATTTTCCATCTGAAAAAACTAAATTAAATATTGCTGTTTGCATAATGTTTTTACTCTCGTAGGGATCCCTCATGATATATTTTGTATATCATTAGCTGATCTGAATCCCAGCAATGAGGATTTGGAGGAAATAGTAAATAGATACATACTTTACAGAAATAGACCAGACCCTTGGCAGGCGAACTTATTCTTAGAATAACTACAAACTGAATTCATAAACTTTTGCTTGACTTAATGAGCATTTTTGGCATGGAGTTGATTTCTTCTGGACCCTGTTCCTAGACACAGCCCTGCTGTGCCTTTCTTTCCTATTCTCTTCTTAATTAAATTGCCTGTGTGGCTTGTATTGGCAAATAGCTACATGGTAAAAGATAAAATAGAACTATTTTATTTTATTTTTGAAGAACAGCTTTAAATTTGTGAAAATTAAGAAAATAGTACAGTTTCCATATATCCCCACACAGTTTGCCCTATTATTAATATCTTAGTATAGGACATTTGCTACAAGTAATGAACCAATATTGATACATTTTTATTAATTTTAATAACAACTAAAGTCCACAGTTTATTTGAGTTCCTTGGTTTTTTCCTAATATCCTTTTCCTGTTCCAGTATCCCATCCAGGATACGGCATCAGATTTAATTGTTATGTCTCCTTAGGTTCCTTTTTTTTTTTTTTTTTTTTTTTTTTGAGACTGAATCTTGCTCTATCGCCCAGGCTGGAGTGCAGTGGTGGTGCGATCTCGGCTCACTGCAAGCTCCGCCTCCCGGGTTCACACCATTCTCCTGCCTCAGCCTCCCGAGTAGCTGGGACTACAGGCTCCCATCACCACGCCCCGCTAATTTTTTGTATTTTTAGTAGAGATGGGGTTTCACCGGTTCCTTTTGACTGTGACAGTTTCTCAGACTTTCCTTGTTTTTGATGACCTTGGCCGTTTGGGGAGTATTAGGCATATTGTAGGAGACCCCCCTATTGGAATTCATTTGATGTTTTTCTCCTTATTAGATTGAGGTTATGGGATCTGGGGAGGAAGATCACAGAGGTAAATTTTTATCTTATTCTTTCAAGGGTACATACTATCAACATGATTTAACACTATTGCTGTTGACCTTGGTCACCTGGCTGAGGGGCTGAAGGAGTGTTATCCCCACTCTCCTTCCACTACATACTGTGGAAGGAATCCCCAGATCACACTGAAGGAGCAGGGAGTTATACTCCACATCCTTGAGGGCAGGCTACGTAAATTATTTGAAATTCTACTGCCTGGGAATTCATCTCTTCTCTCCCATTTATTGATGGGTTCATTCGTTTATTTATGTCATTATGGCCATAAATACCTACATTTATTTTATGTTTATAATCCAATACTAATTTATTTTGTTGCTCAAATTGTTCAGTTTTGGACATTGGGATCTCAGTTGGTTCTCGTGCCACTTTTACAAACCCCCATCATTATGGGGTGGGTTTTTTTTTTTTTTTTTTCATCAAATAGGAATTTTCTCTTTTCACGGGCACAGGAACCTCTTGACTTTTTTTTTTTTAAGGGAAGGAGGTTAGGCACACACCTCTCATAGAATACAGTAATTGTTTAATAATTATTGCTTTTCTCCTCTAGGTGTCCTCATAAATGGGAAAACCCTCAAAGATTGTAATACTAAAAACTATTTGTGTGGATTGTGTAGTTTTCATTTTGCCACAGAAATTGCTCTGAAATAATCTCTCTTCCCTAGAAAATCCTGCTTTCTTCAGGCCTTCTCAACACTAACTGTGCCTTCTCTACTCTATACCTCTTTAGCCCAGAAACAAAATTGTAACTTTTCCCTCTTAGTCTCCCTTTTGCAATGTATTGCTTGAGAAAGCTCAGCAGAAATGTCAGTCTGTGAGCATGAATTACTTTTGCGGCTTGCCAAAACTTGAATTTTAAGGACTCATTAACAAGTATGAAATAGGTGAATGCCGACACAGTCAATGGCTGGCAGGGGCTGGTGTATCAAATGATGCTCAGAAATCAATCTGAAAAGGCCACAGGGAAGTCAAGTGATAGGACCCAACAAAAATAGGCAAGGATGAAGTTATAGGAGAGCTCTCCATCAGACTAGAGGAAGGTGAAACAGTATACAGTCATGTGCCAAATAACACCATTTCGGTCAATGACTGACTGCATATATGACATTGGTCCTGTAGGTTCCAAAACTGAAAAATGTCTGTTGCCTGATGACACTGTAGCCATTGTAAAGTAGTGCAATGCATTACTCATGTGTTTGTGGTGATGCTGATGTAAAGAAACCTACTGCACTGCCAGTCATATAAAAGTATAGCACATACAATTAGGTACACCACATGATACTAGGTAATAAATGTTATTTTTTATTACCTAGTTATTTTATTATCTATGTTATTTCAGAGTGCACTCCTTCTACTTATTAAAAAAAAAAAGTTTACTGTAAAACAGCCTCAGGCAGGTCCTTTAGGAGGTATTCCAGAAGATGGCATTATTATCATAGGAGATGACCCTCCAAGCATGTTTTTGCCCTGAAGACCTTCCAGTAGGACAAGATATGGAGGTGGAAGAGTGATATTGATGATTCTGACCCTGTGTAGGCCTAGGCTAATGTGTGTGTTTGTGCCTTAGTTTTTAACAAAAAAGTTTGTTTGTTTGTTTGTTTTTGTTTTTGTTTTTGTTTTTGAGATGGAGTCTCGCGCTGTCACCAGGTTGGAGTGCAATGGCGCAATCTCGGCTCACTGCAACCTCCGCCTCCTGGGTTAAAGTGATTCTCCTGCCTCCACCTCCTGAGTAGCTGGGACTACAGGCGCCCACCACCATGCCCAGCTAATTTTTGTATTTTTAGTAGAGATGGGGTTTCACCATATTGGCCAGGATGGTCTCAATCTCTTGACCTTGTGATCCACCCGCCTTGGCCTCCCAAAGTGCTGGGATTACAGGCGTGAGCCACCGCGCCAGGCCAACAAAAAAAGTTTAAAAAGTAAAAAACAAAACAAAACAAAAATTTTAATACAAAAAAGCCTTATAGAATAAGGATATAAGAAAGAAAACGTTTTTATACAGCTATACAAAGTGTTTGTGTTTTAAGTTTTATTATGAATCAGAAGGTTTTTAAAAGTTAAAAAGGTGATAAAGTTAAAAAGTTACAGTAAGCTAAGGTTAATTTATTATTGAAGAAAAAAACATTTTAGTAAATTTAGTGTAGCCTAAGGGTACAGCATTTACAAAGTGTACAGTAATGTCCTAGGCCTTCACATTCACTCATTACTCACTCACTGACTCACCCAGAGCAACTTCCAGTCCTGCAAGCTCTGTTTTAAGTGACTTATACAGGTGTGTCATTTTTTATCTTTTATATCGTATTTTCACTGTGCCTTTTCTGTGTTTACATATGTTTAGATACACAAATACTTAACCATTGTGTTACAACTGCCTATAGTATTCAGTACAATAGAATGCTATCCAGGTTTGTAGCCTAGGGGCATTAGGCTATACCATCTAGCCTACATGTGTGGTAGGCTGTATCATCTGGGTGTGTGAAAGTACACTCTATGATGTTCACACAACAAAATCGCCTCTTAGAATGCATCCATGTGGTTAAGTGATAAATGACTGTATATGAGTCAGAGAGGTGTTAATGAGGTCAAAGGAGCAGTTAATTAGGAGTTAAGAGACCTGGGTTCTGGATCTACTGTTTCTGGTGGTTGAGTATTTGGCCTTGGGCCACTTTCTTAGTCTCTTGGGGCCCTTCTTTCATTTACATATTAAAGAGGTTAGAACAGATCTGTGTTCCTCAATCGTTGACTCACAAATGTCTCTTATAATAGTGTGTAATCTTTTGAATTCAGAGATTTAAAAATTAATTCTGTCATTACATGGCATGTGATAAGGACTTGATTTTAAATAGAAAGTAATTTTAGATTGGTTTGTTTGTTTATTTATTTATTTATTTTGAGACAGAGTTTCACTCTTGTTGCCCAGGCTGGAGTGCAGTGGTGCAATCTCGGCTCACTGCAACCTCTGCCTCCTAGGTTCAAGCAATTCTCCTGCCTCAGCCTCCCGAGTGCCTGGGACTACAGGTCCATGCCACCACCCCCAGCTAATGTTTGTATTTTTAGTAGAGACAAGATTTCGCCATGTTGGCCAGGCTGGACTCGAACTCCTGACCTCAGGTGATCCACCCGCCTCAGCCTCCCAAAGTGTTGGGATTACAGGCGTGAGCCATTGCACCTGGCCTACTTAGATCAGTTTATTCATATACTGTTTGATATTCATGCTGTACAAGAAAGATTATCTACAGGGTTAGTACCAGTCTTGAGTGTTGAGTGCATTGAATAAGGTAATCTATATAGTATTTAGCACTGTGCCTGGCTATGGCAAGTGCTCCATAAGTTTTAGCTGCCATCATCATCATCATCAATTCCCAACTTTCAAACCTGTGAGCCCTGTTCCTTAATAGAGGTGGGTGGACACAGCAGATTTTTTTTTTCCAATGGGTTCCATGTATCCATAGGCTCCAAAAAATATTTGTAAACGAAGTAATATGACCGACATATTTAATGACTATTTTCCAAATAAATATAAATGATATTTTGAACAAATGCAGATGCACTTAAAATTGCTAAAGAATTCATAAGTTTTTATATTTTTTCTTAATTCATGAACTTCTAGAGTTAAATTGACTTTTAGAGTTTAAATTGACTTTTATTAATGTTAAAAAGGGATCTATAAGCTTGAAATGATTGAGCCCTGCAGTCTTGATAATTTTATTCTTTCTTCTGTTGACTTTTCCCAATTCTATTAGGCTTGTTTTTGAGGTTTGGTGACCCAAACTATATGGTAAATTTAATATGCCCCACCGCTTCATCCATTTTTTTAAATTTAAATTTTAATTTTTTTTCTTTAAAAAAAAAATTTAGACAGGGTCTTGTTCTGTCACCCAGGCTGGAGTACAATGGCACAATCCTGGCTCACTGCAACCTCTGCCTCCCTAGCTCAAGGGATGCTCCCATCTTAACCTCCTAGGTAGCTGGGACTACAAGCACTCACCACCAGGCCCGACTAATTTTTGTATTTTTTTGTAGAGATGGGGTTTCGCCCTGTTGCCTAGACTGGTCTTGAACTCCTGGACCCAAGCGATCTGCCTCTTTGGCCTCCCAAAGTGCTGGGATTACAGGCGTGAGCCACTGCACCTCGCCTCATCCAATGTTTTCATGGTGTTTTCTTTTTTATTTCTCATGCCAGTAACTGATAGCATTCAATTATCTGTTGACACTTGGTTAAAATCATAACATGAATTGATGCTAGGAGAATCTAGCATGGTTTTTCCCTACTTTGTATTGGGCAATGATAATGGTGCTCTCCTCGGGTTTGTGTAGGGAGAGGTAGGCATCCTCCTTGCTTCCAAAATTTTCTGAAATAGCGTTTTTTTCCCTGTTCTTGAGAGCAAGTCTCACGCTGTTGCCCAGGCTGGAGTGCAGTGGTGCGATCTTGGCTCACTGCAACCTCTGCCTCCCTGGTTCAAGTGATTCCCCTGCCTCAGCCTCCCAAGTAGCTGGGATTACATGCATGTGCCACCATGCCTAGCTAATTTGTTGTTGTTGTTGTTTGTTTGTTTTTTGAGACAGAGCCTCGCTCTGTTGCCCAGGCTGGAGTGCAGTGGCGCGATCTGGGCTCACTGCAAGCTCCGCCTCTACAGGTGCCTGCCACCATGTCCGGCTAATTTTTTTGTATCTTTAGTAGAGACGGGGTTTCACCATGTTAGCCAAGATGGTCTCGATCTCCTGACCTCATGATCCGCCCGCTTCTGCCTTCCAAAGTGCTGAGATTACAGGTGCGGGTCACCGCGCCCGGCCTTTTTTTGTATTTTTAATAGAGAAGGGTTTCACCATGTTGGCAAGGCTGGACTTGAACCGCAACCTTAAGTGATCCACCCACCTCGGCCTCCGAAAGTGCTGGGATTACAGGTGTGAGCCACTGCGCCCGGCCTGAAATAGCATTTATCATACTTTTATTCAGCCTTTCTCGGTTGCAAATGACAGAAACCCAACTGAAAATGGCTTAGGTAAAATGAAGAAATTACTGAAAGAATTCCAAAGAAAAGGTTTCATGGCCAGACCTTGGGAAAGGCAGATACAGCGGGCTGAGGGATCCAGATACTGCCAGAACAGTCTTTCAGCCTCCTGCCTGTGCTGACGGAGTTCCCTCCCAAGTCAAGAGACAGGGCTGGCACTAAGCAGTCTGAGCCATGCTCTCCTTGGCTCCATGTTCAGATTTTCTAGGGGAAAGGCTTTGATGGGCCTTGTTTATGTCATATGTCCACCCTTGGACCAATCAACTATGGCCAGAAAGTTGGGCTATCAAAGTGGCCCAGTTGGATCAGGTCCTAGCTCCACATCAATTTGGAGTGTCACAACTCCCTGGGGAAGTCATATGATTACAGTGAGTACAGACGGAATCATTCCCCAGAAGATTTGCAGCAGAACTGTAGCTGTTCCCTATAACACTGTCTGTGATTCTTGGTTCCTTATACATTCTTCCAAATGACTGCAATGTGAGTTCTTGGAGGAAGTTATATTTGGTTCAATTCTGTATCTCCTGGTCTTGGACAGCATCTGTTGCAAATGTTTGTTTAATAAACAATGAACAGATGAATTCATATAATACATTATGATATACAAAGTGGTTATGTAAGATTTTGTCACATCTTGTCATGTCATGTCATGGTAAAAAGTGAAATGCTGTAACAGTTTTGGCCCGTTCATCTAGGAGTCACCAAATTCTGAGCTTCAGTCTTTTCCTCTGTGAAAATAAAGAGTATCTCTATTCTGACACTGTACCCATCTAGAGAAGTGAATTTGGATTGGAAGTAAAATAATCGTATTACATGCACATAAAAACTACGTGGTTTTCAAAGTTTGTTGTGTATTCACCATTGCCCCACTTGTTGACCAGACTCACGCCTGTAATCCCAGCACTTTGTGAGGCCAAGGTGGGTGGATCACGAGGTCAGGAGTTCGAAACCAGCCTGGCCAACATGGGGAAGCTCCATCTCTACTAAAAAAAAAAAAAAAAAAAAAAATTAGCCGGGTGTGGTGGCGCACACGCCTGTAATCTCAGCTACTCGGGAGGCTGAGGCAGGAGAATCACTTGAACCTGGGAGGTGGAGGTTGCAGTAAGCCAAGATCCCACCATTGCACTCCAGCCTGGGCGACAGGGCGAGACTCCATCTCAAAAAAAAAAAAAAAAAGAAAAAAAAAAGAAAAAATATGAAGTTGTCGCTTTGGCTGAAGCGAAGCAGACGGAAATATTTCCTTTCAATGTCTTTTCAGCTTTGTTCAGAGGGCCACACTTGGCAGATTTGTCTTCTGGTTGGAGTATAGGGGTATAGGGACTTTAATTTAGTCTGTAATAGTGATTCTCAAAAATAAATCTACTCTCCAAATGAGTGATAAGAAGATATAATCTCACTAAACATTTCACTGTGTCCTTTTTTTTAAACTGGTTTTTAGGTTTTTGTCAAGCAGGAAAGGATTTGCGTTTGGTATCACTGTGTATGGAACAAATTGACATCCCAGCAGGATTCCTCCTGGTGGGGGCCAAGTCTCCCAATCTGCCTGAACACATCCTAGTTTGTGCTGTGGACAAGCGATTTCTACCAGATGATCATGGAAAAAATGCACTTTTAGGTGAGTGTTTCATGCTTATAAAATTCCTTCCAATATGAGGGAGTTAAAATACACATTTATTTAAAACTACTGCAGAATTTTAAAAAATATACCAGAGGATTATTTGGGGATTATATAGTTTAGTTCAATTATGAGACATTTTTTCTTTTAGTAACTTCTTTTTTTTTTTTCTTTTTTTCTTTTTTTGAGATGAAGTCTTGCTCCATCGCCCAGGCTGGAGTGCAATGGTGCAGTCTAGGCTCACTGCAACCTCTGCCTCCCAGGTTCAAGTGATTCTCCTGCCTCAGCCTCCCGAGTAGCTGGGACTACAGGTGCATGCCACCACACCCAGCTAATTTTTGTGTTTTTAGTAGAGACAGGGCTTCACCATATTGGCCGGAGTGGTCTTAAACCCCTGACCTCGTGATCTGCCCACCTCGGACACCCAAAGTGATGGGATTACAGGCGGTAACTTCTTAAACATTTATTTATTTTCTTTCTTTTTTTTTTTTCTTTTTTTTGAGACAGAGTTTTGCTCTTGTCACCCAGGCTGGAGTGCAGTGGCATGATCTCGGCTCACTGCAACCTCTGCCTCCTGGGTTCAAGCAATCCTCCTGCCTCAGCCTCCCGAGTAGCTGGGATTACAGGCGCCCACCATCACGCCCAGCTACTCTTTGTATTTTTAGTAAAGACAGGGTTTCACCATGTTGGCCAGGCTGGTCTCAAACTCCTGACCTCAGATGATCTGCCTGCCTTGGCCTCCCAAAGTGCTGGAATTACAGGCATGAGCCACCACGCCCGGCCTTTTCATTTTTATTAATTCTCAAAACACTTAGCTTAATTAAATGACTTTTTTGACCAGACATTTTTAAAAAGCATGCAATTTATCAAAAATTAATATTTTATAAAGAAAAGAGAATTCACTCTCTATAGTCATTGATATCAAGTCAGCTCTGATATTGGACCTGATATCAAGTCAACTCAATTATTTATCTGTGGATTATTCACTTTGTAAGTTATTTGTTGTTTTTCCATACCACTCATTCCAATGTCATATAGATAGATATTTCTATCTATACTTGTGTGATGTGATTCTCACTTTATATTTAACATTAGTTCACCCAAAATAACTAGGACTATGTATCTTTATATTTCTATCTATATGATATAAAATGTAAATGACTTTATCTAGAATTATTTTACTTTCTGATATTAGAGTCTGGGCTTTTTCACAACATAGCTTCCCTATATCACAAGAAATAACAGACTTGATTTATTTTATTTTAAATAATTAAAAAGATAAGAGAGCACATGAGATTTGTTGCTTTTCTACTGCTGCCATTTCTCTACTGTTGTTTTTGTTTCTCAGAATTTGTCTTACTATAGATGAAATCATGTTTCAGGCACAAATATCAGTAAAAAGGAAAAAGAATAGAGCAATGAATTCAAATATTGTATTGATCATGATGTGTATTTATTTTTGTAGTTTGATACATTCTTCCTAGTTATATAGTGTCATCAGAAAGTCTAGCAATACACTGATCAATAAGTGAGCCTGCACACGCTTTATAGAAGTTCCTTAAATTATAGCTTAAAGACTTTTTATGGTTCATAGGAAAAGAAATGGTAATTTTCATTTTTTATAAGGCTCTCATAAAAAAAGAACATTTTCGGCCTGGCACGGTGGCTCACGTCTGTAATCCCAGCACTTTGGGAGGTCGAGGTGGGCGGATCATGAGGTCAGGAGATCGAGACCTCTGGCTAACATGGTGAAACCCCGTCTCTACTAAAAAAAACCCCGTCTCTACTAAAAAAAACCCCGTCTCTACCAAAAATTAGCCGGGCGTGGTGGTGGGTGCCTGCAGTCCCAGCTACTTGGGAGGCTGAGGCAGGAGAATGGCGTGAACCCGGGAGGCAGAGCTTGCAGTTAGCGGAGATCGCGCCACTGCACTCCAGCCTGGGGGACAGAGCGAGACTCCGTCTCAAAAAAAAAAAAAAAAAAATAATAATAATAATTAGCTGGGCGTGGTGGCGCTTGTAGTCCCAGCTACTCGGGAGGCTGAGGCAGGAGAATAGCGTGAACCCGGGAGGTGGAGCTTGCAGTGAGCCAAGATGGCGCCCCTGCACTCTAGGCTGGGCGACAGAGTGAGACTGTCTCAGAAAAAAAGAAAAAACGTTTTCACTTTGTTTAGTGAAATTGAGCAGATGGTTTAATATAGAAGTCTAATGATAAATCTAATATGCTGGAGTAAATTAGCAGTGAAGATCCAACTACTCGTTTTTTCATTCAGCAGTATTTATTCAGGATGTACTGTGTGACAGAAATCACACGAGGCTCTTACGTAGGGACACAACAGTTAAAAGACTCAGTCCTGTTCCTCACAGAGCTTACTACCTAGTAGGCTGTAGTAGAACAACTTCAGAAAACTTTTTAGCATTTGAAAAGCATTATCGTCTCATCTAATGATAAACAGTTCAGGTGTGGCTCTGACTGTCGACAATGAAAATCTCTCATAATGCATTTTTTGTTCAATGATTCTTTGTGACTAGAGAATCCTCTTAGAATATGTCATGGAAAAGACACAGAAAACACCATCAGTATAATAGACTTCATAATCCTTAGAAATTAGGAGTGAGACCAAAGACCATGTGCTTTAGAATCAGAACTGTGTTCTAATCCCAGATTTGTCACTTAGTACTTTAAGAACTTCAGCAAGTATTTTAAGAACTTAAAGTCTTAGATTGCTCATGCATATAATGGGGCCATTAACGCCTACCTTGCCGGGTCATAAAGATCAAATGAGATGATGTCCTTAAAGCACCCACCCAGCACAGTGCTTGGGACATAGTATTTGCTCTTCAAATGGCAGTTATTTACTATTGTATTTATTAAATACCCTTACAGACTTGGAACCTTGCTTACTTTCTCTAGCCTTGTAAGTGGACATAATTTTTTACTAACCACTTCTCCATGTAAAAGTGTGGTGCAATAACAAAATGGCAGGTTTTTCTTAAATAAACACATTGCTGGGATTTTTACATGTTTGATACTCTTGTCCAAAAACTTTCATCCAACATTTCTTACTTAAAGTGGATGATTTTCGTATGCATTAAAATATAGTGGAAAAATGTTTAAGCTTCCACTATTCTGGAACCCCTGTGGATTCAAATATCAATTTGTCTAAATTTTTATATAAATTATGCAGATTCCAAAGACCATGGGGGAATTGATTTAAAAATATATTGATCCAGTTGGTAGTGCATGTGCCCCAAATCTACCATGCAATTGGAAGACTTGATTGCCAGAAAAACTAGAAGGTAATTTGGCTGTGAGTGGTGTTATTTTTTGTTTTCAATGACAACAAGAACTTCAAGCAGATAAAATCTCCCTTGAAGGAAGGCTAATGCTGAAGCCATACAGGGTTTTTAAAATGGACTGTAGGATTCTAACTCTTTTATGTTGTTAACTCATCATTAATGTGAAGATTCTCTCCTTTGCAGATTATTCAGACCCATGGCTTTTCTTCCTCTTCACACTCTTGCTTTTCACCTCAGAATAGACAGAGGAAAAGATCAAACTCAACCTCAGTAGTTTGTTAATTCTCACACTAATCTTTTCTAAACCACTTGGACCTATCAGTTAAGCCTCATGTTTTGGCACTGTTCTTGATTATTTTGGCTGAAAGGTTCTTGTAGCTTTTTTCTGTGTTTTGGGTGTGGCATATCTACTTCACAGGTCAGGCAGTTTTCCATGAAGATGCCATAATCAGACCAGAATGTAGTTTCCACAAAGGCAGGGACTTTGTCTGCTTTGTTCAGTGCTAAAAAACCTGGTGCCTGCCACAGTGTCTAGCACATAATAGAGTACAGTATTTGTTGGATGGATGGTTGGATGGTTGGATGGATGGATGGTTGGATGGATGGATGGATGGATGGATGGATGGATGGATGGATAGATGGATGGGTGGGTGGATAGATGGATGGATGGATAACTTTAGTGACCTAGACAGCCACTGGCAACCTTTTTTTGGCGGGGAGGGGCTACTGCTTTAAGGTATTGGACAAATAGTCAAATGTTCTCAAATACAATCCATCTCTGAATATATTTTAAGTCATTTATAAAATTATATTGTTTGCATGTCTATAAAGTGGCGGTAATAAGTTGTTAATTCTATGTGATTGACCAGAGGTTATGAATATCTCTTCTTCACCACTGTTTCCCCAGTGTTTAGCAAAATGCCTAGCATATAGGTAGATGCTCAATAAATAGTTGTTGATTGAATCATAACAAATTGGACTTCCAATTTATAAATGCTTTGAATTGATGGTTAGCATTCTGAGATTAGGATGTTGTGAAATATTCTATCTTTAATCCTTGTGGCTTTTCTCTTCTCTATTTATATATCTTTGTTAATTATTAATATATATCAGGTTAGCTTAGGGGTCTGAAAAGAGTGTATCACTTCATCAGTGAATTTGTTTTCTGTTATTTACATATAGAAATATTGCCTTTATACGATATGGAATGCCCTTTCTTATTACAACTTTTTTTTTCCTGTTCATCTATATAACAGTAAATGTGTTATGCCCTCATCAGACACAACTAGAAGAACTCACTCTTATTGTCTGCTTTACTCTGTGTATTAAGGGGGATGGAAAAATTGATTTTCAATTAAAAAAAAAAGTATGGCTTTTCATCCTCCCAGTTTTCTGTTTCTTCTTTTTTCCATGTCCCCTGTTCCAACCAGGTCACCAAAATTTTTATTTTGTTTGATTTGTCTGAGTGAGGAATTGTTTGGATATTAGATCTAAAGGAATAAGAAGCCAGTATGAATAAACAGGTGTTAGAAAAGGGGAAATAGGAATCTCATGGAACTCCTGTCAGAAAGTATAGCTAGATCTCACAGAAACTAGAAGCTGACAAAGCCCTGAATTTGAACATCTGGCCTGTGCTCTGCTTTCCTCTTCGCAGATCAGCTTCCCTTCATGGTTCTTGGTTCCCGTACCTTAGCTTACATGTGGCTGACATAACCCTAATTCGGATTCCAATTCTCTAAAACCTTACAAATCCAGGGTCCAGTACCACCTGCCTGACTTTTTGTATTTATTTCAAAATTCCAGGAGAGAGATTCTGACTGTCCCAGACTGGGTCAGACGGTGGGCCACAAGCTCACCAGCTGTGGCCATGGAGGCAAGTTCGAGTGGTAGAGAGGGCAGAGAACCAGGGTGAGGACGCAGGTTCTCTAAGGAAGGAGTATGTGGGGAAGAAATAATAGACATTCTAGAACCAAGCTTTTCATTATATTATGTGCTCTATTTCCTTAACCTTAACCATTATCTACTGTATTTATCTACTCTATTTCCTTAATCTTTTAGAGATTAACCTTTCCTTTCCTTTTAGAGCAGCATTTAAATTATTTCCAGTCTTTCACTGTTATAAAATAACTCTGCTAAAGAAACATGTACCTGGTTTTTTTCCCTCTGAATTATTTCCTTGAGATTGAGACATTTTTGGGTCAAAGAATGTGAATGTTTCTATGCTGTTTAATACGTAAAAGTATTGTATCAACTTACAAGGCCATTAGTAACATTGGTTTTCCTGACTTCAGGGTTTTCTGGAAATTGTATCGGCTGTGGAGAAAGAGGATTTCGATATTTCACGGAATTTTCCAACCACATTAACTTGAAGCTCACCACTCAGCCAAAGAAGCAGAAGCACTTAAAGTACTACCTAGTCAGAAGCTCCCAGGGTGTACTGTCTAAAGGACCTCTTATCTGCTGGAAAGGTAGTCAATTTCCAGGAAGAAAAGGGGAGGGAATGGAGATTTTACGGTGGTGACAAGTGACCCATACAAGATTCAGAGTTCAGGTGGGATACAGATAAATATCCTAAGTTCAGAAGGATATCCCAAAATTTAAAGCCTTCTGGTAGGTTATTTGACTTGCCCCTTACTAATTTTAACAGAGACAATTCAAGTTTAGGAAAGTGAATGTCTCTGTATTCGTCTCTTGGGAAGGGGGTACAGCTCTCAAGGGGAAAAATGGACTCTTTCCAGCTCTTCTGTCCTTTAGAGAGGACCTCAGGGTGACAGCTCCTTGGTTAGATGCCGTTTTTACTCTATTTAATTTCTTTGGAGATTCTCAAACATCTGTATTTTTTCTATTTTAACTAGACCTAAACATACTTAGAATAAACATTAATGTTCTCTTCATAATACCTGGGAAAATACACTATTAAGTTGTCCAAGTGTTATTTCTTATAAATTAGGAAGAACTTAACTTATTTATAGAAATGAATCCAGTTGAAACTTCACATCTTCATGTGCTTGACAGGATTGACAGAAGTTCTCTTCACTGTGCTAAAGAAAAGAAGTATTTAATTATTATTCTATTGATCAGTTTCTTAGGTGCTGAGATTTTTTTCTCCATATAATAACTATTTTTGATGTTTTTCCTGACTATGAAAAACAGCATAATATTCCAAATTACAACTGCAGATTTGTTTCTGAGTCCTTCACCTTAATTTCTCTTAGTTATCTTTGAAGTAGCATTATATAGTTCTTTAGGAAATGGGTATAATTCCGAGACAGGTATCATCAGAACTTAACGCTTGTGACCACTGAATCATAAGCTGGTGAATTATAGATAAGTGTTTATCCTATTAAATTACTTTTCTCAGAAAAATCATTTTGAATGTCATGAATCCTAAGAAAAGGATAAAAATAGGATAGGTATCACCTCCCTCCCTTTTAATTCCCTTCTTTAGCCTTGTTTTGGTTGCATAAAATATTTTTAACTTCTTAGTACTCAGTGGCAATTCATCCTTCCTTCCTTCCTTCCTTTCTTCCTTCCTTCCCTTTCCTTCTCTTTTCATTTATCTTTTTTTCTTTTCTTTTTCTTTTCTTTCTTTCTTCCTTCCTTTCCTTTCCCTTTTTCTTTCTTCCTTTCCCTTTCCTTTCCCTTTCCTTTTCCTTTCCTTTCCCCTTCCTTTCCTTTCTTTTCTTTTCTTTCTTACACGCTCTCACTCTGTTGCCCAGGCTGGACTGCAGTGGCTCACTGCAACCTCTCCCACCCCAGGCTCAAGTGATCCTCTTACCTCAGCCTCACAAGGAGCTGGGACTACAGATACACACCACTGTGCCTGGCTAATTTTTGTATTTTTTGTAGGGACAGGGTTTCGCCATGTTGCCCAGACTGGTCTCGAACTCTTGGGCTCAAGTCATCTACCCACTTTGGCCTCTCAAAGTGGTAGCATTACAGGCATGAGCCACTATGCCTGGCCTCATTTTTCTAATAAAGAATAACATTTGTGAAAGAAGCCTCACGTTTATAATAGTTGCTATTTTGGAGCTGAAATTATATTTATTTATATAATTTATATATATACACATATAATATCAATATACATATATGCGTATATTACCTATTGGAGATAAGCTCTTAGGCCAGAATACAATAGCTCTTCATAGCAGGTCATAGCATAGAAGGTTATAGAAAACTGCTTCCAGTCCTTGTATGTATCTCATAAACTTGGAGACACTCTAAAGGACCATCTGTAATTAACTTTGTCATATAAAATCATTTATATTCCTTTTTCACATGCTACTTTTTGAGACGAATAGGGTAAAATTTGGTTGGAAGTTAACAGTCCCACAGGCTGTCATAGTATTTACTATCTACCTAAATCAGTACAAAGCACTATTAAAATATACCAGAGGCCCATTAATACTGGCTTACTTAAAATGAAGCTTGGCATATCATGATCCGTAACCACTTTGACTATTGGCTGTCTCCTTTAATAAGAACTGAGAATAATATTAATTTGAGCATTTAAAATTTTTCTCTACTGCCTATACATTTTTCTTTGCTTCTGTTTTTGGACCTAAATTAAGGTTGAGAAGAGAATAGGTTATAGGCAGCCTAGACAGACCCTAGGTTACTGTTCTACATTTAAACCAATCCCAGGTAGGATGTTAACTGGTATTGAAAGGCCTATTAGGTTTTCATAAATTACTAATGTTTTAACCTCTGTCTTACCCATAAAACTAGCATGACTATATTGGTTACGAGTATTTTTCCTCTGGGAACTAGTATGTAGGGAACAAAGGTCCAATTTCTTTGAAACCATTTCTTTGTCTTCCAAACAAAAGCATTGTGTTCACTAGTTGAAACATTCTGTTGGAGTCAGGATGGGGAAGGTGATCTCTAATTAAAGTGGCTGCCGCTTAAGGAGCAGCGATTTAATTTAGAGATTTTATGGATTGCGTCCCCATCACCTGTTTTAACAGAACATTGGTCACTTCATACAATGTGATTTTTACTCTTTTCCAGAATGTAGAAGCCGACAATCCTCTGCTTCTTGCCACTCTATTAAGCCAAGCTCTTCAGTGTCGTCAACTGTGACCCCAGAAAATGGGACAACTAATGGATACAAATCAGGATTCACTCAGACAGGTATGGGATATTTTCTTTTGGCATTTCAAGCATCACATGTATATTTAATGAGACTTTTTAAAATATATACTTACTGCTGGCTGGTTTGAATAGAGATATTTCAAAATAAAGGTATTACTTGAGTTACTATTAGAGTTAGAATTCAGCCTTGAGATGGGTTAATCTGTGGATGACCAGAATCCAAGTCCTCACAGTCCTGACAGCTGGTAGGAAATTTAGCTGGAGCCTAGGACCTCATTCTAGGGGAGACTGACAGTAGGCAATAAGTGGAAATCCAGACATGAGGGGAGTCTGCATCATAGCCATCCAGTGGCAAGTATTAGAGACACAGTCATTAAGACTGGAGTTCCAGGGTAGGGCTCTAACTAAGCCCACAGAACGTCATAGGGAGTAGTGCACCATCTGGGATACAAAACAAGGTCCTAAGCTAGGATTGTGGATCACAACGGATGAATCCAGGATCTAGTTTCTAGTGATACAAGAGAGGGACTTGGTTATGAATAACTAGATAAAATCTTAGTGCCTGAAACTAGGTCACAATATCAGAGCAGGATCAGCAGAATGACTGATCCTACTGAGCAGATAAGCTACCAGTCTGAGGCTTCTAAAAATTCCTCCAGTATAGAGCACCAGCCCAGGCCCTGAGGCCAAGATAAGATTCCAGGTGGAACTTCATGGTTCCAAGTGGCCAAAGGGCTGGAGGGCTTTGCCTGAAAAGATCACTGCAGATAGTATTTGAGAAAATTACTCAAAACCAGCCTTGGTTATATCTTAGGCAAGAAGGAAAGTATTTTAAAAGACTTTGTGAATTTGTTTCAGTTCACTTGTTTTTTGTGGAGTACATTTTACTCATCTGATACACAAACTTCATAGCATATGTACTTTGCCAGTGTTAATCACAAATTGAGAAGAAGGTGGTCTTCATTTGCTACACAGCATACCTCTTTCAAATTAATGTGAAATTCTGATGAGCTGGTCAATTGTTTCTACTTATTTTCAAGATAGAAGTGATTATTAGAATATGTTAGCAGCAGCAGCAGCAATGATAATAAGGCTAACTTTCTTTGGGGCATTTCTTGCTATGTGCCTGTACTCAGCTAAGTCCACCTCTTCCTGGATTGTAAAAAGTTTGGCTTTTAAATTGCACGGGAGATTTAGATAGAGGCTCTGATCTAAGAGAATAGACCACTTCTCTTTAGAATAAATGAGAGAACATGGTGTCACTAGGTATTCAAGAAAGAAACAAGTTAGCATTTGGCTCTGGCCATTGAAAGCATAGCCTTCATTACATTAATGAAACACCTGCATGTCTCTCTTAGAATATCATTTATGTAATTTGATTGATCCCGTGATATGTTATGCTGTGAAATATAATTTTTAAAACCACAGTATTAAAAGCTAAGATTTACTTCATTACAACAAAAACGTATCAAGTGTTTATTTCGTTTTAAGAACCTTATCAGTTGCTGTAAGGCAGGGTTTCAGTACTCGACTGATGTCTGCAATGATTTAAAAAACATTCATGGCTGGGCGCAGTGGTTCATGCCTGTAATCCTAGCACTTTGGGAGGCTGGGGTGAGCAGATCACTTGAGGTCAGGAGTTCGAGACCGGCCTGGCCAACATGGCAAAACCCCGTCTCTATCAAATACACAAAAATTAGCTGGGCATGGTGGCATGCGCCTGTAATTCTAGCTATCTGGGAGGCTGAGGCACGAGAATTGCTTGTACCCACGAGGTGGAAGTTGCAATGAGCCGAGATTGTGCCACTGCACTCCAGCCTGGATGATGGAGTGAGACTCTGTCGCAAAAGAAAAAAAACTAATATAAGGGATTAAAGAACAATAAAACAGGCCCAGGCACAGTGGCTCATGCCTGTAATCCCAGCACTTTAGTAGGTAGGCCTAGGCATGTGGATCCCTTGAGCTCAGGAGTTTGAGATCAGACTGGGCAACATAGTGAAACCCCATCTCTACTAAAAATACAAAAATTAGCTGGGTGCTGTTGCAGTGAGCTGAGATACCACCACAGCACTCTGGCCTGGGCAACAGAGCCAGACCCTGTCTAAAAAAAAAAAAAAAAAGAACAATAAAACATGTAACCTTTCCTAAGAGGGAGAGGTAGGTATGTAAATAACCAGTTGTACCTGAAAATAATGACGATATTAAAATGTTAATAAGAAGTAATACAATTTTAATTCTACCGGAAAATATAATTTGTAAACAAATTTTGCTTTGAAAGAGGAAATCAAGATTCAGGCTTTAGCAAAGGCTTCCCCAGTTGCCATCATGAGACACAGGCCAGGAGCAAGGGGAAGGCACTGACTGACTCACCGTGAACACAGTGGCCAAGTTTTAATGCTCACATTCTTTTGTGTCCCTTGTGAGGATGTAAGTGGTAATTTGACCATGAAAATTAGTTATTAACAATTTCAGATGCAACCCAGAAAATGTAATAAAAGAAAGTGCCTTTATAAGTGATGCTTTGTATCTAAAATTTTTGTGTTAATGAATTATGTTTATAGACTTTTCAATAATTTCTTTCTTCTGACACTTGAACATAATGGACTGTAGAAATTTCATGTTGGCATTATGATACCATTGCAAATATTAGCATGTGCAGCACTTCCTTAACTGATGGATTGAGATTCACCTTTCTATAGGAGATTGTTTTCTCCCTAATCTTAATCTGCAGTCAGTGACTGTCTGTAATCAACAGTTTTTAGCCTCAAGTATGGGTACACACATTGTATGGTATTTGAAGAAGAGTTTAATGCACTATTTGCATGCCTTTGTCTTGAGTTCTACCTGCTAAGCTATATATATTCTGTTCTGGCTGGGTTACCACTTATTGCTTGCATATTTTCTCTTAACATTTTCTTCCTTTTTTTTTTTTTTTTTGATACGGAGTCTCACTGTGACACCCATGCTGGAGTGCAGTGGCACTATCTCAGCTCACTGCAATCTCCGCCTCCCAAGTTCAAGAGATTCTCCTGCCCTAGCCTTCCGAGTAGCTGGGATTACAGGCGCATGCCACCACGCCCGGCTGATTTTTGTATTTTTAGTAGAGACGGGGTTTCTTCATGTTGGTCAGGCTGGTCTTGAACTCCCGACCTCAGGTGATCCACCAGCCTTGGCTCCCAAAGTGCTGGGATTACAGGCATGAGTCACCGCACCTGGCCTTCTCTTAACATTTTCATGTAATTGCTAATTCAAATTTTGGCCACCAATCTCAGTGGAATATTCTATCATTTTTACTGAAGGGGGCTATATTTTTATCTATCTGCATTATAAGCATGACATACACATAGATGATGTTTAATCGGGACGAGAATTCAGGAATAGATGAAAAATACATTTGTCTAACTCAGGATCTTGAAAATTTCCAAGTATTTTTCTAAAGCCTTTATTGTTTTAACTCTTGCAGTTAAGTCTATGAGTCATTTTGAATTAATTTTTGTATAGTATGAAATGAGAGCTTAAATTCAACTTTTCATGTGTGGATATCCAGTTGTACCAGCACCATTTGTTGAGCAGACCGTTTTCTCATCAGTGAATTGCATTGGTCAAATGACTCTAAATATAAGGATTTGTTTCTGGAAAAATTGATAAAATAGGCCTCATCAAAATTAAAATATTTTAAACTTCATAAGTCAATTAACTCTAAATATAAGGATTTGTTTTTGGAAAAATTGATAAAATGGACCTCATCAAAATTCAAAACTTTTACACTTCAAAATTTTAAGGATAAAGAAAATATGGTATATATACACAATGGAATTCTATTTAGTTGTAAAAAAATCATGAAATCCTGTCATTTGCAGGAACATGGATGGAACCAGAGGTCATTCTCATAAATAAAATAAGCCAGGCACAGAACAACACACATCACATGTTCTCACTTACACGTGGGAGCTAAAAACAGTTGATTTCATGGAGACAGAGAGTAGAATGATGGTTACCAGAGGCTGCAAAGGGTGAGGAGATGGGGATGAAGAGAGGTTGGCTAATGTGTACAAACATAAAGTTAGATAGAAAAAATAAGTTCTAGTGTTTGATAGCAGAGCAGCATGACTATAGTTAACAATAATATATATTTTTAAATAGCTAGAAGAGAAGATTTGAATGTTCCCAATACACACACAAAAAAAGATAGATGTTTGAGGTGATGGATATCTTATTTATCCTGATTTAATCATTACATATTGTATGCATGTATCAAAATATGTGTACCCCATAAATATGTACAGTTATTATCTGTCAATGAAAAGACACCATCAAGAAATGAAAAGGCAAACAACAGAGTGGTAAAAATATTAGCAAAACACAAATCTAATAAAGTATTAACACCCAGAATTTACAAAAGCTCTTACAGCTTAATAAGATGACAGTCCAACTGAAATATGGGCAAAGGATTTGGAATAGACATTTCTTCAAATAATAGATACAAATGGCTAATAAGCACATGAAAAGATGCTCAATATCATTAGTCAGGGAAATGCAAATCAAAACCATAATGAGAGCCAGGTGCGGTGGCTCACACCTGTAATCCCAGCACTTTGGGAGGCCGAGGCAGGTGGATCATCCGAGGTCAGAAGTTTGAGACCAGCCTGACCAACATGGAGAAACTCCGTCTCTACTAAAAATACAAAATTAGCCAGGTGTGGTGGTGCATGCCTGTAATTCCAGCTAGTCGGGAGGCTGAGGCAGGAGAATCACTTGAACCCGGCAGGTGGAGGTTGCAGTGAGCCGAGATTGCACCATTGCATTCCAGCCTGAGCAAAAAGAGAGAAATTCCATCTCAAAAAAAAAAAAAAAAAAAGTAATGAGATACTACTTCACATCCTCTAGAACAGCTGTCATAAAAAAGACAGTAACAAGTGTCTGTGGGTGTGGAGAAGTGGGAACCATTATACACCACTGATAGGAATGCATTGGTAAAATGTGGCAGCCATTTTGGAATACAGTTTGGCAATTTCTCAAAAAGTTGAACATAAAACTACCATGCAACCCAGCAATTCCACTCCCAGGTATCTACCCAAGAGAAATGAAAATATATGTTCTCATAAAAACTTGCATGCAGATGTTCATAGCATCATTATTCGTTATAACAAAAAGCTAGCAACAACCTAAATGTTGATTAACTTGTGAATGGCTGGACAAAAATGTGATGTATCCATATAATGGAATACCATCCAGCGATAACAAGAAACAAACTGTCGACATAAGCTATGTCATGGGTAAATCTCAAAAATATGATGTTAAGTGAAATAAACCAGATGAAAGAGACCACATATTGTATGGTTCTGTGTATATGAAATGTGCAGACAAGGCAAATTTATAGAGGAAGGAAGTAGATTAGTGCTTGCCTGGAGCAGGGAGTGGGAATGGAGATGAACAGAAAATGGGGTGTGAGCATTCTTATTAAGGGGATGAAAATGTTCTAACATTGATTTATGGTGATGGTTACACAACTTGGTAAGGCTACTAAAAATCATTGAATTGTATAGTTGAAATGGGCAAATTTTATACATAAAGTATGCCTCAATTAAGCTAGAAAAATAGATTAAAAAGCTGCTCTGAGAAAATTCATAATCCTTTGGGGTGGCACTGTTTCTCTTTCAGTTTAATACAATCTAATTTATTGAATATCTACAGTGGGGTGAGCAGTTTTTCAGAGCAGATGGTAAACAGCACAGGGCTGGGAGTCAGAGTTCTGCTATTAAGATACTGTACCTGACATATATTGGCTGAAAATTGGGGCAAGCCAATCAATTTTTCTGTGCCTTGGTTTCCTTTCCTCATTTGCAAAAACTGAAATTAACAACGCCTGTTTTGCATCTTTGTGAGGAATGACTTAGCCTTGCTACCACACTTCTGCTTGTGTGACACTGTTCCCTGTTATAATGATTTGCAAACCATGTATATTCTCTTATACGCTAGAAGCTTTATGTTCTTTTTGTTTATCTCTGTATCACCTAGTACCAGACAAATGCCTGGAAATAAATGTTATTTGAATTCTGTTTTTATTTAAATTAGAAATTAGCATTTGGGGATTATTAATTTAGTCTTTATTAATTTATTAATAGTACTGGTATGTACTGTCTTTCTAAATGAAGATAATATGCTCATCCACCATTAGAAGAACACATGTTTTATCCCTTAGCTTGTAGGGAAGCATGGGGTGAGCCTCCTAAGCTCTGCCCCTGTCACTAATAGTATGGCTTTTAGGAAGACTCTATGAAGCAGGGCCACTTTATGATTTTCTTGGGCCCTAGATATCTTTGCCTATGTAGGCTCTTCCTCTGTAGAAAAATATGTCAAATTATGTTTTATAACTGTCAGTATAAAGGTGAATATATTATTATAATATTATATATAAAGGCCAGCACGGTGGCTCATGCCTGTAATCCCAGCACTTTGGGAGGCTGAGGTGGGTAGGTCGCTTGAGCCCCAAAGTTCAAGACCAGCCTGGGCAACATGGCAAAACCCTGTCTCTCCAAAAACATAAAAATTAACTAGGTGTGGTGGCAAGTGTCTGTAGTCCCAGCTACTGGGAAGGCTGAGGCAGGAGAATTGCTTGAACCCAGAAGGCAGAGGTTGCAGGGAGCCAAGATCGTGCCACTGCACTCCAGCCTGGGAGACAGAAAAAAAAAAAGACAAAGTGTTGATCATAAAGGAAAAGACTGATATTTTACTACATTAAAATTATAACTTCTAACTATTAGGAGTCACCATAGAGTAAAAAAAAAAGCCATAAATTGGGAGATGATATGTGTAATACATAAAACTAACAAAGAACTAGTATCAAGAATATATAAAGAATACTTATGGGCCAGGCACATGGCTCACTCTTTGGGAGGCTGAGGCAGGAGGATCACTTGAGCCCAGGAGGTTGAGGCTGCAGTGAGCTAGGATCTTGCCACTGCCCTCCAGCCTGGGCAACAGAGCTAGGCTCTATCTTAAGAAAAACAAAAACAAAAACAAAAAAAAAGAATACTTATGAATTAATAAGAGAAGTATGTCAATAGAAACAGTGAGCAGAAACTTCAACAGGCACTTCACAAAAGAGAATATCCAAGTTGGCAATAAATACATGAAAAGATGATTAACTACTTTGGTAATGAGGAAAATTAAATTAAAAATACAAGATACTATATTCAGATCCCAAATTGGCAGTGAATTTAAGAATGACAAATAGTTGATGTTGGCAAGGATTCTTTTTTTTTTTTTGAGACAGAGTCTCACTCTGTCGCCCAGGCTGGAGTGCAGTGGCGCCATCTCAGCTCACTGCAAGCCCCGCCTCCCGGGTTCACACCATTCTCCTGCCTCAGCCTCCCGAGTAGCTGGGACTGCAGGCTCCCGCCACCATGGCCAGCTAATTTTTTGTATTTTTAGTAGAGACGGGGTTTCACCATGTTAGCCAGGATGGTCTCGATCTCCTGACCTCATGATCCGCCTGCCTCGGCCTCCCAAAGTGCTGGGATTACAGGCGTGAGCCACGGTGCCCAGCCAGATGTTGGCAAGGATTTCAAGTAATAAGAACTAATATACACTGCTGGTAGGAGTGTTAATTGATACCAAAGCTCTGTAAGTAGGTTGCAATACATAGTAAAGTAGAAAATGTGCATATCCTCTGATCCAGCTACTCCATTCTAGGGAACTTTTTGTATATGTGCACCAAGAGGTATGTTCAAGATTGTTCATGGCAGTGTTCTTCACAGTCACCTTAAACAGGAAACAACTAAAGTGTTCGTTAAAAATAGAATGGGGGCCGGGCGCGGTGGCTCACGCCTGTAATCCCAGCACTTTGGGAGGCCGAGGCGGGTGGATCATGAGGTCAGGAGATCGAGACCATCCTGGCTAACACGGTGAAACCCCGTCTCTACTAAAAATACAAAAAATTAGCCGGGCGCAGTGGTGGGCGCCTATAGTCCCAGCTACTCGGGAGGCTGAGGCAGGAGAATGGCGTGAACCCGGGAAGCGGAGCTTGCAGTGAGCCGAGATTGCGCCACTGCAGTCCTCAGTCCGGCCTGGGCGACAGAGCGAGACTCCGTCTCAAAAAAAAAAAAAAAAAAAAAAAAAATAGAATGGGTAAGTAAATTGTGAGATATTCATATTTAGGGTCAGATGAGGTGGCTCATGCCTGTAGTCCTGGCACTTTGGGAGGCTGAGGCTGGTGGATTGCTTGAGCTCAGGAGTTCAAGACTAGCCTTGTCTTGAACATAGTGAAATCTTGTCTCTACAAAAAATACAAAAAAAAAATTAAAAATTAGCAACGTGTGTTGACACATGCCTGTAGTCCCACTTATTTGGGGAGCTGAGGCAGGAGGATCTCTTGAGCCTGGGAGGTCAAGGCCGCAGTGAGCTGTGATCTCACCACTGCACTCCAGCCTGGGCAACAGAGTGACACCCTGTCTCAAAACAACAACAAATATATATATAAAATGAAATAGCATATGGCAATGAAAATAAACAAACAGATGTCTACACCTAGCACTATAAAGGAATCTTGCAAAGATGATACTGAACAAAAAAGTCATTCACAAAAGACTCCGTCCAATATTATTTCATTTCTATTACATTAAAGAAAGGGCAAAACTAAACTATTTGAGGAATGCATACAAAACACAGTGATCACCTCTGGGCAGAAGGAGGGAGATGGAATGGGAAGAGCACACAGGAGGCTACTGGCTGCTGACAGTATTTTGTTTTGTTTTGTTTTGTTTCTTTGACTTGGATGGTGGTTTCATAGATATTTGCCTGTGGTTATTCCTTAAGCTATAAATGTTTTGTGCACTCTTCTGTATTATGATACATCTCAATGAGAATAAAAGGGTGGATTTACCACCCCCCCCCACCACCAAACTACATATATGTACCAATGTATGTAGTCCTCATACTTTGATAGCAAGTAGTATCATAGGCAGGGATGCTATGGTGTAATAATAATGTTTGTGTCTTCTGAGTTTTTCTGTTTCGCATGTGGTGATTGTACAGTGGGATTGTTGCTGTCATAGTAATCTCTCATAGCTGACTTTACTGTCTAAGAAGGGAGTGGGCAGGAACAACTCTAAATGGAACTCTGTAAATGTCCAACACTTTTCCTTCCCCGTCCTCCACCATGGCCTCCTTTCCTTTGCCTTCCAAGAGTTTAGAGCTCTCATGCTGCCTGCTGCCCTCTGTGTGTCCAGAATATTTTGTGATCTGCCACCCCCTAACCTAGGCCTACCCTGCTCACATAGCCTATCACTTTGTTTCCATTTCCCCCAGGACTCCTCCTCTGTCCCTGATGATGGCTGTTTAAGAAGCAGATTGTATGGGAGTGTATCATTCAACCGTCCCTAAGATGTGGCCGTGTCTGTCTCCTTCCGCTTTGTGTCCTCCTTTGGGCACTTACTTCCCCCTTCCCTCTCTAGGTGCATCAAAAGTTCCTCCAGCATGATTTTCTAAATTTAGTTTCTTATGAATACTCAGTTAATGCTTTTCTAAAACAGTCTCTTTTTTTTCCAAATATGGTGGGAACCCTTTGGCAAATTTGCCCACTTCTAGCCAGATACTGAGAACACGCGGGGTTTTCCTTTACACGGTAAACTCCTTGAAGGTAGGGATTGTATCTTTGTCTTATTCCCCTACTGCATTCCCAGAGCCTAACATAGTACCTGGCATGCTGAAGAGGCTCAATAAATATTTGATGAACTCATGGATGGGAGAGAGAAGGAAAACAATGATTACTCCCCTCTGAGACAGGAGAGGAGGCTACGGGTCATGCATGTGCTTGTGAGACTTCTATTCCTGCTAAGAGAAAATGCAACCCCTTAGTAAGCATGAGGAAGAATATCCCACTTTGTGGAAATGAAGAAACCCATAAGTAATAACAGTGAAGTCATTTTCACTTATTACACTAGCCAAAATATTTTATTTCAGTGTTAAAATGCAGTGCTGGTAAAACCGACACTCTCAGCCAGGCTGGTAAAGGTGAACAGTGGTGTGACCTTTTAAGAAAGCAGTTTGGCAATATGTAACAAGAACATTTAAAATATTTATACCTTTTGCTATAATAATCTCACTTTAGCGGGCTTAACCAAGAAAATAACCGAAATGGAGAGTCAAGATATTCACTGCAGTTCCCTTTATATTAACTAAAAAGGAAAAGCAACCTTAGTATAGCAACAATTGAGCAAATCGTGACATACACACATGATGAAGATGCTAAAAAAGATCATTATGAACCGTGCAGCCACCTAGGAAATAATTCTGTTAAGCAATAAAAGTAAAATTGAAATGATTTTTTGTCATATCACGTAAAAAGATAATGTGGATAAAACATAGAAGGGCATGTACTAAAAGAAAAAAAAACTGGTTCGTGGGAGAAGTAAGACTTCAGCATGTTTGTTTCTTTTTCTGAATTTTCTTTTATGTTATAATTTTCATAAACATAAAAATTCTCAAAATTAATCCAAATGTATAGGTTAGTAGAAAATGTCTGCTTTTTACTGATCTCTCGTCAGCTCTGCATGTGTAGAAATAAAGGCCAATACCTAATGTAGGCAAGTTCAAGATACAGGTAGATGATAACATAACTAGATTTTGAACTCTCTGCTCACTACTGAACAATTATATTTGGCAATTACTGGGTACTAGGAGATGAGGGTACAAAGATGGTATTGAGCTCTACCTAGAGTTCTGTAAAATGCTCACGTATGTCAGATTTCAAGAGCAGAATCGGGGTAGTAGGAACAGGAAAACAAAGGGAGAACACCACGGTTATAGAATCAGTAGCAGATCAGCTCAACATTTGCTCCTGGCCCAAATGGAGAAAAGAGACTGGATTTACCCTCCCCCTGGAACAACTGCAACAACAAAATACAGACAAAAATACATTAAAAAAATTTTAAATACACTATTCATCAGGCAACAAAGAATAGTGATCCCTGAGAGATGGGAAACAAAGTGAGTCTTATGATTGCCCAAGCTTGCTGTCTTCACAATTTCTAGACCATGATATAGGGAGAGGAAAGTGGTAGAACCCAGCAGACTCCTTAAGTCAAGTAGAAGGAACTGAGAGGGGAGACCAGAGCAGCTAGAGTTCACAGGACTAAGTACCAGAGGGAAGAGAGCTGCACAAAGAAGAGAGAAACCCACAGATATCCAAAGAGTCCCTCAAATGTTCAACATAGTATTACTTGGTACCTGCATGTGAAGAAATTACTCAAAGCTGATCTTTAAAAAGTACCATTCAAGCCAAGCGTGGTGGCTCACATCTGTAATCCCAGCATTTAGGAGGCTGAGGTGAGAGGATTGCTTGAGCTCAGGAGTTTGAGACCAGCCTGGGCAACCTGGTGAGACCATGCCTCTACAAAACAATAAAGAAATTAGTTAGGCATGATGGCGTGTGCCTGTAGCACTGGCTACTCTGGAGTCTGAAGCAGTAGGAACGCTTGAGGCTGAAGTGAGCTATGATTGAACCACTGTGCTCCAGCCTGGGCAGCGAATGAAACTCTGTCCCAAAGGGAGGGAGGGAAGGAAGGACACAAGGAAGGAAGGAAGAGAGCGAGGGGAGGGAGAATGGGAAGGAAGGAGAAGGAAAAGAAAAGGAAAGAAAGAGAGAAAGAGAAAGGAAGAACCACCCAAAAGGGTTAGAGGAAACTGCCCAGCATTCACACAAGGCCAAGAAAAGTGGCTATTCCCACCAGCCACCAGCCAAACAGGAAAACCACATAATACATCAGGCATAAGATAGAGCACTTAGGAAGGTCTTGTCTCAGTAACAGATAATACATAGCCCTAGACTGAGCACTGCTCCAGTACTGCCTAAAATATCATGAAAGCAAAACCCCAAAAGATCAAATTGTTTCCAAATAATTTAACTGTATACAAAACAAAGCTCAAGGATATTTATAGGAATATAAAAACACTCAGCACCCAACTAGATAAAATCGACAATGCCTGACATCCAGTGAAAGATTACCAGGGTGCAAAGAGGCAAGAAAATACAACCAATACCAAGGAGATTAATCAATCAAAACCAGTGCAGAACTGACACGTTAGAGTCAGCAGAGAAAGACATCAAGACAATTATTATAACTATATTTCATATCTTCAGAAAGTTAAGTAGACATGACAGATACGAAAAAGACCCAAATTAAACTTCAGTGTTTGAGAAGAAAAGCACTCTGGATGGGATTAACAACAGGTTAGTCATTGAAAAAGAAAAGAATAATGAAAGCACAGTAATGGAAACTATCTGCAGCTAAACTCAGAAACAAAAGAAAATGAAACGAACATCAGTGAGCTGTGGAACAACTACAAGCAGCCTAATATACTAGTAATTGGAGGGCCTGAAGGTGTGGGAGACAAAATATGTATTTGGAGAAATAATCCCCCACAGGTTCCCAAACTTGGTGAACATTATAAACCCACAGATCCAAGACATTCAGTGAACCCCAAGCATAAGAAACATAAAACTACACCGCGGATCACGAGGTCAGGAGATCGAGACCATCCTGGCTAACATGGTGAAACCCTGTCCCTCCTAAATATACAAAAAATTAGCCGGGCGTGGTGGCGGGCACCTGTAGTGTCCCAGCTACTCGGGAGGCTGAGGCAGGAGAATGGCGTGAACCCGGGAGGCAGAGCTTGCAGTGAGCCAAGATTGCCCCACTGTACTCCAGCCTGGCTGACAGAGCAAAACTCCATCTCAAAAAAAAAAAAAAAAACTACACCAAAGCATATCATTATAAATTGCTCAAGGCTGGGCACAGTGGCTCATGCCTGTACTCCCAGCACTTTGGGAGGCCGAGATGGGCAGATCACTTGAGGTCAGGAGTTCAAGACCAGCCTGGACAACATGGTGAAATCCTGTCTCTACAAAAAAATACAAGAATTAGCCAGGTGTGTTGGCAGGCATCTGTAATCCCAGCTACTTGGGAGGCTGAGGCAGGAGAATCACTGGGAGGCAGAAGTTGCAGTGAGCTGAGATCATGCCACTGTACTCCAGCCTGGGAGACACAGCAAGACTCCATCTCAAATAAATAAATAATAAAAATATAAATAAATAAAATTGCTCAAAAGCAATGGTAAAGAGAAAAATCTTAAAAGCAGCCAGAGAGAAAAGGCATGTAATTAGTACAGGGGAACAAAAAGAAGCCTGACATCAGATTTCTCATGGGAAACAATATAAATGAGAAGACAGAGCAATATTTTTAAAGTTAACCTAGAATTCTATACCCAATAAAAATATCTTTTGGCCAGGTGCGGTGGCTCACGCCTGTAATCCTAGCACTTTGGGAGGCTGAGGTGGGTGGATCACTTGAGGTCAGGAGTTTGAGACCAGGCTGGCCGACATGGTGAAACCCCATTTCTACTAAAAATGCAAAAAAAATTGCCAGGCATGGTGATGTGGGCCTGTATTTGGGAAGCGGAGGCACGAGAATCGCTTTAACCCGGGAGACAGAGGTTGCAGTTAGCCAAGATCGCGCCACTGCACTCCAGCCTGGATGAAAGAGTAAGACTCCATCTCAAAAACAAACAAACAAAAAATAATCTTTCAAAAATGAAGATGAAATAAAGACACTTTAAGACGTACAAAATATGGAATAGTTCACAACCAGCAGACTCACACTACAAGAAATGCTAAAGGAAGTCATTCAGATAGATGGACTTGATAGCAGATGAAAATCCGAATCTTTACAAGGCATTGAAAACCACTGAAAATAGGCCAGGCACAGTGGCTCACACCTGTAATCCCAGTACTTTGGGGCCGAGGCGGGTGGATCATGAGATCAGGAGATCAAGACCATCCTGGCTAACACGGTCTCTACTAAAAATATTTGAAAAATTAGCCAGGCGGGGTGGCGGGCACCTATAGTCCCAGCTACTCGGGAGGCTGAGGCAGGAGAATGGCATGAACCCGGGAGGTGGAGCTTGCAGTGAGCCGAGATTGTGCCACTGCACTCCAGCCTGGGCAACAGAGCGAGACTCCATCTCAAAAAAAAAAAAAAGAAAAGAAAAAGAAAACCACTGAAAATAGTAACTGCATAGATAAATGTATTTAATTTTTAAATTTAAATCTATTTAAAAGATGATTGTTACACCAGTATAATAATATATTTTGGGTTTATAATACATTTAAAAGTAAATTGTATGACAATAGTCTAAAGGCCAGGAGGGGAAATATGGAAGTTCATTATTGTAAAGTTCTTATACATGAAATTTTGCAACATCACCTGAGGTTTTACAGTGGCAAGTGAGGATATACAGTCATTTCTCAGTATCCACAAGGGCTTGATTCCAGAACCCCTGCTGATACAAAATTTGCAGAAGCTCAATTCCCTTATATAAAATGGCATAATATCTGCATATCACCTGTGCACATCCTCCCATATACTTTAAATCTTCTCTACATTACTTATAATACTGAATACAATGTAAATGTTATATAAATAATTGTTATACTGTATTGGGTTTTTAAATTTGTATTTTTATTGTTGTATTTTTATTTTTATTGTTTTTTAAAAAAATATTTTTGTTTTGTTTTGTTTTGTTTTTGAGACAGAGTATCACTCTGTTGCCCAGGCTGGAGTGCAGTGGTGCAATCTCAGCTCACTGTGACCTCCGCCTCCTGGGTTCAAGCGATTCTCCTGCCTCAGCCTCCAAGTAGCTGGGATTACAGGTGCCTGCCACCACGCCCAGCTAATTTTTTTGTATTTTTATTAGAGACAGGGTTTCACCATGTTGGCCAGGCTGGTTTCGAGCTCCTGGCCTCAAGTCATCCACCTGCCTCAGCCTCCCAAAGTGCTGGGATTACCAGCGTGCACCACTGTGCCTGGCCTGGTTTTGTTTTTCATAATTCAGTTTAATCAATAAGCATGTATTTATTGACTATTTTTTTAAAAAAGGAAGTACAGTCATGTACCACATAATGATGTTTGGTCAGTGATGGACCTCGTATACAAAGGTGGTCCCATAAGATTATAATACTGTATTTTTACTGTACCATTTCTATATTTAGATATGTTTAGATACACAAATACCATTTTGTTACAATTGCCTATAGCATTCATATAGTAGTTATTCATGTTGTAATTATTCAAAACTATTCATGCCGTATAGTTTTGCTGTAGCTTTGGGGCAGTAGGCCATACCATATAGCCTATGTGTATAGTGGGCTATACTGTCTAGGTTTATGTAAGTATATTCTAGAGTTCGCAGAAGGACAAAATTGCCTAATGACACATTTCTTAGAGCATATTTCTGTCACTAAGCAAACATAACTATAAAATTGTCTTTATTCATAGACCACGTGATTGTCTATGTAGAAGACCCAATGAAATCTTTTAAAAAGCTACTAGCACCAATAAGTGAGCATAAACATTGCAGGATACAGGAGCAATATACAAATGTCAATTGTATTTTTAGAAAGCCTAGAAATAAACCCGCACATACAGGGACAACTGACTTTTTGTTTTTATTTTTTTGAGACAGAGTCTCAGTCTATCACCCAGGCTGGAGTGCTATGGTGTGATCTTGGCTCACTGCAACCTCCACCTCCCTTCAAGGGATTCTCCAGCCTCAGCTACCCAAGTAGATGGGACTACAGGCGCATGCCACCACATGCAGCTAATTTTTGTATTTTTTGTAGAAACAGGGTTTCACCATGTTGACCAGGCTGTCTTGAACTCCTGACCTCAAGTGATCCACCTGCTTTGGCTTCCCAAAGTGCTGGGATTACAGGCGTGAGCCACTGTGCCCACCCACAACTGACTTTTTAACAAAAGCACAAAGACAATGCAATGAAGAACGGATAGCCTTTTCAGCAAATGGTACTGGAACAGTTGAATGTCCATATTCAAAAACATGAACTTTGATCTATGTCTCACACCACATACAAAAATTAGATAGGTCATAGATGTAAATGTTAAACCAAAAACTATGCAACTTGTAGAAGAAAACATGGGGAAAATATTTGTGACCTGGCTTAGGTAATGGTTTTTTGGATATAACACCAAAAGTTTAATCTAAAAAAGAACAAATCGATAAATTGGACTTCATTAAATTAAGAACTTCTCCTTCAAATGAGAATGAAAAGACAAGCCACAGACGGGCGCGGTGGCTCACGCCTGTAATCCCAGCACGTTGGGAGGCCGAGGCGGGCAGATCATGAGGTCAGGAGTTTGACACCAGCCTAGCCAACATAGTGAAACCCCATCTCTACTAAAAATACAAAAAGTTAGCCAGGCATGGTGGCGGGTGCCTGTAATCCCAGCTACTCGGGAGGCTGAGGCAGGAGAGTCACTTGAACCTGGGAGGCGGAGGTTGCAATGAGCTGAGATCATGCCATTGCACTCCAGCCTGAGCGACAGTGTGAGAGACTCCATCTCGAAAAAAAAAAAAAGAAAAGAAAAGCCACAGGATAGGAGAAAAATCTTTGCAAAGCATATAAAGGGATTGTTTCTGAACTAAAGCCCTATAAAAATTGAAAAATAAGAAAATAAGCCAGTTTTTAAAATGAGAAAAGTTATATGGGTGGCAGTTAAGCACTGTGAAAAGATACTCAACATCATTAATCATTAGGGAAATGCAAATTTAAATAACAATGAGATACCAGTATACACCTATTAGTATGGCTAAAATAAAAGACTACATCAAGCAATGGTGAGGATGTAGAGGTGGTAGAACTCTAATGCAGTGCTGAGAACATAAAATTATAAAGTCACCTTTGGAACAGTCTGACAGTTGCTTAAAAAGTTAAATATATACCAGCCATATGGTCTAGCCATTTTATTCCTAGGTGTTTACCAGAGGGGAAAGAAAATAAAATCCATACAAACACTTGTATACAATTGTTGATAGCAGCTTTCTTTGTAATAACCCCAAACTGGAAACAACCCAAAAGTCTATAACAGGTGAATGGATAAATAAATTGATATATCCAAACAGTAATGAATTCTTGATACCCATGACAATGTGGATGAATCTCAAAATAAATCTAGTGAGTGAAAAAAGCCAGACCAAAAAGAAACAAAAAAAGGGATACTGTACAATTCTATGCATAGAAACTCTAGAAAATGCAAAGTAATCTATAGTGGCAGAAAACAGATCAGCAGTTTCTTGGGGATGGGAGCAAGGGAAGCATAGGTGGGAGGAATTACAAAGAGGTACAAGGAAACGTGGGGATGATAAATATGTTCATTATTTTGATTGTGATGATTTCATGTGTATGTACATATGTCAAACTTACCAAATTGTGTACTTTAAGTATGTGCAGTTTATTGTCAATTATCCCTCAATAAAGCTATTTTTAAAATCAACAGCATAAGAATGGATTAGGAAGATACCTGATTTAACATGAGTTTTAGAGGGGAAATATGTTATATTTTAATTAAATGCTAATTCAACTGAATCAAAAATAAAACATGGCTGACATAACTAATGCAGGCTCAGAGTGCAATAATAGAAATATGGTGTCTACATTAGAAGGACATTAATTGCATGTGAATGTGAAAAGAGGTCCGTTGTAGTTAACCCAGGAAAGAAGCAAATTATAGTCTACATTTTGTACAGGCATCAAAGGCAAAAGGAGAGCTCATAAAGACTTAAGCTCTTGGTCATCTGGAAAACCTTTAACAAGATTTAGCAAAGCATTTGCTGAATATCTACTGTGTTCTAGGTTCTGTGCTAAACATGTTCATTGCTACTGTGAGGTTGTAGTGTCATTTTGCAGATCATGAAACAGACTGTAAGGAGGGTTAATAATTGGTGAAATAAGAGGTAACGAGTGGCAAAAATCAAGATTCAAACTCTCTACTGGCTACGTAATTGGCTCCCTATGTTTTGGAAGATTTTTTCCCCCAGTGATTTTGGGCTAACAGAAAGTAATTGAACTATTGTATAAAGAGGATAAGGAGATTATTTTGGTATTTTTTTCCATTTTATTTCTTTAGCCACAATGTGACAGTCATTGTACCTGGAGCTGGGAATGCCCTCAAGGAGCTGTATGACCTAGTGGGAGAAACAAGAAGTTACAAACTACCACAATGTAGAGAGCAGAGCTGTGACTTGCTCAAGGAACTTTCCAAGTTTGTGAATCCTCCAGTGCTTACAAGTTCCTTCTTTAAATGGATATGAAATCATTAGTAGAGAGAATGAGGCCTTGGTGAGATGTAGATGCTGAGCAAATCAGCTACTTACTCACTAAGCACCAGGTTCTGCACGGTAGCCTCACAGCCCCATGGTTCAAATTCGTGTCTGAGCAAGGTGACAGGGGATCACATTTTGGATATTTAGGGGCTACTCCCAAATAATCAAAACTGTTCTGAAACATTTACATATTTCAAAAATACCTATGTGCGTGTGTATATACATACATATATAATATATTCATATATATGCAGTAAAAAGTTTCTCTTTCATCTCACCTTATTTCTAGTCTCCTCCCAAACAGGTAACCACTGTAATTATTTTTCTTATGTATTTTTCTAGATTTTCTTTATATCTATTCAAGCAAGCACAAATGCAAATTCTTATTTTTACAACTTTCTTACTCCAAAGGCAAAATTTTGTATGCAGGATTCTGCACCTCACTTTTTCATATTGCTGTGTCTTAAAGATCTTTCCAAATCAATAGAGAACTTCCTCATTAATTTTTTACTGCCACATACTATCTGGATATGCCATAATTTATTTAACCTGCTCCCTATTGATAGGCATTTATATTGTTTTGAAACAATGTAGCAATGAATAACCTCAATATATATCATTTCTCACATATATATAAATGTCCAGGATTGCTGGATCAAACATATACTCATTTGTAATTTCTATGCATGCTGTCAAATTACTCTCCTAACAGGTTGTACCAATATTTCCACAGAGGCTCACTAATTGAGTTTATTTATTGAACTTTTGGATTTTTGTGAATCTGATGGGTGAAAAATAAAATCTGTGTTTTTTCTTTAGACGGAGTCTTGCTCTGTTGCCTAAGCTGGAGTATAGTGGCGCGATCTCGGCTCACTGCAACCTCCACCTCCTGGGTTCAAGCAATTCTCCTGCCTCAGCATCCCAAGTAGCTGGGATTACAGGCAGGTGCCACCATGCCCAGCTAATTTTTGTATTTTTAGTAGAGACGGGGTTTCACCATGTTGGCCGGGCTCATCTCGAACTCCTGACCTTGTGATTTGCCCGCCTGAGCCTCCTAAAGTACTGGGATTACAGGATGAGCCACCATGCCTGGCCCAAAATCTGTTTTTTAAATTTGCATCTCCCTTATTGACATTAAGCATTGTTGCATTTGTTTAAAAGCTGTTTGCATTTTTTCCTATAAACTCTAAGTTCATAACCTTTACCCTTTAGTTATTGAGTTGTTGGTTATCATAGTTTGGGTTCTGCTAGAATCAGAGTTTAAGGGAAGGACTTAGGTGCAGGTTGTTTATTTGAGAAATAATCCTTGGAAGCAGGAATAAGCCAACATAAGAGTGTTTTTTGTACATAATTCCTGTAAAACAGAAAGGCTTGAATCCACTAGATACTCCAAGAAGCATGCAGAATTCCTCAAAGAATTATCCTTCTGAAGAATGGGAGGCTCAGACCGGGCGCGTTCACTCATGCCTGTAATCCCGGCAGTTTGGGAGGCCAAGGCAGGAGGATCACTTGAGCCCAGGAGTTTGAGACCAGCCTGGGCAACATAGGGAGACCTCCTGTCTGCAAAAAATACAAATAAATTAGCTAGGTGTGGTAGCCCACGCTTTTGGTCCTACCTACATGGGAGGCTGAGGTAGGATTGCTTGAGCCAAGGAGTTGAGGCTGCAGTGAGCCATGATCATACCACTGCACTCCAGCCTGGGTAACAGAGTGAGACTCCATCTCAAAGAAAAAAGAATGCGAGGCTCGGGAGGCTGGGACATTTATTCTTACATCCCTTATTAATTTAGGATTGCCCTACAAGCATTATACGTTCTTGCACTTCTGGACTATACAGAGGGCTGAGAGAGCTTTGTGGCCTTGGAGAAGGCCCTGAGACAAATAACTAAAAGAAGCTAGATGTGAGCTTGAGGTAGGATGCTATCCCCAGGAGTCTGAGCTCATGCAGAACTGTCCACTAGAGCCTCTCCTGAAATCAAAGGTAGACCAAAGGGATGTGATGTAGGGCAACAAAGCATCCGCTTACTACAATGTTTTTCTCTTATTGGCCTCTGTTGACAGTAATGCATAGTGTAATTATTGTGATATTAGTCACAGAATTTTCCCTGGTTTATAATTTTGTTTATACATAGTATTTTTAAAGTAACAACTTTGGCCAGGTGCAGTGGCTCAAGCCTGTAATCCTAGCACTTTGGGAAGCTGAGGCAGGCGAATCACTTGAGGCCAGGAGTTCGAGACCAGCCTGGCCAACATGGCAAAACCCCATCTCTACTAAAAATACAAAAATTAGCTGGGCATGGATGGTGCATGCCTGTAATCCCAGCTACTTGGGAAGCTGAGACATGAGAACCACTTGAACCCAGGAGGCAGAGGTTACAGTGAGCCAAGATTGTGCCACTGCACTCCAGCCTGGGTGACAGAGTGAGACTCTGTCTCAAAATAAAGTGTGACAGAGTGAGACTCTGTCTCAAAATAAAATAAACTGACAACTTTATTAAGATATAATTCATATATCATGCAATTCATCCATTAAAAGTATATAATTCAATAAAAAACAAAAAGTGTACAATTCAGTGTTTTTAAGTATTATATTCACAGAATTATGCAATCGTCACCGCAGTAAATTTCAGAACATTTTCATCACTCCAAGGAAAAATCCCATATCCATTAATAGTCATTCCCTGTTTCATCCCTTTCCTCAGCCCCTGGCAACCACAAATCTGTTTTCTATTTCTATGTATTTGTCTGTTCTGGGCATTTCATATAATTGTTACACATGGTCTTTTGTGAGTAGCTTCTTTCATTTGGCATAATGTTTTCAAGGTTCATCCATATCGTAGTATGTATCAGTACTTTATTCCTTTTTACTGCTGAATAATATTCTACTGTATGGATAAACATATGATACAAATAAATTTTCAATTTTTTAATAGGTAAGTTGATACAAATCAATTTTCAGTTTTTCAGTCAGGTTGTCCATTATTGATTTATAAGAGGTTTTTTAAATATATATATTTGGGATACAAGTTCTTTATCAGATACATGATTTTCAAAGATTTTTCTCCCATTCTGTGGGTTGTCTTTCACTTTCTTGATGGTGTCCTTTGAAGCATAAACCTATGTTTATCCATACAATATACAATCTGTGGATAAATGCCATTCATCAGTTGATGGGCATTTGGGTTATTTCCATTTTGGAGCTATTATGAACAATCCTGCTATGAACATTTGTGCACAGGTTTTTGGCTGGATGCGTGTTTTCCTTTCTCTCACATTTCAAACCTAGGAGTGGAATTGCTGGGTCATATGATAACTCTATGTAAAATCATTTGAGAACTGTTTTCCAAAGTGGCAGCACCATTTTACATTTCTACCAGCAATGTGTGAGGATTCAAATTTCTCCATATCCTTACCAACACTTGTTAATGTCTGTTTTTATTATAGCCACCCTTGTGGGTACGATGTAGTAGCTCATTGTGGTTTTGATTTGCATTTCTCCAGTGGTTAATGATGTTGAGCATCTTGTCATGTGCTTATTGGCCATTTGTATATTTTCCTTGAAGAAGTATCTATACAAATCAATTTTCAATTTTTCAGTTGGGTTGACTCTTTATTGATTTACAAGAGTTTTTAAAATATATTTGGAATACAAGTCCTATATCATATACGTGATTTTCAAAGATTTTCTCCCATTCTGTGGGTTGTCTTTTACTTTCTTGATGGTGTCCTTTGAAACATGAAGTTTATTTATCTTGATGAAGACTAATTCATGTATATTTTCTTTTGTTTGTGTTTTCGGTGTTATAGCTAAGAAACCATTGCCTAATCCATGGTCATGAAAATTACTCCTGTGTTTTCTTCTAAGAGTGTTATAGCTATTAGCTATTAGCCATTACATTTAGATGTATAATCTATTTTAGGTTAATTTTTTTTTTTTTTTTTGAGATGAAGTCTACCTCTGTCACCCAGGTTGGAGTGCAGTGGCTCGATCTCGGCTCACTGCAACCTCTGTGTCCCAGGTTCAAGTGATTCTTCTGCCTCAGCCTCCTGAGTAGCTGGGACTACAGGCGCCCACCACCACGCCTGGCTAATTTTTTGTATTTTTGGTACAGACGGGGGTTTCACCATGTTAACCAGGCTGGTCTCGAACTCCTGACCTCGTGATCCGCCTGCCTCAGCCTCCCAAAGTGCTGGGATTATAGGCATGAGCCACCGCGCCCGGCCTTAGGTTAATTCTTGTATGTGGTATGAGGAAGAGGTTCAACTTCATTCTTTTGCCTGTGGATATCCAGTTGTCACAAAACCATTTGTTAAGATGACTAAATTTTTTAACCCCTTGAATTTTCTTGGCACTGTTGTCAAATTTCATTTGCCCATAAAATGTAAGAGTTTATCTCTGGACTCTCAGTGTTATTTCCTTGATCTGTATGTCTGTCCTTATGCCAACACCACACTGCATAATTATGGTAGCTTTGTATGAAATTCTGAAATGGGGACGTGTAAGTCCTCCAGCTTTGCTTTTCTTTTTCAAGATTGTTTTCGCTGTCCAGATGCGGTGGCTCACGCCTGTAATCCCAGCATGTTGGGAGGCAGAGGCGGGCGGATCACGAGGTCAGGAGATCGAGACCATCCTGGCTAACATGGTGAAACCCTGTCTCTACTGAAAATACAAAAAAATTAGCTGGGCATGGTGGCAGGCACCTGTAGTCCCAGCTACTCAGGAGGCTGAGGCAGGAGAATGGCGTGAACCCGGGAGGCAGAGTTTGCAGCGAGCCGAGATCGTGCCACTGCACTCCAGCCTGGGCAACAGAGCGAGACTACGTCTCAAAAAAAAAAAAAACAAAAAAAAAAAAAACAAAAAAAAAAAACTGTTTTGGCTATTCTGGGTCCCTTGCATTTTTACTTGAATTTTAGGATTAGTTTGTCAATTTCTGTGAAGAAACCAGCTGGAATTTTGATGGGGCTTACTCTGAATCTTTACAATAGTTTGAGTAGTATTGCCATCTTAATATTAACCTTTCTGATCTATGAAGATGGGCGTCTTTACATTTGTTTAGGTCTTCTTTAGTTTATTTCAACAGTGTTTTGTGGCCAGATGTGGTGGCTCATACCTATAATCCCTGCACTTTGGGAGGCTGAGGCAGGCTGATCTCTTGAGCTCAGGAGTTCAAGAGCAGCCTGGGCAACATGGCAAAACCTCATCTCTACAAGAAATACAAAAAATTAGCCGGGCATGGTGGCATGTGCTTGTCATCCCAGCTACTTGGGAGGCCGAGGTGGGAGGATCACATGAGCCCAGGAACTTGAGGTTGTTGTGAGCTGTGATCATGCCACTACACTCCAGCTTGGGCAATAGAGTGAGACCCTGCCTCAAAAAAACAAAAAACAAAAAAACCAACAATGGTTTGTAGTTTTCATAGTATAAGTTTTACACTTCTTTTGTTCTGTTTATTCCTAAGTAGTTATTATTTCTGATGCTATTATAAAATGGAAGTTTTTCCTTAAGTATATTTTGGGGTTACTGCAATTACATAGGAATACAACTGATTTTTGAATACTGATCTTCTGTCCTGAAGCCTTGGTGAACTCATTTATTAGCTCTAGTAGTTTTGTAGTGGCTTCCTTAGGATTTCCTATATTCGGGATCATGTCATCTGCAAATAGATGTGTTTAACTTCTTCCTTCAAACCTGGATACATTTTATTTTCCTTCCTAATTACCCTAGATAGAACTTCTTGTACATGTTAAATAGAAGCGGCAAGAGTGGACATATCTTGGCCGGGCGCGGTGGCTCACGCCTGTAATCCCAGCACTTTGGGAGGCGGAGGCGGGTGGATCATGAGGTCAGGAGATCGAGACCATCCTGGCTAACAAGGTGAAACCCCGTCTCTACTAAAAATACAAAAAATTAGCCGGGCGCGGTGGCGGGCGCCTGTAGTCCCAGCTACTCGGGAGGCTGAGGCAGGAGAATGGCGTGAACCCGGGAAGCGGAGCTTGCAGTGAGCCGAGATTGCGCCACTGCAGTCCGCAGTCCGGCCTGGGCGACAGAGCGAGACTCCGTCTCAAAAAAAAAAAAAAAAAAAAAAAAAAAAAAAGAGTGGACATATCTTCGTCCAGATCATAGTTTGATCTTTACCACTCAGTCTGATGGTAGTAGTGGGTTTTTTGTTGTTTTTATTTTGGGTTTTTGTCTTTTTGTCTTTTTTTTTTTTTTTTTTTTTTTTTTGTCCTCTTGTGTTGAAACTGGAAGTAGTGGTTTTTTTTGTAGATGCTTTTTATCAAGTAGAGGAAGGTCCCTTCTGTTTCTAATTTGTTGAGTGTTTTTGTCGTGAAAGAATGTTGGATTTTGTCAAATGCTTTACCTGTGTCTCTTGAGATGATCATGTGGTTTTTGTCCTTTATTTTGTTAATATGGTGTATGGAATAACAGCGATAGATTTTCATATGTTAAGCCAACCTTGAATTTCAGCTATAAATCTCACTTAGCCATAGCATATAGTCCCTTTTTTTTTTTTGAGACGGAGTGTCGCTGTTGTCGGCCCGGGCTGGAGTGCAATGGCATGATCGCGGTTTATCTCTTTTTTTTTTTTTTTTTTTTTTTGAGACGGAGTGTCGCTGTTGTCAGCCCGGGCTGGAGTGCAATGGCACGATCTTGGTTCACTGCAACCTCCACTTCCGAGGTTCCAGCAGTTCTTCTGCCTCAGCCTCCCGAGTTGCTGAGATTACAGGTGCCCGCCATCACACCTAGCTAATTTTTGTATTTTTAGTAGAGGTGGGGTTTCACCATGTTGGCCAGGCTGGTCTCGAACTCCTGACCTCAAGTGATCCACCAGCCTTGGCCTCCCAAAGTGCTGGGATTACAGGCATGAGCCACCGTGCCCAGCCTATAATCCTTTTTATATGCTGCTAGATTGTATTTGCTAGTATTTTGTTGAGCATTGTTATGTACACATTCATGTGTTTCATAAACTATTCTCCCTTCCTTCCTTCCTTCCTTCCTTCCTTCCTTCCTTCCTCCCTTCCCTCCCTCCCTTCCCCTCCCTTCCTTCCCCTCCCTTCCCCTCCCCTCCCCTCCGCTCCCCTCCCCTCCCCTCCCTTCCTCTTCCCCTCCTCTCCTCTCCTCTCCTGTCCTCTCCTCTCCTCTCCTCTCCTCCCCTCCCCTCTCCTCTCCTCTCCTCTCCTCTCCTCTTCCTTTCCTTTCTTCTTTTCCTTTCTTCCTTTTCTTTTTGAGACAGGGTCTTGTTCTGTAACCCAGGCTGGAGTGCAGTGGTGTGATCATAGCTCACTGTAGCCTCAAACTTCCTAGCTCAAGCAGTCCTCCCACTTCAGCCTCCTGAGTAGCTGGAATTATAGGTGCAAACCATGGCACCCAGCCATTTGATGTCTTTGTCTGGGTAATATTGGCCTTAAGAAGTTGAGTTGGGAAATGCTCCTCCTTCTACTTTTTGAAAAAATTTGAGAAAGCATGGTATTCTTTAAATGTTGGTAGGATTCACTAAGGAAGACTTCTGAACTAGGCTTTTCTTTGTGGATAATTGTGGGATTTATTTTTGGTTTTGTTTTTAACTAATTTAGTCTCTTTGCTTGTTATGGGTCTATTCAGAATTTTTCTCTCTCCTTGAGTCAATTTTGATCATTTCTGTCCTAAGAATTTGTCAATTTCAAATCTAATTACCTAATTAGATTTATCTAATTTGATGGCTATATTAGTTTGCGAGGGCTGCCTTAACAAAATACCACACACTGGGTGGTTTAAACAATAGCAATTTATTTTCACACGGTCCTGGACACCTGGAAGTCCAAGACTGAGGTGCTGGCAGGATTGGATTCTGCTGAGGCCTCTCTCCTTGACTTGCAGATGACCGTCTTCTTGCTGTGTCCTCACGTGGCCTTTCCTCTGTGTATGGGCACATTCCTGATGTCTCTTCTTCTTTTAAGGACACCAGTCCTTAAAAATCATTTCAGATTACGCCCTTACCCTATGACCTCATCTCATCATAATTACCCCTTTAAAGGGCCTATGTTCAAATACAGTCACATTCGAAGGTTTTAGGAATTGGGGCCTCAACATATGGATTGCGGGGAGACAATTCAGTCTATAACAATGGCATACAATTGTTCATAGCATTTGTTTATAATGCTTTTTTTTTTCTTTAAGGTTGCCAGTGATGCCCCGTCTTTTATTCCTAGTTTTAGTAATTTATATCTTCTTTTTTTTTCATTGGTCAATCTGGCTAAAGACTTGTCAATTTTGTTGATTCACTCAAAAAACAAACTTTTGGTTTTGTTCATTTCCACTATTGTTTCTCTATTCCTTACTTTATTAATTTCTGTTGCTGTCGATTGTCTTTATTCCTTTCTTCTTCTTTCTTTGGGTTTAGTTTTCACTTTTTCTAGTTTCTTAAGGTGATTGATTTGGGATCACTCTTAAGGTGATTGATTTGGGATCTTTTTTTTTTTTTTTTTTTTTTTTTTTAATTTGAGACGGAGTTTCGCTCTTGTTGCCCAGGCTGGAGTGCAATGGTGCAATCTTGGCTCACAGCAACCTCCGCCTCCCAGGTTCAAGCCATTCTCTTGCCTCAGCCTCGGGAGTAGATGGGATTACAGGCATGCGCCACCACACCTGGCTAATTTTGTATTTTTAGTAGAGACGGGGTTTCTCCATGTTGGTCAGGCTGGTCTCAAACTCCGGACCTCAGGTGATCTGCCCACCTCGGCCTCCCAAAGTGCTGGGATTACAGGCGTGAGCCACCGCACCTGGCCTCTTTTTTTTAATATAGGCATTTACAGCTATAAATTTCCTTCTAATTACTTTAGTGGCATCCCATAAGTTGTTGTATGTTGTGTTTAATTTTCATTTATTTTATTTATTTATTTATTTATTTATTTATTTATTTATTTATTTTTGAGATGGAATCTTGTTCTGTCACCCAGGCTGGAGTGCAGTGGCACCATCTCGGCTCACTGCAACCTCCACCTCCTGGGTTCAAGTGATTCTCCTGCCTCAGCCTCCTGAATAGCTGGGATTACAGGCGCCCACCACCACACGTGGCTAATTTTTTTGTATTTTTTAGTAGAGACAGAGTTTTGCCACATTGGCCAGACTGGTCCCAAACTCCTGACCTCAAGTGATCCGCCTGCCTCGGTCTCCCAAAGTGTTGGAATTACAGGCGTCAGCCACCGCATCCAACCTAATTTTCATTTATTTTAAAGTTGTATACAATTTCCTTTGTGATGTCTTTGATCCATTGGTTATTTAGGAATGTGTTATTTTTCATAAATTTGTGAATTTCTTAAATTTTCTTCTGTTATTGATTGTTCATTTGAGTCTCTTGAGTTTAGATAATGTATTTTATATGATTTTAGTTCTTTGAAGTTTATTGAGGCTTGTTTTATGGCCTAACATATAGTCTATCCTGGAGAATCTCCCTGGTGCCCTTGAAAAGAATGTATATTCTGCTTTTGTTGGTGAATATTCTACTGACGTCTTAGGCTTAGTTAGTTTACAGTGTTGTTCAAGTCTTTTATTTCTTTATTGATGTTCTCCCTGGTTGTTCTATTCATTATTGAAAGTGGGGTATTGAAGTACCCAACCCTTGTTATTAAATAGCTGTTTCTCCCTTCAGTTATGTTCATCTTTGCTTCATTTATTTGGGGCTCTGTTGTTAGGTGTGTATATGTTTATAATTATGTCTTACTGGTGGATTGACCCTTTTATCATTATAAAGTGTTCTTTTTTTCATGTAGTAATAATTTTTGTCTTAGAGTCTATTTTTCTTTTCTTTTCTTTTTTTTTTTTTTTTTTTTTGAGACAGAGTCTCACTCTGTCGCCCAGGCTGGAGTGCAGTGGCATGATCTCAGCTCACTGCAAGCTCCGCCTCCTGGGTTCACACCATTCTCCTGCCTCAGCATCCCGAGTAGCTGGGACTACAGGTGCCTGCCACCGCGTCCGGCTAATTTTTTTGTATTTTTAGTGGAGACAGGGTTTCACTATGTTAGCCAAGGTGGTTTCCATCTCCTGACTTCATGATCCGCCCACCTCGGCCTCCCAAAGTCCTGGGATTACAGGCGTGAGCCACCGTGCCCGGCCTAGAGTCTATTTCTTCTGAGATTAGGATGGCCACTCCATCTCTCTCTGGCTACTATTTATATGGCTATAAAATTTTGCCATGCAGAAATTATTTATTTTTTGTAACTGAATTTATCAGTCTTTTGTTTATGGCTTCTGCATTTTGATTAATAATTTGGCCTCTTCCATATCAAGGTGATAATTAATTCTTCCATATTTTCTATTATCTTTATATTTTCAGAGTCTAAGTTTATATCTTTGGTCCATTTGATTTTTTTTTTGACACCTGGTGTAAGATGTTGGTACAACTTTATTTTTTTCCTATGTACATAATTGCCTCAATATAACTTACTGAATGGTTAACTTAGGTTGATTGGCATCTTTTTGACATTGAATATTTCTGCTCAGAAGCATGGTATGTCTTCGTATTTGTTCAGGTGTATATTCATGATTTTCGTAAGTTTTTTTTTTAATTAAAAATTATTTAACATTTTCTTTTTTTTCTTTTTTTTTTTTTTTTTTTGAGACAGTGTCTCGCTCTGTCAGCCAGGCTGGAGTGCAGTGGCATGATCTTGGCTCACTGCAACCTCCGCCTCCCAGGCTCAAGCAATTCTTCTGCCTCAGCCTCCCAAGTAGCTGGGATTACAGGTGTGTGCCACCACACCCGGCTAATTTTTGTATTTTTAGTAGGGACGAGGTTTCCCCATGTTGGCCAGGCTGGTCTTGAACTCCTGACCTCAGGTAATCCACCCGCCTTGGCCTCCCAAAGTGCTGGGATTACAGGCATGAGCCACTGCACCCAGCTGACATTTTCAAACACATATAAAAATAGAATAATAAAGTAAACCACCACCATGACCTATCACCCAGTTTCAGTACTTATGAACACATAGTGATTATTATTTAATCTAACTTCCTCCTTCAATATGTTAAGACAAATCCCAGATACTATGTCCAGAAATATTATGACGTTTTCTTCATGTAGTTGCATACATTTCTTATTAAGCTTATTCATAGGCATTTTATTTAACTATGGATTGTTGTTTATATATATGAAGATTTATTTCTGTAGATTAACTTTGTACCTTCTGATTTTTAAAACATTATTCTGTACCAATTTGAATTCATTGTTTTAAAAATATAAGATGAATTATCACTCTTCAAATTAGGGATATGCTAAAATTATAGGTATAAACTAGTATAGAAAGCTGCTAATCTTCCAAACAATATGACTGTGGCCTGAAACATAATGACAGATCTGTGTAAGAGCATAGCAAACTTAACTCGGATTCTTGTCCTGTAAGGCTCTGTTAAGACATGAAAAACTGGGGTCATCTTCAGTTTCCCACAACTTTGTAATGTTGTGTGTGCACTGGGTCCTTCCAGCAGACCTTAAATCACTCACAGGTGAGTAAGTCAGGCCCTTAGAGAAGCATGTTAACTCATCCAAGCCAGTGGGGGACCATTTCATTCTTTTGAGTTCTGTTGAGAAACAATGATTAGATGAATCAGGAATCATGTTGTGGGATGAATAATTTTCTAGGTAATTTCTAAGGGAGCACCATTAGTAAGTATCCTGTTCCTTAGAGCATGCTCTCAGACTCTCAGAGAGGTTTGACAGTCCCTTTTGACACTTTCCTGTGTTAATCGATCTAGCTGTTCTGCTGGAGTAGTCAGGGATTTGGGGTCTCTACTCATTTAGAAAAACTCTAATTGGCTTGAATCTTTCTCTCTTCCACAGCCTGTCTCTGAAATAGAATGTGGTTTTCTGGGCTGAATTATTTTCTTAATCCAAAGAGCTTTCTTTTGGATGTTCCTGGCATTGCAGTAAATTAATTCTAATTTATTAAAAGAAAAAAAAAACTAAAGCAACTTTCTTTCAGAGAAAAATGCTTTCTCCTACATTTCAGTGAGTTGGTTTGCATGACACTTTTAAAATAATAAACTCATCTAGGTAGAGATAAATACATCTCATTAAAATCTGGTTTTGAGGCTGGGCATGGTGGCTCACACCTGTAATCCCAGCACTTTGGGAGGCCAATCCAGGTGGATCACTTGAGGTCAGTAGTTCGAGACCAGCCTGGCCAACATGGCAAAACCTCACCTCCACCAAAAAATACAAAAATTAGCTGGGCGTGGTGGCGTGCACCTGTAGTCCCAGCTACTCAGGAGGCTGAGGCAGGAGAATCTCTTGAACCCAGGAGGAAGAGGTTGCAGTGAGCCGAGATCACACCACTGCACTCCAGCCTTGGCAGCAGAGTGAGAATCCATCTAAAAAAAATAGTATATATATATATATGTGTGTGTGTGTGTGTGTGTGTGTGTGTGTGTATATATATGTGTATATATATGTGTGTATATATATGTGTGTATATATATATATATATATGGCTTTGAGGGGGTCTGTGGAGACCACCTCCACAGTTAACTTTGACTAGGTTAAATGGCTGCTGCTATTTAAGGTAGTAATACTTACCTCACAACACTGTTACACGAATTAACTGAATTAATATATTTAAAGTGCTTAAAATAGCATGCATCACGTGGTAACTTCTAGTGAGTGTTTGTTAAATAAGTAAAAAATTAAAAACCAGTCCACATAGAAATGGACTTTTTAAAATGTCAGAATAGTTCAAGGAAAGGACTGAAATTCTATAATCTCCTTTTTCTCAACTCTTGTTGAATTAACTTCCTTCCTGCATATATAAATAGTTGCTAATTTAAACAAACTCTTTCATTTTAAAGATTCGCCGATTCTCAGTCCAGCTAATTCTGCAATCAATTTAAGTGGAGCTCAGGACCTGACCCGGAATAACAATGTTGTGAAACCACTGGCTTTATCTTTGCAGGTTGTAGGGAAGACTTTTGCTGCAGGTGATGTTTTCCTCACTTATATATCTTTGGTAAATACATAGTCCATAAAAGACTTGTGTGACATTTAATTGACAAATTGATAGAAGAAAACAGAAGCTGCCTCTCCCTGCCAGTTGAAGAGAGAAGTGTGGCTGTCTATAATAATGTACTAGTGTATGAAGCTTTATGTTCTCTGCCTTCCAACCAGAAGAGTCAGGGAATGACACTTGTTACTTGGAAGTGACATAACAATCTGATTCCATTTAACAAACATTTCTTGGGCACCTGCTATAACTAGGAACTGGGAATACAAAGATAAGGTTCAATCCCTGACCCCCCAACTTCCTTGTGATCTAGTGGGGGAGACAGACCTCTGATAAGATATTTTCAGTGTACTGTAGCAAATATGGCAATGTACAGAAGAACGCAGAGCAAAGGGTTTTAGCCCAGCATTGTAGGAGTAATTAAGAGTAAGTTCTCAGAGGAGCCTGGTCTTTGACAATGAGGAGATCTTCACTGTACAAAGGAGTAGAGGAAAAGCAATTCAGATTCAGGGAACAGCAGAAACAATGGTTAAAAGGAAAAGAAGGGAAGGGGGAAAAGCAATATGATGTACGCAAGAACTTCCAGCGATTTGGACTTGATAGAACCATAAAATGCAAAGCTCAAAAAGTGGCAAGAGGTGAGTGGGTGGTGGTTAAGGGAAAAGTTATAGGCAGCCAGCCTAAGAAATGTGGATTTCACTCTATAACTTATAGAGCAGAGGAATGGCATGGTTTGATTTGAACTTGAGCTAGATCATTTTGGCTGTAATGCGTAAGAAGAAGACGAGATAGGAAAACTAGTTGGAGGTCATTTCAGTCGTCTCGGTGACAAATGATGAGGTCCTTGGCTAGAATGATAACAGGTTGCAGAAGAGAGGACAAATTAGAGAACTACTCGGGAAGTGAAACTAGCAGGAATTAGCTGATTAACGTGAGCATCAAGGAGAAGAAGGGGTCTCAATAGACATTCATCTTTCTGGGCTTATGGTGATTGCCATCATCTGAGACAGGGATACAGAAGGAGGATCAGGTTCTCCAGTGGGAGATTGAGAGTTCAATTTTAGAAATGCTGAGTTTGAGATTCCTATAAGACATCCATGTGGAGCTGTTCAACAGCCATTTAATTTATCATAGGGATAATTCAGGACTGATGGTATAGAGTAGAGCCACCAACATATAGTTAAAGTCATCAGGGTAAATACTATAAGCCAAGGAGAGATGTAGGCTGAGGCAAGCTGTGAACAAAAGATAGGCTTCATCCAGGCACAGTGACGCCTGTAAACCCATCACTTTGGGAGGCCAAGGCAGGAGGATCATTTGAGACCAAGAGTTCCAGACCAGCCCAGGTTACAAAGTGAGACCTTGTCTCTACAAAAGATAAAAAAATTAGCTGGGTGTGGTTATGTGCACCTGTGGCCCCAGCTACACAGGAGGCTGAGGCGGGAGGATGGCTTGAGCCTGGGAAGTCAAGGCTGCAGTGAGCCATGTTTGTGCCACTGCACTTCAGCTTGGGTGACAGAATGAGAATCTATCTCAAAAACATAAAGATAGAATCCCAGAAAAGTTCAGTGGTGTGTGTGTGTGTGTGTGTGTGTGTGTGTGTGTGTGTGTGTGTGTGTTTTCTTTTTCTGAAACAGGGTATCTCTCTGTCACCCAGGCTGGAGTACACTGGTGCGATCTCAGCTCACTGCAGCCTCAACCTCCCAGGCTTAAGCAACCCTCCCACCTCAGCCTCCCAAGTAGCTGGGACTATAGGCACATGCTGCCGTGCCCAGCTAATTTTTGCATTTTTTGTACAGACAAGGTTTCGCTATGTTGTCTAGGCTAGTCTCAAACTCCTGGAGTCAAGTGATCAGCCAGCCTCAGTCACCCAAAGTGCTGGGATTACAGGCATGACCCATGGCACCCAGCCAAGTTTAGTGGTAGAAGAAATTTTAAGAGAAGTAGAAGAATGAGCATAAAGAGAGCCTGTCATTTTTGGAAACTTTTCTTTTTTCTTTCTTTCTTAATTGTAGAGACAGTGTTTCCCCATGTTGCCCAAGCTGGTTTCAAACTCCGGGGCTCAAGTGATCCTACTGCCATAACCTCCCAAATTGCTGAGATTATAGGTGTGAGCCATTGTGCCTGGCCATTTTTGGAAATTTTTCAACAGTTAGGCATCATACTTTACACAGCCCACTTTTGTTCTTACTCAGGTCCAACAATTCTTGCAGGATCTATCTTCTGGTTGGATTACAGACTTTGAACAATGGAATCAAGTTTTTACAGCATTAAAAGAATCAAGTAATAGATCAGTAATCATCATGGTTACTAAAGCGATCAGATGAAAGGCTGAACAACTTTATAATGCCAAGGATTATGCTGACAACTTTTGAACCTACTAATCAATCTTAATATCATAAGAAGAGAGAAAACTGGCTTATGTGCCTCCTGATGGAAGTACTGTATACCACAGTACTTATAACTCTTGCCAAAAAAAAAACCTGAATTTGATCAAACCTCTATATCTAATAATTAGTTTATTAGAAATACAGGGGACAAGAGAATAAGTGACACCACAGGTATATAATCAGCAAAATCTAGAAAATGGAAAATTCTGCCAGGTTTTCAGCAAATTAATTGTAAGAAAGAAAAGGAAGGACATCTTATAGATTAAAAGAGGTTTCAGGGACGTAGCCACTAAATTCAGTATGTGCATCTTTTTTGAGTTCCAATTTGAACAAGCCAACTGTTTTAAAAAAATATTTTTTAACAGATAATTAAAAGATAGTTGGGGAAATTTTTGAATACTAATAGGATATTTTATGATATTAAGAAATTATTGGCTATATGCGGTGGCTCATGCCATCAAGCAAGATGGGCTGTGTTGGTAAATGTTGAAATTGGATGGTGGGTATGTAGATGTTTATTATAGGCTCATGCCTATAATTTCAGCACTTTGGGAGGCTGAGGAGGGTAGATCACTTGAACCCAGGAGTCCAAGACCAGCCTGGGAAACCCTGTCTCTACAGAAAAAAATACAAAAATTAGCCAGGTATGGTGATACATGCCTGTAGCCCCAGCTACTTGGCAGGCTGAGGTGGGAGGACCGCCTGAGCCCAGAAGTCAAGACTGCAGCGAGCTGTGATTGCACCACCACACTCCAGCCTGGATGATGGAGTGAGACCCTGTTTCAAAGAAGAAGAAGAAAAAAAGAAAGTATTAATCACTGCTAATTTTAAGTATAGCAATGATATTACAGTTATTTTTAAAAGAGTCTTTTTCTTTTAGAAACTCATACATAAGACCATGTGTGGTGGCTCACACCTGTAATCCCAACACTTTGGGAAGCCAAGGTGGAAGGATTGCTTGAGGCCAGGAGTTCGAGACCAGTCTGGACAACATAGCAAGATGCTCTCTCTTAAAAAAAAAATCTTAAAAATTAGCCAGGTGTGGTGGCACACTCCTATAGTCCCAGCTATTTGAGAGGCTGAAGCAGGAGAATCGTTCAAGCCTAGGAATTCAAAGCTGCAGTGAGCTCTGAGCCCGCCACTGCACTCTAGCCTGGGTGACAGTGAGACCTTGTCTCAAAAAAAAAAGGCCTGGCACGGTGGCTCATGCCTGTAATCGCAGCACTTTGGGAGGCCGAGGCGGGCGGATCATGAGGTCAGGAGATCGAGACCATCCTGGCTAACACGGTGAAACCCCATCTCTACTAAAAAAAATACAAAAAATTAGCCGGGCATGGTGGTGGGCGCCTGTAGTCCCAGCTACTCGGGAGGCTGAGGCAGGAGAATGGCATGAACCTGGGAGACGGAGCTTGCAGTGAGCCAAGATCGCACCACTGCACTCCAGCCTGGGCGACAGAGTGAGACTCTGTCTCAAAAAAAAAAAAAAAAAAAGAAAAGAAAAGAAAAGAAAGAAAGAAGCACATAGAAGTATTTATGTACAAAAATGATATGGGTTTGCTTCAAAATAATTCACAGCATGCATGTGTGTATGTGGAGGGGACGGAGGTAAGGGTATAGATAAAGCAAGATGGGCTGTGTTGGTAAATGTTGAAATTGGATGGTGGGTATGTAGATGTTTATTATCCTATTCTCTCTACTTTTCTATATGTTTGAAACTTTCCATGATGCAAAGTTAAGAAAGTGTATATAAGAATTTTTTTCCCTTCCTCCCACCCATCATCTCCAAAGACTTCACTGAAACTGATTCCAGAAGATCTCTTGGGGTCCTAGGAAATTGTTTCTAAGTGACATTTAATTTTAATGAAGATCTTCCTCTGACAGTTGCAGTTGGTTTTGTATAACTGGACTGAGTCCTATCCGTGAGGTTTCTTGGAATCCTAGAGTGTGAGGTCTATCAGATGGTTCCAGCATCCCAGAAAGCAGTGCCCCGCCCAGCCTCTGTTCTGAGCACTCCTCTCCTTGTGTTCTACAGATGCTGCTAATGGAAACAGTAGCCATGGAGGGAAGGGCAGTGCATCCAGCTCCACTCCAGCCCACACAGGGAATTACTCTTTGTCACCACGACCTAGCTATGCATCAGGAGATCAAGGTACAATGCCTGTCGTAGAGTTTTGTAATAATGCACTTACCAGTGGTTACAAGTGCTCCAGATTTTGTAATGAATTATCTGGCAACACACTCTAGAGTTTTTTCTCAGTTCGTCATACAGTGTTTTGAAAGTTTGTAATTGGTGTGAACAGTAATGAGTAAATATCTTGGGATTCTATGTGGATGACCTAACTGGGAAATAATGTTGAAACAAATGTATAAGGAAGTGTCTTGAAAAACCATGGGTTTAGCTGATTAAAGTACAGGATTCAAAGTTCTCTGTTGTGTGATCCTGAACAAATCTGAACTTTCCTTTCTCCTTTTACAAAATGGGTATAACAACAATATTTGCCCTACAACTCCACAAGGTTGTGGGTAGAATCAAATGAAATAACCTACATAAACTTGGGAACTGTAAAACAACATACAGATGTTAAGTGGCTGTTATTGTAATGTTAGGTTACTAATGTGGCTTTTTTTTAAACTTTACCTCTAAAGGAGTGATTTAGACTTTCTGAGTATAATCAAATTAAAGGTTCTGTATTACTTATATTACTCTGGCGTTCTTTCCTTTCTTCCACATGGCTGAGAACAAGACTATCTCTTTTTTTTGTTTTTTTGTTTGTCTTCAGCTACCATGTTCATTTCTGGGCCACCAAAGAAACGACACCGGGGATGGTATCCTGGGTCACCTCTCCCCCAACCTGGCTTAGTTGTACCTGTCCCTACAGTTCGCCCTCTTTCAAGAACGGGTAAGATTTTAACAGAAGATGGATTGTAAGTGTGTTTTTAATTAGCAGAGATATCTTCTACTTCCATTCTTTCCCTGAATTCTTGACAATGAGTTATATGAGGATATTGATAGTAGCTAATGTTTTGTCCCGATCACATTTGCCTTCCCTACATGCACAAGATCATTACAACTGATCTGAATTCAACCTTTGGCTTAATTTCAACCCATAGCATTGAAAAGCCATTCGTTATATGGGACACAATGCTACCAACCCACCATCATAGAGCATATATGGACTTGTTTTGCTAGTAGTGGTGTTAGATTTTCCCTGCTGTTATCTGGTTCTTTATGTGACCCACGCTTATTATTTCTGACCTGGATGGTTCAGTCTGTGGCTAGAAACCTGAAAAACCAAAACCAACTGGCTCTCTTTCAGAACACCTAACTGTAGCCATTTGGTATCCACAGTTCAAACATTTGTCTACCTTGCTGAACAAACCACAGACAATTGTAAATATACTGGTTTTAAGACATAAATGAGTTATTTAAATGTTTGTTTAAATAAATAGTTTTAAAGACTACATAGACATCTTATATACACAAATAATTATGCCAGTCTGTCACTATGGTTGCTTGTAGGTAGTACTGGTTAATGATGAGTTCATCCTTCTTCACACTTTTCTATACCTTTCAAAATGTATGTAATGAACAGATATATGCCTTTGATAATCTTGGGGGGAAAGCTAAGATACCAAACAGGATCCAAAATATTGCATATGGAAAAAACAACTGGAAGGAAAATCAGCAAAATGCTAAATAGTAGTTGTAGCCACATGTTATGATTATGGTTAATTTTTTTTCTCCTTTTGTTTTTTTCACTTATCACTTTACACAATAAACCTAATGAAAAACACAACAAACCATTAGATTTCTAATGCTTCTCTGTTAAAAGTATTAAAACTGCATTGCTTTCTATTGTATTTCATTTAGTTTTCACGCCATCTTTCTTGTCAAACTTTTTTTTTTCCAGAGCCCCTTTTATCTGCCCCAGTTCCACAGACCCCACTAACTGGAATTTTACAACCCAGGCCCATTCCTGCAGGGGAAACTGTAATTGTTCCTGAAAACCTGCTGAGTAACTCAGGAGTTAGACCAGTAATTCTGATAGGTAAGGTAATGGAATTCCAAGTTGCCTGTGTCTGCTGGAATCTAGGAGTGTTTTTCCATTTCATTGTGTTTTTTCATGTATTCATGAAGATATTCATCCATCTGTTGATTCTGTCAGCTTTTATTGGTCAGCTCTTTCATGCTATATTAAACATGTGATTAGGAGCTGAGGATAAGGCAAAGTCTTTTTGCCCTCAAGGAGCACTGTTTAGTGGGGGAGTCTCACCTCGCATGAGCCACCAGCGTTGGTAAATAAGCATTACAACACATGGGCGATACCATTATAGCACACTGTGACATGTGAGCTCCTTAGAGGTTCACAACCAGGAGCAACCAGAACTCAGAGCTCTGAGAGAGGGCTTACCTCTGCCTGGAGGGATCTGAGAAGACTTCCCAGAGGTGTTGGTTAAGCTGGGTCCTGAAGGTTGGTCAAAGTGGACAAGGTCAGGGAGGAGACATTCCAGTCAAAGGGAGCCAAACCACAAAGAAATGAAACAAGCCAAGCCAGCTGAAAGACCCTACTCAAGAGAACCAAGAGGCCCTACAGTTGCAGGTCTGAACCTTAGCATCTTTGAGGAGGCTGAGTCCTTCCAGGTGGTCTACAAGTGGAGGTATAGACATTTAGGGGTCCCTACATTCCAGGACTAACTTAGTGCTTTTCATACCCATTTCAGGAGACTCCTTGGTTTAGGGCTGGCCTAGGCCAGAAGGAGACTGCTTGCTCTACCTTAAGGACAAAATAGATAGGGTGTTTAAGTTCCCCACATCTTTAGGGTGTGTTTACATGCAGTGTTATTTGCTTTTTGGGTTGGCCTGAGCCTGCCTAATTGGATGGTTTTGCTTGGAGTCATGTCCTTTACCTGGTTGCTTTATCTGCTAATCCTAGATCTGTAGGTACTGAGGGGATCCCAGTTGCTTAAATGCTGTATAGATTAGGAAGCTCTTTTTGAACATTAACATAGTGCCACTAAGCTTTGGAAAGATGCATAGAACGTGGGACCCTTTGGTCCTTTGGTGCCTGCCTTTTAGAAAGTCTCACAGAGGGACTATCCTCTCCATCAACCACCAAAACAGAGCATATTTTGGACATATTTTATCCTATCTATTTCAAAACAATTTGAGACTGTTTACTGACATTTAGGAAGACAACCTCACAAAAATAGCTAAGATAACAAAGGAACAGGGATCTCCAAGCACCTGAAACTAGAAGAATCTTGCTATTAATCAATGAATTTAGCTTACTTTTTTTTTTTTTTTTTAAAGAAAATCTCAGGAATATCTCCAGGTGGATAGTGTCAGAAAGGAAAGGAAAGGGGAAAGGAAAGGAAATCTCAGGAAGTGAAACATGTATTGTCATTTGTTTCTGTTTTTGTTTTTTGTCATTGTTTTTTGAGACAGAGTCTTGCTCTGTCACTCAGGCTGGAGTGCAGTGGCACAATCTCTGCTCACTGCAAGCTCCGCCTCCTGGGTTCAAGTGATTCTTCTGCCTCCTGAGTAGCTGAGATTACGAGCGTGCACCACCACGCTCAGCCTAGTTTTGTATTTTTAGTAGAGATGGGGTTTCATCATGTTGGCCAGGCTGGTCTCAACTCCTGACCTCAAGCAATCTGCCTGCCTCAGCCTCCCAAAGTGCTGGGATTATAGGCGTGAGCTGCACCCCACCTGGCCAGTGTTTTTTGTTTTTGAGACGGAGTCTCTCTCTGTGGCTCAGGCGGGAGTGCAGTGGCGCGATCTCGGCTCACTGCAACCTCTGCCTCCTGGGTTCAAGCGATTCTCCTGCCTCAGCCTCCCATGTAGTTGCATGCCACCATGCCTGGCTAATTTTTGTACTTTTAGTAGAGGCTGGGTTTCGCCTCTACTAAAGGTGAAAATGTTGGCCAGGCTGGTCTCAAACTCCCGACCTCAGGTGATCCACCCGCCTGGGCCTCCCAAAGTGCGGGGATTATAGGCGTGAGCCACCTTGCCCAGCCATATTGTCATTTGTTTGTTTTCTGATTTCTTATCTGAAAATAAACTTGATCAGGGACTTTATCAGAAATATTTTATCATTGCAGTTTTACAGAGGATACAGACATGTTTTGCAAACTCATCAGTCTTCCAGCAAAATATTAACATGTTCCTTCCATGAGAAACAGAGATAATATGAGTACAGTTGTCCCTTAGTATCCCTGGGGGATTGATTCCAGGCCCCGTCCCATATCAAATCGAATATCCTCAAGTCCCTCATATAAAATGGCACAGTATTTGCATATAACCTATGCACATCCTCCCATATACATTAAACCACCTCTCCATTGCTTGTAATACTTAATACAGTGCCTACACATCACGTCATTCACATGAATTCAGTGTACTACTCAGCCCACAGCAAATTCAAGTTTCACTTCTTGGAACTTTGTGGAATTTTTTCTTCTGACTATTTCAGTCCACGGTTGATTGAACGTGGAACCCACAGACATAGAGGGCCAACTGTATTTTCTTTCCTGTTCATTTAACTTAATATAAGGATAGAATTTGGAGCATCCAAGTGAATTCCCTGGGATTGATATGTTTGAGTGATTTGTTTGGTAGCTATCTCAGAGGGCAGGGAATTTTGTTAAGCAGCTTTGATCGTCGTTGAGCAAGTGTACCTGGTTGGACCATAAAAAGAAATGTTGAACTGTACTGACCTGCTTCTATTGGGACAGGCTATGGCACTTTACCCTATTTCTATGGAAATGTTGGTGACATTGTTGTGAGTCCTCTGCTGGTGAATTGCTACAAGATTCCACAGTTGGAAAACAAAGATTTGGAAAAATTAGGGTTGACCGGCAGCCAATTTCTGAGCGTGGAAAACATGATTCTTCTGACGATACAGTATCTTGTGCGGCTGGGTAAGTCATTTTCCATAATCATTTGCTGGTGACTACTTTTGAGGATTTTTTGTGATGTACTTTTTCTTTCTTTCTCACATTTATCCTCCTATCTCTTATTTTCCCTCTTTCGCTTCTAATGTTCTTTCCCTTCAACCCCATTCTCTGTAACTTTTCCCTTTCCTCTCCTTCATTTCTTTTCTACTCCTTTCCTTTCCTCTTCTTTGGGTCCTAGAGGAGATGAATTGCACCACCTAGTGTCCAGTCTCATGATGCTGCAAAGGTCTCCAAAGTAGTTAAGGTAGGCAGAACCTTAAAGGGTTGTGCCTTGAGCACCCCTTCTCTGGGGAGCTTGGCCAGGCCACCTTTCTGAAAGTGCACCTACCATCTGGAGTGCAAACACAGCCATTGTCTTAAACAATTATTTTCCAGTTTTCCACTTAGCCTTTTTATCTTGTTTATCCACTGGCCCTACACCCATTTTTTTTCTTCTCCAGCTACACCCCTTTGATGGAGTCCCATCGTGCTTTCCATCATTGAGGTCATAACTGTGGACCTCCCTGGAAGGTCTTTAAGCTATAGGGTAAGGGGGATATGTAGGTCATGAACCCTTCACTTCCTCTATCTGATATATTCTCCGAAGCCCCAAAGTGGGTGTATGCAGGTGCCCTGACAATACTAGAGTGGCTTAGCAGCATTTACATCGAAATGTCCTTTATTTTGCAAATGGCAGTAGGCCATCTAATTATACACTCACTCTATCACTTCAAGCCACTGATTTACTTAGAAAAATATTTGAGATGTGGCCGGGCACGGTGGCTCACGCCCGTGATCCCAACACTTTGGGAGGCCAAGGTGGGCGGATCACCTGAGGTGGGGAGTTCGAGACCAGCCTGACCAACATGGAGAAACCCCATCTCTACTAAAAATACAAAATTAGCTGGGCGTGGTGGCGCATGCCTGTAATCCCAGCTACTCAGGAGGCTGAGGCAAAAGAATTGCTTGAACCCGGGAGGCGGAGGTTGCAGTGAGCCCAGATCACGTCATTGCACTCCAGCTTGGGCAACAAGAGTGAAACTCCATCTCAAAAAAAAAGAAAAGAAAAGAAAAGAAAAAAATATTTGAGATGTAAAATTACACATAAAAATATTAGTATGCACTCTTGTGAAATTTTTTAATTTTAGAAAATACTTCAGTGTTAGGAGATAATAAAAACACTGGACTAAATAACTTTAAAAGAAAGAAAAAAGCTTTATTAGGGCATATTCAGTGTTTGGTGCATTAGCTAGCAATCTTGACTAGAACTCTGTGCCCTGAGAGGCTGCCTTGACTTGGCCTCTGCTTCGACATGGCCTTTTGAAATTTACAAGGCACCAATTTCATGATAAACCTAGGACTTACTAATGATGCTTATTGAAAGGTAATACAATTATAAAGCTCATCTGGGTCCACAGCTCATTTGATGACATAATTTTAATTGCTACATACTGAAATTAGATTATAGACTGTGTTCTAAGATCTAAAGCCAACTTCTAAATGCACCCAGAATTAGTAAAACCAGGCTTCATAAAGTGATGATATAGCCAACCAAGAAAATCACTATAGCACTCTTTTTCAGTTTGTTTGTTTGTTTGATTATTTGTTTGTTTGTTTTGAGACCGAGTCTCACTCTGTTTCCCAGGCTGGAGTGCAGTGGTGCGATCTCGACTCACTGCAACCACCACCTCCCATGTTCAAGCAATTCTCATGTCTCAGCCTCCCGAGTAGCTGGGACTACAGGCGTGAACCACCACACCCTGCTAATTTTTGTATTTTTAGTAGAGACAGGGTTTCACCATGTTGGCCAGGCTGGTCTCAAACTCCTGATCTCAGGTGATCCACCTGCCTTGGGCTCCCAAAGTTGGGATTACAGGCATGAGTCACCACGCCCGGCCTCCTTTTCAATCTTAATAGCAATTTTTAAAATCGGAGTCTAATTTAATTAAATGAACCAAGTGGTCAAAATAAGATATCTTTTCTTAAAGTACTAAATGCTCTTATCTTTTGTAAAGAAAAAGAAAAGAAAAGAAAAAAAGAAACAATTTCAATTTAATTACACAGATTCTTCTCTGACCTGCAGGATCAGTTCTTTCCTGAATTTGACTTGCAGTCAATCAGTTAGGCCTCTCGATATACATGAATAGCTATTTCTCTTTTAAAACCTAAGCTTTGTACATTGAGACATCTCTATCCCTCAACAACTGTTCTGGAGTCCTTTATTTATTTATTATTTATTTATTTCTTTATTTCTTGCCTCTGGAGGTTTCAAGAAGGCAAGCAAGAATAGTTTCACATATGGCATAGATTATAGACATTTAAAAAAATAAATCTAAACTTCTAAAAGGATTTTTAATACTTCAGCGGCTCAGTTACTTAGAGGTATCAGAGAAGAAGAAAAGCAAGATTCTTCAGAAGGAACCATACCTCTTCACTACAGTCACTTTTAAAAAATCTCAGTCATTTCACAGTCAGAAAATCTTTGAAGTAGATAATGAAATCAGCAAATCCAGAGATTCTTGTAAGGCTCTGAGTCTATTTAAACCTTGACTTTTCCTATTAAGGTAGTTCTTTCTGAAAAGTCATTAAAACTGATACCTCAGCTAACCTAAGTTATTGGAGATCAGCACTTGAAGGAAAAGATTATTGTTATCAAGCTTGCGAAAGTGGAGAAAAGACACCTGCAATGTAATTGTAAAGGCTGAGGATGAGGTACTGGGTGTGGTGGCTCACGCTTGTAATCTCAGCACCTTGGGAGGCTGAGGCAGAAGGATCACTTGAGCCCAGAAGTTCAGAACTGCAGTGAGCTATGATTGTGCCACTGTACTCCAGCCTGGCAGACAGACAGAGACCCTGTCTCTAATTAAAAAAATTTAAAAAAAAAATTTTTTTAAAAGGCTGAGGATGAAAAAGTGATAGTTGATTTTTGGAAACAAGGCATTTTACTCTAAGAAGTCTCTTACCTCATTTAAACTTAATACCTTTTCCTCCACTTCTTGATTCCTAATTGTACATCAGTCAAAACTGTATAAAAGCGAGCTTTAAGGCAACAAAGGATGTTGTGAACATGTTTAGTAATTTTATTTTCCCAGAATGCCTTTGTGCTTTCAATTAATTATGCCTCCTGATAGAATATGTTACTTAGTCCTGGAGTGAGTCTTATGGACTACTAACCAGGCCCCTGAGCTTTCAGGTTGTTAATGAAAGACGGTAGGGAATTGGAGACAGCCAGGGCCACCTGCTTTTCAGCTGTCATGTTCTGGTGGAAGAAAGCGTTAAATAAATGACCACCTTCTATCCACTTTGAGCTCACTGAAAAGTGTTTACCTAGTGACAATTAACCATGATGCCAATTTGATAAAGCTGAATGAAGATCAGACATCTTGGTGGCTCCTAGGTGATTTTTTTTTAAAGAGCATCCCTCCACATTCCCAGCAAGTTTTTTGAGGACAGTAGAGGCCAGGCACGGTGGCTCACACCTGTAATCCCAACACTTTGGGAGGCTGAATAGGGTGGATACTTGAGGTCAGGAGTTTGAGAGCAGTCTGGCCAACATGGTGAAACCCCATCTCTATCAAAAATACAAAAATTAGCCAGGCATGTTGGGCATGCCTGTAATCCCAGATACTCCGGAGGCTGAGACAGGAGAATTGCTTGAGGCCAGGAGGTGGAGGTTGCAGTGAGCCGAGATCGCGCCACTGCACTCCAGCCTGGATGACAAAGGGAAACTGTCTCAAAAAAAAAAAAAAGCAGCAGCAGCAGCATAGAAGAAACACAGACATAATGTATACATTACCATTTTCTTGCCCTGTTTCCATGTATAGAGGAGAAAAATCTGTTTATGAGAATTCTACTCTCCTACCTCTCCCTGGCCTCCACCCAATCCTGGAAAAACTGTTTTCTCCAATTAAAATTGTTGTTTTTATAATGTATAAGATTTTATTTAATTTTCCATATCTGAAGAGCATTACTAAACACCTCATTTTCTTACTTTCCCAGAAAAGATGGGAAGGGCCAGAGAAACCACTTAGATCCCTATTAGAGGAAGGAATGGGTCTGACTCATTTGTGGTGCCTCCTTCTCATGCAGAAGTCCAGCCCATCACCCCTTTGTTCTTCCATAAGGGGCTTTTAGCCATGGGTTCTGGGGCTGTTGCTTGGTCTCAGATCACAGACACTGAGGTGTCTGAGCTGGTTTATGGGAGCCTGAGTTTCAAATATTGGGTTCACACAGCAAAAGAAATGATTGAATAGAGGGAGTGACTGTATTCTCACTGCTTTCAATTTAAACTAAATGTTGAAATCTTAGTTCATTTGTGTCATTTGGATACCAAACATTGACTTGCTTATTTTGTTCTAAAGGCTGGTTGAGTTTCTAAAGAGAATAAGGAAGAAAATCCCCCTGATTCCAGGGGCCACAGGTCAGCAGTATAAGTTTTGCTCCAACTGGTTGGAGAAGAGGGCCAAATGGCATATTTAACAATCCAGAATGCTGGGGAATAACTAGATCATGAAAGCGTTCTCTATCTGGGAAAAATGTGAGGCTGCCTCCAATATCACTTGGGAGTGAAAAATAATTAAACTTCATTTCCTGCACAGTATTCTCAAAATTAGGCTTAGAAGCAACACATTAAAATGTTTTCCAAAATGCCTATGACTAAAATGAGAACTGAAACTTAAAATCGGTTATATACCAGTAGGTTGGCTTCTTTTTTCATTAGTCATTAACAATTTCTATAATGCCAAGCTTAATAGGTCAAGAAATATGCCATGTGCAAGGACCAGCTCCGAGGGCATACAGTGGAATTAATGGTTTCTCTTGGTACCTCCTCTTTTAAAGAGATCAGGAATACAGAAAAACAGAAGCCTGATTTTTTTTACAAAGATTGAGGCAGAAAGAAAAATAATTTCCAACAGGGAATGATTAGTAGGGACTCTATACTTGTGACCACTCCAAGAAAAAGAGGTTATTTTCTAGTTGGAGTATGTATGATGGGCTGAGAAGGACTGCAGGAAAGCATATGGGTGTGTGTGTCTCTCCTCCCTGTGATTCTTTAAATTCCAGCTGTAATTCTCTTCTATATAGGTCCTGATCAGGTACCTCTCAGGGAAGAATTTGAGCAAATTATGCTGAAAGCTATGCAAGAATTTACTCTGAGAGAAAGAGCCCTGCAGATAGGTGCTCAGTGTGTCCCTGTGTCACCAGGACAACTCCCCTGGCTTGCTAGATTAATTGCCAGCGTATCTCAAGACTTGGTTCATGTGGTTGTGACCCAGAACTCTTTGGCGGAGGGCATTTCAGAGACCTTAAGGACTCTCAGTGAAATGAGACACTATCAAAGGCTGCCAGATTATGTGGTGGTAATTTGTGCATCGAAAATCAGAGGAAATGAATTTTGTGTGGTAGTGTTAGGTGAGTAATTTTTTTGTTTTTTGTTTGTTTAATCAATTCATTCGACCATTTTTCCATTTAAAAATGTGTGTTATGTGTTTCAGGCATCCACATAATCAACCTCTGATTAATTGCTGGAGCTTGGGCTCATCCTCCTAATTTTAACTTTCCCTTTCCTTCTCAGATCAGGTTTTGTGTAGCCCTCAGTTTGGCTGGTGCCCCTGTCAGCTGGTTGTGGGAGCATTATTTCAAAGCTCTCCCTAGTAACAGATACCCCTGTCTCATGTAACTGCTGTCCTTTAAAGATTTTGGAAATGTTACTACTCTAGCATGTGATAAAGCCAGTGCCACAGGTGGCCTAAGCCAGTTAATCGAATTTGCCAGAAAATTAGCTCATATATTCCCCTTCTCACTGAACAGTCTATTTAATATTGTAACATAGTCTCTAAAGAAAAGATTCAGAAAGTTGGTACACTACAAAATTGGGGGGTGGGAGGGGATTTTTGTTTGTTTGTTTTGCACTGTGCAGATTTTCTATCAGGCACCCTCTTGGGTAGCCATTTGGACTACATTTTGCTTCTCTCTTCTCTGTACTGAATGGCTCTCACCTCTTCCAGCAAAGAAGCTAAGAAAACCCCCTCACTTTGACAAAACCTGTCTGCCCATTTTTCTGTGCTACATGTATTTCCAGAAAGCTTCATCAGTGTGATACATTAATATTTTTTCATTTTTATTTGTAAAAAACATGTTTATATTTTTAAAGCAAATTCATTATAACCATGCAAGCACAATTTTTATAAGGTTTTTCATACTCTTCCCTAGTCTGTTTTTCCCCCATGTTCTCAGCCCCTGGGCATCTGCCCAATTGGCCAGCCCTGGGGCAGCCATGGTGTTGCTCACAGCCCCTGGCGGGGACAGGGACCTTCCTTAGTCATTAAACACAAACGTGCATATTTTCAGTTACATAAGGTACATCATTTTGTTCCCCTGATCATCTGTATTATAAACATTTCTGTTTCTGTCTAGAGTCAGAATTGATATTTCAAATGCTATATAATTGTCCATACCTTTTGATGTGTCATAATTTTCTTAACCCAAGTCCCTATAGTGACATCCTTTGATTGTTTCCAATTGTTGCCATTATAAGTAATGTTCCAGCAACATTTGTTCTGTTGATGAGTCTTCTCTTCTCTCCTCCATCCTGCAGGTCAGCACCAGTCCCGAGCTCTGGCAGAGAGCATGCTCACCACAAGTGAGTTTTTGAAAGAAATTAGTTATGAGCTTATCACAGGAAAGGTCAGTTTCCTGGCATCACATTTCAAAACCACATCATTAGGTGAGTGGTTGTAAGATTTGGCAACACTGGCAGCCCCTAGTTGTATGATTTTCTGAGTTTAAATCTTAGCCTGTCAAGATGAGTGTGGAGCTCAAGCTTGCCAGCTGATCTTTCATTTGAAATGGTTTATCCTAAGTATTTTGTCACTAACACCACAGGAAGCAGTAAGGGGGTCTAGAGGAAGGCCCATTGGTACTGGATTCAAAAGTCTCAGCTCAGCCACAACCTTGTTGAGTGACCTTGGGCGAGTTTCTCTCTCCCTGGAACTCGGTTTGTTCGTTCGTTCCTTCCTTCCTCCTTCCCTCCCTTCCTTCTTTCCTTCCTTCCTTTTTTTTTTTTTTTTTTTTTTTTTTTTTTACAGTGTTGCACTCTATCGCCCAGGCTGGAGTGCAGTAGCGTGATTATAGCTCACTGCTTGACACCACCCCTCTTCACGGGCTCAAGCGATCCTCCCACTTCAGCCTCCCAAGCAGCTTGGACTACAGACATGTGCCACCATGCCTGGCTAATTTTTTAATTTTTTGTAGAGACTGGGTCTCCCTTTGTTGCCCAGACTGGACTCCAGCTCCTGGCCTCAAGCAATCCTCCTGTGCCTTGGCCTTCCAAAGTGCTGGGATTACAGGCATGAACCACTGCGCCCAGCCTGGAACTCAGTTTTCTAATCCCATTCTGTCTGCTTTTGAGTATTAGGGAAGTCAAGAGAGATACAACATGTGAAAGCATGTAAATTATAAGCACTATATCAATGAGAGTAGTTCTTGATATAGAGACACCAGTATACTATAAAGATGGCCAAGTGTAAATGCTGATATGAATTGCTGGCTGACCAACAAATCTACTGAGAACAGCCTAACTGCCCAACTTGGGCAGTTAATAAAAATGAAACAAACATATCCTTCCTTGTAACCTTCTTATCTCTATTTTGTAATAGGCGATGACCTAGACAAGCTGCTGGAAAAAATGCAACAAAGAAGAGGAGACAGTGTGGTTACCCCTTTCGATGGAGACCTTAATGAATGTGTGTCACCCCAGGAGGCTGCTGCTATGATTCCCACACAAAACCTGGGTAATGTCATCTCAGACCAAGAGGAGGAAGTCAGTCCTTGGGACAGACATTGTAAAAACTAAGTCATTCTAAGGGTTTTGAGGATTCTTCAAGTCACAGACCACAACAGCCTTTTCCTGATTGTCTACATGATAAACCTGGTTGAAATTAAAAATGCTTTCCCATGTGGCCTGGATCAAAGGCTTTGTTCCTAGTAAAAGTCTTCTGGAATGAAAATCAAAGTCAAAGACTTTATCTTAAGCACTCTCTCTTTTTTCTCTGAAAGATTCCAGGACATTGGCTCATTTTCCTTAGCTCCACCAGCTGTGCCCAGAGGACTTCAAAAAACCGTCTGAAAGAGTCAGACTACAGGCAGTGCAGGGTCCCCAGCTCCTGCTCCTTCACTTCCTGTCTGACTTGTAAAACACACATTATCTCAGGGATAGTGAGGCTTTATTGGCAGATAGAGCAGCGCTACCAACATGTCATCTGCCCTACAACAAGCTTCAGGGGCTCAAAGTGGGAGTGTCAGGGATGAGGAGTCTGATCATTAAGACTGGATTCATTTGGGTTCAGATTTCTTCCCCAATTCACTGATTGACAGGAATGACATAGGACAGGACAGAAAAAAGAACAGGAGAAAGGATAGTTGGGAGACAGACCCATATAAGCTGCTGCTGACAGCCACTTGGCCCCCACTTGATAGGAATGTATCATTTATATATTAGGATTGTCTCAGGCAATAAAAGTAGCATGGCTTGGCAGTCAGCTCTGTTGTTAAAACAAATGCAAATATAGGCAGTAAAATGTTTTGACTTCTCAATGGTATTTGGTAATAAAGTGATGATCCGGATGATCTAAAATGTGTTTATATTAACTGTTTTGAATTGTTAACACATTTAGAATTTAAACATTCTGAGAGGACTTACAGATTCCGGAGTACATTCTTGGTTCCCTGTTTAAAAACCTTGTTTAAAGATGTTTTTGAAATAACAGCCTAACTGTATTAAAAGACAGATATATTTTGATTAGTAGTCTGTGGTACAAAGACTATTTGGGCTTCTATTTAAAGTTGCAGGTTTGGGCTTTTCCAGTGGATTCTCTCAACTACTAGGGAGACCATCCATCTAAATCTCCACTTGCTGTCAGTATCCATGGTAACTGGGATATGTTGACGGCTGTCTTTGCCTCGGCTGCATTTGATTTTAGAAAACATTAATTAGCACAGGTTAATTAGGCCCTGTTGCAGTTAAACTGCCACATGTGTTCCTGATAATAACCAGTGCTTTAAAGAAGCATTGGATGTTGCCTGCTCACGTGTTTAGCTGACTAAACTTCTTTCATTGTGTGTGTGGATGTGCATGCACGTATAAGAAAGATTGATCGCTTGATTATACTTGCAATAAAAAGCTACTGACCTGCTTAGAGTATCTGGGAAATGTTTTTGTAATATGTCACCTGCTGAGTGGCCAGCTGGCTATGTCATGAGTCAGGTGTCTTCAGATAGTCCAGGCATCAGCACTGGAGCTGGCCACAACCACCTAGACCTGCTAGGTCACAGCACTGGCAAAGTGGAGTCCAGTGGGAAGAAAGGTGAAGGTCGTGTCTCCATGACCCACGTTATGTAGTGACTGGGGAGGGAATTTCCGACCATGTTGCAACTGACTTGCTAAAGAGGAAATATTTACTGTAGTGCCTTCCAGAAAAGCTCAGGGGAACTCAGCATCATGATCATTATGGCATCCCCTCTTTCCTTGAACTGGGTCGGGGCTGGAGAACTGGCCTGTGCTGATATTTCTAAAGAAAACTGGAAATGCTACCCTTTCCAGGGATGAGTCTTGGCTCCAGCTGCGACAGTGTAGTCGGTCTCCTCCACTTCTGGGTTGGGATAGGGGTGTTGAATTAGGCATTTGTGAGATAATCAATCAATTTTTAAATAATACATTTGCAAAACTGCAGCATCCACTCCTGAGCACATCCTCTCATCCACGTTTCAGGGAAAATAGGCAAATCTATTAAAACTCAATAGAGAGTGCAAATAGCAGGTGAGAATTCGTAGTGAGAGTGTATTACATTACCGTCTGTGTGGTATGTGTCCTCATAGAGATTCACAGTGGCCATTAGGGAAGTAAATTAACCTTGTTCTTATGACTTCTCTTTAAATTTTAGATTTAGATAATGAAACCTTCCACATTTATCAACCGCAGCTAACAGTTGCCAGAAAACTCTTATCCCAGGTGTGTGCTATAGCGGACAGTGGCAGCCAGAGCCTGGACCTCGGTCACTTCAGCAAAGTAGACTTCATCATCATTGTTCCCAGATCGGAGGTGTTGGTTCAGCAAACTCTTCAGCGGATTCGACAATCAGGTAAGAGTGAACTTTCAAAGAGGAGCCCACCTAGATCCAGCTTCAGATCCCCTCTGCCTCTTTCTTTTGCTTAATCCAAACGTCTAGAGGATGCTTAAAACCTTCTTCAGTAATAAAAATCATAAAAGCACTTTGTTATTTTGGGTTTATCTGAAGTTTTCCCTCAAAGTACTCTGTCCTTTTTCCCTCAAGGTCAAGGGTAAATTGTTGTGCATGTTTGCCAGGTATCATTAAGTTCATGATGTAATCTGTGGGACTAGAATCTGGTCATTTATGGATGAAGAGAAATTTTCTCAAGGCGAGGATGGCCCTGCATGGGTTGATGGCGTCTGTGCCACCTGAACTCCTCCCACCTGCAGGCCTCATTTGCATAGGTGGATTCTTGGCCATCTAGCACATTAACAGCACGTCTGGGACCTGGAAACCAGAACACCATCCCCCATGTCAGCAATGACGTTCTTTAAGAAAAAAAGGTTAGCGTTATTTCTAATAACTTTAAGTGTAAAGAAAAAAAAATGTTTTTCCCAGAAAATGTGAAAAGGTAGAGAGCAAAAATTTTACAAGTCTAAAAAAAAAAAATGTTACAAGTCTGTGGTAAATAATATCCCTTTTCAGAAATAAAATTTGATTAGAATTACAAGAAGTTATAAGGAATTTAGAAACTTGAAACAGCTGTAAAATGCTTGCCTTTGTAAACTAGGTTTGAAAACGAAATTATAAATGTCAAGTTGCTTCTGATTACCTTAGCTGAGGAAAACACACACACACACACACACACACGCAGATTTTAGATCTGGAAGATGACTGTTTTTGCCACAGTAAAGAATTTTACTTTCGGCCGGGGGCGGTGGCTCGCACCTGTAATCCCAGCACTTTGGGAGGCCAAGGCGGGTGGATCACTTGAGGTCAGGAGTTCAAGACCAGCCTGGCCAACATGGTGAAACCCCGTCTCTACTAAAAATACAAAAATTAGCCAGGTGGTAGTGGCACATGCCTGTTATCCCAGCTACTTGGGAGGCTGAGGCAGGAGAATCACTTGAACCCGGAAGGCAGAGGCTGTGGTGAACCAAGACACTGCAGTCCAGTCTGGGTGACAGAGTGAGACCCTCTCCCAAAAAAAAAAAACAAAAAAACAAAGAATTTTACTTTCAATATATTTAAAAACAGGTAGGAAGCAGAAAAATCCAGAAGTGCTTAAAATGTGGTTTATATGTTCATACCTGTCATATTGTGCCTCTCAAATTTTATCCTACATAAAGATCACCTGGGGATCTTGCTAAAATGCAGATTCCACTTCAGTGAGTCTGGGTTGTGCTCCGGATTCTGCATTTGCTTTTTTTTTTTTTTTTTTTTTTTGTGAGACATAGTCTCACTCTGTTGCCCAGGCAGGAGTGCAGTGGTACAGTCCTGGCTCACTGCAACCTCCACCTCCTGGGTTCAAGCAATTCTCCTGCCTCAGCCTCTTCCAAGTAGCTGAGATTACAGGTGTGCACCACCACTCCCAGCCAATTTTTGTATTTTTAGTAGAGACAGGGTTTCACTATATTGGCCAGGCTGGTCTTGAACCCCTGACCTCAAGTGATCCACCAGCCTCAGCCTCCCAAAGTGCTGGGATTACAGGCATAAGCCACCATACCCAGCCCGGATTCTGCATTTCTAACAAGCTTATAGTGAAGCCAGTGTCAGAAGACCACACTTTGAGTAGCATGGCTCAGTGAGAAATCTTGCTTGATTGTACTTTTAAAAATAACTAAAAGAGTATTGTAATTGGATTGTTTGTAACACAAAGGATAAATACTTCAGGGGATGGATACCCCATTTACCCTGATGTGATTATTACACATTCCATGCGTGTATCAAATTTTCTCATATGCTCCATAAATATATACTCCTACTGTGTACCCACAAAATTTGAAATTAAAAGTTTTTAAAAAGGCCTCTTGTTCCAGAGGCCAAATGAGCTGACTGACAGTACATTTTTCCCTGTTTCTATCTCTTTAACCCCTCTTGGTGGCTGTGACTGACATGTGAAGTTTTGTCCACACCTTCTGGAGTCCCAAGTGTCTGGTTGACAGTGCAGTCTTCTTTTTAGCCTCTCAGTTTTGGAATGACAGGTTACAAAATGACTTGTTGGAAATATCGACCTGTAGGTGATGAGCTGGAAAAGGTCAAATGCCTTCTCTCATGGCTCTCCCAAAAACCAAAGTGAGTTCTCTCTCTCAGCTACCGGCTTCTTTCTGCATTTATTTTTCCTGCCCCTTCTCCAGTATGGGGAGTGGGTTGTTGTCGGTCACACCAAGCAGTAGCCAGATTTTTTGTTATTTCATATGGATTTTTTTCCTTTCGTAACATGGAGGAAGGGCCTTGTCTTTTAAGTATTTTACTTGTACCATTTGGCATTTGTGGCCTCCCTGAGTTTGTGATCTGATATCCCAAATTGTGCTTGAGCAAACACATCATGGCACCTGTTTGAAGTGACGAAATCATCTGCAGAGCCTTTTCCTGAAATAACCTCTCAGTGACCTGCACTTTCACCTTTCCTAATAAATGCAAGCTCCTAAATAAAGCCTTACATTTTTGACAGATGAATAAATTGTGCAGGTTTTTTCCTTTCTCTTCTCAATGCCCTCAGATTTTTCTAAAGTGTTTTAAGATTATCACCTCTCAAAAAGGTACCAGAATTTGACCAATTATGTAAGCTTAGAATCCAGAAAAAAAAAAATCATTGTAATAGACATGTTTGGCACACTCAAAGCAAAGCATATTTTTAGAATTATTCACATCTGGCTTTGGCATACATACTGAAATTTTTGCTGCAAAAACAATCACTTCTGTATATTTAAACATACCTTTATTTTGTTATAAAAACATGATTATGGTATGCCTTATTTTTAAAAAATAAAGTAGAAACCTTTAAACATTTATAATCCTACCATTCAAGGGTAACCACTGTTAAAATGTTGGCATTAACAAATAACTTAATACCTAGTGTTCCACCTCTCTTCCCTACCTCTGTTTTTTTCACTTGGCATTACAGTGTGTACCTCTTTCCATGTCATGAACATCTTTTGTGAGCATCATTCTTAATGAATGTATAGTCACATCATAATTACAAAAAAAGTATTTATTTTGATATTTAAATACCTTCATATTCTTGGAACACATACCAATTGATAGAAGAGAAAGGACTAGAAGCATGTTAAAATGTACGGAGAAATTGCTCCGGGTAGAATAAATAGCAGGAGAGCATCCATTAAAATAACTCTTTAAAATCATAGCTGTTAAAACAGAAAGTTTTTAAGAAATCATCTGACTTAGTTTCCTCATATGTCATCATGTGAATTGAGAAGAGCCTAGTTTGCCTGAGATCACAGAGGGTAGTACCTTGAGAGCAAGGACAGTTTTTTTTTTTTTTTTTTTTTGAGGCCGAGTTTTGCTCTTGTTGTACAGGCTGGAGTGCAGTGGCGCGTTCTTGGCTCACCACAACCTCCACCTCCCGGGTTCAAGCGATTCTTCTGCCTCAACCTCCAGAGTAGCTGGGATTACAGGCATGCGCCACCATGCCTGGCTAATTTTTTTGTATTTTTAGTAGAGACAGGGTTTCTCCATGTCGGTCAGGCTGGTCTCGAACTTCCGACCTCAGGTGATCCACCCGTTTCGGCCTCCCAAAGTGCTGGGATTACAGGTGTGAGCCACCGCGCCCGGCCCAAGGACAGTTTTTTTATTGTTGCATGTCTAGTGCCTCGTTTCATGCCTCTCTTGGGCCTGGCACCAGCAGGTGCTCAACTGATGTTTGAATGGAGGGCTAGAAGGAGAAAGAGATGGGCAGAAGGAGAAACAGTGTCCAAGGTCTCTGTGTCCTGGTTCCATTTGCCTCCTTTACTAAAGAAAGCATTCCAGCAGAGTCTGCCAGGAAAAGCACCCAGGCAGGGAAGAGCTGCCAGAGTATGCAGAAAGGGCACATCCTTGGCAGTGCCTGCATGGCTGAAAGTAAAAGGATGAAAATAGAAACCATCACGTTGTTGCAGATCCAGCACTAAAGTGAAGCATTTGAAACCTCAGCACACATTCTGATGAAGAAATGAAGCAAAGAGGGGAGGGAGGAGGAAAAAGGAAAACAAAACAAAATATCATGGACAGAATTTGAAGGTTAAAAAAAAAGAAATGGAGCGGGTTTAACATCTTTTAAGTTTGCGTAACGTAGACTTGTAACTGCTGGAGTGATCGTGGGGAAGGAGCATTTTTATACTATAGGAAATTATTTTATTTTAGTGTCCTTTTTTTAGAAATCTGAAGTGGTAGCATAATTCTAATTCGGAGGACCCCGCATTCTGTGAATGAGAATACTAGCATACTGGTGCAATCCAAAGGCAAGCCCATTTCAGTTCAAGGTGGGAGAGAGAAGTACAGGAAGTGACTGTCCGTTTTTTGCCTCCCTGCTTGTAAAATGGTGTTGGTGGGAGCCCTAGCAAATGGGAGCGGATCTGGAGGTATCCAGGCAAGGAAGTTTTATCCTGTCAGGGGAATGACACAAATCTGATACTTTAACACATGCATGATTATAACAAAGCCAGAGAGACGTATTTGTCTGCTGATATAGAGATTACTCTATTCAAATGGACATAAGGCAGTTTTAAGGAAGCAGTAGACATTGCAGGGGAAGTGAAGAGAGAGAGGAAGGCATTCCCACTTTCTTTTCTTTTTCTTTTTCTTTACTTTTTTTTTTTTTTTTTTTTTTTGAGACGGAGTTTCACTCTTGTTGCCCGGGCTGGAGTGCAGTGGCACAATCTCGGCTCACTGCAACCTCCGCCCTTCAGGTTCAAGTGATTCTCCTGCCCCAGCCTTCCGAGTAGCTTGGATTACAGGCGCCCACCACCATGCCCAGCTAATTTTTGTACTTTTAATAGAGGCAGGGTTTCACCATGTTGGCCAGGCTTGTCTTGAACTCCTGACCTCAAGGGGATCTGCCCACCTCGGCCTCCCAAAGTGCTGGGATTACAGGAGTGAGCCACCGCGCATGGCCGGCATTCTCAGTTTCTAAAAACAGATTTTCTTGTGGCAGAGCTTTCTTCTGTAAGATAACAATAAATAACAAAAAAAAATTTTAATAAAAAAATAAAGACATATTTTTTTGGTCTCACCAACCTTATACTCCCTTGTTGGTCACTTAAAATTTCAACAGAAAAAAAGACAGTATTTTTTGTTCAGTGACTAAGACACAGGGAACAGGTGCCCAGGAAGAATGTACTGGGAAACTGCTGTCCTGAGGTAGAGGAAACACGAGAGATTGCTTTGTGCAAGCATAACCCAGCACATGCATTGCTGTCCGGGGGATGGCCCAGCCAATACCCAGCTCTCAGTACCTTCCGTTCTCACCCTCAGGCACATTTACCCCCCGCTTCACCACAGCCACAATGACTGCCCGCCTCGTCATACCCTGGACCCTGCCTAATCCTGGAATCACCCATTCAGATGTTCCCAATTTCAGGCCACACTCTCCTTCAGGCCACACATATACAACATGTTCTCACTGTGTGGGGAAAAATCAACCTTTCCAGTTGATGCCGTACTAAATTCTTGTTTTGTTTTGTTTTGTCTTGTTTTTGTTTTCGTTTTTGTTTTTGTTTTGAGATGCAGTTTCGCTCTTGTGGCCCAGGCTGGAGTACAATGGCATGATCTCGGCTCACTGCAACCTCCACCTCCCAGGTTCAAGCAATTCTTCTACCTCAGCCTCCCGAGTAGCTGGGATTACAGGCATGTGCCACCATGCCCAGCTAATTTTTTTGTTTGTTTATTTTTGAGACAGAGTTTCGCTTTTGTTGCCCAGGTTGGAGTGCAATGGCACAGACTTGGCTCACTGCAACCTCCGCCTCCCGGGTTCAAGCGATTCTCCTGCCTCAGTCTCCTGAGTAGCTGGGATTACAGGCATGCACCACCACACCTGGCTAATTTTTTTTATATAGACGGAGTTTCACCATGTTGGCCAGGCTGGTCTCGAACTTCTGACCTCAGGTGATCCACCCGCCTCGGCCTCCCAAAGTGCTGGGATTACAGGCGTGAGCCACTGTGCATAGCCCTTTTTTGATTGTTTAGTTGGTTCTCTCTCCCATTCTCCACAGTGGCTGTCATGGACTCCATTTCACTCCTCAAACCCCAGACTTCATCCCTCATCCTTCTCTCTTAGCAAATGACCATGCTACCCCACCCAAAGAAAAAAACAAACAAAAACTTCAAATAAAAACTTGCCTCTAGGCCAGGCATGGTGGCTCATGCCTATAATCCCAGCACTTTGGGAGACTGAGTCAGGTGGATCACCTGAGGTCAGGAGTTCGAGACCAGCCGGGCCAACATAGTGAAACCCTGTCTCTATTAAAAACACAAAAATTAGCCAAGCAAGGTGGCATGCACCTGTAATCCCAGCTATTCAGGAGGCTGAGGTGGGAGGATCACTTGAACCTGGGAGGCAGAGGTTGCAGTGAGCCGAGATCGCATCACTGCACTCCAGCCTGGGTGACAGAGTGAGACTCCATCTCAAAAAAAAAAAAAGAAAAAGAAAAAAAACCAACAACTTCCTGCCTGGGAATCTAGAAACCTAACTGTGTATACACCTGTCCCCTTCCCTGCTGATCAGTGGAGGAGCTGGCCCTGCTCTGTTTCAGCCTGACCCACACGCCTCACCCCAGATAGAGTTTCCACCTTTGAGGAACCTCACGCTATTGCTTTTCTTCTCTCTCATTGCTTCAACTTTTTTCTCTCTGGGGTCTCGTTCCATCAGTGTCAACCTGCCCCACTCTCTCAAAGACAAAACAAGACTTTGTTAATCCCACCTGGCCCTCCAGCTCCCCTCCTCCTACCAACTGCCAAACCAAGAGGGCTGTCCATCCTCACCTCTGTCTCCCAGTCACTCCCCGACACCTGGCAAACTGGCTCCCACCCTCACAGCACCCTTGCCCGTATCACCAGTGACCTTTTCGGTCCTTATTTGAGCTTTTGGCAACACTGGAGACCTCCATTCCTTTCATTAGATTCCTTCTGGTTCCTCTGGCTGCCAGGGCATGCTCCTTCCCAGCTTTTCTCCCACTGTGTGTGTGTGCGTGGTGCTCATGCACACACTGCAGTTCTCCAGCCCTGGCACTCAACACACTGTGTGTTGTAGTTGCATGTTTATTAATGATCTTTCTCTTCAGCCAGAAAGTAAAATGAATATTTTACTATGCATGAATATTTGCTGAACAAATATTCAACATTTTGTTGAATTTTAAGTTCAAATCTATTTTGAAAGGCAAACACAGAAATAATATTTAAGATTTCGTGGCCCTCTGGTAAAAACAAATTTAGTCATTAAAGCCCATGTTCCAGAAATCTACTTTGGCCAAGAGTAAGAGACATTAGTTAATGTGTTCCCTAAAAGGTTATTAATCTAAACCTTTAGGGAACACGGTGACTCCCAACCACCACTGGCTCTGTTCTAGAACTCAATGAGTTGCAAGATGTCAGGAAGGAAGAAGAGTTACTGGTGCTCCTATGTTCCCACTCATGTCAAAAGTAAGATTTAGTATTTAGTTAGACACAGCCCTGGATCTCTTAGTACCACCATCAGTGCCGCAGGTGCGCCCTGCTGATATCCATGTTTTATTGTGGAGTTGGAAAGGTGTGACAATTTGCTTATGATTCATTTGAAAAATAAACTTGTTTAATTCCATAGAACTGTGATAAATTAAGTTAGTAAGGAAACAGAATAAAAGTGACGTTTCTTAGACTGGCCATTGCTCATCACTTCTGACATTTTCAGATTCCTTGCCTCTGCTTATTTTTGAAAAACAAAACAAAGCATGAAAGTTAAGTCAGAAGCTAATGAAAAAGTTTATTTGTTCGTTTTGTTTTGTTGTTTTGTTTTCATTTTTGAGGTGGAGTCTTGCTCTGTCACCCAGGCTGGAGTGCAGTGGCACGATCTTGGCTCACTGTGACCTCCGCTTCCCAGGTTCAAGTGATCCTCCTGCCTCAGTCTCCAGAGTAGCTGGGATTACAGGTACACACCACCACACCCAGCTAATTTTTGTATTTTTGGTAGAGACGGGGTTTCGCCATGTTGACCAGGCTGGTCTCGAACCACTGACCTTAGGTGATCCACCCGCCTTGGCCTCCCAAAGTGCTGGGATTACCAGTGTGAGCCACTGCACCCGGCCTAATGAAAAAGTTCATCTATGGGATGGAAGAGATAGGTATGGAATGACTGTAATTTTGACTTTTGAGCCTTGAAAATGATTTATATATTCAAAAATAAAATAATGGGGAAAGGCAAACTTAAAATTTAATACAAACAAATGGAGGAACCTAACTGCATATCACATTGATAACATTAACCACACAGCAAAAAGAATTAATTCAAGTAATTTTTTAACAGTTTTCTTACTGTATGTTGTTAATGTGACATATCCTATGGGGAAAAAGATTGGAAAGAAATCTTGAATTTGAATTAGAATGTTTGTTACTGGGAGTATTACTGATAATCTTAAAACTATTTTGTGTATATCATAGGAGAGAGCCGATAGGTAAATAGCTTAATGGTTCTTTTTTTTTTTTTTTTTTTTTTTTTTTTTGAGATGGAGTCTCGCTCTGTCCCCCAGGCTGGAGTGCAGTGGCGTGATCTCGGCTCACTGCAAGCTCCACCTCCCGGGTTCACACCATTCTCCTGCCTCAGCCTCCCAAGTAGGTGGGACCACAAGCGCCCGCCACCGCGCCTGGCTAATTTTTTGTATTTTTAATAGAGATGGGGTTTCACCATGAGAGTCAGGATGGTCTCGATCTCCTGACCTCATGATCCGCCCTCCTCGGCCTCCCAAAGTGCTGGGATTACAGGCGTGAGCCACCGCACCCGGCAGTAGTTGAATGTTGAAAACCAGGGTTCTCAAATGAAAGATGGGAACTTCAAATGTGAAATGGGAAAATAAGAAATATTCATTTTAGGTTTAAATTGGCAATGAAAGGGTGAAGTCATAATTTGAAAAAAGAAAAATCCTCCTGTCCACTGAAAGACAGGGTCTCACTCTGTTGCCCAGGTTGGAGTGCAGTGGCATGATCATGCCCCATTCCAGCCTCGAACTCCCAGGCTCAAGTAATCCTCCCACCTCAGCCTCCCAAGTATTTGGAACTACAGGCACATGCCACCACACTTGGCTAATTTTTTTTAGAGACAAGATCTCACCACGTTGCTCAGGCTGGTCTCAAACTCGTATCTGTGAGCACATGGAGCATTTAGGTTTGGGCTTGTAACACCATTCCCCACTGTCCCAGCTCTGAAGTGGAAACATTTCTGGAATATTTTGTTGTGCCAGAAAGTGAGAAAGTGCAAAGATTGATTGGAGCATGCCAAAAGGACATGGCAGCCTGCCTGAGGGGATTTATGGCTAAATTTGGAAATTTCTAGCGTCACAAGGAATGATAGCAATGGATTGCAACCTATTGAAAAATTTTTTAAAACCCATGAGTCCAGAACAATACTAAAAAATAAAAGGAACAGGAGAAGTGAGAGGTTAGGGGAATGCCTTCTCTACAGAAGAGTACCAGTTAATAAATGCAGGAAAAATGATGGAATTAGAAAATCCCCACTTTGTAGTACCAATGTGTAATTATTGATTCTGACAAAGATGGATACTAAAGCCATTGAATAAAATGTCATTAGGGGGCCGGGCGCGGTCGCTCACGCCTGTAATCCCAGCACTTTGGGAGGCCGAGGGGGGCGGATCATGAGGTCAAGAGATCGAGACTATCCTGGTCTCTACCATTTATAGTAGAGATAGTAAAACCACATCTCTACTATAAATACAAAAATTAGCCGGGCGTAGTGGCACATGCCTGTAATCCCAGCTACTCAGGAGGCCGAGGCAGGAGAATCACTTGAATCCAAGAGGCAGAGGTTGCAGTGAGCCGAGATCGCGCCACTGCACTCTAGCCTGGGGACAGAGAGAGACACCATCTCAAAAAAAAAAAAAAAAAAAAAGTCAGGGAACAAATATTCACAAAGTCTCAAAGTATCATCCCATGGATCAAAAGCTAACAAAGAGGGAAAGGTATCTCTACAATGGAGAGATCTGGCAGTAGACACTGCCATAACCAAGTAATCAAAATTTGGCATCTCCAGTTATGAGACAAACTGACATTATGTGCAAAAAAGCACACAATGTCACCTATGAGGTATAATTGCCAAAACTGTTCAACCTGAGTCTGATCACAAGGAAGCTTCCAGACAGATCCAGATGATGTGGCATCTTACAAAACAATTAGCTTGAATTTTAAAAAATAATGTCATGAAAGATTAAAAAGAAAAAAGGTAAAAGAAAAGTCAGGGAGGCTGTTGGTTATTTTAAACATGGAGAATAAAGAGACATGACAACCAAGTATAATAATTCATTTATTTTTTAGTGGACAAAGATTGTATATATTTTTGATATAGAACATGACATGTTAAGTAAACATTATGGAATGGCTAAATCAAACTAATGAACATATCCATTACCTCACATACTTATTATTTGTTTGTGGTGAAGAACATTTAAAATCTACTCTCTTAGCAATTTTCAAGTGTAAAATATATTATTATTAACTATAATTACCATGTTGTACAATCAATTCCCTGAACTTTTCCTCCTAACTGAAATTTTGTGTCCTTTAATAAACCTAATCTCCCCAGCCCCAAAACCCATGCTTAATTCTTAATTGGATACTTGAGTAAAATATAAAAAGTTAAAACACAGCTCTGGGACAATTACTGAAACTCGAATATGGGCTGTGTATTAAAGAATATTATACTGATGTTGGTTCAGTTCCATAGATGTAATAATGATATTGTAGTTATACAGGAGAATGCCTTTGCTCTTAGGAAGAGCATATTGAAGGATTTAAGGGTAAAGTATTATGATATACGTTACTTATTTCCAAATTATTTAGCAAAAACACAACAATAAAAAGTAACAAAGGAAAAGCAAATGTAGCAAAATATTAACAACTGATTAATCTAATTGAAGAGTATACAGGTATTTATGACACTAGTCTTTCCATTTCTGCAGTAGTCAAAATAGAATGTGAAGTTAAAATAGTTGCTTTTCATTGATAATGTATCTTTCAGATGGAATTCTGTAGAGTTATTATTGTCCTCAAATAGTTTCTAAAACATGGATGGGTAATTTACATTCCCCCTTTTTAAGAAGTTTTAATTATTGAATAGATCAAATTTATAAAGGATATTTTAAAAATCACAATGGAATGAGCACTCATTACCCACCAAAATAAGGAACATGGAAGACTGTTCCTCCCTGGTGCGCCTCCTTGATGCTAATGTCCCTCTCTTTTCAAAAGTAACCATTACACTGAATTTTGTGTTTATCATTCCCTTGCTTTTATTTATAGTTTTACCATAATGCCTTAACTTCTAAACCATATGTGCTTAATTTCATATACTTTAAACCTAAGTGGAACTACATTCTACGTATTCTCCTGTGATTTATATTTTATGCTTAATGTTACGTCCCTGAAGTTGTTCCTGCTGTTGTTTGTAGCTGTAATTCATTCATTTTACTGATTTTTAGTATTCTTTTATATAAATACATCACATATCTTTTAAAAAGCACAATTCTACTACTGATGTACATTTGTAATGTTTCTAGTTTTTTGATTCCTTCAAACAGTGCTGGTACACATATAAGAGTTTCTCTGGGAATAGAATTGTTGGAGCACAGGTTATGAACATTTTAAATTTTACCAAAGAATGCTAAATTTTTTCCAAAGTGATTATATTTACACTCCCACCTGCAATGTATGTGCTTCAGTAAATATTTGGTATGCGCATACCTCCTTAAAATTTTTTTTATTTTAAAATAATTTTAGACATAAAAAAGTTGCAAAAATAGTACAAGGGATCTGAAAATGAAATTGAGAAAATTTTAATCACAAGAATATCCAAAAAATACATAGGAATGAATTTGACAAAAGAAGTGCAAAGCTTATGCTTTGAAATAATGAAGCATTGCTGAACAAAATTAAAGAATACCTAAATAAATGAAAAGACATATTTATAAAATTGAAGATATATTAATATTTTTAAGATGACCATATTCCCCCAAATTGGTGTACAGATTCAATGCATCCCCTACCAAAATCCCAGCTGGCTTCTTTGCAGAGATTTACAAGCTGATCCTAAAATTCATGTGGAAATTTGAGGACCCAGCATACCCAAAACATTATTGAAAAAGAATAACGTTGGAAGACTCTCACTTCCCCATTTTAAGCTACAGTAAACTATATAAGCTACTGTACTCAAGACAGTGTGGTGATGACAAAATGATAAACATATAGATAAACAAGATGGTATTGAGATTCCAGAAATAAACCTCCCATTTACAATCAATTCAGTTTTGACAAGGGTGCCAAGACAGTTTAACAGAGAAAGAACAGTCTTTTCAACGAATGATGCTGGGACAACTGAATATCCACATGCAAAAGAATAAAGTTTGACCTCTACCTCACATACAAAAAATAACTCAAAATGGATCAAAGACCTAAATGTAAGATTTACAATTACAAAATTCTTAGAAGAAAATGGGTATAAATATTTGTGACCTTGGAATACTAATAATTATTTCTTGTATATGACACCAAAAGCATAAACTTTTATACATAAACTGGACAATCCTCAAAATTCTAAATATTTGTACTTCAAAGGACCTCATCAAGAAAGTGAAAAGACAAGCCACAGAATGGGAGAAACTATTTGGAAATCATTTATCTGATACAGGACTATATCTACAATATTCAAGGACCTGTTACAACTCAATAATAAAAAGACAAATTGTTTAATTAAGATATGGATGAAGGATCTGAATAGGCATCTGTCCAAAGGAGATACATGAATGGCCAATGAACACATGAAAAGATGTTCCTCATTAGCCATTGGAGAAATGCGAATCAAAACCACAATGAGAGACTGCTACACACCCCACTAGTATGACCCATAAAAGAGAGGTAGTAAGAATTGTTGAATATGTGGAGAAGTTGGAACCTCGTACACTGCTGTTAGGAATTTAAAATGGTACAGCCGCTTTAGAAAACAGTCTAGTGGTTGTCCAAATGATTAAATATAGAGTTACTCTATGATCCAGAAATTCCACTCCAAGATATGAAATGAGCCGGGCGCAGTGGCTCACACCTGTAATCCCAGCACTTTGGGAGGCCAAGGCGGGCGGATCACAAGGTCAGGAGATTGAGAGCATTCTGGCTAACACAGTGAAACCCTGTCTCTACTAAAAACGCAAAAAAATTAGCTGGGCGTGGTGGCATGCACCTGTAGTCCCAGCTACTCAGGAGGCTGAGGCAGGAGAATGGCATGAACCCGGGAGGTGGAGCTCACAGTGAGCCGAGATCATGCCACTGCACTCCAGCCTGGGCAACAGAGCGAGACTCCATCTGAAAAAAAAAAAAAAAAAGATACGAAATGAGAGAGAAGTGAAAATATACGTGCATGCAAAAACACAAATGTTCATAGCAACATTATTCATAATAGCAAAAAAGCAGAAAAACCCAAATATCCACCAAGTGATGAATGGATAAATAAAATGTGGTATATCCATACAATGGAATATTAACAATAAAGAGAAATAAAGTATTGATGCATACTACAACGTGGATGAAACTTGAAAACATCATTCCAAGTGAAAGAAGCCAATCACACAAGATTGCATCTTGTACAATCCCACTTGCATGAAATGTCTAGAATAAGCCAGTCTATAGAGACACAAAGTAGACTGTGATTGCCTAGGGATGGGGGTGTTGAGGGAAGAATTGAGGGGTTAAATGTATGGAGTTTCCTTAGGAGGTGATGAAAATGTTTTAAAATTGTGGTGACTGTTGTCCAACTCCATGAATATATACTAAAAGCCATTGAATTATACATTATAAATGGGTAAATTATATGTGAATACATGCTTATATCAATCACAAACGCTGTTAAAAAATCATAGAGTTCGCTAAACCCTTCACTCAGTTTCTCTTAAAGTTAACAACTTACCTAACTATAATACAATTATCAGAGCAGGAACTCAGTGCCAGAATGATACTGTTAACGAAAGATCTCACCAATCTTTCTCTTCATGTCGTTTTTCCTGTTCCAGGTTCCAGTCCAGGTTCACACATTGCATTCAGTTATGTCCTCTTCATCTCCTGCAATCTATGACATTTCTTCAGTCTTTCCTGGCTTTTCATGACCTTAAGTGAATACTAATCAATTGTTTTGTGTAGGGAATGTTTGAGTTTTCTCACAATTAAATTGAGGTTTTGAGTTTTTGGCAAGAAAACCACAAAAGTGATACTGTGTCCTCATTGCATCATGTCAGGGAGTACATGAGGTTGATGTTTTATTATTGGTGATGTTAACCTTGATCACTTGATTAAGGTATGTCTGCCAAGTTTCTGCATTGTAAAGTTACTAGTTTCTTCTTTGGAAGTGATTTAAAATCTTGTGGAAATATTTTGAGCAATGGTAATATCCTGTTTTCATCAAACTTTCAACCACTAATTTTTGCATCCATTAGTGGATCTTGCCTGCAATTTATTGTAGTATTTCCAAGTTGATGATTTTCTGTCATTTTTTCCCTACATTTACTAGTAGGAGTTTGTTAATTAAATTCTGTAAGGAAAAGCTGTTCCTCCTCATTTATGTATGTATTTATAAATACAGGTCATTTTTATTTTATTCTATGGGTTATTTCCAACACTATAGTGATGATCATTATTATTTTGCTCAAATTTTCCAGCATTGGCCATTGGAGGCGCCTTCAGGCAGGCTCTTGTGGTTTTTTTTAACATATTATCATCCATTTTCACATACTGTTTTCTTACTTTCTGAAACCATAAGATATTCGAGGGTTACTTTGTATTGTTCTGCCTCAACACTGGGATTAACCTTTTTTCCAAGAAACCTGATTCCTTGTATTGAAGAATGGTATTTAGAAATGAAAATGTGGGCGTTAAGTGTGCCCATTGCTACTAGGATGTCATTGTGCCTAAGTCCACTCAGCAGACAGAGCTAGGAAATGATATGTATGTATATTAACCCATGAATGCACACATATACCTCTCTATTTCTATATCTACCTATCTATGTTTAAAAATATGAGTTATTTGTAACTTCTTTCTCTGACAGGAAGAAACCTAGTTCTCATTATCTACAATATATTCACTTCTTTGACTTTTTTTCTGGTAATTACACAATTACTAACTCATACTTCTGTGCCCAAACCACTGTCTTATTAACAAAGAAATTCTTAATTTCCAGTGAGACAAACCTCTCCCATGTTTTCTACTTCAGAACTATCTTGACTCTTTTTGGTTCTTTGCTCGGCCATATACATTTTAAAAACATTTTTTCAAGTAAAATTTAAAAAATCAAACCTGTTGGGCTAGGATCATGCCTATAATCCCAGTGCTTTGAGAGGCCAAAGCTGGAGGACTGCTTGAGGCCAGGGGTTTGAGACCAGCGTGGGCAACATAGTGAGACCCCCATTTCTATTAAAAAAAAAAAAATCTTAGCCAGGCATGCTAGCACATGCCTGCAGGCCCAGCTACTCAGGACGCTGAGGCAGGAGGATAGCTTGAGCCCAGTAGCTCAAGGCCACAGTGAGATGTGATCACACGACTGCACTCAGCGTGGGTGACAGAACAGGACTCTTGTCTCTTTAAATTTTTTTTTAAAAAAGGTAATTTTATTGGAATTACATTAAGTCTCTAGATAAGTTTGAGGAAAATTTAATTTTTATTTTATGATATAGCTCTATTTAGATCATTTTTAACATAATTAATAGTTTCATCATTTTCTCCATAAAGGTCTTACATACGTTTTGTAAGATTTATTCCTAGATACATAATATTTTTTGAACTTACTGTAAATGTTTTTTTAAAGTACATTTCCTAACTACTGCTTGTGTACAGAAATGCAACTGATTTTTGTAAATTGATTTTGAATCTATCAACTAAATTCTTATTGATTCATCCATAGATTATTTTGTGTTTTCTACACAGACATATTATTAGTAAACAATGATAGTTTTGTTCTTACTTGTTTTGTTTCTTTGTAGTTATAAGCCAAATATATATATCTCAGGATATACAATTACAAAATGTGAGTCAGGCTGCACAATATGCATAGAAAAAAAACAGGAAAGAAAGCACAAAAATGGAAGCAGTGAATTAAAGAATTATGGATACATTTTTATTTTTAAATGTATCTCTATACTTTCCAGTTTTTCCAAAATAAGTATCTATCACTTTCATTATGAGGAAAAAAAACAAAAATAAAAGCAAGTCTATAACACAATTTAAAAGTAGGGATGATCTACTAAAAATGCCCAGCTGCAAATAAAACAATCAGGTAGCTCTGATGTGCCTGCTGAGGACAGAGCCAGCACCCTGCATAGTTATGGACTAATATACTGTGTTATATCCAAGAAAACAACCTCTTAGATTTCTGGAACTTTGTTTTTCCAGTAAGGGAATGTATGGAATTGACCTGTCAAAGATACACAGTCATCTTTACACTGGACCTTAGCCAAAAAACCACAATCGGTCTTTATTTCATTTGTTTTGAAAGGCAGCAAACTCTTAATTATCAATACAGTATATTTTATCCTCTTTATGAATTATTTATGATCTTTTTAGGATGGCTTAACTCACGCTGCTTATTTCCTAAGGATAGACAGGAAATACAGACTAATTTGCAACTGGTACTACACTCCCTATTTTACAGATAAGGAAACAGACACTTCAGAGATTAAGTAGGTTCTTTTGTCTAATGCCTCTACCTGCTTCCTCTGCCTACCCCATAGTACCTTGTCTCCATCATGACACTCATCAGAATTTTCTGTCTTCTCCATCATGAACTCCATGAGATTTAGATCTTAGTCCTGTTCCCCTCTATCCCCAGACCTAGCACAGTAAGTGGCATGGCACACAGTAGATGATCAATAAATAGCTATCGAAGGTTGAATGAGTTTTTTCCTCTCTTTTGTTTCTTTTTTTTTTTTTTTTTTTTTGAAACAGTCTCACTGTATTGTCCAGGCTGGAGTGCAGTGGTGTGATCTCGGCACACCGCAACCTCGGCCTCCTGGGTTGAAGCGATTCTCCTCCTCAGCCTTCTGAGTAGCTGGGACTACAGGCGTGCGCCACCACACCCAGCTAATGTTTGTATTTTTTATAGAGATAAGGTCTCACTATGTTGCCCAAGCTGGTCTGGAACTCCTGGCCTCAAGTGGTGCGCCTGTCTTAGCTTCCCAAAGTGCTGGAATTACAGGCATGAGCCACCACACCCAGCCACAATCCACTTTCACAAAAAATCACAGTACCTGCCAAATTAAATGTTTGATTGATTGCTTTTGGAAATATTCACAGCAAAATTTGACTACATTTGGGTGGGAATTGAAAACAAATGGTGAGTAAAGCCTCCTAATGAACAGTGTTTGAAAGCAAAATTACCTTTCTCTCCACCTTTTCTGGTATAAAGAATTTTTCATATGGTAAAACTTTTTTTCTGTTATACCGTTTAGGCCTGTTAGTATTACAGATTCTAGATGCTAATTGCATGTAATTGTTCACTGAGCTGCATTTATATTAAAAGAAAAGACAGATAAAATTAAGTCAATATAATTCATAAAAGTCTCTTCATTTAAAGGAAGATTTCTTCTTTTAATCAATTATCTCAACAACAGTTTTATGTGCCTAGAACTACTTTAGATGTGTGCAGAAGTAATTTTATTATAGACAGAGATAATGATACAGTATCAAAGTTTCATAGTTTCTAATATTTTGAGAATATAGCAGTCATGACTAATTCAGTTCAGTTTATTAAGTTGGTACCTAAATCCAACATTCACTGAGGTCTGCCAGTGCTCTAAATACTGTGCAAGATGGTCACTGTATAAAAATGAGTAAAACACTACCATGAAAAGCTGACAATCTAACGTGGTATCCTTGAACATTATATTGGTTTTTTTTTTCTTGTATATGGTTTGTTGCCAAATTTAGGGTTAAAAAGGCTTATATTAATTTGGTCAAGAGCTGTAGCCCAAAGCTTAATTTTTTTCCAGGTGGCCTGTTGAAGCCATTAGCAGCAGCATGTTATATACAAATAGAATTTAATGAAGCAAAGGTCTCATACACTCAGCTGCCTTTATCTCATGTACCAGAATGTTCCCTGTATTTGTGTCAGGGATGGGAGGTGAGCGGCAGTGTTACAAAGAAAAGGATATCTGATATTTCCTCCTCATACTGTGATGGGGAACATAAGAAAGAAAAAACATCTGCTCTGTAAATCTCTTCATACAGTTGGTACCCAGTGTCAGCTGACAATGAACTCAAGTCTATCTCCTGTGTGTGTGTGTATGTGTAAAAGTGTGTTAAAAGATGAACTTTTTTCTTCTTGGCAGGTGTCCTTGTAGACTTGGGTCTGGAGGAAAATGGGACAGCCCATCAGAGAGCAGAAAAATATGTTGTTCGTCTAGACAATGAGATTCAAACCAAGTTTGAAGTTTTTATGAGGAGAGTGAAACAGAACCCGTACACACTGTTTGTGCTAGTTCATGACAACTCCCATGTGGAACTAACGAGGTGATTGGTTCAGAGTGAGCAAATGGAGTCTCCCTTCTACAGGAATAATTGTTACCTAATGAAATATGTTAAAGATGGCCAGGCGCGGTGGCTCACACCTGTAATCCCAACACTTTGGGAGGCTGAGGCGGGTGGATCACTTGAGGTCAGGAGTTAGAGACCAGCCTGGCCAACATGGTGAAACCCCATCTCTGCTAAAAATATAAAAATTAGCTGGGCCTGGTAGTGCATGCCTGTAATCCCAGTACTTGGGAGGCTGAGGCAGGAGAATTGTTTGAACCCAGGCGCTGGAGGTTCCAGTGAGCCAAGATCACACCACTGCACTCCTGTCTGGGTGACAGAGTGAGACTTTGTCTCAAAAAAAAAAAAAAAAAAAGAAAGAAAAGAAAATGTGTTAAAGGTGATTCCAAAGCCCAGGGACCCTAATCTTTGCCATCTTCTTACTGGTAACTTTTTCCTACCCTTTTCTTGCTTCCTCGACTTCTCTCATCGATTTCATGTTGGTTTTATGTTAACTACATATATTAGTCCATTTTCATGGTGCTAATAAGGACATACCCGAGACTGGGAAAATTTACAAAAGAGGTTTCATTGGACTCACAGCTCCTCGTAGCTGGGGAAGCCTCACAATCATGGCATAAGGCAGGGAGGAGCAAGTCACATCTTACATGGATGGCGGCAGGCAAAGAGAGAATGAGGAAGATGTAAAAGCAGAAACCTCTGATAATATCATCAGATCTCGTGAGACTTACTGTCACAAGAACAACACGGGAAAGACCCGCCTCCATAATTCAGTCATCTCCCACTGGGTCCCTCCCACAACACGTGGGAATTATGGGAGCTACAAGATGAGATTTGGGTGGGGATACAGAGCCAAACCATATCTTTCTGCCCCTGGCCCCTCCCAAATCTCATATCTTCACATTTCAAAACCAATTATGCCTTCCCAACAGTCTCCCAAAGTCTCAACTCTTTTCAGCATTAACCCAAAAATCCAAGTCCAAAGTCTCATCTGAGACAAGGCAAGTCCCTTCTGCCTAGGAGCCTGTAAAATCAAAAGCAAGTTAGTTACTTCCTAGATAGAATGGGGGTACAGGCATTGGATAAATACAGCCATTACAAATGGGAGAAATTGGCTAAAACAAAGAGGCTACTGGCACCAGTAGGAACTCAGTGTGGTGGGTCTGACCCCACATTTCCCTTCCACACTGCCCTAGCAGAGGTTCTCCATGAGGGCCCCACCCCTGCAGCAAACTTTTGCCTGGGCATACAGGCATTTCCATACATCTGAAATCTAGGCAGAGGCTCCCAAACCTCAGTTGTTGACTTCTGTGTACCCACAGGCTCAACACCATGTGGAAGCTGCTTCCACCCTCTGAAGCAACAGCCCAAGCTGTACATTGGCCCCTTTAGTCATGGCTGGAGCAGCTAGGATGTGGGGCTCCAAGTCCCTAGGCTGCACACAGCACAGGGCCCACCCCAAAAAGCCACTTTTCCCTCCTGGCCCACAAAAATACTTTTTCCTCCTAGGCCTCTAGGTCTGTGGATGGGAGGGGCTGCCATGAAGACCTCTGACATGCCCTGGAGACATTTTCCCCCATTGTCTTGGGGATTAAGATTCCGCTCCTTGTTACTTATGCAAATTTCTCCAGCCAGAAACTCCCCCTTATGATACTATCAGATCTCATGAGACTTTCTTTATCACAAGACCAGCATGGGAAAGACCCATCCCCATAATTCAATCATCTCCCACCGGGTCCCTCCCACAACACATGGGAATTATGGGAGCTACAAGATAAGATTTGGGTGGGGAAACAGAGCCAAACCATATCACTGCACTCTGGATGAATTTAGAGATTCCTGAAAAAATTTTGTTTTAAGAGCTTTGTGGAACTCAGCTTCATTAGAGAAAGGACAGCAATAAGGAGGTTAAGATGAATGAGCTCCTGGAAGGGAGATGTGCTTCCCTCTCTGCCTCCACCCCACTTTTCCATTTGGCCTTGCTTCTTTTCCTTCCTCTCTCACTATTTCTCCTCTTCCTTGCCCTTCTCCCCTCTTGCCTTTAAAAGCAGTAGAGATGCCACTTTGATGACCTGAAAGCTTCCCCAGTTTCCCAGTTTAAACAAGAGAGTATCATATTTACTGGATGAACTTATTATTATTTTTGAGATAGAGTCTCACTCTGTCACCCAGGCTGGAGTGCAGTGATGCGATCTCGGCTCACTGCAACCCCCGCCTTCCGGGTTCAAGCAATTCTGTGCCTCAGCCTCCTGAGTAGCTGGGATTACAGACGCCCGCCACACGTCTGGCTAATTTTTGTATTTTTAGTAGAGATGGGGTTTCAACATCTTGGCCAGGCCAGCCTTGAACTCCTGACCTCGTGATCCACCCACCTTGGACTCCCAAAGTGCTGGGATTACAGGCGTGAGCCACCATGCCTGGCCTGGATGAACTTATTAATGAAAGAAAAGTTGGCAGGGTGCGGTGGCTCACACCTATAATCCCAGCACTTTGAGAAGCCAAGGTGGGTGGATTACTTGGGGACAAGAGTTCAAGACCAGCCTGGCCAACATGGTGAAACCCCATCTCTACCAAAAATACAAAAAAATTAGCTGGGCGTGGTGGCACATGCCTGTAATCCCAGCTACTAGGGAGGCTGAAGCAGGAGAATCACTTGAACCCAGGAGGCAGAGGTTGCAGTGAGCGGAGATTATGCCACTGCACTCCAGCCTGGGTGACACAGAGAGAGACTCCGTCTCAAAAAAAAAAAAAAAAAAAAAAAAAAAGAGTCAAATATGGATCCATATTTGCTCCCAGATCAAATTCTAGTAATTATCTGGTAGGGGGCATCTTTGCTCCTATGGATCAAAAAGCAAATCAGCAGGGGTCGGGGGTGGCAAATAGTCATCGTGTATTACATATCATGGTTTGTCCTCACCATGTAGTGGGGAGAGAAATTTCAGACATCATCAAGCATTTGTAGATGTTCTTTTCTCCAGGAGATGCTGAGGTTAGGAATCTGGAAGTTTTTGGTTTGTGGTAGGGAAATGTCAGAATTGCAAAGCTCTTTTTCAGAAGCCAGAAAGTGTTTGATAATACTCCACAATCTGAAACCTAGAGCCATACATAGGTATAAATAAGATCTTGTAGAACTTGTTAGATTTTGAAGAAAGGAAGGGAGGGAGAGAGAGAGAGAGCGGGAAAAGAAATTTTGCCCACATCTGTTTAGGTCTTGGTAGTCTTCTATGAGCAGGAATAGCTCATTGACCCTGTACACCTCATCTTTGAAAGTTTTGGGTGATATTTCTGAGGATACATGTTGGGACTTCTCTGAATTTAATTTTTTGTTGTTGTTGTTTTGGGGTTTTGTTTTTTTTTTAAACAGTCTAGCTGTGTTGCCCAGGCTGGAGCACAGTGGCGTGATTTCTGCTCACCGCCACCTCCTCCTCCTGGTTCAAGCAATTCTCCTGCCTTAGCCTCCCGAGTAGCTAGGATTACAGGCACACACCGCCACACCCAGCTAATTTTTTTTGTATTTTTTTTTTTTAATAGAGACGGGGTTTCACCATGTTGGCCAGGCTGGTCTTGAACTCCTGACCTCAGGTGGTCCATCTGCCTTGGCCTCCCAAAGTGCTGGGATTACAGACGTGAGCCACCATGCCTGGCCCAACTGCAGATTTAGATATCACTGGCCTAAATGACTGAGTTTGCACTTTGAGGTATATTGGGAATAAAGTGAAAAGGAAAAAAAATACATATTCCTGAAATCTGTCTGAAAAGAAGGAATGTAAATTTTTTTTCCTTTCCGTGTCAAATTTTAGTTGTTTCTTCTCTGCTCCCAATTGAAAAGAGATAGAAAAATAAAAACTAAAACAGTATGTCCATGTTAGTGTCTGATTCTATATCTACTTGGTTAAATGAGGTATTAATATGACTTTCAATTTTTCTACAGTGTCATTTCAGGCTCTTTGTCACATAGCGAACCCAGTCATGGGCTAGCTGATAGAGTCATTAATTGCAGAGAAGTTCTGGAAGCTTTCAACCTCCTGGTGCTCCAGGTCAGCTCCTTCCCATACACTCTGCAGACCCAACAGTCCCGCATTAGCTCTAGCAATGAGGTTCACTGGATACAGCTGGATACTGGGGTGAGTCTCTTGCCTGCTGTCTGATACACTGTCATGTTCTCAGTTCCCAAGAGGGTAGGACCTTGTAACAAAATGTGTCATGGCTTAAGACCATATTCATAAGAATTCAAAATCTAACGTAATGCTTTATGTAAGAGTTCAAAAATCTGGCTGGGTGCGGTGGCTCACACCTATAATTCCAGCACTTTGGGAGGCCGAGGCGGGTGGATCACAAGGTCAGGAGATCGAGACCATCCTGGCTAACACGGTGAAACCCCGTCTCTACTAAAAATACAAAAAATTAGCCGGGTGTGCTGGCACACGCCTGTAATCCCAGCTATTCAGGAGGCTGAGGCAGGAGAATCACTTAAACCCGGGAGGCGGAGGTTGCAGTGAGCGGAGATTGTGCCACTGCACTCCAGCCTGGGGGACAGAGCGAGACTCCGTCTCAAAAAAAAAAAAAACAAAAAACTAACATAATTCTGTATCTTCCAAAAGTTCCATATATTTTAACAATTATTATAAGACTAAAGGCTTGTGAATAATATCCTATATAAATTTGATTAGGTGGTTCTTAGGTATCATGCAGATACAAAATTATCTGTCGTATATAATTTTTCAAAAAGAAAATGTTGATGTTATCTGAGGCCATCATCAATATCCTGGATTTCCTTTGTGCCTTCATATGATTAATTTCACCCTGAGACCTGGACATTTTATTGTCCTCTTGGATGGCCTTTTTGTCATGTTTTAGTCTGATGATCTGCATCACTGTTAATTACTCTCTTGCTCCTCCAGCAACTGGGTTTTTGTTTTAAATCAGTTTTCACAGTCTTCTGTATGAAATGGGATGATGGCACTGTTACTTTAGATAACTCCATAGTAGCAGTGAATGTGTTGAGACTACCCATCTCAACATTGGATATATCCAGGGATTTATAGTTTTTACTCCAATCTCTAATATTGAAAAATATTTTCTATGACCTGAAACTGTATGCTAAATATACTATCAAAGAAAAGAAATGTGAGTTTCATAAAAATAATAAAAATTAGCCATTAAGCAATGGATCCCTCATTTAAAAATATTGAACACACTGGATATTTTAAAATAAACATGTTTAAGTAAAAAACACCAAAAATGTCTTACATAAAACTAACATTTATTTTTCAACCCAGTGCATTTTATTCTGTCATGAAGTAGGTAAGTTCTCTGACTTGGCGCTCTTGTCTTCAAGCATTGGTTTGTTCCTTGCAAGCAGGAAGCTCAGGTCCTTGAATCTTGTCTTCAGCAGTCACTGCCTTATGAGAACTAACTCAGTGTGTTCTATCACTAGAGATTACTTTGAGCTTTTGCTTTCTTGGTATCTTCTCCATGCCAGCTCCAGCCATTCATTGGGCAGTTGAGGTAGGGGTGAGATAACAGAGCTGCCAGAGTTCCTTTGCCTCCAAACTACAAGGGGAGCCTGTGGGCTACCCAAGTAGCTGCTGGGTTGCTCTGACAAAGAATGGATTGCCAAGAGAATGAATGGAAAGAATAATTATTTTTCTAATTAATTATTTTTTTGAGGCAGAGTCTCGCTCTGTCACCCAGGCTGGAGTGCAGTGGTGCGAAGTCAGCTCACTGCAACCTCCACCTCCCAGGTTCAAGCAGTTCTCCTGCCTCAGCCTCCAGAGTAGCTGAGATTACAGGTGCTCGCCACCTTGCCTGGTTAATTTTTGTTTTTTTAATAGAGACCAAATTTCACCATGTTGGCCAGGCTGGTCTCGAACTCGCAACCTCAGTTGATCCACTCACCTCGGCCTCTCAAAGTCCTGGAATTACAGGTGTGAGCCACCATGCCCAGCCAAGACTAATTAATTTTTTAATCCCCCAGATAGTTCTCTTATTTTGCATTAAATTTCGATATATTGGAGTGTAGAGACAACTGTCCTAATTCAGTCTTTTCCGAAAGGGATCACACCCCAGTGATAGGAAGAAGGACCAATAGCCTCTGCCCTTTATTTTCTCCTACCATGAAATAGAGAAACAGGCTTAAAATAATTTTCCTTAAAAGTCATTTTAGCCAGGCACAGTGGCTCACACCTGTAATCCCAGCACTTAGGGAGGCCGAGGTGGGTGGATCACTTGAGCCCAGGAGTTCAAGACCAGCCTGGGCAACATGGTGAAACCCCATCTCTACAAGAAGTATAAAAGTTAGCCAGGCACGGTGGCATGTGTCTATAGTCCCAGCTACTCAGGAGGCTGAAGTGGGAAGACTGCTTGAACCCAGTAGGTCAAGGCTGCAGTGAGCTGAGATTATGCCACTACATTCCAGCTTGAGAGACATAGCAAGACCCTGTCTCAAAAAAAAAAAAAAATCATTTTAAGGAAGTGATTAATTTTTAAGGTTTAATAATGGTATTACAGTTATTTATTTTTACGTTTTTTTGAGTCAGGGTCTGACGCCCATGCTGGAGTGCAGTGGTGCAATCATGGCTCACTGCAGCCTCAAACTCCTGGGCTCAAACAATCCTCCCACCTCACCCTCCCAAGTAGCAGAGCTACATGCACATACCACAATGCCTGACTAATTTTAAAAATATTCTGTAGAGACAGTATCTCACTGTATCACCCAGGCTGGTCTCAAACTCTTGGCCTCAAGCAGTCCTCCCATCTTGACCTCCCAAAGTATCAGGATTACAGGCATGAGCCACTGTACCCAGCCTGTGGTTATGTTTCTGAAAAGGGTTTTTGGCTAGGCGCGGTGGCTCACGCCTGTAAACTCAGCACTCTGGGAGGCTGAGATGAGTGGATCACTTGAGGTCGGGAGTTCGAGACCAACCTGGCCAATGTGGTGAAACCCCATCTCTACTAAAAATACAAAAATTAGCTGGGTGTGGTGGCAGGCACCTGTAATCCCAGCTACTCCAGAGGCTGAGGCTGGAGAATTGCTTGAACCCAGGAAGTGGAGATTGCAGTGAGCCGAGATTATGCCACTGCACTCCAGCCTAGGTGACAGAGGAAGACTCCATCTCAAAAACAAAAAGAGGGGAGGGGCTTCTTATCTTAGATATATCTAGTGATGTACTTCTGGATTAAAGATATGATATCAGGTATTTGTTCAAACTAATTGAGAGGTGAATAGTTATACTCTTCTTCAATTTAAGATTTAAAGAAATCATCCCTGAAATTGAGATCAACATGGGATAAAGGGAAAAAAAGCATTTAATTTAATATACAACAACCTTATACATGTAAGGGAGAAGCTCCTGATGATTAGCGTCCTTTAGTTATATTGAAGCCTATATCCCAGGAGGAGTAATTGGAAAAAAGCAAATTAATTTAATTCAAAAAATATGATTGAGCACACTTGTGGACTTGTGTTGAATCTTGCAAAGAACACACAGAAAACTGATGGTTTAGGCCAAGCACAGTGGCTCATGCCTGTAATCCCAGCACTTTGGAATGCCAAGGCAGGCAGATCATTTGAAGTCAAGAGTTAGAGACCAGCCTGGGCAACACGGTGAAACCCCATCCCTACTAAAAATACAAAAATTAGCCAGGCGTGGTGGCGGGCAACTGTAATCCCAGCTACTCAGAAGGCTGAGGCAGGAGAATCACTTGAACCTGGGAGGCGGAGTTTGCAAAGAGCCGAGATAGCACCACTGTACTCCAGCATGGGTGACAGATTAAAAAAAAAGAAAGAAAGAAAAAGAAAACTGATGGTTTAGAGGAGAAAGCAAAGTACATATCTAAGTCACTATTATCCAGAGGAGAATAAGACAATTTCAAAAAATCAAAATGTTCTGGGAGTTGAAGTGAGGGAGGAGTCACATTTATTTGAGAGGTCCAGAGGAAGCTCCGTGGAAAAGAGAGAACAGGGGATGGCCCTGGAAAGACAGGAAGGCCTGGGCAGGGGGATGGGGGCAGGAGGAGGCACTCCTGGCAGCAGACAGTGTGGGCAGGGGACACAGAGGAGAAAACTGTGGGCATTTTTCAGAGAATGCTGGATAGGATGCAAAAGAAGACTGGAAATATACACATGGAGGCTGTGAGTTTCAGGCTAGCAAAGTTTATACTTATTATACAGGCATTAAGGATTTTTGAGCAACAGTATATATGTATGTGTGTGTGTGTGTGTGTGTGTGTGTGTGTGTGTGTGTATATATATATATATATATAGCATTATTAGAATTTACCTGTTTCTTGTTTATATTAACAATGTAAATGTACAGCTTGATGAATTTTTACAAACGAAACACGCCTGTGGGACCAGCACTCAGATCAAGAAACAGAATATTACCACCACCCGAGAAGTCCTGTGTCCCTTCTAGGCACCCCCACTAAAGGGTAACACTATTCTGGCCTTCTGTACTACAGATTTGTTTTGCTCAGTATGGAGCTTATATAAATGGAAACATGGAGTATGTACTCTCTTGTATCTGACTTCCTTTGCTCAACATGATGTTTGTGAAATTTGCAGTTTTCATGAATCGTAAATCATTCTTTTTGCTCTGTGTGTGTGTTACATTATATGACTCCACCACAATTCATGTATCCATCCTATTTTATTTCACATAGTACTGCTGTAACATCCTGGCACACCCTTTAGTAAACGTATGTATGCATTTCTTTTGGGTCTCTGAGAGTGAAATTGCTGTGTCATCAGGTACTCATATGTTCAGCTTTAATAGCTACTGAGAGGCAGTTCATTCAATCTAGAGGCTAAGTCAAAGTGATTAGAAGTAGATCAGTCAGTGGCTTTTCTGATAATTTGGGTTAGAATGAACAAATACATGAATTAGAATGATGGTCCTGGTAGTAAAATGGATGGGAGACATGGTACATTTTCTAGGATTTGTTTATTCAGGGAGAGAGAAGAACCAGAAATATTTTTGAGGCGTTCCCTTTAGTTGGAAAAAAGAAGTTGAAAGAAGTTTTTTGTTTTGTTTTGTTTTTTGAGACGGAGTCTCACTCTGTTAGCCAGGTTGGAGTGCAGTGGCACGATCTCAGCTCACTGCAACCTCTGCCTCCCGGGTTCAAGCGATTCGTCTGCATCAGCCTCCTGAGTAGCTGGGATTACAGGCATGTGCCACCACGCTCGGCTAATTTTTTATATTTTCAATAGAGATGGGGTTTCACCGTGTTGGCCAGGTTGGTCTTGAACTCCTGACCTCAAGTGATCTGCCCTCCTCGGCCTTCCAAAGTGCTGGGATTATAGGCGTGAGCCACCGCGCCTGGCCTGAAAGAAGTTTGATTTGTGGAGGGCAGATGAGACTGACTTTGAGTTAAGATGCAGGTGAGCACACCATTGTGTAGATTACAGATTTTTTTTTTTTTTTTTTTTTTTACAAACAATGATCATTGAAGCAGCTGGTGTGGTTAGAATCATGGAAGAAAATAACAAAGAACTGCCAAGAGGGTAGTGAGACCAAGGGCCAACAAGTCATCACCAACGCCCGCAGCGAAAGCACAGGGAGCATGGAGGGTCACTGAAAGGGCAGGCCTTCCACAGCGGGGAGTTTGCCTTATGAGAAGGGACATTCTCCCCCCAGAAATAGTGATTCAATAAGTCAGACGATTTATGATACCTGAAACGTATCTTTATAGTAAAATCATTCAGTTTCATAACTCATAGTTTAAAGGATGGTTCCACTCATTTCTGTTAAAACTTTTGTAACACAAAACCATAGTTACAGTTTAATGCAAACAGAACAGATGGAGAAACCATTCACTTCTAATTCTAATTTTTAGTAGCTCTAGTTCTCAAAACCCATACTGGCTCTAGTTAATCACAGGCCATCTATTTACCAACCTGCTAAGAAGAAAGAGAGAGAAATAAAAACGAGGACAGGTGGATGCAAGGCGGATGCATCGTATCCAGCAGTTCTAATGCTGTGTCAGGAAGAGCAGCAGGCTCGGAATAGGATTTGACATTTTCCCAAAGAAACAGGGGCCAAGGGTGAGAGGGAAACGTGAAGACCAAGTACACACTTCATAAAGCTTTTCCAGATGACTCTGTGTCTGCAGTCCAGATAAGGAGGGAAACTTAGATGAATGACTTTTTTCCCTGTGAAATGACTTATTTGACACAGTTACCCAGAACACAGCTAAGCCCAGAAGGAAATAAGCAAAGGCTTCTAGCCTTGAAAATAGATGTCATTCAATCTATGTTGTCAGTCTCCAGTATCTCTAGGAACATATTCCGGTGCTCTCATAAAGCCTGTTTACCCTCAAACCCTATTCCTAAAAGCAGGGTTTTGGGGGGGACCTCAAAAAATTAAAAGCTGCCAGTTAAAACATGCTTTATTTTTATCTTATGGACCTTATAAATCATACAGTTGTTTCTCTTTAGATGGTTACTGAAAAGCTCAGAACCAGCCGGGCACATTGGCTCATGTCTGTAATCCCAGCACTTTGGGAGGCCGAGGCAGGTTGATCACCTGAGATCAGGAATTCGACACCAGCCTGCTAACATGGTGAAATCTAATCTCTACTAAAAATACAAAAATTAGCTGGGTGTGGTGGTACATGCCTGTAGTCCCAGCTGCTTGGGAGGCTGAGGCAGGAGAATGGCTTGAACCCAGGAGGCAGAGATTGCAGTGAGCCGAGATCATGCCACTGCACTCCAGCCTGGGTGACAGAGTGAGACTCCTCAAAAAAAAAGAAAAAAAAAAAGCTCAGAATTTGGGCTACCAAATTTGTAGCCCACTTCTAACCAAATGTGCAGCAGCTGCTGGCATGCATTTTAGGGAATACTTACTTTATCCCTGGCCCAATCTTCCTTCTCTTACCCTTGCTTTTTCTTCCTCTGATTGCTTAATTTATTTTTATCTTAATACATACATACATATATATATATAATTTTTTTTTTTTTTGAGATGGAGTTTCACTCTGTCGCCCAGGCTGGAGTGCAGTGGCACAATCTCGGCTCACTGCAACCTCCACCTCCGGGTTCAAGGTATTCTTCTGCCTCAGCCTCCTGAGTAGCTGGGTCTGTAGGCACCCGCCACCACGCCTGGCTAATTTTTGTATTTTCGGTAGAGATGGGGTTTCACCATATTGGCCAGGCTGGTCTCAAAAAAAAGTGCTGGGTTTACGGGCGTGAGCCACTGCGCCCAGCCTTTATCTTATTACATTTTTTAAAGCTGCCTTATTTCCTTTATGAGTTGGAGAGCACTTAAATAAAAATGTCAACACATAATAAATAACAAAAGTGGGCCAGGCGCAGTAGCTTACGCCTGTAATCCCAGCACTTTGGGAGGCCAAGGCGGGCGGATCACCTGAGTCCAGGAATTTGAGACCAGCCTGGCCAACGTGGCGAAACCCCGTCTCTCCTAAAAATGCAAAAAAAGAAATTAGCTGGGCGTGGTGGTGGGTGCCTGTAATCCCAGCCACTCGGGAGGCTGAGGCAGGAGAATCGCTTGAAACCGGGAGGCAGAGGTTGCAGTGAGCCAAGATCGCACCATTGCACTCCAGCCTGGGCAACAAGAGCAAAACTTGGTCTCAAAAATAAAATAAAATAACAAAAGTGAGACCAAATGGCACAGGCAACATGACAGCAAGCAGTGACTGTAAAAAACTAATGTAGAAAAGATGCAAAAGAAAGCTACAAACAAAAACAGATTCATGAACTCAAAAAGCTTATTTAATATCGTAGAGCTTCTGAGTTTAAGGATAAGCAACTTGTCACACTTCTCAAGATCCTCTGAGGGCATCCTTATGTCACATCCTAAAATAGCTATTCATTTTCATAGTGATGACTGACTCATCAAGAGGGGGCTACGTTAAATACTGTGGATCCTGTTAAAGGAAAGCATATATTCCATTTTTAAAGTAAAATTTGTTTGCAAAGATAAGCTTTTATGAGTTATCATTATGAAATGATGTCAGAAAAGTTAAGGTTTCTGTAACAGAGGAGTTTGTCAATCTCTAGAGCGTTCTGAGGAAAGCCTATTTATCTGTATAGAGAACTACTTCCAGCAGGGAAAAAGGCTGAGAATTGAGGCTGTCTGACCTTGTGTATCCCAACAAAAAAAAAAGAAAACAAACCATGTGCCTGAAGGAAGTGTGTCAACTTTCCACTAATCACATATTCAGTTCCTTTGAAATTAAAAGAAGTTTCACTTAGTGCCTCAGAGATGACTGCAGAGTTGGTGTCGGGTTACATAATGAAACAGTATTTTTTCTTACTTGTCAGGAAATAACCTCTTACAGCGGTCATTTCTGTAAACCCCACTTTCTGGAAAACAAGACACACTGTATCCTGTCCTCATTGGGTTTTTGCTCTGTATTTTGAACCAGGAGGACGTGGGCTGCGAGGAGAAGCTGTACTTTGGCTTGAGTGAGTACAGCAAGTCTCTGCAGTGGGGGATCACGAGCCCACTTCTGAGATGTGACGAGACTTTTGAAAAAATGGTGAACACACTCTTGGAGAGGTAAATAGTAAATAAGGCCTTCTGCTCTTCTCTCTAGCTGTACTTGCAGATCTAAAATAGCCAAAAGCCTTTTGTGTCAGTGCTACGGGGTGTTTGATGGAGCCCTTGCAGATGACGTGCAAAGGCCAAATTAAAACAGCCTTTCCTAAGATGCCCTACTATTGTTTTATGTGATCATCCAAGATCAATAAAGGAAAATACAACCAAAGTGGGCCATTGCACTACTTTTCATGCTGAGTCAGCTCCCGGTCATGCTTCACTGCTATCATCAGGAGATGGATAGGGCAGAGAGGGATTTGCTTATTCAAGACCCGCTTCTGGCTGGGCGCGGTGGCCCACGCCTGTAATCCCAGCACTTTGGGAGGCCGAGGCGGGCGGACCATGACATCAGGAGATCGAGACCACCCTGGCTAACACGGTGAAACCCCATCTCTACTAAAAATACGAAAAATTAGCCAGGCGTGGTGGCAGATGCCTGTAGTCCCAGCTACTTGGGAGGCTGAGGCAGGAGAATGGTGTGAACCCGGGAGGTGGAGCTTGCAGTGAGCCGAGACCACGCCACTGCACTCCAGCCTGGGTGACAGAGCGAGACTCCGTCTCAAAAAAAAAAAAAAAAAGTCCCACTTCTCTGAGCTCCGGCCTCTCCTACCCTACACCTCAGACTTTGACATTTTTCCCTCTTTTCTCCCCTGTCCACCACAGGCAAGGACCCTAAGATGATTCAGTAAAAACTAAACTTTACTATGAGAGATTTGAAGTATACACTGGAAGAAATTAAAGAGCAATCAGATAATTGAGGTGAATTCAGTTCTTGGGGCTCCTCCTCCAGTCCCTGGCCTTAGGGATTAAGGAACATAACTGCTGTCTTTTCTTCCCTTTTCTAAAAAAAGAAAAAAAAAATCCCCATTTTCAGATTAAACTCTGAAAGAGTTTTTTTCCCTCTGTGACCTTGAATCATAGATTCAGAGGTAGGTAGAGACATTAGAATTTACCTAACCTAATAAAGGTCCCTTTCTGCCCTCCACAATATTCTGTTTGATCATCCAATGTTGGGGCGATTGGGCTTTATTTTATGGGGCAAATTCTAATTTTTAGTAGCTATAGTTCTTAGAATGGCTTTAATTGATCATATTATTTAACAGCTATTTAACAAACCTGTCCATAATTTTGCTAAGAAAAAAGAAAAGGAAATTAAAATGAGGACCTATGGATGCATCCTATTCAGTAGATTATAATACTGCATCCGGAAAGAGCACAGGCTCAAGTACGGTTTGATATTTTTGCAGCTGTTGGATTTGGAAAGTCTTAACTGACACTGTGACATTAATCCTTTCACAGCACATGTAGTCTTAATTTTCCAAAATCATTCCATGAGTACCCCCTTTAAGCATTCCTACCCACCTGTTACATCCACCAGCTTGAAATGCATCTTCTTTTTCTGGTAACATCATTCAGAGTTTCCTAACTTTTATTTTAAATGATGATCTCATCAACTTTCTATTGTAGTTTTGTGCTACAAAAGTTGTAAGTATAGTTTAATGCAAGCATGACAGATTGGAGAAACTGTGCACTTCTGACTTCATGATTCTTCCAGAGTATGAAACAGAAATGCCAGATATCAAAGTTACCATTTATTCTAACTTTGGCTTTTCTACGTGGCCCAGCAAAAAGCATTAAGCTTGAAACATAGATTATCTATACTTATTTCCTCCAACCCAGTCACCCCAGCCTAATAGTAGCTATGACTTACTGAATACCTGAAGGGACCAGCCCAGGATTTATTGAACTGAAGGATTTCTTCATTTCTACCCAGCCAGCTAAATCCTTGCAATGTGTGAAGACCTTGCTAGAGGCTGGATAAAATCTAGAGCTAGCTTTGTCTCTGATCAGTTGTATGAACTGGGACAAGCAGCTGAACTTCTCTCTGCCCCTGAACTCATTCTCTTTCTATGAAAAGGCAGAGTGGGCTGGGCGCGGTGGCTCATGCCTGTAATCCCACCACTTTGGGAGGCCAAGGTGGGTGGATCACCTGAGGTCAGGAGTTCGAGACCAGCCTGGCCAACGTGGTAAAACCCTGTCTCTACTAAAAATACAAAAAAAAAAAAAAATTAGCCAGGCGTGGTGGCGGGCACCTGTAATCCCAGGTACTTGGGAGGTTGAGGCAGGAGAATCACTTGAACCTGGGAGGCGGAGGTTGCAGTGAGCTGAGATTGCGCCATTGCACTCCAGTCCGAGCGACAGAGTGAGACTCCATCTCAAAAAAAAAAAAGACCGGGTGCAGTGGCTTACACCTGTAATCCCAGCACTTTGGGAGGCTGAGGTGGGCGGATCACCTGAGGTCAGGAGTTTGAGACCAGCCTGATCAACATGGAGAAACCCTGTCTCTACTAAAAATACAAAATTAGCTGGGCGCATGCCTGTAATCCCAGCTACTCAGGAGGCTGAGGCAGGAGAATTGCTTGAACCCGGGAAGCGAAGGTTGCAGTGAGCCAAGATTGCACTACTGCACTCCAGCCTGGGTGACAGAGCGGGACTCTGTCTCGAAAAAAGAAAAAGAAAAGGCAGAGTTGTTCATATACAGGGCATCTTGGTCCTTTCCAGTTCTAAAACACCTCAAAAGTGTTCATGTGTTATTCATTTGATAGCTGTCATTGGCATTTCTTTGACCTGGAGGTTTTCTGTGCAAGGCCAGTGGACCACTTGTTGTATTTTAAGTAGAATTATAGAATGGAACAAAGGTGAAATCCCCCATTAGCCTACCCAGCTGCTGGTGGCTGCATTGCTACCAAATGGCAACCAGAAAGAAAGTGCACAGCCCCAGCCTTATTCTACCAGGCTCCATGAGAGCATTGGCCAACCTTGGACCCAGAGCCCACTTTGCCAGCACCTACTTTCTTTCTTTTTCTCTTTTTTATATTTTTAAGACAGACTCTCACTCCGTCGCCCAGGCTGGAGTGCAATGGCATGATCTCGGCTCACTGTAACCTCCACCTCCCAGGTTCAAGTGATTGTCCTGCCTCAGCCTCCCAAGTAGCTGGGATTACAGGCGCCCGCCACCACACCCAGCTAATTTTTATATTTTTAGTAGAGATGGGGTTTCACCATGTTGGCTAGGCTGGTCTCGAACTCCTGATCTCAAGTGATCCACCCACCTCGTCCTCCCAAAGTGCTGGGATTATAGGCATGAGCCACCGCGCCCAGCCTACTTTCTTTTTTAAAAAATTTTATTTTTATTCAGCAGCAGAAGTACTGCTGGGCAGTGTGCTCAGGGTAGCCAAGCACCTGCTTTCTTGACTAGCAGCTCTTCATGCCTGTAACTGGGTCCTCTTTGCCCATTCGTACTCATTTTGTCATCAGGCCTGGCTGAGGCGTAGCACCAAAAGGAGAGATTTGTTTTCTACCTCCTATAATTGTAAAAACTGCCGATTTTAACAAAGGGATCCTCTTCCCTGGCAGTCCAGGCTTAGGGGAAAATGGTACCAAAGGCTGCTGCTGCTACCAGGCTCAGATTTGCTTGGCTCCCTTGACGGAGCCAGGTCTCAGGTGATGAGGCTACAACACTAGGGGGTGCTATTTCTCCAGTCAGCTCCAAGTTTCTCCAGCACCAAGGAACAGTTTATGGAAAGATAGAAATTGCTATCTGTGAGGCTGACCTCAGATTAGTAGTAATAATTACCCTTTTTATGTCTAATACTCGACAGATATTACATTAATGCCTCAGTTTCCTGTATTGTAATCTTATATATCAGAGAAATAAGTGGACAGTGCTGCCATTCTAACCCAATACCACCAGCAAGAGGTGAGGATCCAGGAATTATCCATGATGACTATGCTGGCAATGAATGGAATAGACCAGCGTGTCTCAGAATTTAACGTGCATGCAATTCCCTGGGAGTCTTGTTAAGCTTCAGATTCTGATTAGTAGGTCTGGGGTGGGGAGATTGAGCATTTCTAACAAGCTCCCAGGTGCTGCTGCTGCTGGTGGTCTGTAGACCATACTTTGAGAAGAGGTTTCTAGACAATCTCTAAACCCCTTTACTGTGCTGTACTTATCCCAACAGGTTGATTCACATGCTTTGGAAGCTCAACCTTTTCCTTCCAGTGATGTAGGATCCCAGGTCATTCTAGAACTAAAGCCCCACCACACTGATCAGTAGCCCCTTCCCCACCATGCTTAATCTGCATTCTTACTGCACAGGCCTTGCTGCTCCCAGCTGGCCCTGCTGCCTGAGTGCTAGTGCCTTGTTTTCTGTTGAAGGTACCCCAGGCTGCACAGCATGGTCGTCCGCTGCTATCTTCTCATCCAGCAGTACTCTGAGGCCCTGATGGCTCTCACCACCATGGCGTCACTCCGCGACCACAGCACACCAGAAACACTCAGCATTATGGATGACCTCATCAGCTCCCCAGGCAAAAACAAAAGTGGGAGGGGACACATGCTCATTATCAGGGTGCCCTCGGTGCAGCTGGCGATGTTAGCCAAGGAGCGGCTACAGGAGGTGCGCGACAAACTGGGTCTGCAGTATCGGTTTGAGATCATCCTTGGGAACCCGGCCACCGAACTCAGTGTTGCAACTCACTTTGTGGCGCGATTAAAGGTTAGCAATGGACAGACATTTCTCCTTTAAAATACCATTTGTTTCTCTTTTCTAGGAATCCTACATAGGTGGCTCAGGGGCCTGAGTTTAATAGAATCACATGTGTGATTCCATGACAATGATAAGGCTAAATTAAGGGACATATTCACTTTCTTAATTAGAACCAGTTTGTAAAGATTGCCCAGCCCTTTATAGCATGCAGTTAGTGCATGCAGTTGGTCTTCCATGCTCTCCAACTGCAGGTGCAAAAAAATGAGATGACCCAATTTGACCCCATGTTTATTGGCCTTGTTCAAGATGCATGTAGCCCATGGCCATCTGTTTTCTGAGAAAAAAAGGTAAGTTATCCTCTCAGACCTCTGTGGGGTAATGTTTTAAGTATCCTCAACTCACTAATTCTTTTCTGTTCATCTAGCCTCTCTGTGAGCTCATGTCTAGAGTCGGTAAAGTATTCTGTTTCATCTTCAGTACTCAGAACTGTTCCTAGCCCTCTTGCATGTGGATTCCTCAGCAGTTTGTTGTTTCTTTTTACTTGCTTTGACCCTCAGCCCCAAGGCTTTGGCTGGACTGAGACTTTGCCAGGCGCCCTACAGAAGAATTTAGTGCATGACTGAGTCCCTCACTGCTCCCTCTGCACGGCCAGTGATTGACTGCTTCTCCCCTTCCTCTCCTGTCAAGCATCAGGGTGGGAGGAGTAGAACCCTCAGCCAACTAACCTAACTCCCTACCTTATGCCTGACTCGGTTTTTCTGGGCCTGTAATCCAGTGGGGCCTAGCCATTAGAAAGCATTTAATCAAATATCCACCTACATGTCGGTATGGAACTGAGCTAGCTACTGTATGTCTGAGTTAGACCAACTTGTTTCTGCGCCCTATACATTAAATGCTGAGCTAAATTGGGTTAAGGAAAATCTGGTTCAGCACAAATTTTATGAAAAGAAGGCACATAGTCATGGGGGAATTTGCATTTTCACCCTGGGCTGCGGTTTCCCATCTGCAAAATGAGAGAATTGGGTTGTATAATCTCTAAGAGTTCTAATTTGGGGATGATTATTTAGTGTTCAAAAATTGTTCTGGGCTGGGCGCAGTGGCTCATGCCTGTAATCCCAGCACTTTGGGAGGCTGAGGCAGACAGATCAGGAGGTCAGGAGATCAAGACCATCCTGGCTAACATGGTGAAACCCCGTTTTTACTAAAAATACAAAAAAAAAATTAGCCAGGTGTGGTGGCGGGTGCCTGTATTCCCAGCTACTCAGGAGGCTGAGGCAGGAGAATGGTGTGAACCCAGGAGGCGGAGCTTGCAGTGAGCCAAGATCGCACCACTGCACTCCAGCCTGGGCGACAGAGCGAGACTCTGTCTCAAAAAAAAAAAAAAATTGTTCTGGAGATGTAAATCTTCTTCTTGTGTTCAGTTAGCTAACCTAAATTGAATAATCCAAAATGCAGACAAAATATCTTGTATTAGCTTAATAAGCAATTGGAACAAATAAAATTGTCCAAAAAATAGAAACTCCTAAATTTAGAAGTTGTAACATTTATGTTTCATATATAGATACACGTTCACAATTTTATGTTATAGTCATAGACTACATTACAGTGGAATTCCTAGGATGAATAACAAAACTCCGGAAACGCTTCTTACAGTATAATTCATGGAGACATGAATTACGGGCTTGAGACCATTTGAATATTGCTAATGATGAAGAATTTGGAGGCTGGGCACGGTAGCTCATGCCTGTAATCCCAGCACTTTGGGAGGCCGAGGCGGGCGGATCACAAGGTCAGGAGATCAAGACCACCCTGGCTAACACGGTGAAACCCTGTCTCTACTAAAAATACAAAAAATTAGCCAGGCATGGTGGCGGGCGCCTGTGGTCCCAGCTACTCGGGAGGCTGAGGCAGGAGAATGGCGTGAACCCGGGAGGCGGAGCTTGTAGTGAGCCGAGATTGTGCCACTACACTCCAGCCTGGGCGACAGAGCAAGACTCTGTCTCAAAAAAAAAAGAAAGAAAAAGAAAAAGAATTTGGAAAGGCGGACAATCAGCAGCACCATGCTAAGTCTCCCACATCTGTTGCCAGAGATGACCTAAATGCACGTGAGGCTGCTGGGTCTTCTCCTGGTCTCTGTTGACACTGATTAAGTGAAGCTACTTAGAGAGTCTTAATCATGTGTTCAGAAGGGCCAGTCACTAAGTCAGTATAAATCAGTCTGTCCTAAATAATTTACCCCTCTGGACCACTGTTGGAAAACCACAGTCAAGGCCTGAGGTTCTTCACCTGGCTGCTAGCTCATCAGAATCACCTGCAGGGCTTTCAGAGGCACATTAGTTGACAATCACTGTGCCCTAAACGAAGGGGGCCTCAAGTTACGACTTCTCAAGGCAGTGACATCTTCCTCAATTGGTATGAGTAGCTGCCAGGCAACAAGTACGTATAAGAGTGTCCCATATTCTGGCTGCTGTGATGGCTCATGCCTGTAGTCCCAGCTACTTGGGAGCCTGAGGCAGGAGGTTTGCTTGAGCCCAGGAGTTTGAGGCTGCAGTGAGCTATGATCCCACCACTGCACTCCAGCCTGTGCAACAGAGTGAGACCCTGTCTCTTAAAAATATATAAAAATAAACAAGTCCCAAATTCTCAAAATCACTGGATCACATCAGTCCTTTTTATACTCTGTATTTGTGTGGGAGTAAAAATATGAGATCATGTTGGGATGTTCACATCGTAAGCAAGACTGAATTGTCAAGTAGATTGCGGCTCACTCATTTATTTCTAAGTTATCAACCTCCTTCACCATTTTCAGGATGGCAAGATTGTGCCTTCTATCTCTACTTTTGGGTAAAATCCAACACTACTTCTATTATGTGATCTTATTTTTGTGCTTACCCCTAATTATCCTGTTATGTATTGTGGTTAACTTATACTGATGATGACCCCTTTGGAAGGATACAAAGTTTAAGTCAGTTCCTCCAGAAGGCAGGTGAAGCTTTCATTAGATGTCCTTGTTCTTAAGCCTTGTATTATCCTTGAACTCAATGATCACCCCATCTTTTGTGTTAAGTGCTTCTGCAATGTCATCTTGAGGGCCTGATTGATGCACAGGAGAACTGCAGCCATCAGTCATCAGAAGGAGCAATGTGATGGAAAAGCATTTTATAGTGGGTTTGGCTAGCTGTGGTTGGTCAAGAGTAAAAGTGAGATTTGACTACTAATCTGAAAATAAACATCCTCATATAGGCCAGGTGCAGTGGCTCACGCCTATAATCCCAGCACTTTGGGAGACTGAGGCGGGCAGTCGCTTGAGGTCAGGAGTTCAAGACCAGCCTGGCCAATATGGCGAAACCCCATCTCTACTAAAAATACAAAAATTAGCCAGGTGTGGTGGTGGGTGCCTGTAATCGCAGCTACTCAGGAGGCTGAGGCAGGAGATTCGCTTGAACCCGGGAGGTGGAGGTCGCCATGAGCCAAGATTGCACCACTGTACTCCAGCCTGGGTGACAGAGTGAGACCCTGTCTCAAAAAAAAAAAAAAAAAAAAAAAAAAAAGTCCTCATACAGTAAAACATTTTAACTCTTATTCCATCAATATAAACCTGACCTCTTCCTGGTAAAGCTATGACCTCTATAGAGACAGTTCTGGGAGATAAAACACATTCAGGGAGAAACCCAGTGTCAGGGATACCATGCGTCCAGTGTGAATGTGATCAGTAAAGTGATTTCTATTCCAGAATGGTTTGCTTTAAATGAGACAATGTTATGGTTCCCCCTGACATGAAATGGTATGGAAAATTAAATTTTTACAGAGAATTTTTCTTCTAGCATTAAAAAAATCTTTTTGACACATTGATTTTTCTAAAACACGGGAAGTCTGTGAAACTTGTGAACAGTTACGTAGATTCCCTATTTCCCCTTAGTATGCACATATATAATAAAAGATTGGACAACAAGTAAAAGCCTAAGAATGGTTAAGCTTCTTCCAGTTTTACAAATTATAGAAATTTTATTTGAAGTGATTGTGGGAATGTTTATTTCTAAAGACTGGCTTTTCTTTATTGAGCCTTTTCTTTATTGAGCCTTTTCTAGGCATTAGCAAATCACCAATCAAACCCTATTGTCTTTTGCTTGGTGACTTTCTTTTTATCCTATTTTGTGCTTAGCAAAGGAAGTACCAGTCTATTTTAAAACAAAATTGTATGCATTACTGGCCAGGTATGGTAGCTCACACCTGTCCACGGCACTCCAGCCTGGGCAACAGAGCAAGACTCTGTCTAAAAAAAAAAAAAATTGTATGTATTACTTAACACCTTGCTTCTTAGTCTGTTCCCCTAAAACGTTATCAGAAATGTCAGTTCATTGCTTATAATAACTCCTGCTAGAAAGGTAGTAAAAAGTATAGGTACATGCTACACACTTAATGAAAAGCAGTAGAAACCACCTTATCTACTTAAGAGATGGTTATTTTTCTTTCTGTTCTAAAATAGACACATCTGTAAGATCATTTTACTTTTGAATATTTTTCAAATTGGCGGGATTACTTTTCATTGATATGTTTATGTTTTCAAGATTGGTGTTCCATTTATTAAAGATATGTATGTCTATGTATATGTGTGTTTATATGAAAAATTGATACTTAATAGGTTCTTTGAGAAACCATAAGCCAATTACATTACCCCTCCAAATGAGGGGCAGTTTCGTTTTGTTGTTTTTTTCTCAATCCAGGTCTGGTTATATTTTTAGCCTTCTTGAGAGAGATTCTTTCAAGGCCCTAAGCCAATAATTGCTTGTTAGTTATTTTAAAAGTCAGTAAAGCAAGAAGGAGGGAAAATAACTATCAAGAGTGGTTCAATGTTTTCATTATTTTCTTGGTGAAATGTCTGTTTTAATGGAATTCTGAGATTCTTTTTTGAGTCATTCACAACTGAAACTCTTTTTCAGTCTTCCAATCCCAAGAATTTCTCCAATGTGTGAAGAAAGTATATTTAAGTGCCTGGATTCAGGTAGTTTAGCCAGGATTTCTGTAAGGTTTCCATCACTAGTGGGATATTTCACATTGTATGTGTTTTTGGCTTGTGTTACTAATGTCTGAGGTATACCAGCATCTCCGTTTTATCCTACTGAGATAAACTACAGCCCTCGTTCCTTCAGAAGTGCCTTGTATATGCGATGTAGTAGCAGTTAAAATATACATACATAAACATATGTAAACACTTAGTGGAGTAATTTGAAAGCACAGTGTGTCTAAAATCTGGACTCAGAAGCCTGTAAAAAAGGTGGAAACTTAAATGAGAGTTTTAATTTTAACATACGGGTCTCTTTCTGTAGAGTTGGAGAGGAAATGAACCAGAAGAGTGGATCCCTCGGACATACCAAGATTTAGACGGTCTACCTTGTATTGTGATATTAACTGGCAAAGATCCTCTTGGAGAAACCTTTCCCAGGTACAGTTTCAATAATTAATTCCATTTTTCATCAGTTGCCCAGCTGAACTGATGATTAAAACTTGGCTGATGGCCCAGTCATTTCCTTTGTTTGGCAGGTAATGAGAAGAGGATTGTTTAATGCAGGGATACAAGAAATACAGCCATACAACCTTCTTTTATTCTTTTTTTTTAGCTTTCCAGAGAACACCCAGCAATTTTGGGAATGGGCGATAGCCACATTTGAGAAATGTCAGAGAGGCAGGGAGGAAAAGCAGGATTTTTTTTTATAAAGTGCTTTGTCTTTGTTAATCTGCTATTCCTGCACCCCTCAAGGATCTAGACTCCATAGACTGGAGGGCAACAACAACATCAACAATAAAAGCATTAGCTGAATGCTTACTGTGCGTGTCAGGCAGTGCCCTAAATGCCTTACATGTATTCAGTCCTTAAAACAACCATATGAGCCCGACACTATCCACTCTTTTTATATTCGAAGAAAATGAAGCACAAAGAAGTGAAGGTCATAACAGCTGGGAGGTGGCAGAGCTGAGGTTTCAGTCAAGGCTCACCTGGCACTGAAACCTATGATTTTAACTGCTGTGTGTTGCATCCAGATCACCAGGCACACATACACACTGCGTGCCTGGCCAGATAGACTCACCAACAACACAATTACTTTTGTTCAGGTCTTTGAAGTACTGTGACCTCCGGTTAATTGACTCAAGCTATTTAACTCGCACGGCCTTGGAGCAGGAGGTGGGTCTGGCATGCTGCTATGTCTCAAAAGAGGTCATCCGGGGACCCACTGTTGCCCTGGACCTCAGCGGGAAGGAGCAGGAGAGAGCTGCTGTCAGTGAGAATGACTCCGATGAGCTGCTCATCGACCTGGAGCGGCCCCAGAGCAACAGCAGCGCTGTCACAGGGACCTCGGGTCAGTACTTTCTTTTCTCTTTCATGGAGTGAGAGACATGAGTCAGGAGGTGTGTAGGAATTTGGAAGGCAGAGGCATTTACTGACACCCCAACGGCCTTCAGAGGAGCCTTCAGGGACTGGCATCCTCTCCAGACCCAGCTCCAGGTGGGAGATGCTTGGAAAACATGACTGTTGAACAGCCACAAAATACTTTCCTGGGTAAACATTTAAGGAAGAGCTTGGTAATAGGCTAAAAACAATTTTATCAACCCTAGCCTGTACCATTTTCCCTAGTCTTTTCTACCCTTAATCTTCTCATGGTTATTATGCATCTCATATTTGCACAAAGGCCCTGTTTTTCTTCCAGGTCCTGAAGCTGTATGTTTGTGCTAAATGGCTTAGTACCTGGCACAAAATGTTTCCTAGAATGAATGAATGAATGAATGGCTTTTCTAAACAGTTAACAGCAAGCATTGTATGCTGAGGGCTCCTCTGGGGCCACTGTCAATGGTGAAGGCCCACCCTGCAGCCTGCCGGCCTCTGTCTTGCAGCATTACTGCAGGTCTATGGCAGTGCCTGGCATGAATTTTCTTCTGATAAATTGTATTATAGCAAATGCAGCACTCTTTCCATTTTTTCTGATTATGAAAGTAATAAAGCTTAATGCAGAAAACATGGAAAATGTCGGCCGGGTGCAGTGGTCCTGTAATCCTAGCACTTTGGGAGGCCGAGGCAGGTGGATCACCTGAGGTCAGGAGTTCGAGACCAGCCTGGCCAACATGGTGAAACCTCATCTCTACTAAAAATACAAACAATTAGCTGGGCATGGTGGCGGGCGCCTGTAGTCCCAGCTACCCTGGAGGCTGAGGCAGGAGAATCACTTGAACCCAGGAGGTGGAGGTTGCAGTGAGCCAAGATCGCACCACTGCACTCCATTCTGGGTGACAAGAGGAAAACTCTGTCTCAAAAAAAAAGAAAGAAAGAGAGAGGGAAAAAAAAAGAAAGAAGAAAGAAAACATGGAGAATGTAACAAAGTACAGAGAATTCTGAGATTAAAAATGAAACACACGCCCACTTCCAGAAGTAATCACTCTTAATGTTGGGTCACATGCCCCTCCTTCTCCCCTCACCACCCCCCCCCCTTTTTTTTTTTTTTTTTGAGATGGAGTTTCGCTCTTGTCCCCCAGGCTAGAGTGCAGTGGCACGATCTCAGCTCACTGCAACCTCCAGCTCCCAGGTTCAAGCGATTCTCCTGCCTCAGCCTCCTGAGTAGCTGGGATTACAGGCACCCGCCACCGCACCAAGCTAACTTTTGTATTTTTAGTAGAGATGAGGTTTCACCATGTTGGCCAGGCTGGTCTCGATCCCATGACCTCAGGTGATCCACCCGCCTCAGCCTCCCAAAGTGCTGGGATTACAGACGTGAGCCACCGCGCCCAGCCTCTCACCCTTTTTTTGAGCTATCATTGAGATCCTTCCATCACTCTGACACATACATGCGAACACACCATAATTTTGTCCAAAAGCAGCACTGGTCTTCCTGTCCATTCTGGCAGCAGCTGCTGGATGGCTCTGGGCAGGAACAGAAGAGGAGGGGTCTGTGGGGTTTGCTGTTGATAGTGACCCTCAGCCTGGAGTTGCTGGAGCTGCCCTGCTCCCCCAGCCAGGGGTTAGGGCTGACCATGTGGACCACTCTGCCTGCCTCAACCCCATCGCAACAGGCTCCCCAGTTTTCTCTCTGAGAGCAGTTTCAGAATAGAGTCAAGGGGTTTGAAGGATAGTAAAGGTTCACAGAAGGGGGGTGGGGGATAACACCTGGAAGCTTTTGGATACCAGCATGAGGAGGAGGAGCACAGCCTGTCTTCCTTCCTGTGGTTCTTCCGTCCCACTCCTTCCTCTCCCTCACTTGAGCTGCCCCACAAAGTGAGCGCTTCCCTGGCCTTGCTCTGCTGAACTCACAAAGGTGGTTTGCCCTTGGCTACTGTGTCCCTCCCTACAGGCCATGCTCATGACACAGAGCACAGGGACCCCAGCCATGGCTGACTCAGAGGGTGACGGGGAGGTTCACTGCCCAGAATGCACAGTGCTGCGGGGAGAAGGCAAGCTCTCCCCCAAGGCAGAGAGACACAGGCAGCTGAGCAAGTGAAGGGGCGGGTTTTAATCATGTCTTGTTGATGGCTGTTCATTCAGGATCTCCCAAGGTTGGGATTCGACCTCCCTGTCTGGGCAGCAACAAGCCGAGCTCAGAGAGGGCCTTTAGTTGAGCTTTTGGTTTGTCTTTAAACCAAAGAGTGGCTGGTCTGTTAGGAGGACAAACACACTTGAAAGGAACTGGTCAAATATGTGGGGCTACTTTAGGGAAAAGCCACCGGCCTTGGAGTCGCATACGCCTATGTCCCACTTCGCGCAGGGCATCCCCCACCCTAGCTTCGGAGTCCATGGAAGGGGTTGCAGTCTGGGGAGCTGATCTGAAGCCAGAGGCATGAGGCCCTCAGTCCCTAGAAGGAAGCCAGTGCTGCCAGGACAGGACTTGAATGTGGAGCCTGTTTTGGGTGGGGTCCTGGGAGGAATCAGAGGGCAGACCCAAACCAGGTCATTTGAGGAGCGTTTAGTAGAGGGACTATTTACTAAGATGTGAACAGAACTTGGAAAAGGAGCAAGAGGTGTGCTGTGCTGGGGGGTGGTTAACCCCAGGGAGCCCTGGCCACCGTGGGCCTGACACAGGGAGGGGTGGGAGCACCTCTCCAGACCTGAGCCGCAGCCCACAGTAGAGAAAGGTGGTTCACCCCTGAAGACCATGCAGGGGGAAGCCACAGAAGAAGCACCCCATCTCCTGCTGGTGGCTGCCATTGGCCAAACCAACTGAGAAGCCAGGGCAAGGAAGCAACACGGAGCAATGTGGAGAGCGGCAAAGAGAAGATTTCTTGCTCAGGGTCTGCAGCCGCGGAGCCGAGCCCAGTGTCCACTGCTTTCCTGGCCTTTGTCTGCTTCCACACCCTAGATCAGTAACAGAGCTGCTGTGGGGTGGGTTCTGTCTGTTCTCTCACAGGTTCCATCATGGAGAATGGAGTGAGCTCTTCCAGCACAGCTGACAAGTCCCAGAAGCAGTCCCTGACCCCCAGCTTTCAGAGCCCAGCCACCAGCTTGGGGCTGGATGAAGGGGTCTCCGCCAGCTCAGCTGGAGCCGGAGCCGGGGAGACTCTGAAGCAGGAATGTGACTCCCTGGGCCCCCAGATGGCGAGCAGCACCACCTCCAAGCCGTCATCATCATCCTCAGGACCCAGGACCCTCCCATGGCCGGGACAGCCCATCAGAGGCTGCCGGGGCCCACAGGCAGCCCTGCCACCAGTGGTGATCCTATCCAAAGCGGCCTACAGTCTCCTGGGCTCCCAGAAGAGTGGCAAGCTGCCATCCTCCTCCTCCCTGCTGCCCCACGCCGACGTGGCCTGGGTGAGCTCCCTGCGGCCACTCCTGAACAAGGACATGAGCAGTGAGGAGCAGTCCCTCTACTACAGGCAGTGGACCTTGGCCCGGCAGCACCACGCTGACTATAGCAACCAGCTGGACCCGGCCTCTGGCACCCGAAACTTCCACCCCCGACGGCTCCTGCTGACAGGGCCCCCACAGGTAGGGCCAAGCCAGCCGGGGCCGTTTCTTAGGCTGGGGTTGGCGCGTCTTCCTCAAGAAGTAGAAGCCAGAAAACCTCTTGGGGGTGGAGCAGGTGTGACAGAGCAGTGAGGACCTCATTCAGGCCTCTCAGGCAGGAGACACTGCAGAGCCAAGGTGTGAAATCTCTTTTCTCTTTTCTTCCCCTCTCTTTCCCGCCTCCACTCCTCCCCAATTAAAAATCTTTCCATTAGGTGGGAAAGACGGGCTCCTATTTACAGTTCCTCAGGATCCTCTTCCGCATGCTCATCAGGCTCCTGGAGGTGGACGTGTATGATGAGGAGGAGATCAACACCGGTGAGTGCTGAGCCCAGGGAGTGGGCAGAGGGGCAAGAGACAAAGACATTGAATTGCAAATCCCGGGAACTTGCTTTTGGCTTCTGGGATTTCTACAGTACCTAACCTGCAGAGTTATTGGGAGGCTAAAGATAATGTGCCCAAGGCCAGGCATGGCGGCTCACGCCTGTAATTTCAGCACTTTGGGAGGTCAAGGCGGGTGGATCACCTGAGATGGGGAGTTCAAGACCAGCCTGGGCAATATGGTGAAACCCCATCTCTACTGAAAATATAAAAATTAGCCAAGCATGGTTGTGCACACCTGTAATTCCAGCTACTCAGGAGGCTGAGGCAGGAGAATCACTTGAACCCAGGAGGCGGGTTGCAGTGAGCCAAGATCACATCACTATACTCCATCCTAGGTGATGGAGTGAGACTTTGTCTCAAAAAAAAAAAAAAAAAGAAAGAAAGAAAGAAATGAAAAAAAAGAATGTGCCCGGCAAATAGTTCTGAGTAAACTGTAGCCTTTTTTAGCTCATTGAGGTCAGGGATGGTGTATTCTACTTTTAGCCTCTTTACAATGTCCTGCGAGGTGCTGGGCAAAAAGGCGTTTTGGTTTTTGGGCTGTTTTTTTTTTTTTAATTTAAGTTCTGGGATACATGTGCTGAATGTGCAGGTTTGTTACACAGCTGTATACGTGTGCCATGGTGGTTTGCTGCACCTACCAACCCGTCATCTACGTTTTAAGCCCCGCATGCATTAGGTATTTGTCCTAATACTCTCCCTCCTCTTGCCCCTCACCCATCCTGTGTCCATGTGTTCTCATTGTTCAGCTCCCACCTGTGAGTGAGAACATGCTGTGTTTGGTTTTCTGTTCCTGTGTTAGTTTGCTGAGAATGATGGCTTCCAGTTTCATCCATGTGCCTGCAAAGGACATGAACTCATTCTTTTTTATGGCTGCAAAAAAGTGTTTTATAAAGGCTTTTTAGGTAGATTAATTGCCTAGATGGTTAACTATTGTAAAATTCGAGTTGTAGTATTCAACTGCTTCAGGATCCAGGGCATATTTGTATTCTGGATACTAGTCCTTTGTTGATTGGTCAGAGTATGTCTTATATTTTACCCATAGGCTCTGAGTGAAGGCACGGGATTACTATAATGAGATGAAAACTTCTATGTGTAGAACTGAATGCTGGCACTATGAACAAAACATCGGCACTGAGACACAAGGGCAGGTGCTTGATAGGGCTGTGGAAGCCAGTGGGCATACCAAGACCACTCCAGCTGTCTTCCCCAGCTGGCACCAGGGAGTTGATTCCACTCTGCCGCTAAGAGCAGTGTGGCTCGGCTCGGCACTGGCACGGTGCAGTAGCTCACGCCTGTAATCCCAGCACTTTGGGAGGCCAAGGCGGGCGGATCACCTGAGGTCAGGAGTTCGAGACCAACATGGTGAAACCCTGTCTCTACTAAAAATACAAAAATTAGCCGGGGGTGATGGCGGGTGCCTGTTATCCCAGCTACTTGGGAGGCTGAGGCACAGAATTGTTTGAACCCGGGAGGCGGAGTTTGCAGTGAGTTGAGATCACGCCACTGCACTCCAGCCTGGACGACAGAGCGAGACTCTGTCTCAAAAAAAAAAAAAAAGAAGAAGAAGAATAGTGTGGCTCAAAACTGTGGCTTCACACCTCCCACCAATTTGACTGTGCTGGCAGGGAACTGTGGGGAGGAAGTAGAGGCAACCAGGCGGAAGTTCCTCTCAAGCCTCTCAAAGATGAGTCTGGAATAGGGAAAGCCCTTGGCATCATCTACCAAATTAGCTCTTGGAGATCTCACCTCACTTGTTTTACCTAAATAGCTGAACCTGTTCCATGACCAGCCCAAGAAACTAGTTTAGGGCCGAGCAAGAGTAGGTAAAATCAGCCATATTTAACCACTTTTTTATGGCTTCAGGCCTGTTTCCATTTCTCATCAATTCACATACATGTTTTTAGACACACACACGAATTCATCTTCCCATCTACATCTCCTTGTTTTTTTCCCAGCTAAGCTGCACTAGATCGTCGGGCCCACCAGGTTGGCCTCAAAACACCCCAAGGCCCCCAGAAAGAGCTGAGCCAGAAGGGCAAAGCCAGAGCCAAGCAGACCGGGAGTCGAGGCCTGCCCTTCTGCCAGCTCTCCCGCCAGGCTCGCTGGCACCACAGCAGAGTGATGCCTTTGATTTTTTTCCTCAGATCATGCTACAGTGATCTTGACTCTTACTCTGTGCCGGTGAGCTGTGAGAGTCTGCTACAGCCTGTTTGACCTTTGTAGTAAGAAACACTGTTAGTTTGGCTTTCTCCCTTCTCCCTCATTTTAGTGCAGGTTAATGCAATGGTGCTCTCAAGAGGCACAATGACACCTTTTTAAAAACTAAACTAGGCTTGAAAGTGCAGACTTTAGTTCAGGGATATAAAAATAAATGTATTATATGTGTTAAAAAGATATTAGCTGTACCTCCAATCTTTAGCCTTTTTTGGAAAGTTTCTTTTCTCCCTTTGAAAGTTGTCTTAAGCTACTTTTTCATCTTATACATTTTATTATTATTAATAATAAAAAAATATATATTTTAAGATGGAGTTTCTGTCGTCCAGGCTGGAGTGCAGTGGTATGATCTCGGCTCACTGCAACCTCTGCCTCCTGGGTTCAAGCAGTTCTCCTGCCTCAGCCTCCTGTGTAGCTGGGATTACAGGCTCACGCCATCATGCCCAGCTAATTTTTGTATTTTTAGTAGAGGTGAGGTTTCACCATCTTGGCCAGCCTGGTCTCAAACTCTGACCTCATGTGATCCACCCACCTCGGCCTCCCAAAGTGCTGGGATTACAGGTGTGAGCCACTGCACCTGGCCACTAATAAAAAATATAATGTTAGACACCAGCTGCGTGCCTGCAACTGTCTTGGCACTTTATTATCATTATTATTATTATTATTATTTTTGAGATGGAGTCTTGCTCTGTCACCCAGGCTGGAGTGCAGTGGTGCGATCTTGGCTCACTGCAACCTCTGCTTCCCAGGTTCAGGCGATTCTCCTGCCTCAGCCTCCCAAGTAGCTGGGATTAAAGGCATGCACCACCACACCCAGCTAGTTTTTTGTATTTTTAGTAAAGACAGGGTTTCACCACTTTGGCCAGACTGGTCTCGAACTCCTAGCCTTAGGGGATCCACCCACCTCGGCCTCCTAAAATGCTGGGATTACAGGTGTGAGCCACTGCACCTGGCCAATCATAAAAAATATCTGTTAGACACCAGCTGTGTGCCTGCAACTGTCTAGGCACTTTATTTTATTTATTTATTTATTTTTTGAGATAGACTCTTACTCTGTCACACAGGCTGGAGTGCAGTGGCACGATCTCAACTCACTGCAACCTCCGTCTCAGGGGTTCAAGTGATTCTTAGCCTCCTGAGTAGCTGGACTACAGGCATGTGCCACCACACCCAGCTAATTTTGGTATTTTTGGTAGAGACAGGGTTGGCCAGGCTGGTCTCGAATTCCTGACCTCAAATGATCTGCCTGCCTCGGCCTCCCAAAATGCTGAGATTACAGGTGTGAGCCACCATGTCCAGCGTGTCTTGGCACTTTAAATGTACCATCTCTGGCTGGGCAGGGTGGCTCACACCTGTAATCCCCTGTGCTTTGGGAGGCCAAGGTGGGAAGATGGCTTGAGGCTAGAAGTCTGAGATCAGCCTGAGCAGCAGGGAGACCCCATCTCTCACAAAAATTTTAAAACTCTAGCCAGGTGTGATGGTACACGCCTGCAATCCTAGCTACTCAGGAAGCTGCAGTGGAAGGATTCCTTGAGCCCAGGAGTTCAAGGTTGCAGTGAGCTTACATTGCATCACTGCATTCTAGCCTGAGTGACAGAGTGAGACCCTGTCTCCAAAAACAAAAAGAAAAGGGTCTGGTATGGTGGCTTACACCTGCGGTTCCAGCACTTTGGGAGGCTGAGGCAGGATGATTGCTTGAGCCCAGCAGTTCAAGACCAGCTTAGGCAATACAGTAAGACCCTGCCTCTACAAAAACGTTAGCTGGGCATGGTGGCACGTGCCTGTAGTCCCAGCTACTCAGGAGGCTGAGGTGGGAGGATCATTTGATCCCAGGTGGTTGAGGCTGCATTAATGCTTACTATAATCTGGGGACTCAGGGTTAAGTACAGTGCCTGAAGGTGTGACGCTGTAAGGGGTAGGGCCAGGATTCACACCCAGGTCTACTGGCTCTCAACCGTGACTGCATATTGGAACACTCTGAGGCGCCTTAAACAATATGACTGGATCCTGGGCAGTCAGACATTCTGACTGAACTATTCTGGGATGTGTGGCCTGAGTGTGGGAATTTTTACCAGCTCCCAGCTGATTGTAACGTGCGGAAGACATTGGGAATCTTGCTCAGTGCATCCTAAAATCTCTTGGGTGTCAGTATATTAACACCCCACAGTTAAAATCTCAAGACAGAAATAAGATCATCCAAAATTAAACTTTTAAGGAAATTTGGCCTGGTGGAGACTAGGTTATCTTACAGATGCCAGAGTTTGTGAATTGGGTCTGCAGAGACGAATGCTGGGGGCCAGTGAGGGCAAATGTTCCTCTCAGCATGGGTGTGAACAATTCTGCCTCCTCTACTGGGACAGGGGAGCTCATTTTTCAGAAATGCCTTTGTCCACCCATCTGGGCTCTACGTCCCATAAAAGCCATTCTCTCTGACACATGGGGAAGAGGGAGGCCAGTCACCTGCTCTGCACACTTCCTTCTTGTCCTAGATCACAATGAAAGCAGTGAAGTGAGCCAGTCAGAGGGAGAGCCCTGGCCTGACATCGAGAGCTTCAGTAAAATGCCTTTTGATGTCAGTGTGCATGACCCCAAGTACAGTTTGATGAGCCTGGTGTATACTGAGAAGCTGGCAGGGGTCAAACAAGGTCAGTGCAATCAGCCAAGTTCACCTCCTCTCTGGGTTAAGGGGACACTAGCTCAGGGTGCCTTACATCTCACTTTTCTTTCGCTCTTATGCGCATCATTTTTTAAATTTTCATAACTGTTTCTTAGGGCATAAATTACAGAATACATGGAAAAGTCATTTTGGGGAAAGAGGGACTTTTCTTTCCAGGCATAGGGAAAACATGTTATCTCATGGGATGGCTTTTTGCCCCTTTATACACAGAAGTGATAAAGGAATCCAAAGTTGAAGAGCCCAGGAAACGGGAAACTGTATCCATAATGCTGACCAAATATGCAGCCTATAACACCTTTCACCACTGTGAACAGTGCCGCCAGTACATGGACTTCACCTCTGCCTCCCAGGTACCATCCCACCTTCGCCCTCGCCCTCTGTCACCCAGTATGGATTTTGTATGTAAGGGTGGGGGGTGGAGGGATGAAAAATAAGGCCCCTAGTTTCAGGCCTCTGGTAAAGGATAGTTTACTCATAAGAAGGAGCCACTCATTGGTGAGAAAAATGCATGAAGGCTGGGCGCGGTGGCTCACCCTGTAATCCCAGCACTGTGGGAGGCCGAGGCGGGTGGATCACCTGAGGTCAGAAGTTCGTGATCATCCTGGCCAACATGGTGAAACCCCGTCTCTACCAAAAATACAAAAAATTAGCCGGGTGTGGTGGCACATGCCTGTAATCCCAGCTACTCAGGAGGCTGAGGCAGGAGAAATGCTTGAACCTGGAAGGTAAAGGTTGCAGTGAGCCGAGACCACGCCACTGCACTCCAGCCTGGGTGACAGAGTGGGACTCCGTCTCAAAAAAAAAAAAAGCACAATGCATGAAGCCATAATTAAATGAATGTTGGGTTTATTTGGATTATGGGAGGGAGAGGAGGCAGCTTAGTTTTAGTGTCTTGAATTACTTCTTCAAATGGTTACACGTGTCATGTTTAGGTTAGGAAGTAGCTGAGGTGTTTATTTGCAATCCATATATTACAGTATATTTGATAAAAGGGTTTCCCCCTCTTCCCTTTGGAGCACTGACTAAAATGGCACTATTATCTCAGATCCACAGGGTGTGCCCTTTGAGCTGTGATTCTAACAAGACTGTTGATTTGCACCAACCTAGTCATATTCTCACACCTGCGTGGGGTGGCTTGGCCAGTGGAGTCAGTTTGTTTTATGCAGTGAGAACTGAGACATAGGAATGAAGAACATGGGCCAATAACCCTTAGTATGTGGCTTCTTTTTGGCTAGTGCATCTTTAAGCACAAAAGATGGAAAGGCAACAAATGATAGTAATATCCAGAGCTTACTTCCCCAAATTCATCTTTATTTTTATAACTTGGCTCTGAACACACAGAAACAACTCCTGCTTCTGGTAGGCCATACTGACTCCCCTAAACCTGTTTCTGCTCTTCAGGGCCAGGTCGTCACCCTTTTCCCACATCTCATCCTGAAATACAAATGAGTACTAGAAAGGATATACTTTAAAAAACTGATCGAATCATTCTGCCCTTCTAATACAAGTTACCTTTTATATCCCATTTGTTTTCTTGGTGTCACTGAAAACTTTTGGTGGGCTGCTTTGAAATAAGCTCATAAAAGCTTTATAGAATATAGAAGACCCAAGTCCCCTGGTCTACAGATTATAGGTTTTTAGAAAATCTCTTTATTAGAAATCCTCTATTCATAAAGTTTCTGTGTGACTACAGTACTAAGTAGTATATTCCCACATTTCTGAGGCAGAATAAACTAGAATTAAGGGAAGAAGTGTAATGTTATTTTTCTATGAAATATAGTATTTTGGTTAAAACCATTGGGAAACCTACTTCGATTCTAGTTGCTGATGAAAATTGATGGTATCCTTTTATTAAGCCAAATCTTATCCACATTAAAAGCGTGAAAAGACCTATTATATAATTATTCACTGAGATAGGTTACTGAAAAAACGTGAACTCTGCAGCACTTTAAATGTAGGTTAGATTTATATTTGGCTTCAGTGAGTCAAATGGTCTCTTTTCTGAAACCAGAGTTCTGGGCTAAATGATTGAACCTCTTCAGCATCCACTGTAGCCTGGAAAGATGGGGCTGGAGAGGCATTTTAATGTCAAACCTGATATTTAGAAAGCTGATATTCATTTGATCTGACCCGCATAGAGCAGAAGTGTTTCCCTCCGATTAACAGGGGACCTTTAGGAATGCATACAGAGCAGGACATCCCACAGATATATCTGACCTCTGCACAGGATGAAGCAGCTGTGGCTCTGAGAGCACACAGAATGCAGTGCCAGGCAACAAGTACTTCTTCCACTGAGGCTATGCAGGTGCAAGACGGCGGGCTGTCATGTCAGTGGCAGCTCCTAAATGAAGTGTTTGCCTTATCAACCTTTTAGACGTGGCTGCTCACAGCCTGCTCTGGTGGCACTTACCAGTTCATGTTAGTTTCCATCTCTTAATAACAACCTGAAGGAGTGGCCTGGAAGTTTGGAAACTGTGGGCTTACTTACGTTCCCTCCCTTTCTTCTTTGCAAATGTAGATGTCTGACTCCACCCTTCATGCCTTCACATTCTCTTCTTCTATGCTGGGAGAAGAGGTTCAGCTCTATTTCATCATTCCCAAATCCAAAGAGAGTCATTTTGTCTTCAGCAAGCAGGGCAAGCACCTGGAGAGCATGCGGCTGCCCCTGGTTTCAGACAAGGTGGGTGAGAGCATCTGGACTGGCAGGCACCAGACCTAGTTCTTTAAGCGTCTTCAATCTAGAGGCTTTAATTTCCCTTTATGGTCTGTTTTTTTCCCTTTCAGCAGAATTTGAATGCAGTCAAGAGCCCTATTTTCACTCCTTCCAGTGGTCGACATGAGCACGGACTCCTAAACCTTTTCCACGCCATGGAGGGCATCAGCCACCTTCACCTCCTGGTGGTCAAAGAGTATGAGATGCCTCTGTACCGCAAGTACTGGCCCAACCACATCATGCTGGTGCTTCCCGGCATGTTCAATAATGCAGGCGTGGGTAAGGGGCCCCCCTGGGATGGGGAGAAGGGCTTCGAAGATAAACTGAGCTCCATTCCCCTGGCATGAAACTTTCAGATTCCCCTGCCTCTAGAAATTGTCCTGCCCTCCTCACCACTCTTCGGAAAAAAAAAAAAAAAAAAGCTTTTTGACTCTCCCTTGAATTTGAGTTTTCTTTTTCCCTTTATCTGCACTTTTGCAGAATTAACTCTGAGGACTGGTAATTAAGGAAGAAGTCACTGGTGTACTGAGCACCCTGGGAAGGTTTGGGATTCTTCCCCATGTAGGCTGCAAATGTTCCTGAGCTGAGCACTCTGGGGAAGGAATGTAACCATGAGAAAAAAGATGGTCTAAGGGAGAGGCAGCATTAGTGGTTCACCCAGATCAAGAGGGGCCCCTAGGTCATCTCATCTTTAAGGCACGTAGCAAGTTATAGGGGGCTGTTGTACAACCAGGGAGCTGGAAGCATCGTTACTGCCTATGACACAGGAATGTGCCTGAAAGAAGTCCTGCTTTCCTCCTGGAGTTTAAGAGCAATGCGCTGATTTCTCAAAGGGGGCCAGTCTTGTTGTATGTATGACAGAGCTGTGGAGACTGTAGATGTCAGAATGCCTTCATTTTCCTTTCTCAGGCAGGACATCTCTAACTGAATCCAGTGTTTTAGAGCTGCGCTCTTCTGGACACTTCTTGCGCTGCAGTTCTAAACAGTTTGGCCCATCTGCTTCTGTCGGTGCCTCAGTGCCAAGTCAGGAGCTGCTTGTTCCCATTTTAAAGGGAAGTAATAACACCCAGCCTAGAGCTGGACTGGAGGGCAGATAAGACCTGAGTAGTTTTCTTGAACCCACGTGTTTCTTCTCTCCAGGGTCTCCTCTTTCTCCACTGTCTCCCAACCTAGCCTCTGCCTCTCCCTTCCTTCTTAGGTCTCTCCCATTTCTTGTTCCTTTCTATGCCTTTTCATGTCCTTCAACTTCAAACAGCCTTAATATGGGCTTAAAATATTTTCAAAAATGGTTTTGTTTTGAATATAATTGTTTATCACTTTATATCAAGTGAATTAAGGCTTCTGAATATTTCTGTTCCTTCAGCCTCCCCAAAACCACCTATACTCATACTAACTGAAGCCTTTTTCTATATGAATATGACCTTCTTCTGTGCCTGCCTGATCCTTAGGAGAAAGTTTTCTCATCCTAGATCTGACCAAACTATTTAGTACTAGTTTTGCCATTTTTGCAATAATTTGGGGAGAATGAAGCCAACACACATATGCAAATGAAATATACAAATTATTATTTTTATTTTTGGTAAAAATCACATAACATAAAATTTACTGCCATGGCCGGGTGCGGTAGCTTACGCCTGTAATCCCAGCACTTTGGGAGGCTGAGGTGGGTGGATCATCTGAGGTCAGGAGTTTTGAGACCAGCCTGGCCAACATGGTGAAACCCCATCTCTACTAAAAATACAAAAAAAAAAATTAGCTGGGTGTGGTGGTGTGCGCCTGTAATACCAGCTACTCAGGAGTCTGAGGCAGGAGAATCACTTGAACCCGGGAGCTGGTGGCGGCAGTGAGCCAAGATCATGCCACTGCACACCAGCCTGCGTGACAACAGTGAAACTGTCTCCAAAAAAAAAAAAAAAAAGTACTGCTTTAATACTTCTAAAGTGTTAAAGTTCAGAAGTGTTAAGTACATTCACATTGTTTTAAGACTGATTTCCAGAACTCTTTTCACCTTGTGAAACAGAAACTCTATACCCATTAAACAACTCCCCATTCCCTCCCTCCCCTCAGCGTCTGGCAGCCACCATTCTACTTTCTCTAAGTGCCTCATATCAGTGGAATGATACAGTATTTGTCCTTTAGTGACTGACTGGCTTATCTCACTTAGCATGTCCTCAAGGTTCATCCATGTTGTAGCATGTGTTAGAATTCCTTTCCTTCTTAAAGGCTGAATAATATTCCATTTTATGTATCTACTACATTTTGTTTATCCATTCATCCGTCAGTGGACACTTGGGCTGCTCCCACCTTATGGCTGTTGTGCATCATGCTTTTATGAACACAGGTATACAAATATCTCAGACCCTTATTTCAACTCTTCTGGGTATGTATCTAGAAGCGAGATTGCTAGATCATGTGGCAATTCTATTTTTAACTTTCTGAAGAATCACCATACTGTTTTCCATAGTGGCTTGCACCATTTTACCTTCCCACCAACAGTGCACAGGGATTCTAATTTCTTCACATCCTCACCAACACTTTTTTTTTTTGAGGTGTTTTGCATTGTGATTTTGTTTTGCATTCCCCTAATGATTAGTAATATTGAACATCTTTTTGTGTGCTTGTTAGCCATCTGTATATCTTCTTTGAAGACTTGTCTCCAAAGTCCTTTGTTGAAAAATCAACTGAATTATTTTGTTGTTGTTGAGTTGTAGCAGTTTTTAAAAAATATATTCTGGGTATTAATGCCTTATCAGATACACTCTTGGTAAAGATTTTCTCCCGGCCGGGTACAGTGGCTCACACCTGTAATCCCAGCACTCTGGGAGGCCGAGGCGGGCAGATCACCTGAAATAGGAAGTTCAAGATCAGCCTGACCAACCCCGTCTCTACTAAAAATACAAAATTAGCCTGGCATGGTGGCACTTGCCTGTAATTCCAGCTACTCAAGAGGCTGAGGCAGGAGAATCACTTGAACCGGGGAGGTGGAGGTTGCGGTAAGCTGAGATCGTACCGCTGCACTCCAGCCTGGGCAACAAGAGTGAAACTCCGTCTCAAAAAAAAAAAAATTTTTCTCCCATTCCATGGATTGCCTTTTACTCTATTATTTGATGAAGTCCAGTTTGTCTATTTTTTCTTAGCTTTTGTTTTTGATATCATATGTAAGAGATCACTGCCAAATTCAATGTCACAAGGCCTTCCCCTATGTTTTCTCCTAAATGATTTATAGTTTTAGCTTTTATGTCTAGGTCTTTGATCCATTTTGAGTTAATTTTTGTGTAGGGTCTAAGGTAAGGGTCCAACTTCATTCTTTTGCATGTGACTATCAGGTTTTCCCAGCACCATTTTTCTTTAAGACAGGGTCTTGCTCTGTCACCCAAGCTAGAGTGTGCAGTGGTACGACCATAGCTCACTGTAGCCTCCAAGTTCTGAGCTCAAGCAATCCTCCCACCTCAGCCTCCTGAGTGGCTAGGACTATAGGCGTATGCCACCATGCCTAGCTAATTTTTAAATTTTTTGTAGAGACATGGGTCTGTGTTGCTCAGGCTGCTCTCAAACTGCTGGCCTCAAGTGATCCTCCTACCTCAGTCTCCCAAAAATGCTGAGATTACAGGTGTGAGACATCGTGCCCAGCCCCCAACTGTGTTTGTTGACAAGACCATCTGTTACCCACTGAATGGCTTTGGCACCCTTGTCAAAAATCATTTGACCATATATGAGAGGGTTTATTTCTGGGCTTTCTATAGGCCCAGATCAAAACTACCACACTGTTTTCATTACTATAGCTTTGTAGTAAGTTCTGAAATCAGGAAGTGTGAGATCTCTAACTTTGCCTCTCTTTCAAGATTGTTTTGGCTATTTGGGGTCCCCTGAGATACTGGATGAATCGCAGGATAGATTTTTCTATTTCTGCAAAGTCTTTGGGATTTTGATAGGGACTGCATTAAGGCTATGGATCACTTTGGGTAGCACTGATATCTAATATCAAGTCTTCCAATCCATAAACACAGGATGTCTTTCCATTTATTGGTGTCTTCCTTAATTTCCTTCATCAATGCTTTGTACTTTTCACTGTACAAGTCTTTTGCCTCCTTAGTTGATTCCTAAGTCTTTCTTTTTGATGCTATTGTAAATGGAACTCTTGATTTCCTTTAGATTGTTCACAGTTGAGGTATAGAAATGCAACTGATTTTGGTGTTGATTTTGCATCTGCATCTTTGCTGGATTCACATATTCATTCTAAAGGGGATTTTTGGTGGAATTTTTAGTTTTCTATGTATATGTTGCCTGAGAACAGAGATAATTTTACTTCCTTCCTCTTTGGTTGCCTTTTATTTATTTATTTTTTCCTTAATTTCTCTGGCCGTGACTTCCAGTATTATGTTAAATAGAAATGGTAAAAGTGGCATCCTTGTCTTGTTCATGATCTCAGTTTTGGAAAAGCTTTCAGTCTTTCACCATTGACTATGATGATGTTAGCTGTGGGCTTTTCATATATGGCCTTTATTATGTTGAGAATGCAAACTATTACACACACGTTCTTGGAAGGTAGATTTTCCTAAATCCCAGTTTTACCCTTGATCTGTTCACACTGCTTCTGGTTCTTCCATAGATTTAATAGCTTTTCTTTCATTTATCACCTACGTTTTGTTTCATTTTACGATGGCCCACTCATAAAATTTGGCTGATTACTGACTATCATCTTGATAATCACTAACATTCACCGAGTACTTAGAGGGTACTAGGCGCTATCCTGAGCATCATACAGCAACCCTATGAGATCGGCATTATTATTGTCTTCTTAGAGGTGGGGAAGCCAAGGCACAATGGGTTTAATTTGTTCAGGGTCACATGGCTAGAAAGTGGTGGAATTAGGATTCAAAATCAGACAGTTTGGCTCCTGTCTCTTCTCTTAATCTCTATACCATATTGCCTCTTGCAAAAGGCAGATCTAGGGAAAGGGTGCCAGTTTCCAGAGTTGTCTTCTTCAAAGAAGCTGCCGTCAGTTTCCTTGAAGTATCTAAAGCAGGGGACATATCAGTGGAATTGGCATACCCACTCACTGCAGCCCAGTTAACTCCCTAGTACAGGACATGTGAGTGGCTGCTTCCAAGTCTGAGAGAGCCTCTTGTCATGCTTCAAGGAAGTAAACAGTAACAGCATTTCCTAGATGTGGATTCCTTTGTCCTGTGAGGGAAACTGGATTCTTGCAATACTTTCAAAGTGTGGTTCATACCATTTGCATCCTCAAAGATATCTCTGGTTTCTGGCCCTTACACCATACCGACTCAAATGCAGCTCTAGTAATGGACTCTTAAGAATCTACATTTAAAAGTGATTCCCAGTAACACTGGTTTGAGAGCCACTGCTCTGAACATTTGGTTGGCTCCCACCTGCATGGTTCCCATGTGAACAGGCATTCTGTGGAGAGAATATAGCTGCCTGTGGGGCTTCAGCCAAGCCTGAGTGAAGGATGTGTGGATATGCAGATGTGGTTATGTTGCCTTCCAGGTGCTGCCAGGTTCCTCATCAAGGAGCTATCATATCACAACCTAGAATTGGAGAGAAACCGCCTGGAGGAGCTAGGCATTAAACGCCAGTGTGTCTGGCCTTTCATCGTCATGATGGATGACTCATGTGTCCTATGGAACATTCACAGTGTTCAGGAGCCATCCAGGTAGACTTCCAAGCTGGGGGCGTATGACACAATGCTATAGACAGGACAATACATTTCTTGACTACAGTTACATACGGAAGTAAGAAAGAGAGAGACAGCTTTCCAGAGCAAAACAGTCAACCATGAGACCACCCTCACTAGAACATTTTGTGGTGACTTAGGAATCTTTTATTTAGACATTCAGTAGCCCATTAAATTCCTGGACCATTCTGGGATCACAGCGTTGGTTAGCTATTAAAGTCTACTGCGGCCAGGCACAGTGGCTCATGCCTGTAATTCCAGCACTTTGAGAGGCCAAGGCGGGCTGATCATTTAAGGCCAGGAGTTCTAGACCAGCCTGGCCAACATGGTGAAATCCTGTCTGCTAAAAATACAAAAATTAGCTGAGCGTGGTGGCGCATGCCTGCAGTCCCAGCTACTTGAGAGGCTGAGGCAAGAGAATCACTTGAACCCAAGAGGCAGATGTTGCAGTGAGCTGAGATTGTGCCACTGCACTCCAACCTGGGTGACAGAGCGAGACTCTGTCTCAAAAAAACAAAAATAAAGTCTGTTGAGACACTATGATTTATGGAGAAAGACTGCTGACATCTCAAATCAGGAGACCTGGTTTTAGCCCCAACTCTGTTTTTTGTTTATAATTTTTTGTAGAGATGTTGCCCAGTCTGGTGTTGAACTCCTGGGCTCAAGCAGTCCTCCTGCCTTGGCCTCCCAAAGTGTTGGGATTACCAAGTGTGAGCCACCACACGCAGTCATGCTTCTTAACTGTCTGTATGAAAAAGGAAAGTCATCTCACCTCTCCATATCTCAAGTCCATCACCTGTAAAATTACGCCTGGGCCAAAATCAGTGGTTCTCTTCCTGGGGTAGTGCCCCCTCACATTGCTAGGGGGTGCTGGTCGGGGCATCTGTGAGGACCAGAGAATGCCAAACATTTTAAGAAGTCCGACACAATAAACCCCCAAAATTCAATAGCACTCCCATTGCAACACTGTGCCAGCTGACCTTTAAGCCCCTCCCAGCTCAAACACTGTGATTTTGTGTCCTTGTTCCTATTTTGGATTTGAAGCCAGTGAAATTTTCAAATATTCCTTATTATACACAATTACCAGAACTGGGAAGGATACCTCTATGCTTCCAACCTCCGGCTACCTCTTCTTTGGCAACTCTTTATTCACTGTTCACTCTGACACAGGCCGGATTTCTTTCTTTGCCCGAAAGTGATAAGCCCCACCCCAAAAGGCAGTTTCTTTATAATAGTGACAGGCAGTGTGAAAACTGGGCTTGACATTCTTCTCCATTTGCTAATACGAAGTAAATCAGTTAATTTTATCCTTGAGAGTATTACTGGTATATAGTAGTGTGTAGACACTTCACAAATGATCCTCTCTTCTGTAATATTTATCAACATCTTATATAAACTATATTTCATAGCCAGCCCATGGAAGTAGGAGTTTCCAGTAAGAATGTGTCCTTGAAGACTGTCTTGCAGCACATTGAAGCCACACCAAAAATTGTCCACTATGCAATCTTGGGCATACAGAAATGGAGCAGCAAGCTGACTTCTCAGAGCCTAAAGGCCCCATTCTCTAGGTGTCACGTGCATGATTTCATTCTCCTCAACACAGACTTGACTCAGAATGTGCAGTATGACTTCAACAGGTAAGTCAGGCCTCATGGATGCAGGTAATCCTGGCATCTACTGATTGCTTCTGCCCAGCTCTAGCCTCTGTAATGCTTTTATTCGTATGTCTTCAGTTGAGAAGCTGACTCTTTATGTGGGCAAGGAGAAAGGGGGATCACAAGCCCCAAAGTGTGCCCCTTTATCAGCAAACTGACCTAGACCTTAACAGGGGTTACAATGTGAAATGCTTAGAGAAAACACTTTAGCCATCTCATTATTCAACAAGAACTCAAGACACAAAAACTACTGACTCAAGTCAGTGTGTGGACCCACAAACATCTAAGATTAAGCCTCCTTCACCCTCCAGACTCAGAAGGAAATCACTTTTCCTGAATGTTAGACTAAGCCCTCCTTCACCCTCCAGACTCAGAAGGAAATCAATTTTCCTGAATGTTAGTAGGATTCAGGGAAATCCTACTGTAGGGAAAAGGCAGCAGATGGGGATGAGCAGGGTAGCCATGGCCTTGCCTCCCAAATAAATTATGTCCAGGTTCCTACAAAACCTGAGAGGGCCAAGCAAGAAGGCAGGAACCATAAAGTCCTTATGCCAAACTTACGGTTATAGAATAGCTGCTGCTTTCACTCCTGTTTTAAATTTGACAGAGGCTTCATCCTGCTTGTAGCCAGAAATTTAAAACTGGGAGCACCTCTGCATTCCTGTTTTGCCGGAGTGTATCAAATAGGAATATAGTCCTGTTTTTGCATAGGGATACCTAAAACCTGTGACATAGCTGGGACAAAAATAATCTCACTTTCCCCTTCCTTGAAAGGCTGTAATGCCCAAATCAGAGTTTTTCCAGGTCAGTGTTACGAGGGCCAGCTCCACAAAAGCATGGTTGATTATTTTAGGCTCCTAATATCTTGCCACACATTTATTTCTCTGTGTATAGTTATCATGGTTGAGATATGCCAGCGGAAGAAAACTATTGTTGTGGTTACAATTTAGGTATTTCTGTGAAGATGCTGACTTTAATCTGAGAACAAACAGTAGTGGCCTGCTCATCTGCCGCTTTAATAACTTCAGTCTCATGAAGAAACATGTTCAGGTTGGAGGGCAAAGGGACTTTATCATTAAACCAAAGATCATGGTGAGTACCGCAAGCTTGATTCAAGTGCTGAAAATAAGCACAATGATAATGACTATCTTTGTTATTAGATGTTGGCATTAAGCACTTTCTATTTTATTAGAAAAGTGAAATAACACAAGGGAGTTTTTTTTTTTTTTTTTTGAGACAGTCTGTCCCCTAGGCTGGATGGAGAGCAGTGGCGTGATCACGGCTCACTGCAAGCTCTGCCTCCTGGGTTCAAGCGATTCTTGTACCTCAGCCTCCCAAGTAGCTGGGATTAGAGGTCCGTGCCACCACGCTTGGATAATTTTTATATTTTTAGTAGAGATGGGGTTTCACCATGTTGGCCAGGCTGGTCTTGAACTCCTGACCTCAAGTGATCCACCCGCCTTGGCCTCCCAAAGTGCTGGGATTACAGGCATGAGCCACCGCATCCGGCCATTAGGGAGTTCTTAATGTCAAATTTTCAATCTCATTTCTGTTACTGAGACTCATCTAGAGCCAAAACATTTGTTTTGACAATCCAACAAAATTACTTTAGATGTCAGCCTTAAATCTAAGTTTCTTTGGATTTAAGCCTTAACACATCCTTCAAGGCTTTAGTTTCAAGATGGCAAACTTTACATTTTTACCTTCTTTTTTTGAGACAGAGTCTCGCTCTGTTGCCCAGGCTGGACTGCAGTGGCATGATCCCAGCTCGCTGCAACCTCTGCCTCCCGGGTTCAAGCGATTCTCCTGCCTCAGCCACCACGCACCACCACATTTTTACATTCTTTATGTAATACATGAGAGAAATATAAATCAAGATGCCAGTCTGATCCTTTGCTAGAAGTTTCTTAAAAGATAGTAATAAAGATCAAAACCTGTATTACTACCCTTTTCTAAGAAATCTACTGAATGTAGTAATTCACAGCATGGGGGCTACCAGTGGAGCTTAGAAACCTCTTTGCCATTTTTTTGGTGGGGTTGTGGGGTAGAGTTAGGATGAGATAGGATTTAACCCACACACACTGTAAAAGGCTTCCGATTGGATCTCACAGTGTACCTGTTAAATGTGGTAACTTTCAGAGAAGCCTGCTTTCTTCTGCCCTCGCTGTGTGTAACTTACATTAAATCCTATTTTACTATTCCCAAGAGAAAAAAATTTTCAGGACCCTTTACTAACATACATTTGAACCTAGCACCCCTCACTGTGCTACTGCTATTATTTGGCGACTGTTAGGATACACTTCAGTGTTTCCTCACCTGTTTAATCCAGTGACAGACAAGTTTCCCATGATCATCTCGCCTCTGATTTCAGGTGTCAGAGAGCTTAGCACCCATCTTGCCCCTTCAATACATCTGTGCTCCCGACAGTGAACACACACTACTGGCAGCCCCTGCACAGTTTCTCCTGGAGAAATTCCTTCAGCACGCCTCATATAAACTCTTCCCCAAAGCCATCCATAACTTCAGGAGTCCTGTGCTGGCCATTGACTGCTACCTTAACATTGGACCAGAGGTAAAAAGGGTGTGGGGGATACTGTGCTTACCTACATCCATCCATTTCTTTCTCATTTTAGCTGTTTACAAAAAAGGAGCCTGTGACATGAAATATCAATCAAGATGCCAGTCTGGTCCTTTGCCAGAACTTTTATTAAAGATAGTAATACAGATCAAAACTTGTATTTCTACCCTTTTGCATACTCACTTATGCAAAGGTTCACACAACATGCAATGGCAGTTTGCCCTCCCCATGCCTATTTTATCTCCACAAATGAGCCAGAGAATATACAACTCAGCTGTCAGCTCCTCTAAGAAGCCTACCTCGGTGACTTTGGGCAGCAGTTGCTTGTTCCCACTTCTCTTAACATTCATCAGATTATACTGTAATTATGTGGGTTTTTCTTCATAAAAGTGTGAGTTCTTCAAAGACATACAATGTCTTAGGCATTGTTTTAGACATACGTAAGAGGAGCTCAGTGATTACCGAACAAATAAATGTGTATCACCTGAAGCCTTTAGAGGTGGCATTTCTCCACTTCCCACCCCTTGGACTTCTTTCTAAAATTTTTCACATTTTAGTTTTTTTTAAACTGCCACTTGCACCTCCAGGCTCCTACTACTAAGCTGTCCCTTTAGAAATGATTACTGTACTACATCCTCCTTGTAAAAAATGTTTTAAAATCATAAGAAAGTAAAGTCACCTGCCAGAAGAATATTTTGGTGTACTACATTTCCTTCCAGGGCTTTTTCTTTGTATGTATTGAAAAAAACACACATATCCATACACGTACTCTTTTAACGCTAAAGTCACTGTATTCAGTTTTGGAAACTAATTTTTAAAATTTCACAGTGTAAACATTTTACATTCCCATTTTTATGTTTCAGTAATCTACACTGTAGATTGGGTAATGAATTATAGAATTTTAGAAGTAGAAGGAACCTTAAAAACCATCAGATATAAAGGCCAGGCATAGAAGCTCGTGCCTATAACCCAGCATTTTGGGAGGCTGAGGTGGGAGGATCACTTGAGGCCAGGAGTTCGAGACCAGCCTGGACAACATGGTAACACCCTGTCACTACAAAAAATAAAAATAATTAGCCAGGTGTGATGGCGCACGCCTGTAGTCCCAGCTATTCAAAAGGCTGAGGTGGGAAGATCACGTGACCCCAGGAGTTCAAGGTTGCAGTGATCTGATTTGTGCCACTGCATTACAGCCTAAGTGACAGAGACCCCATCTCAAAAAAAACAAAACAAACCCACACCCACGAGATCTAATAACATCTTTTACAGTATTTATGTAAGTACTGTAAAAGATGTATGTAATTTACATGTCTGACCCAGATATTCCAATTCCCCTATCCTAGAGTCCAGGGCTCTACGTATTAACACAATCTCAATACTTAACAACAGCTAACATTTACTGAATACTAAGTTATTTAATTCAGAAAACATCCTATGAAACAAGTACTATTGTTATCTCTACAGATGAGGAAACTGAGGTATAGTGAAATGAAGGAGACTGTTCATTGTTCCATGGCTACTAAATGGAGGAACCAGTATTTGAACCCAAGCAGACTGGCTCATGCATTTAGCCATTCCACTGTTTTAACTCCCAACTATCTTACTTACTTCTCCGTAATTTTTGCAGTTATCATCTGTTCACAGAAGCCAGATAGAACCAAAAATTTAAATTCATGCACTGTCTTTTTTTTTTTTTTGAGATGGAGTTTCACTCTTGTCACCCTGGCTGGAGTGCAATGGTGCAATCTCGGCTCAGTGCAACCTCGGCTCAGTGCAACCTCCACCTCCAGGGTTCAAGCGATTCTCCTGCCTCCGTCTCCTGAGTAGCTGGGATTACAGGTGCACACCATCACGCCTGGCTAATTTTTTTTGTATTTTTTACTAGAGATGGAATTTTGCCACGTTGGCCAGACTGCTCTCCAACTCCTGACCTCAGATGATCCATCCACCTCGGCCTCTCAAAGGGCTGGGATTACAGGCGTGAGCCACCGCACCCAGCCCATGCACTGTCTTAAGCTTCTATCCAATTGAAAATTTAAGTATATCTAAATGGAAAGCTGATCAAAAATATTTTTTATTCTCACCAATAAGGCAATCCAAACATTTAATCTTTCCTAAGTATGCTTTTTTGTGGAAGGTAGTTTTTTAAATTTGATAAAGACTCTTAAATGGAAGGGCTTGTTTCTTACTACTAATTTGTCTCCTAATAGTCCTTTATTATGAAACATAAATAAGAGAAGCTTTAAACAGGTTAACACTTGGCACGCTACATAAAGGAGGCTGCAAAGCTTAACTAACCAAGCCATTTAAGTTAATATTGGAAAAAACTCATCTCCTTTACCTTATCCTGAAATAGAGAAAAAGGAAGGTACTGAGTCATTCTGCTGAACTGCAGATATTTTGCTTGCTCTTGAAATGCCCATGCTATTTTTGCTTGATGATTTCAGGTGGCCATATGCTATATCAGCTCCAGACCCCACTCCAGCAATGTCAACTGTGAAGGGGTGTTTTTCAGTGGACTCCTTTTGTACCTCTGTGACTCTTTTGTAGGTGCTGATCTTAAGAAATTTAAATTTCTAAAAGGTAAGTCAAATTTAGTATCTTGCTTGTAATTGCTATTGGTTCCCACTGAGCAAAATACAGAAGATAAAGATATTTTTAAAAAGCACTTGAGGCCAGGCGCAGTGGCTCAACGCCTGTAATCTCAGCACTTTGGGAGGCCGAGGCGGGTGGATCACGAGGTCAGGAGATCGAGACCATCCTGGCTAGCATGGTGAAACCGTCTCTACTAAAAAATACAACAAAAATTAGCCAGGCATGGTGGTGTGCACCTGTAGTCCCAGCTACTGGGGAGGCTGAGGCAGGAGAATGGCGTGAACCTGGGAGGCGGAGCTTGTAGTGAGCTGAGATCACGCCACTGCACTCCAGCCTGGGCAACAGAGCAAGACTCCGTCTCAAAAAAAAAGTAAATAAATAAATACAAAATCAGCCGGGCGTGGTGGCTCCTGTAATCCCAGCTACTCGGGAGGCTGAGGCGGGAGAATCGCTTAAACCCGGAAGGCAGAGGTTGCAGTGAGCCAAGATCACGCCATTGCACTCCAGCCTGGGCAACAACAGTGAAACTCCATCTCAAAAAAAAAAAAAAGAGAGACTGGCCTAAGAACAAACTAAGATTAAACATCACAGATAATCCTTATAAAATGACCTTTGAGATCAGTGAAGAAAGTGAGGTTCAGAACGCTGTGCAGCATGAGAACAGGGAGAGGGGTTGTGCGGGGACTGTGCATTCATTCATTCACTTATTTATTTATTTATTTATTTAGAGACTTATTGGGGATGGGGGAGTGGTAGATTTTGCCTCCCAGGAGACAGAGACACTTCTGATTGTCGCACTGGAGGCTGCTGCTTGCTGGCATATAGTGGGCAGAAGCCAAGACTGCAGGATGTTTAGATTCCAAACATCCTACAAGACACAGAACAAGGCTAGGTGTGATGGCTCACGCCTGTAATCCCAGCACTTTGGGAGGCCAAGGTGGGTGGATTGGCTGAGCTCAGGAGTTTGAGACCAGCCTGGGCAACACTGTGAAACTCCGTCTCTACTAAAATACAAAAAATTAGCTGGGAGTGGTGGCGTGCACCTGTAGTCCCAGCCACCTGGGAGGCTGAGACAGGAGAATTGCTTGAACCCAGGAGGCGGAGGTTGCAGTGAGCCAAGATTGCACTACTGCACTCCAGCCTGGGCAACAGAGGAAGACTCCGTCTCCAAAAAAAAAAAAGGTAAGACACAGAATAGCCCCCACAACAAAGAATTATCCAAGTCCAATAGTGCTGAGGTTCAGAAACCCTAATCTAGGAGGAACACATGAGAAACATAACATTAGTTATCACAGGGAAGAGGGAATGTGGTTGGAAGATTACTTACTTTATACTCTTAAAAATTACTGAATTTGGGCTGGGCGCAGTGGCTCACACCTGTAATCCCAGCACCTTGGAAGGCCGAGGCAGGTGGATCACGAGGTCAGGAGATCGAGACCATCCTGGCCAACATGATGAAACCCCATCTCTACTAAAATACAAAAAAAAATTAGCTGGGCCTGGTGGCAGACACCTGTAGTCTCAGCTACTTGGGAGGCTAACGCAGGGGAATTGCTTGAACCCAGGAGGCAGAGGTTGCAGTGAACCGAGATCGCACCACTGCACTCCAGCCTGGAGACAGAGCAAGACTCCGTCTCAAAAAAAGAAACAAAAAAAATTACTGAATTTGCAAAACTACTTAATAAAATAAAACAATTCTGATAGATTGCTTATCCATCTGTTGGTTCTCAGATGTGTTAGCTTAGGAAATATAATCAGAGATAAAGTTCTTTATAAATTCAATCCCTGAGCCTAGGACATATTTCTGTCTTTTTTCCTGAAGGTGCTACACTGTGTGTCATCTGCCAAGACAGAAGTTCCTTGCGCCAAACAATTGTCCGCTTAGAGCTAGAAGATGAGTGGCAGTTCCGCCTCCGGGACGAGTTTCAAACTGCTAACAGCAGTGATGACAAGCCTCTCTACTTTCTTACTGGACGTCATGTATGAGCTTTTGAAGAGACCAAAACAGCAAAAAGATGCCTAGGTGGGATGGGACAGAAACAATTTGGGATTTTTCTTTTTCCTTTAAAGTACAATCACTGTGGAGCAAAGTGCAACATATTTGTCTAAATTCTCCAAAGAACTCCCCAAATCTGATCCAGGTCTTTGGGGACATCACTTTCCTTCAGTTCCAATTACAGGACCCTTAAATTCAGGTAAACTCTATCCTAGGCAGTTATGCAATTACTTAAGATACGGTCTGCCCATGGGATCCTGAGGAGGATATACTTTGGAGAGTGAATATGGAGTTTGCATTATTTTTTTCTATTACTATGTTAGGGGGAAACTGACTGTCAGGATTAACTAGCCTGAATGTGTTACATGAGACTCATGCCATTGGTGTGGAATCAATTGAAGATTAACGTTTGAGGCCTGAACCCTCAGTTTCTCTTCAGATCTGTACTTTGGTACAGTATTACTCAGGGGTTTGAAATGATAGAATGTAGACGATATTTGTATTTAAAAAAAGAAGTAGCTTTGTCTTTCTCTGTGCAGTGTTAGTTTAAGATTTATAATCTTCTATGTATTGAAACTTTTGGCAAAATTTCCACAGGAGTTAGAAGTTTACTATTTAAACTGAACAAACAAATCAGTAAATGCAGAGCAGGCATTGTGTGCATTTATGCATCTTCTCCTAGCCTAATTCCTTTGCTTTACCCACTCTTTAAATGTGTTTCCAGTCTTTAAGAATATCTTATCTATGAGACTATGGAACAGTGATTAATCTTTTGCAAGAACTTAAGTCAGTTAAGAAGCTTTCAGCAGGTAACCTGCACCCACCGTTTGGTTGGAATTAAGCAGTTGGCACCAGCAAACCTAAATGTCAGGCTGAGGTTCTGTTGCAGAGTGAAACTAGTTTGTTTCCTTTCAGGGACTCAAGCAAAGCTTCCTTTAAAAGATGCACTAAATATTACCACCTTACACTGACAACGCCACAGAAATTGCCGAATTGGGAAATTGAGCCATAGAAAGAGAAATGTTTTTTTACTTAATCTTACCAGTGACTCTTGTGAGGAGTAAGGAAGACTCCATTAAGAGTCTTTTTGATTCATTAAAATCAGCAGGGGGTGTTTGTCCAGTATCGGCAATGGGAGGCATATGTTTCTACAGATTTCTCAAATATTTTAATCAAAAACATTATTTTTAGAAAGTGTTCTAGATAAAACTAAGTCTTAGAAGTTTACTCTTAAATTACTCCAGTTCTCATCATTGAACAATCTCTTGAGAGTTTTCTCATTAGCCCATATTTACTACTTTATCCCCACTTAAAATGGCCATTTTTACTTGAATCAATCTTGTTTGTGACCTGAAACTACTGAGGGGCCTACTAAGCCTGCATTTACTTAGAACAAATAGTGTTAATTGACCAGCTTTATTATCTTATGACAACAAGGAGTTTACAAAGCTAGTGAAAAAATGGAATGTATTAGACTAAAAATGGTTTGCAGATCTCTTGGTTTTAATATAGCTACTTATAATGCTTTAACTGTATTTTGAAGTGAACAATTCCTTTTAACCCCATTTTTAATTGTCCTTCAAAGAGGACCTGCCTTATATATGCTTTAAAAAATACTCCTTAATTTTAGTACAGCAGAATTTTTGGTAAAGAGGTATGTTTTGAAGCAATTTGGTTTAAATATGAATGTATTTCACTTGTTCCTGTTTTGTTGAAAGGGCCTAATGCAAATAATACCAAGAAACCCACTGTCTGTGCAATATTCCAATAACATTTACATAGGGCAAATAAAATACTTGAAAGAATTCTGAAACAATTGTACCTGGGGTGGATGGCCTCTCAGGGTTTCTTCTGGCTTTATGACTTCATAGTTTAAAGAACTTTTTTTTTAAGTAGTTACATCAGATGCAGGTACTCCATTAGTTAGGGCTGCACTCTGAAAATTCAAATTATTATTATGAGCTCTTAAATACTATTTAACTCTGGAAGAGATATGCCAGAATAAAGCCAAAAGACCATCACCCCTATAATGGAGAAATTGATCTGCCTATTCTTTTCAAAGCCTATCTTACTAATGTTTGGATCTTTTAAAATCATCTTATCATCAGTATAATTCTTGAGTATGTTAGGTCCTTCTTTAAGGATAAAATTGCACAAGCACAGGACACCATGATTTGTGTGTATATATATATATATCCTAGTGTGTTCAGCTTTAAGCTTTGCAATCCCTTAGGACACTGATGTGGGATGAATGGATTCGCTAGGCCCACACAGTAACTCACCTGTAGACCTGCTGAACCTCAGCATGTATGACAGTTCACACAGGTTAATACTGAATGTAAACGAAAAACTAGAAGACAATTGTTATAATTTTTTTTGGCTGTAATTTATGCAATTGCTTTTTGTGATTTTTAGAAAATGGGGCACCCGTGTTATTACTGTAAAATGTTCTTAACCAAAATTTGGTGAATTTCACTAGTCTACCTCACATTTTGTTAATGATTCAAAATTGTCTTGTGTCTACTGTTATATTTTTGTCCTTTGATTTAATTTGCTTAATGTATTAAAGTTATCTCCCACCCCCTCCAAAAAGTTATTTTTTCTTTATAGTTTTCTGGCATGTTTGTTAAGAAAACAAGCTCCCTGACTCTGGCAATGTCCTAAAAAGGCTGGAAGTCAGTCACATTATAGGTTGGACAACCAAGATTAAAGAGGTGTTGAAAACATACATAGTAGATACCAATCTTTTATTTGACAGATTGCAACTACACTCACTTTGATGTCCTTCTGGAAACAGAACAACTTTGGGTTGCTAAAACTAATACAAGGTGTTTGTTATTGTTAATCTCCAGTTAAAACTTCTCAAACTTTTTGAGAGTGTCTCAAAGTTGCTAGAACTATGTAGTATGAAGATGCTGTTATTGTAGTATGAATTATATCTTCTTAAAAAATTTTACCAACTTTTGAGAATAACAACTTTGTTGTCCCAGAAAAATGGCTTTCAATCTATTAATAAAGTGTAGTAAATTAAAAGAATTTGACATAGATTCCATGAAAACAATCTTCTAGGCCAAAGGACCCTCAGGAAGGGCAATAAATATTTGTAAGTGTAATGACAGACTTTCAGAGGAAAGTAAAGACTACTGGTGTTCCACTATACATTCCAAAGCAGCTGCCTTGAAAAGACTATTAATTAACTGTGAAACTGACTGCTGCAACATCACACTAAACTACTTAGGCCTGAAACAACATCCAGAGAACGAACATTTATCAAGCTTCTCTTTAGACACAGAAACTGGAAATTGGCCCTTAAAGCTTCCTCTGAGTCTAGGAGAATACTACTCTAACACTGAAACCTTGGCTTCACTGAAAACAAAACAACAACAGTAAAAATACTGCTAAAGATGACTTTAGGAATTGCCGCTAAGGCCAAAGAAAAAGTCATTCACATAATAAATTCACTGTGCTCTCAACTATCAAGTGTTGTTGAGTTAAAGCATCTACTTCAGTGACTATGACAATAGATGATGGTATTAAGTTAAAAAAAAAAAAAAAAGGCAACACCAGTAAGTTCTTTTCTGACCACTTCATTCCACATATTTTATTTTTACTAGTCCAGTGTATTTTATTTTTACCAGAAGGGTGGGGGTGGGGGGTTGCTAAAAGACAGAACTCATCCCTTTTTCTGCCTAAAGACTCAGGAGCCATGAGAAAGAAAATGTATGTCTAGAGTCACTACCCTAGAAATCAACTCACTCAGCAATCTCAACCCTAGCTGCAATGTGGATGGGCAGGAATACAGCTGTGTTCCCATCCAGAAGGATAAGACTCTATAGCTGGGCAGCCGTGCAAAGTAAACAAGAACAATTAAAATAACACTGCAGGTTTGTTGTACTCACTGACTGTCCTTACAACAGTCAGGCTTTCAGTAGATAAACCAAGTTCACTCTTGCATATTATGAAGTAGTAAAATACTGCTTTTTATCTGTGTGTCCATGCAGATAAAAGCATCGCCCATAAAATCTTGTAGTTCCTGACTATATTTGTGGCTCTTACCATGTCTCTATGCTAGATATTTTTATAAACAACCAACAACTACATGAGGGCTGCTAACAAAAAATCTATAAGCACCTTTATATAGTCAGCAATTACAGACTCACCCTCTTCTACAGTCTGTGGCCATTAGTGTACACTCACCGTGTCCCTGCTGCCTCCACCACTCCACTGAGACTGCTCTTTTCCTAACATCACTTGGGCTCTCTTCAGTCTTCAACTGTGGTATGACAGGGTTGATCATTCTTTGATTCTTGACATTTTTCCCTTGGTTTCTACCACTCTCTTCTGGCTCTCCTACCTTGCTGCTCATGCCTTCTTAGGCAGTCTTCTTTGAGACTCTTAAATGATGGTGTACCTCACAACTCTCTTCTACCTTCTCATTTTACAAACCCCAGGGTGACCTTGTGAACCTTCAAATAAATAAGTGAACTCATAAATTTGTTTCTCAGTTAGAACCTTTCTGAAACTCTAGATTCACATATCCAATTGTATACTAAAAGGTTTCTCCACTTAAGAGACTCTTTCTACAACCACCTTAAAATCTTGACCAAAACTGAGGACATCCCCATCCAATCCTCCCAACCTAATTCCCCTGTATTCCCATCTGTCAATCTAATTCAATTACCCAAACCAAAATTCCCACTTACCTTAACCTCTTTGCCATGATCTTTTTCTGGTTGTTTATAAATTCCTATCAATTCAACTGTGTCAATTCTTCAATTTTATCTTTTCAATGTGTATCTGTCTCGTCTTCATCTCCACATCACAGCTTTAGTTCAGTGTTTCAACACTTTTCACACAAACGGCTCTTAATTATCATCTAAGTTCCAGATTCCTCAATTATAAACCCTACCTCATAGGACTGTCGTAATGATTACATAAAATAATGCAGGACTAAACACACAGGGTCTGACACATAGCAAACACTCAAATGTTAGGTATTAACTAATAATACTATTCTTAGAGAAATACCTAAATTGTAAAATTTGGGAGGCTATATCTTCAGTATAAACATGAAAATAAACTGGTTTCTCAGTAATAATAACATATAAACCAACCACCCAATATACCCTCTTCCACCTCCAGGTCACCTTGAAACCAAGTCAAAAGTAGTCAAAGTAGTATACTATTGTTTATGGAAATTGGACCTGTATTATGGGATTAACAGTTACTAGAGAGTCTACACTATATCCCAAAATTTCATTCTGTTTTTTTTTTTTTTTTTTAAATCATGGTACCTGTCAGGCAAACAATGAGACCAGGATTGACTAGAACAGTCTCAAGCCCAAAGGGAAATGACAGTATCAAAAGCTAGGGCCAGGTGCAGTGGCTCACACCTATAATCTCAGCACTTTGCGAGGCCGAGGCAGGTGGACCACGTGAGGTCAGGAGTTCAAGACCAGCCTGGCCAATGTGGTGAAACCCTGTTTCTACTAAAAAATACAAAAACAAATTAGCCGGCCGTGGTGGCAGGTGCCTGTAATCCCAGCTACTCTGGAGGCTGAGGCAGGAGAATCGCTTGAGCCTAGGAGGTGGAGGTTGCAGTGAGCTGAGGTCATGCCATTGCACTCCAGCCTGGGTGACAGAGTGAGCCTCTGTCTCAAAAAAAAAAAAAAAAAAAAAAAAAAGCTAGACCAGCTTGATGAATCACGGGGAAATATTTACCGTGCCCTATCATTCTACCCATACAAAATGTAGAGTCTTATACCACTCTAGAAAAAAAAATTTTTTTTTGAGGTGGAGTTTTTTGCTCTTTTTGCTCAGGCTGGAGTACAATGGTGCAATCTCTGCTCACTGCAATCTCCACCTCCCAGGTTCCAGCTATTGTCCTGCCTTAGCCTCCTGAGCAGCTGGGATTACAGGTGCATGCCACCAAAACCAGCTAATTTTTGTATTTTTAGTAGAGACGGGATTTCACCATATTGGTCAGGCTGGTCTCGAACTCCTGACCTCGTGATCCGCCCGCCTCAGCCTTCCAAAGTCCTGGGATTATAGGCGTGAGCCACCGCGCCTGGCCTAGAAATTGTAAAAGCAAAAATTTATAGGGAAATAAAATGTATACCTGTTAATTTAAGGCCCTAAATTTTAGCCAGTTTTCAACTGAGATATGATCATTTCAGCTCACAAAAATAACCTAAGTTGAACCACAGTGGTAATTCATTCTTGGGCTGTGGGCCCTTCATTTATTTGCAACATCATAAAAGTACTATGTTACTAAAATAATCAGAAAGGATTTTGCCTTTGGAAATAAAGTTCAGCTGATTTGCTGCTGACACAATGATCCTTTGGCAAACTGGTGGAAACTGCCTTTAGGAAGCCAATGTTTTAATCATATTTCAAGATATCAAACCAAAAAAACACCCTGAAAAAGCACAAATGACAACACACCATTATTCTCAGTTAGTACATTGGTCACTTAGAAAAAGCTATCAAGTATTTTATTATTTTTATTCTACATTATATACAGGTCATAAAAGGCCACAGCAGTTTTTCAACATATAAACCCTTTAAAAGTAGAGGGCACTATGAAGGATAGACAAGTATCAAAATGAAGTCCAGTAATGAGGGCATATACTCAGTGCAGTATTTCTGAGGAATAACAAAGCAGATACCGAGTCATCCATACTTTGCTTCCAAGTATTCTATACGTTTTTATAAACCTCTTTGAGATTTGTTAACAGCCTAGGTGTGCCAAGTTGCCATTTATTTTAAAAGTGAAACCAGAATGAAAGAATAATGAATCTAGGAGGGTACCTTTCCTAATGCTTGTCATTTACAGCTCTCCAAGAAGGAAAGCCTCAATTCTTTACCACTTTCTACTTCCTCCTTCCATCAAAGATAGGAAAGAGAAAAATCAGGAAAAAAAAGCTCAATATTCTAATTCTTCCTATTTAGCTGGAGCTTTCCTTTTCTATAGGGGTTTCTTCAAAGTATAGTTCAGGCCTTTTAAAAATTAGCTTCAAATTCCAAAACACTTAATATTGCACCCTCCTTGAACAATAACTAAAAAAATTGGTTTCCACTCTGTGAAAATACAATCTTTAAGCCTATCACTGGTATCAGCAGATCAATATAAAAAAATACAGTACCAAGCTACACTGGTATATTTCCATATTAAGAACTTCAAAATATACTTATCACTGAGACCATAGTCCTTGCATTAGTTTTCAGTCCACTATGAACAATTATCTGCTGCATGTAAACATGTCTAAATAACTATAGATAAAATACATCAATCATAAATTTCTGTAAAAGATAATAAAATATCTTCTTTAAAAAACAAAACAATAAGCTATTACTGCATTGTTTCCAATTTTATGAAAATGGAACAACCATATGGTTGTTGCCAGTCCTGAGTTCATTGTAATAAAAATGGCCCTAGTTCCTGGTTAAAGTCAGCAACCAATCCATTCTCTTCAATAGATGTCTTCTAGTGGTGTAGGCAAGAATTTGTTTTACGTGCTATTCTGTCCATTAATAAAATTATATACCAGAAATTGACCAGTGCCACAGTACTGTGTTGCAAACAGCTTTCCATCAGGAGTGGGATCTGAGAAAGCAATTTCTTCTTTGCTCAAATATGAGCCATATATAAAGTTACTCCTATTAAAAAAAAATGGGGGGGGGGAAGGGTTAAGTGTGAAATGTTAAAAAAAAAAAAATTCTAATCATTAAAACTGGAATAACCTGTCAAATACAATTTGACTAAAAAAGCTTTTTAGATACTGCTGTATGTGCTCAAAATTTTTGAAAATAATTATTCATCTATAATATCAATAACCTGAGGTTAAATTTTAATAAAAGCAACAATGTAAAAACATTTACCCAACATCTTTTCATGATAAAAATATTCAACTAAGAGTAGAAATATTTCCTCAACCTGATCAAAGACATCAAGGAATATCAGAGTTAATGGTGAATGACTGAAAACTGTTCCTCAAAGATCAGGAATAAGAGAAGACTACTCTCACCTCTTCTATTCAATATTGTATTGGAGGTTCTCGTCATGAGGAAAAGAAATAAAAATCATCCAGATTGGAAAGAAAGAAATAAAACTATCTCTTTTGCAGATGAAAAGGCCTTGTTTATAGAAAATCCTAAAAAATTCACAAAAACAAACAAAAAATCTAATAAACGAGTCTGGCAAGGCTGCATATTCAAGATTGATATTCAAAAGTAAACTGTTTCTATACACTTGTAATGAACAACCTAAAACTGAAATTTAGGGGGAAAAAAGTCCATTTATAATAACATCAAAAAAAATTAAATACTTGCCAGGCACAGTGTCTCACACCTGTAATCCCAGCATTTTGGGAGGCCAAGGTGAGAGGATTGCTTAAGCCCAAGAGTTCAAGGCCAGCCCAGGCGACATAGCAAGACTCCGACTGTACCAAAACAAATGAAATTTTTGCCAGGCACATGGCTATGGTCTCAGCTACTCAGGAGGCTGAGGCAGGAGGATTTCCTGAGCCCAGGATGTTGAGGATGAAGTGAGCTGTGTTTGCACCACTGCACTCCAGCCTGGGTGACAAAGTGAGATGCTGTCTCCAAAAAAGAAAAAAAATACTTGGGAATAAATGTAACAAAAGAAGCATTAAGACTTGTACACTGAAAACTATTAAACACTGCAGTAAGACATTAAAGACCTAGGGCCAGACGCGATGGCTCACACCTGTAATCCCAGCACTTTGGGAGGCCAGGGTGGTGAACTGCTTGAGCCCAGGAGTTCGAGACCAGCCTGGGGAACATGGCAAAACCCCATCTCTACAAAAAATAGAAAAATTGGCCAGATGCAGTGGCTCACGCCTGTAATCCCAGCACTTTGGGAGGCAGAGGCGAGTGGATCACTTGAGACCAGGAGTTCGAGAGGTGGTGGGTGCCTGTAATCCCAACTACTTGGGAGGCTGAGGTGGGAGAATCGTTTGAACCTGGGAGGCAGAGGTTGCAGTGAGCAGAGATCACGCCACTGCACTCCAGCCCGGAACAACAGAATGAGACTCCATCTCAAAAAAAAAAAAAAAAAAAAAAATTGGCTGACCTAAAAACCTCTTTTGAATAATTAATTTTAACCTCCTTCATTAATCTTTATCAGAGGTACTTTATAGGACAAAAAACAAAACAATTTTTCTGAGTGTCCCTTTGATATCTCTGACAGTCAAGTGATAAAAGAAAAACTAATAAGAGATTTTGATAGTTTACAAATAATATTCTTGAATTAAGATAAATTTCTCTAAAAGCTGAACTCCCAAGGAACTTTCCACATTTCTTTGGTTATATTTAAAATTCTTCAAAATGAAGCACAACTTGAAATAGGCAGGTTATTTTGGCCTAACATCATAGTTACAAATAAGTAAGTCGAAACAGCTTAATATTAATAGTGTTTAGCCTATAGTGCTTTCTTCCTCCTCACATTACATTCTCATAAAAAGTACTTACAGATCCAATACACTGATAACCTCATGCAAAATTTGTAATTAATACAAATAAAGATTATACGCATGTTAATTAAATGCCAATCTTTACACTAAAGCTCTGCCTAAGTCCTAAACTACTAAAAATGATTTGAAGGATTACATTCAAGTTACCTTAGGCATTCAATCATGCGAGAAGCAATTTTCTTCCGACGCATCATGCTGAATACCCATATTCGACTGATCCCGCAGATTGCAGGCTCTGGTAATGTTGAGCAGCACCAGGCTTTTTGCCTTTCAAATCTGACTTTTTCTTCTTCTGACCTGATAACTGGAAGTTTCTCTTCTATAACTCTGTAGCCCTACAGGTGTCAAAAATGGGGAAAAAATTTAAGTGAGATTATTAATTAGCAACTAATACTGATCTGGTTGAGGCGGTTATGACATTTGACTGGCTTAACAAACTATGGGGCCACTTATGCTTTCACTCTCATTTTTAGGAAACAGACAATCTGGATCTGCATTCTGTTCCAGTTCACTTACTAGTTGTATGACCATGAAAGTAAGTTACAATTTCTCTAACCTTTGGGTTCCTCACTGGCGATATCCATCATCTCTCATTTTGAGAGATTAAACCAAGTAATATATGCAAAGTACCTTGCCATCATGAGGAGCCCCCCCAATAGGAACTGAACATTAGTTCTCTCTACCTCCCGCACTCCAAGAACCAGCAAAAGTACATGTTAAGAACACAGCAGTAACTGTTTCTGTGATTGCTGTCACAGTTCTAGATTTCACAGTTGTACAAGAACTGAGACTAGGGATAGCAGAGAAATCAATAATTTAAAAAGCCATTTCATCACACTGCAATCTCTTTAAAAAAAAAATACCTTAAAAAACATATATCTCTTTTATGGTGGCTGGCTTTATGGGAAAAAAATAAAAAATAAAAAATATCTCTGCCAGTCTAGCTGCCAAAAAATAACACAATTGGTTGTTTTTTTTGTTTTTTCTTTGAGACAGAGCTTCTTCTGTCGCCCAGGCTGGAGTACAGTGGTGCGATCTCGGCTCACTGCAACCTCTGCCTCCTGGGTTCAAGAGATTCTCATGCCTCAGCCTCCCAAGTAGCTGAGATTACAGGCACGCACCGCCATGCCCGACTAAGTTTTGTATTTTTAGTAGAGATGGGGTTTCAACATGTTGGCCAGGCTGGTCTTGAACTCCTGGATTACAGGCATGAGCCACCGTGCCCAGCCATGACTAGCCTTCTGATGGGACAAGATATAAAACTTAAAAGTAAACAGACAACACAGTTAAGAGTCAGCAAAAACAACCCTAACAAACATTACATAGTTATCCTTCTAGTCTAAACACCGCTATAAGTCATTTATGGATCTAGGTGGAATAGAACCTTAAAAACACAATAGTTCGCACTATGTAAAATTAATTCAATTTCAGTATGGCAAACTTCTATGAATTAGTCAATTTATATCAAATTAATTTCCCCAAACTACCCTATCAGTTACTTATTTAAATCAATTTTGTTATTATAGCAAGGTTCATAAGCACTATATAATAATTTCAGGCTGAATATTTATTTACTCATTTATTATTTTTTCTTAAGAGACAAGAGTCTGGCTATGCTGCCCATGCTGGAGTGCAGTGGCTATTCACAGACACAAACATAGCACCCTACAACCTCAAACTCCTGGGTTCAAGCAGTCCTCCGATCTAAGCCTCCCAAGTAGCTGGGACTACAGGTGCCACCACACCCAGCTGAATTTTTTAAACACGTAGCTTAACATATATAGAGAAACTCCTGCAAACTTGCTTTGACTTTTCACTTTTTTAGAAAATTTTATGATCAAGCATACATCTGTGCAAGCAGCTATTAACCCACTTATGCCTAGTGTTCCATTACTGGAACACTAAGCATGTGGGAGTTATTTATATCCTACTGCTCAAGGTCATCGCCAAGGTCTTATTTTTCACTCATGCAAAAAAATCAAAAAATTGTTGCAACCTTTGGCATAAATGAGTTAATATGCTAAAAGACACCATCTGAACAGTAGTCACACACAATGTACACTGAGTTCATGAGCAAGCACTTAGCTGGAAAAAGATAGAATTCAGGTCTGCCTCAAAGTGAGCATTATTAGGGAGTCCAGAAGCTTCTGTTCTCTTAGAATGGTCTCGGCAGTTTCTAGTAACACTCATAATGTAAACATACATGATTCCATTGTTTGTTTTTTGTACAAGTTGGCTCCTAAACACAAGATAACTACTCATTCAGAGTTCAACAAAGGAAGTGGTGATCTATTCCAGGTGTGGGCCTTTTTTTTTTTTTTGAGATGGAGTCTTGCTCTGTTGTCCAGGCTGGGTTCAGTGGCATGATATTAGCTCACTGCAACCTCTGCCTCCCAGGTTCAAGCAATTCTCCTGCCTCAGCCTCACGAGTAACTGGGATTACAGGCACACACCACATCTGGCTAATTTTTGTATTTTTAGTAGAGACCACGGTTTCACCATGTTGGCCAGGCTGGTCTCAAACTCCTGACCTTCTGATCTGCCCGCCTCAGCCTCTCAAATTGCTGGGATTACAGGTCTGAGCCACTATGCCTGGTGGTGTGGGCCTTTTATAAAGGTACAGATAGCAAATATTTTAGGCACTGCAGTCCACCTGGTCTCTGTTGCAACTATTCAACTCTGCCTTTGTAGTACAAAAGTAGCCATAAATATGTAAGCCAAATGGGTGTTGGTGGGCGACAATAAAATTTTATTTACAAAAACAAGCTGGATTTTGCCCACTCTAGTTCGCCTAGCCTTGACTTACTCCAGTGCTAGAGGGACTAATTGAGAAAGACATTACATTGGTATCCAACATGGAAACTTCCAAAATAAACTTTGATAGTATTCTGATTTTTTTTTTTTTTTGAGACGGAGTCTCACTCTGTCACCCAGGCTGGAGTGCAATGGCGTGACCTTGGCTCACTACAACCTCTGCCTCCTGGGTTCAAGCGATTCTCCTGCCTTAGCCTCCTGAGTAGCTGGGATTACAGGTGCACACCACCGCGCCTGGCTATTTTTTTTTTTCTTTTTTTTTTTGAGACCGAGTCTTGTGTCGCCCAGGCTGGAGTGCAGTGGCGCAATCTTGGCTCACTGCAACCTCTGCCTCCCGGGTTCAAGCGATTCTCTTGCCTCAGCCTCCCCAATAGCTGGGACTACAGGCACGTGCCACCATGCCAGGCTCATTTTTTGTATTTTCAGTAGAGAAAGGGTTTCACCGTATTAGCCAGGATGGTCTCGAACTCCTGACCTTGTGATCCTCCCACTTCGGCCTCCCAAAGTGCTGGGATTACAGGCGTGAGCCACCACACTCAGCTAATTTTTGTATTTTCAGTAGAGAACAGGTTTTCACAATGTTGGCAAGGCTGGTCTCAAACTCCTGACTTCATGATCCACCCACCTTGGCCTCCCAAAGTGCTGGGATTATAGGCGTGAGCCAGTGTGCCCAGCCTGATGGTATTCTGATTCTACAGAATTTTTATCTTACTGACTTGAGAAACTAATTCCCATGCATAACCATTATTCCACTATGGTGAAGACTCACACATGGGAATTCTTGCATTAAAACTGATCTTTACATGAAATGGAGACAAATTTATCAGGATTTATGTTATTTGGGATTACGTTGTAAACTCATTAAACACCAAATTACTTAAGAACACTCTTTTATCACTTACCCATTGGATATGTTCCGCAATTAGGCAGCCAACTACTTTTTTGTCATTGGAAATGAAGAGAAGTGTTTTAGTTCTGGAATAGCACATTAGTGGAGCCTGTTGAAAACCTAAATCATTGTCAACCATCTCTCTAATCTCGTCAACCTGCCAAATAAAGAACAGTAA